>NC_000001.11:214434587-215059587 GCF_000001405.40 Homo sapiens
TATTTTGTGGTTAATTTTTAATATAGAAAAAGCAAAGTGTGGTTGGAAATCAAAAGCAAGGAATCTATGAGAAGCAGATATTAAAGATATTTGAAAATTACATGAAATTGGAGTCGCCCTGGATGAAGTGTTGAGGACCCAGAGAAAAGGTGGAAGAACCGAGAGCAGAATAGGGAGTCGGTCTTTGGGCTGCACACAGGGTGGGAGAGGGACCCACGGCGAAACATGTTTAGTGGAGGATGTGGCACAGGATGCCATTCCAAAAGCACATGCCTGGACTTCTTTGCCCTGGTCAATAATCATGTGACTATGAGACTGGTTTCTTGAAAGAGGGATTCAATTTGATGATTTGTAACGCCCTTATCCTTACAAAATTCTGTTTCTTAAGTGAAAGCCACAAGAGGAGAATCTGTACAATGCCCATGTGAATTTGTATTGGGCTGCATTCAAAGCCATCCTAGGCTGCATGTGGCCCGCAGGCTGCGGGTTGCACAAACTTGATCTAGACAATTAAAAATATAGGAGTACTTCATTCCCGTTATCAAAAGTGAAATTGATTCCCCCTCACCTACTTTAATGCTCTCTAATCAATTATTTATATATTGGGCCAGGATGAAAAGAAGTAAAATGGTTCAGTCCGGTAGTGTGTCTGCTGTGTGTGTGTGTGCGTGTGTGTGTGTGTGTGTTGAGATAAAATGCAAGTATCACAGAGCAACAGGCAACAATATCCGTAATTCAACCCACCATTCTTCTTTAGATGTTCAAAGCTTTAAATGAAGTTCTAATCATATTCTAGTTATAATTATGTTATAATTATACAATGTCCTAAATTAGAAAATAATCATTTTAAACCAGAAAGGAAAAATGCCTGCTTTAGAGTATAATGGTTAAATAGTTCATGAAACCCTTTAAAAAAAAAAGTATTCAGTGAACTGGGTGTAAACAATATAGATTTTCAAATTAACAAGGAAAAAACAAACAATCCCATTAAAAAGTGGGCAAAGGACATGAATACTTTTCAGAAGAAGACATATATGTGGCCAACAAGCATAAGAAAAAATGCTCATCACCACTAATCATTACAGAAATGCAAATCAAAACCACCATGAGGTATACACCACCTTACATCAGTCAGAATGGCTATTATTAAAAAGTCAAAAAATAACTGAGAAAAGGGAATGCTTATACACTGCTGGTGGGAATGTAAATTAGTCATGGTAAATCAGCCATGGTAGAAAGCAGTTTGGCGATTTCTCAAAGAACTTAAGGCAGAATTTCCATTCGACCCAGCAATCTCATTATGGGGTATATACCCAAAGCAATATAAATCATTCCATTATAAAGACACATGCACATGTACGTTCACTGCAGCACCATTCACAATAGCAAAGACATGGAATCAACCTAAATATCCATCGGTGGTAGACTGGATAAAGAAAATATGTTACATATACACCATGGAATACTATGCAGCCACAAAAAATGACAAGATCATGTCCTCTGCAGCAACATGGATGCAGGTGGAGGTCATTATCCTAAGTGAGCTAACATAGGAACAGAAAACCAAATACCGCATGTTCTCACTTTTAAGTGGGAGCTAAACATCTAGAACACATGGGCACAAAGAAGGGAATAACAAACACCAGGGCCTACTTGAGGATGGAGGGTGAGAGGAGGGTAAGGATTGAAAAACTACTTATCAGGTGCTATGCTTATTGCCCGGGTGATGAAATAATCTGTACACTAAACTCCCGTGACACACAATTTACCTATATAACAAACCCACACGTATACCCCTGTATCTAAAATAAAGTTAAAAAAAAATACAGTTTTCTTTTACCTGCCATTTGCCAACTTGTGGTGGATAAAATATTTTGAAACCATATTTTTTCAAGTAAGTGTGAGATTTTTGGTTAAAGACAGTTAGGGCTGGGTACAGTGGCTCATGCCTGTAATCCCAGCACTTTGGGAGGCTGAGGCGGGCAGATCACCTGAGGTCAGGAGTTCAAGACCAGCTGGCCAACATGGTGAAACCCCTTCTCTAAAAAAATTAGCTGGGCATGGTGGTGGGCGCCTGTAATCCCAGCTACTGGGGAGGCTGAGGCAGGAGAATCACTTGAACCCGGGAGGCGGAGGTTGCAGTGAGCCGAGATCGCACCATTGCACTCCAGCCTGGGCGACAGAGAAAGACTCCGTCTCAAAAAAAAAAAAAAAAAAAAAAAAAAAAGGTTTGTCAGAATATTAGCTCTCAGGATAATGCTTTTCAAGTACTCTTAACAAGAGTCAGCACATCACAAAATCATGGGTGTGCTTGTATGCATGCAAATGCAACACACAAAATCTCTCAATGTATATAGTAAGGAAGTAGTCACAGATGTCTGGAAAATTAAGATAACTGCTATCTAGAACCAAGCCTCTCTGTATTTTTTTTTTTTTTTACTTAAATATAGTGTACTTCTAGTTGGTAGTTGAAATCAAGTATTTCATGAACCAGTGCCAGAAATAATATTTTTTCAAATAACTGATAATGGAAAGAAATAATGTTTTCACAACCTTGAATTTTATTTGGCTGAAATTATTTTATTTTTTTCTTAATTTACCTATTATTTCATCTTACACTTACCTAAATGCAGTAAATATCAATAAATCAGACAGTGGCAAAAGAATTACTGAAATCCATATGTAGAATTCTCAGTTTTGCAAAATTCTCACTTTAAAAATTAAAATTCAATCTGTAACTTCAAAGCCTGCAGAAACAGTGGGAAGTTGTGTTTAAGGTTTTAGGGTCCTAGAGTAGTATAATTCAGGCCAGTTTTTATTATTCTTATAGGAATAATAAATTTAATAATAAATAAAGGATGCACAAAAGGCTAAATTCTTATGCAATAAATAGTATTTAATATATCCCCTAAACCTATTTAGGAGATGTATTACTCATTATATTATGCATAATCTATTGTGCATTACAGAAGTTGAACTACCTAGAAGGCTAAAATATTCTGAAAGAGAGGAAATACAATCAAACTGTACAAAATTGCTACAGAAGAACCTTGGATTCTCCATTCTGTTCCTTCTAGGATCCCCAGGAAGACGCCCACAATTTTTCTACTAAATAAGACCACGCCATCTATTCTCTAAATTCCTCAGCCTGAACCAAATGTTTTAAGCTTTGCAACTCTTTAATTCCTTCCCAGTTCCCCAAAATCCCCCCTGAGATTCTCCAACATCCATCTACTAACAGAAAAGACCAGCTACAGCTGAAAAGACATCAGGATACAGTTGTCTTCCATTTAACCAAACTTAAATGATAAGAATCACCCATGGCAATGATCAAAAACAGATTTTGATTCAGGGAGTCAGGACTGGGGTACAATAACCTACATATTTTTTAAAATGCCATAGGCAATACTGATGCACGTAGTGTGAAGACCACACTCAAAGAACCAACAGGCTCCCAATGTCTTATTTTTATTTTTTAAATAACTGTCACTCATCAGGAGTCTATCATCTCTTTAAATAATCTTTCACTGGAATCTGTTTATCTTTTCAGACTACAGTCTCTTCAAGTTACAAGTACTGTGAGATTACCATTGGGTCAGCCTGGCCCGTCCTGTGGCAGCCAACCTGGCTTCCCTGTTCTGAACAGCTGCTCTGACCATCTGGGAAGCTGTGAGGCAAGGCCCGCTTTATCCTGTCTCCTTGCTCGGGCCTGATAACCTTAGCCTTCCTACACTCGGCACAGGACAAAGCACCAGGCCGCGTCCTCTGCAGCAGATCTGCTCCCTCATATGGGACTGGAATGAGGGTGGGGAACCTCCCTGGGAATACATGTCTATGATAATAACACAAAATGTTTGCTTAAATTATTGTTTGCAATTCCACTTTTGGGAATTGCCTGAGGGAATTAGGGACAAATTTGAAGTTATCTTCAATAATATCAAATCATTTGTTTTGAGGGAGTAATTCTGAATTTTGGAAATCGCCAGTCAGTACAAAATTTGTACTCAGTAGAGTTTCTAGTAGGGTATGGTTTACAGTGATTTGGGTTTTACTAATCATTAATAATGTACGAAGCCTCACAGTGGCATTGTAATGTCTCAACCTGACTAGGCTGCACTCCATTTCCCAGAATGTTCTTCCCCTATGTTTCTGGTTAGTGTGGGTCACAGAGAATCTTCTGCCAGGTGACTGATACCAGCACAGCTCTCTGAGGGATGCAGCAGTTTCCTGCTACCTTCTAGTATATCTTTTCATTTAAAAAAAACAAATATTATTTGAAGACCTACTATATGCTAAGCACAATGGCAAATGCTTTCTGAACTCATCCTTACAATAGCTATGCTAGCATCATCTCCTGATTCTAAACACAAGAACTTAATTTTGGGGAGTTTACAGAGCCTGACCAAGAAACAAACACCAGAGAGTGAGGTCTTCAAGTCTGTTCTCCTTCTTTTTCCTTTTTTTCCCCCTACTTCCCACATTAATGTATGTTCTCCTTTGTAGTGTTTTTTTTATTGTTTTATTTCCAGCTATTATTTTCCTTGAAGATTAAACCAAAAAATACTAGTTCTTTGCTGATTCCAACAATCATTCAAAACATACAGAGCTCTAGCAGATACATAACTTGCTTCAAATTTTCCATCAGTATCCTCATCAGTAGCTATCTTTTCACAGTTGGCCATTTTATTTCAAGGATCCAAATTACCGACCTTTTTCATGTTTTCCTTAGTTAGACCTATGGGTTTCTCACATTAGTCACTGTCATAAACATCTATCTTTTCTACCTTCTTCAAAACATTTATGCTGGTCAAAAGCATTTGCTTCCAACATTGCTTCATCTCTGTGATTTTCTACTAAAGGACCATGTGTCTAACTCGCATTTCAGTTAAACTTACGTCAAAGTTGCTGGGATTTGCTCTGAATAACGGTAACTCATTTTTATGCTGGCAGCAAACGTCAGGCGAAATGTCTACTCACTCTCCCCAGCTGCAAGCACAAGATTGACGAGCTGACCTTGAGAGTTAGGAGGCTGTAAACCGAAACATGTTGCAACATGTCCCGCTATGATTACGCCTCCTCTGCTTTTACAAAGTACACCAGAAAGCAGTATCATTATTTGAGTCACACCTGGTAACTTGACACCTGCTGACACCTTTCTACTGTTTACTTGCAATGTCTCAATTTTCCACCCTTCTAAAGGACTCAGTGTCATCTGAAAGCTTGGCACTTTCACTATGTGCCCAGGGCTGGAGATCACTGATAAAGACGTTAAATAAAACCCATTTTAGTTCCACTCTCTACATAATGCTCGCTATTTAAAGGACTCACTCAAAGAAGTGCCTGTTTCCCTCTACCCTTTGTTTCTTCTGTCTGAACTACTTCCTTCTCTTTGACAAAACTCATCCCTTCCAATTCCACAGTGTGTCTTAGCTGTTACAGCTAAGGGGAGGGGAGGGGAGGATTGGCAAAGACTTTTTGAACGTTTAAATAAATCCTATCTATGGGCTCTCCCATGTCAGCATGCTTGGTTCACCTAAAACCATTCCAGAACCACCTTAAGAGCCAGGCTTGTCACTAAACAGCTGTGTGACTATGGGCAGAGTCCCTTTATCTGTCTGTTTCTCAGTTTCTTCATCTGTAAAACAAAGCAACTGGTCTCTGTGATTTATTGATATGTGGGGTCTCATATTTAGATATAAAACTCTATCATTCTGGTCTGTCTTGATATAAGGCAAAGGGCTCTTTCTCAAATAGGCTGTGTTTGTTTAAGATTTGAATGATGTCTTTATTGGCCTATAAGACGCTTGGTACTCTTTCTATGCATGAACCTTTTATGGGTAATCAGAGATGAGACAGATATTGTGAGCAATAAAGAGAGGAAATCTGAATAATTTGAGCCATGGCTCTGCAGTAGAAAGTTGACAGGGACATATAATCTAGCCCTCCGGAGTGATCTTTACACAGAAATAAAGTTTTCAAATGAGCACTTAGGGAAGTTATACTCTCACACTCAGCTCAACCACCTACAGTCTCTTATAGGCAGCTAAAGTGTTAATACAGCTGGACACTGAATGACATAAAATCAACTGGGTCAATGAAGAGATATGGGCTGACCCAAGTACTGAGATGCACTTCAAGTTATACAGAAAGTGCAAGTATCGGCAGTCAGGACCTAAATACCTACAAGGCCAGACAGGTCACAAGAATGTGTAAATGCTGCTGACTATTAACTCCCTAGGGAGTGGAGAACTAGGCCCAGTTAGACAGCACATGCCTCTCTGCAAGGCGTCCCAATTCAGTTCTTTCAAAAATGATCCTGGTGAAACAAAACCCACCTGAAGACCAGAATCAGCCCTCATAGTACTAGTTAATAATCTCTGATCTTACTGGTAGGTCAGCCCTCTGGATTTCTTTGTTGACTTTTTATGGAACTAAACTCCCTGTTACTCTGATAAAGCCAGTGAAGAAAGGCATGAACGGATGTATTTCTCTGGCAAAGTAATATAAAAGACTCCATTTATGTGATGACCTAAATCTACTCCACTTGTTAGAGAAAAAACTTCTGTTATTTAAAAAACAAACAGTTCTTTTTCAGGGTGCCCACTTTATAGAGTTCTAGTGAAGACTGAAAAAGATAATAATCTGAGATACTTAGCATAGCATCTTGCACATAAATGTTAGCTGCTACCATGACTACTACTGTTACATTATATCCGGTGATGGAACGCAACTACATTTTTCCACAGAACCACACAGAACTATAATATCCTCAGGCTGGGGAAGTTTTGAGGTTTTGGATTCTTGTGCTTTCTAGATTCTGCTGCTGCTCAGACACTGTAAGTTTCTTTAACGTGTGGATGTAGCACATCTGTCACTTCCTTCCTCTCCACCCACTCCACTCCAACTGAATGTCCCAATGCTGATATTCAGGAAAAAAGGTAGAGCAAACAATTATAAAACATCTATTCTTTGCACCTCTTCCAACGTCAAGATTTTTTTTAAAATCCATTTTTGAAATTGACACACCATTCTCAATCCCACCCATTGTAATGATACCCCTACAATCTTGAGAATCCTTTATGGGAAGCGGATGTCTCTTAAAAATTCATAAGGCACAGCCTGCATGCTTCAACATGACAAAACACCTCTTCATATAGCTTCTGTTGTTTTTCCCCCTTCTTTTCACACCTTTGTTAAAGGTAAACACTACAATGTGGCATCATCGTATTCTACTCAAGCTTTAGAAAAAGTAGACTATTTTAACATTTTGACTCATGCTCTATTACAAATCTTTATTATTTCATGAGTTCAATTGTTTAATCTTTCTCAGTCCTGCAATGTAACACTAATAAAGAACAATTTGGAATCAATGAATGAATGAACAAATGAATGAATGTATCTTTGAAAATCAAGGAATTCACAAAGGATAAAAATCAATACCTCTGCTTAAGAACTTATTTTCAAAATAGCTCAATAGCACATTATTTTTGTTTGCTTTTGAGAAAAGTTCCAAATAGACCAAATACTAACACATTAACCATGTGATTTAAAGATGTAATAATAAAATTATCACTTCTTTGAAGTATACTAAACAGGTTAGTACCCCTTATGCAAAATGTTAGGGACGAGAAGTGTTTGGGATTTCAGATTTTGAAATATTTGCTATACTTACCCAGTAGAGCATCTCTCATCCAAAAATCAGAAATCCTGAATGCTTCAACGAGCATTTCCTTTGAGCATCATGTTGGTGCTCAAAAAGTTTTCAATTTTGGTACATTATAGATTTTGAATTTTTGAATTAGGGATGCTCAACCTATTTTTTTGGTAAACTTTGTTTTTCTAATGGCTAAAACATACGTATAAGCATATCTTGCTTTATAAAGCATCTCAATCAAACATCTCAGATGCATTAAAGAACACAAACATTACATGAAGACTCCTTTTGAAATACGAATAATGCCTCTGATTTATTTCCTTTTGAAATTCTGAGTTTCCTCTTCATTATAGGACACCTACAATAAATAATAAGTTATGCCAAGTGATATTACAAAAGAACACTGATTTATTTTACTATTTGTTTTCCCTAAAGGGAAAGAATATCAGAGAAACAGCTAGATTATGTTTACGGCTAAGTTAACTTCGGCTAAGTTAACTTCATCTTATTTGTCTATACTTCATTGTTCTAGTAGCAGTAGGTTGCCTCAATAGCTAACTACCTAACTGCATAGCTTTCTTTTTTTTTTTTTTCTCTTTGAGACGGAGTTTCACTCTTGTTGCCCAGACTGGAGTGCTATGGTGCGATCTCCGCTCACCACAACCTCTTGCTCCTGGGTTCAAGCGATTCTCCCGCCTCAGCCTCCTGAGTAGCTGGGATTACAGGTATGTGCCACCATGCCAGGCTAATTTTGTACTTTTAGTAGAGACAGGGTTTCTCCACATTGGTCAGACTGGTCTCGAACTCCCGACCTCAAGTGATCCACCCGCCTCAGCCTCCCAAAGTGCTGGGATTACAGGCGTGAACCACCGCGCCCAGCCTAACTGCATATCTTTCACACCATATCTTTTTCTTAAGAGCAAAGAAAGAAACAAGAAGCAACTTCATGTATTTGGACAACTTGTACTATGAAGTAGGCATCTACTGTATAGTCTTGATTTATAGTCTTCTTCACAGTAAAACATAAGAAAATCCTAGTTGAGGATCAAGACAAGCTAATCCAATCAGCTTTCCTAAAAGAAATCAAATTGACTTTACACCACCTCCCCAATTCCTGCAAGGATTTCCCAGTGAGTCAGATCCAGAAGCAGAAATGGTTACCAGCGCTACATTTCTATTTTCTTATTTGCAAAGACAGTGAAAATTTTAGTTTTGTTCCCTTGAGGGTTTATTAAATTTACTTTTTCTCTTTGATCACACCCATAACAGTAGATTCAAATCAGTAAATCCACCGATACTTAAGAATAAATCGCAAGATAACAACAAAACAAGCAGAGGTGAACGAACAGAGATGCATGTATGAGGAACAGGAGGCTGTCCTTGTCCTGGGAAGGGCTGGTTACTTAATTTGCAGAGTCTAGCGCAAAGTGAAAATGCAGAATCCACTGTTGAAAAACCAAAAAACTTCAGGATGGCAACAGCAGAGCACTAAACCAACTACAGGGCACTTCTGAGCATGGGGTACTGTGCAACTAACTGCACAGGTCACAGACCCATGAAGCTGGTCCTGGTCCCAGGAGACATTTGCCCTTGGGTTTCACCAAAGCAGTGGCATTGCCTTCTCCTGGAAGTAAATAGGGTCAGCAATGTAGACGTTAAAGACAAATTCAAATAAACTTCTAGTAAATCAAATACACGGAAATGAAATAAAAGCTGCTTGGAGATACAGCTCTGTGGTGGGAGTGAGAGTGGGAGGGAGGTGGGGAGTTGAGACCTATTTGTTATTACATTCCCACTAACTAGCAAAGTGTCTAACACAGAATAGGTACTTAATAAAGGTTGAAATAAAAAACAATGCAAATGACAATCAACTTATCTCATTTTGGGAAGGTAATTCTTCTTCCCTCCAAGGTTGCACTGTTTATTACAGACAGCCATCTTCTCTCATCACATTGTACATTACATTAACCACACAGAATGTTTGAGATTAGATCCCAATGTCAACTGCATCTTAAAATATCTAAAATATCTGGCAGAAATAATTCCATTCTCAATAACCAACATAAAGAGAACAATTTCCCATTCACTAGCTGGAGCTGGCCAGGAGGAGAATTTGCTATTCTCAGCAAATTATATTATCCACAGGGAATTCATGCTTAATCTTAAGACTTGAAGGGAGTCCCTGTATCCCAGCCCACGGGTAGACTTTAAATATCCAGTAAAATGACATTTCAAAATAATAAAAGAACTAAAAGAACTGGAGGAACAAAATAAAGGGTGTTGTAAAAGGAAATGGAAATACTACCATAATTAGAGCTTTTAAAACAGACACTTTAAACACTGGTTGAACACTAACTTGTTTACAACAGCACACAAGGCAGATTGCAGGAGTCTAAGGGGGAAAAGTATTGGTATTTATAAGAAAGAAAATGTGAAGAAAGCTACTGTAAGGTCACTTCCTGAAACCTAGTTTAAGCACACACATGCACACACACAGAGAGACACACACATGCACACACCAAAACACCATTTTAACCCTTATGAAGATATACAGCTTCACTTAGTCTGGCTTTCCCATCAACATGCCATGGGCCCAAATACGTAACTGGAAAAAGGGGACCCCCATCATAGTTTAAAAATGCATTAACCTAACTCCCTTGTCACTCACTTCACACGCTGAAATGCACTTACCCTCTTTCTGGTACCTAAACAGCACAGCTTTAAATGTGGGTATTTATTCTCAGTTGGTTGAAAGACAACCTGTCCACTTGGTTCTTCCCAGACAGGAACTATCTTTAACATTTAAGAATGCTCCATGCAAGCCCATACAGAGATTAAGTATTTTAAAAATCCTCCTGGTGATAACTGCTAGGCAGTTTTACCTGGCTGACTAGAATACCCAGGACTTTGGAAGAACTGGGAGATGTACAATAGATCACTGATCCTAAGAGTAGGGGATACCCATAGCTGCTGAGAAGCACCGAAAACAGACATAGCATCCACCAGATAGAGGGTACTTGGAACAGGTCCTGTGGGCCTGATGTGTCTGCCAGATGTACGACAGTGTACTAAAATCATCCTTGGCAAATGGAATGACCGTGCTGGCTACAGCAGTAGTTGCACTCTGTCAATTCTGTAGAGTGCTCACCATTAATAGGGTGGACAGCCCCACCCAAACAGGCAGGCTACTAAGATGTCCTGGAAAAGTAGGAAATGTTATCTGACCTCATTAGGACAATTAGAAGCTCCTGTGCACTGTGCAACCATAACATTCAACAGTGAGTAATGCAAAGACAAACATGTTTTGGTTAAAAAAAAAAAAACCACAAAATTAAAAATTTTAGAAACCATGCATGCACTCAGCAACTTAGAAGTTTGTAGCCTAAATTCACTCTTCAAAAATTAAGTTTTCTTTTAAAAGTTTTCTCTTTAGTATTGAAGAAATTAAAGAGGGACTTCCATGCTTGAGGAAGACTTGGAAAAACCCCAGACCTAAACTAAAAGCAGTGATCTTGGCCAGCAATTTTCTGGCTTCCCCTTGCTATTATTAAGTATCCTTCTGTTTGAGTAAGAATTTATCCACCTCTCAGAAGCCATCTTTTTTCTTTCCGTGTCCAGAAAAATGTGAAAACCATGTGTTTATAATGAGCCTGTTGCTATGCAAATCATTAAAACACATTACAAAAATCTTTCCTTTGAGTCAGGAGAACATGCTGGGGAAGATGAACTGCTCAAGAGTCCCTTTGCTGGACAGAAAAGCTGGCAAAAAGGAATCTGAGAAGCAAAGCAAAATGGAAAAAATTACAGTGGTCCCATCCCTTGAGTCATTTTAACCAACAGGGGAAAACTAACATTTTCAAAGCCCCAAGGTAATAAATCTTACAGTTTGGGGTTAACAAACTCGGTGGTTCTTAATCTCTTTAAATCCTATGGTTTCATGACTCATCCCCCATCTGTCTACCAGAGTGTGTCCTTCTTTTCACTATTTTCTTTTAACATTTCTATAACAATATCAAGGGATTTCTTCTTTTTTCCTTTTATTTGTAGCCCTGTGTGTATTTTCCTTTTAATATATTTTGTTTTCTCATTCAATTAACACCTTAAAGTAGGGCCTGAGTTATCCATTTCTTATCCAACACAATCATAGTGTCTTGGCAGGTTTCCCTCACTTATGAAGGGACTTGCCCCTCAAAAGCCATATCTAGCAGATGAGACACAGTATGTCAAATTAATGTCAAAAAAAGCAGTGCCTCCTAATTTTCTAATTTAAACCAATTTGGACTTGATAATTTTAATAAAGCCAATCACTTTATTAAACAATTTGCAATCAATGTCACTCTCAAATTTTTGTTGTGTTGTTCTGAATACACTACTGACCTAAAAATTTCCATGGGTGTGATTCTCTGGGGACAACAAATTAAATAAACAGCTTTTAAATGTATTTTCCTTTGACTCCTATGTGTCTTGATATATATATGGGTTCATATACACAGCAAAAAAAAAAGGAAAACCCAACCAGAGTATTAATCTAGACTCTTTGTCCTTGTTCAGAGAGAAGAAATGGCTGGTCATGACTAATGCTATAGAACCTGTTCTCAAACAGAAGTAGCCAAACCATTGCAAACATGTGTTGGATGAAAACAAGTTTGGTTGGCTCCAGACAAAGGCTTATTTTTTTCAGCACAGATGGCTGAATGGTTGCCTCCTCCAACGGGTTGCCCGCAAATGAAAGACAGATTTCTATTTCTAATCTATGCAAATATCTTACTCTGCAGGGCATCACAAAGACTAACTGTTTTGTGTCAGACACTGCAGATCCCAGGTGCTCTCAGAGATGCCAAAGCCCATCTCCACCTGAGATGCCTGGTAACTGGGATAACAGCGGATGACTGGAGAGTTAGTCATTAACCCGCTCCTAATGAATGTTGTTGGGGCCTTCTGTGAAACATTCCTCTGGAATCCTGCCCCACCACCACTGCTTCCCCTTGGCTGAGCTGCCTGGAAGGCAGTTTCAATATTCAGTTCGGACCTCAGATGCTGCTAAAACCTCCCAAGAAGGCTGAGATTCCCAAAGGCTCTTAAGGACTGTAGCATTTTTCACCTTGTGTTGAGCACATCTGTCCATCTCCAACACCACACCGAGAAAACTCAAGCATTTAAAAATGTTATTCTGTCCAAACCAGATCTCCTTTATTCTCTAGTCCATAAGCCTACAACCTACGGCATGTCTTGCTGAATCACACCTGATCGTTGTTGGTGGCCCTCAACCTTCCCAAATAAATGTAATTCCTTTATTCTTTTCTTCCTAACAACTTTTCTTTGATTTCTTACATTTTTTTTTTCTCATGTTCCTCCATATTCCCAGCTTAAATCTTTTACTCACTCTGACACCCCTTGGCACATTCCAGTTTTAGGGCCCCTTGGAGGCAACAAAAATTTCTGCAATGCTGCAAACATACACACATACTCACGCACAGACAAAATGTTGCATGCTAATCCAACTCCTAACTTTCAACATTCTTTGCCATAAAGAGTTGGTTAGACCTGAAATCTACATAATTTAGTTCCAGCGCTTAAATCTAAAAATATCTTTCAAAGTTTAAAATTTTTTGTTAGTTTTTCTGATCAAATGTCAGCAACACAGTTTGCTTCAAAATCCTGTGTTGGAAAACACTTCTTTCCCTCCTTATCAACCTTCATCTGAAATAAACCAGGCTAATTAAGCAAAAAGAAATTCTAAAGAAAAAAGAAAAGTCCTTCCTAAATCCCACAGTTAATAACCACCACTACCAAAACTTTTTACTCTATACCTCCCTCTTTGAAATTTAAATACCTTTTGTTTTAGTCTATGAATGCAAACATTGACAGTCAAACAATGCAGCATTAAGTTTACTTCCTTGGAAAATCTAAAATTGTAAAGAGTTTTAGAGGTTAACTGATTCATTGATTCCTGAGGCTGGGTGAGTGTCAGAAACACCAGAGGAGTACTATTCATTTTCTCTTTTTTGAGATGGAATCTCGCTCTGTCGCCCAGGCTGGAGTGCAGTGGCGCGATCTCGGCTCACTGCAAGCTCCGCCTCCCAGGTTCACGCCATTCTCCTGCCTCAGACTCCCGCGTAGCTGGGACTACAGGTGCCCCCAACCAAGCCGGGCTAATTTTTTTTTTTTTTTTTTGTATTTTTTTAGTAGAGATCGGGTTTCACCATGTTAGCCAGGATGGTCTCGATCTCCTGACCTCGTGATCCGCCCGCCTCGGTCTCCCAAAGTGCTGGGATTACAGGCGTGAGCCACCGTGTGTCAGACACTGCCCGGCCTATTCATTTTAAACAATAACATCCTCTTGATTCTCAGCTCTAGACATTACAACCAGACTTCTGGTACAGCTCTAGAATCATATTTATAAGTGCTCCAGGTAACTATGATACAGCAGGCCCTGGTCTTTTGAGAACCACTGATCTATTCCAACATCCTACCCAATATGGTGGCTCCCTCTACAGGATACCACATGGGCTACCTGGTCCACGTGACAACATTCACAGAGACCAGTGCTCTCACCCTTTTGTAAGTCTTGTTCCATTTTTAGATGGCTTAGTTACTAGAAACTGTATTCCTACATTGAGCCAAATAGTCAAAGTTCTTTGGCTCCTTGGACTTCACTTACTTAGACCCTAATTTTGTGCTCCAGAACTGACAAAGAATTCCCCCTCCTACAACAGTCTGTAAATATCTAAAGGCAGCTACTACTGTGCCCTTGTAAGACTTAATTTTTCTTTTTTTTTTTTTGAGACGGAGTCTCACTCTTTCGCCCAAGCTGGACTGCAGTGGCGCTATCCCGGCTCACTGCAAGCTCCGCCTCTTGGGTTCATGCCATTCTCCTGCCTCAGCCTCCCGAGTAGCTGGGACTACAGGCGCCCACCACCACGCCCGGCTAATTTTTTGTATTTTTAGTAGAGACGGGGTTTCACGGTGTTAGCCAGGATGGTCTCGATCTCCTGACCTCGTGATCCGCCCGCCTCGGCCTCCCAAAGTGCTGGGATTACAGGCGTGAGCCACCGCGCCCGGCCGACTTAATTTTTCTAAGCTTAAACAACCTTTTTCTTTTAACTTCATAAAGCATAACTTCTGAGTCCCTCTTTATTTCAACTGCTCTTTCTCACCAATAGGCCTTACAGGATAGGTCTGTCTAGAGTAACAATACTTCATTTTTCTTACAGACAGAACTTTTTTCAATATACACTAATTTCTAGTCCATGTTTCACCCTCATCACTCATTACCTTGCACTTAATGGCCGAGAGCCAAGAATCAGCAAGTATTTATTAACTTAATGCTGTGTTCCTAGCACCGTGTAAAGTACTCAAGGAGGATTCAAAAGCCAACGGAAATCATCACATTTTGAGGAGTTAATAATTTTTTGTACAGGAAGAACTTGGATATGTGAATCAACTTGAAAACAGGGAGCAATGGTATGCAACAGAGTGCTTTAAATGTCTATCACATGAAAAACTGAACACTAGGTTTTTTGGATCAAGCTGTAAGCTAACTCACGGCCTCTGTTTGCAATTATGCCATCTACTTACAATACCTTTTGATTTAAAAATAAAAATAAAAAAAAAAGGAAAGAACGAAAGTGAAAAAAATAAGCACTTTGGGAGGCCAAGGTAGAAGGATCACCTGAGGCCAGGAGTTCAAGACAGCCTGGGAAATACAGCGAGACTTCATCTCTACAAAATTAGAAGAAAATTTAGCCAGGCTTGGTGGCACATGCCTGTAGTCCCAGCTACTCAGGAGGCTGACGCAGGAGGATTGCGGGAGCCCAGGAGTTTGTGGCTGCAGTGAACTATGATTGTGCCACTGCACTCCAGTGTAAGTGACAGAGCAAGACTCTATCTCAAAATAAATAAATAAATAAATAAATAAATAAAAGCCAAATTAAAGAAAGCAAGCAGAGGCCGGGCGCAGTGGCTCACCCCTGTCATCCTAGCACTTTGGAAGGCCAAGGCGGGCAGATCATTTGAGGTCAGGAGTTCGAGACCAGCCTGGCCAACATGGTGAAACCCCGTCTCTACCATAAATACAAAAATTAGCCAGCCGTGGTGGCAGGCGCCTATAATCCCAGCCACTCGGGAGGCTGAGGCACGAGAATCGCTTGAACCTGGGAGGTGGAGGCTGCAGTAAGCCAAGATCGTGCCACTGCACTCCAGCCTGGGTGACAGAGCAAGACTCCGTCTCAAATTAAAAAAAAAAAAGAAAAAGAAAAAGAAAAAGCAAGCAAGCAGAATATTGCCTTAAAATACACTTAAAAATTTCAAGAGCATCCTTATATCAGAAATTTAAAATCTAAAAACTACACAAAAGTCAGGTAGAATACTCTTCCTTCTTCAAAGCATGTTCCCGCATTGCTTCCCAAGCATTCAGAATGACAAGGTCCGGGTAAAAGGCAAAAAGTAAAGGGTTTATGTGATTCCTTTTCCTACCAGAAATATCCATTTGATGAGGAGACTTCCCAGGTATTTTAATGGAAAACTCTTACCAATAAATGAACTATACCAACATCAAAAAAATGCACTTATTCCATTCACTGAATATGCTTTATGAACTTACACAAATCCCTCACTTTACAGATGAGAGGGGAAAACATCATTTCAAAGGCAGCACACGGTTTCTCCAAGCTAAAGCAGACACTGAGTAGCTGCAATACCTTGTTCTCCTCTTCTACTGATGGCTTCTTGTCTCCTCTTATTTAGTAGGGACAATCATCAAAACTCCTGCTCTCGCAACATTTTCCTCCTTAACTTTACTCCCACTTTTAGTTACCTTTCCAATCTTCAAATTCGAAGTCTGATACCACATTTTGTTTGGGGATATTTTTAGGAAAAGGGTGGACAAAACAGAATTAGGTTTTTGTTTTTGTTTTTGTTGTTTTTGTTTTTGTTTTTGAGACAGGGTCTCAGTCTGTTGCCCAGGCTGGAGTACAGTGGCATGATCACGGCTCACTGCAGCCTTGAACTTCTGGGCTCAAGTGATCTTCCAACCTCAGTGTCCCGAGGAGCTGGAACTAAAAGCACAAAACACCATGTCTAGCTAGTTTTTATATTTTTTTCTTTTTGTAGAGACAGGGTCTTGCTATGCTGCCCAGGCTGGTCTCAAACTCTTGGCCTCAAGCTCTCCTCCCACCTCAGCTTCCCAAAGTGTTGATATTACAGGTATGAGACACCACGCCTGGCCAGGTCATTAATTTTTTATTAAATTCTTGCATGCCTATTTTACCCACAGTCTCCGATGAATATTTCCACGCTGCTAGAGATGAAATTCTGCCTGGCTCAGGATCCCTACTACCTTACCAGCATTACAGAAAACTGCTGGGGTTAGCTACATGGATTCAACCAAAACTCTAAAGCTGCAAAGCAATGAGTAAACAACCCCCAACTATTTTACCCTCTCCCCCACCACACACCCGCACCCACACCCACACACCCCTAAATCTACCAGCTCATCTACTTCATTGGAAGCTTCACAGTTAGTCAACACCCTTATATGGCACACAGGGGGAAAATGCACCTACCTTGTGGCCTCTTGCTGAAGCCATGACACATTTGGCACATAGAACATGACTCCAAAGAAAAGCAAAGGCTCATTAGCGAATTTGTCCAGATGTTTCTTCAGAGGTTTCTCCAGCTCCACCCATCGTGCTTGCTGGCTCTTGCTGAGAAACCAAAGGCCAAAGTAGTGCGTCTAGATAAAAGGGTAAAATAGCATCAGTTCATGCTCACCACAAGCATCCCAAGGCCACACAAGAAACGAGACTCCAGCATGCTGCATCCCACCCTGGGTTCCCCAGCCCATATATAAGATCCAGCTTTGACATATAACTTTGGGACTAATCAAAAGAAACCACAACCACACACTACTGTAACATACATGGAGTATCCAGATGCAGTATCCCTACTCATTACTACTGTTTGTGCTTGCAGATACCAAAGCGCCCATGTGAGGTAAGGGGAGTCGCGCAGGGAAGGGATAGTGCTGACTTTTCCCCTGATATCTGAAGACTGCCTTTTCTGTGTGCCTTCTGCATGCTTCATGATCTCACATGGAGCACACTGGCAAAGACCAACACCGCTCCTGCACCTGCTGCAATGTAACTTATTACTCAATTCCTAAGACAAAACCGCCTGCCAACTGAAAGCTTCTGCACTGTAGAATATTTTCATACAGTACCAGATTTTAACGGAGAATTTATTCACTCTTTTCGTGTGCTTTAAAAAGTATCATCCTCTTCCACTTTATTATACACGAACTGCAGCAAATCTCTCCCCATATCAAGCTTTGAGAGAGGAAGGATCGCCTCCTCACAGCTGCTGCAGGAGCCCCTGGTGGCTGTTCTTGGCAGATTATGGTGGGATTTGTTAGATGAAAGTGAGATTTTCGCCCTTAGACTTGAAGCCTAAACCAGTTTAGTTTTGAACAACATGCTAAATGATTAAAACAGGTACTTTTATGCACCCAATCCCATCTTTTATATTAATTCATGCTAGGATTTCAGGATTAGCACAACAATCACCAAAAAATAGATCACTGCTTTTGAAGATTCTTTTATATCTCAATTATAGCCTAGAATGGTTTACAGCACACCTGGAAATCTGCCTTCAAAAGAATGTTTTCATTACAATGTTCAATTTCCAAAGGCATTCTTATGCTGATGTTCCCACTCCAGCTGGCTGCCCCCTCAACATTATACAGATCAATCCCTGCCACAACCCCACCAAAATCTCTCATGAAGCTATGACTCTGACTTTACTAGAAAACCAGACGTGCCCTTGCCTATATAAAGCTGCAGACCCAGATGCTTTAAAGATATTTTAAATGGATTTACTTTGAGATGGGGGTAATGATTTGATTAGCTTTCTCCCATGATGTTCCAAAGGACAAGTTCACATCAGAAATCTATGCATTTCTTGAGCAACAAAATGCCAACCAGAGCCAAGGTTATATTTCTATCAACTTAGACAAACTTACTTGGATGAATTCTGACCCTATTATTCATTTCCTAGCTCCACTGAGTCCATTAGTTGTTCCAACCTGAGTGATGACATAGAGGAAATGAAATGTGGCTGAATAGAAAGAAAACAGACTTGGAGGTCAGTCCATCTCCCATCTTTTGCACTCACTGTCTCAGTAACTTTACACAAGTCATTGAGCCTTCTAGACTCTCAGAGTTTTCTCCTCTGCAAAATGGAGATGATGGTTACAACTTTTGCCCACAGGCTCTGAGAGGTGTAAATGAGATAATGCCTGTCAATCACCTGCATGGCACATGGTAAGTAACTACATCATAAGTGGTACCTTCTATTGCTGCTGCGGCTGCACGACTACTACTCCTGTTACCACCACCACCACCACCATCGCCACCACCATCATCATCATCAGTAAATCAAAGCAGGTAAACCTCATAAATCTTTTTCATCAGCACTACTGACATCTCTGTGAACCAGAGAATCAGGAAACAGAGGTTATCTGGGAGTCAATGAGAAAAAGCAGGCAAAGGTAGAAGCTGGAACATCTACAAATAACATAAATATTTAAAAGATGTAAGGAAAAAAATCACAAAGCTATACCTCCACTAAGATTTTGAGGATCTCATGAGAGATGATATTGGGACACTGGAACATCACTCTGATGCTATCCTCTGAGATCTATGATGTAGGCTTAAGCTAACCTTAACATGAAGTCATTTGGGTATTCAATTCAAGAAACTTATCTGAAAAGGGTCCAAAGTAGCTCTGCATTATACTGAATTCCTGTATGGAACACAGGGCTGTATGAGGGTATTCCACGGTATTTTGGATGCCTAGGAGTGAGTCTCCATATAATAAATTATGTAATATATGTAATTAACATGCTATGCAGCAATTATTAAAGTTGGAAAAGAGCCCTTTTATAAGCATTAGTGGAGAAACAGAGGGCAACTTCACAATTGCTTAACAGGCTAACCATGATTTATCATCTTTCACTAAAAGTAGTTTTGACATTTGGGAGATATTTTTATGGTCCACACTTCATTCAAATTAGTAATATTCAAATTATAGAGGGCCACAGTAACTGCATAAATGTTCTACAATCGATTTTAAAAAACGGTTAAAATTTTTATTGCTTCTGTGTCTTGAAAGCTATTTTAAATTTCCTTTTCTCATTCCCATCCATCCAGATCATTAAACCAGACCTGACCTCCACCCCAGAAATCCCTCAGAGAAAGAATATTCCATGGAATATATACACACGAACATGTATGTGCACACATACAACACACACAAAATGCACACTACAGCTGCACATACACACACTCCTGTGCATACACACATATGGATATGTTGAGGAGGATGATGAGGTACAAGAGAAATGATAGTAAGGCAATAATCTTGAGCCAGAGCTCTAAATAACAAAGTAAACCACTTCTAATAGAAAAACCTAATTCATGGCATAAATTTATCACTGCTGTTGTACAGCACCTTCCAGAGGACACAGAATATTTCAGGGTGACTCACCAGGTAATTATCCAGTGAAATAATTACATAACTATGGAAGAAACGGGGTGTCCAGTGCAGGGCAGAATTGGGGGAGGCAGGTAATCTGGAGGACAGAGTTTGTATCTACTCACAGCCAGAACATCCTAACTTTAGAACTGTCAAATTCAGTTCTCTAGCAGGAAGAAAAGTCCATCCCCACCCTGATTTTTGAAGCTATGCCCAA
The DNA here is from genome assembly GCF_000001405.40 of Homo sapiens. Taxonomy (NCBI): domain Eukaryota; kingdom Metazoa; phylum Chordata; class Mammalia; order Primates; family Hominidae; genus Homo; species Homo sapiens. The sequence continues at coordinate 214,454,990 of NC_000001.11, forward strand.
AGTAACCTTTTCCATTCCCACCCTACTCCTCCCGTTCTTCCTCTAGCTATTTTCCTACTCTGGAGTAGAAAGACCCTGCCTTGAAAGTCCAATACAGCACATGTTTATTCTCCCACGTCTACACAGTGCCTCACAGGAAATGGAATCAGAGCCTAGGCTCTCATTTCAACTAGCATGTGCACCAATCAACTTCCTGTGTATTATCCAAGGAACTACTAATCCTGTCAAGCCCAGCTGAGACCCCACCAGGCTGGTTTGTGGTTAACTTGCCAATTTAAACTCTAGCTCAATTTTGAAAGCTGAGCTTAGCTGCTAAACATTGCCACATGGTTGAAGAAAGCATGGTGGATGATTGCAAATAGAAACCACCTTCTCCATGACACCAAGAGGATCCCATCATATTACCTGAGTAAATGCCTGAAATATCTGTTCTGTTTATATCTCAGGCACCAAAAGTAAGCCAGACTCATTTAATCCTCATGATACCTCCTCTGGGTGAGGTATGAATCCCATTTTATTGCTCCAGTTTTCTTAAGAAAACTAGAACACACAGCTCTGGTGCCATGAGTTCTGCAATAAGTTTACTGCAATGATGAGAAAAGAAGACAGAAGAGCCAGTCCTCAGACACAAGAACCACATCCCTGAACCACTTACAAAAAATGCACTACGATGAAACCAAGTAGGGAAAGCCACACTAAAATGTCATTTTTATGTGAGCAGCTTCCTCATTTATTTGGTTTGGTGTACTGCATTTTAACACAGGAAACATACATTTAAGCATATACTAAAAAATCGGCTAGTTTCTTCAGTGGCAGGTTGGTGTGTGGATACTACAGCGTCAAAATGTCCATCTTTTGGTATTATGGAAAGATTCTAGAGAATAAGGGCCCTTAAAAGTAGTTTTGAGGGCAGGGGACATTATGGGAACTCTCCGTACCTTTTGCTCAATCTTGCTGTGAAACTAAAACTGCTCTAAAGAAATAAAATCTATTAAAAAGTAGTTTGGGGTGGTTTTTATTTGTTTGTTCATTTATTTGTAAAGAGATGGTATAATCCCCCACCTTAGCTATTAAAAGGGAAATATTTTTTGAGGGTTTTGTTTTTCCAGTTTTGTGACAATGGCACAGACTAATGCTATTTGTAAGAGGTTTAGATGCAGTCTTGGCAATTACCAAGGATTAAAGCCATGATCTTATCTCAAGCATTTTGAAGAGTTACTCATCCAGAAGCAAAAGTTTAAAATATCTTGCATTAAGTTGTAATAGGTTGCCTATCTTACCCAATATTTCAGCTGTAAATTAAGAAATGGTGTGCTTCCACATAAAATATATGAATTACATATTATACAAGCACGAACAGTTTCACTGAGGCATGGAAAATACTTCAAAAGATGACTATAAGCAGACTCTGAAATAGCACTTCATGCAATTACATTCCAATGGCTTTGGAAAATAAGCCACTGTACATCAGTTGGATAACGGTAGAAAAGAACTTGTGTGTAATCAACCTCTACTCTGGGTAGGTCTGAGATTTCTATAACTGACACATCTATAATTAACAACTGCACCCTCTTCATTTTCCTAGCCAATCTCTTTATAAAAGTACATGAAAAGAAAATGCAGAGTAACACAGACCCAAGAAGCAAGTCCCATAGCCAAGAAAAACCACTCTTCTGAGACTGTACGACTCACCTAGAATACACAGAAAGATGAAGACGTACAAGTTAAGACTGGCGAATAGTTCACCCACAATCTCTATACCTAGAAAATGGAGATGCCGGTGCCATTACATTCTAGGATTGACATTAAGCTAATAATGTTTCACACTGTCATTTTTACAAAGACAAAAAGCAACACAAAACTTAAAGATGAGAAATCTCCCCCAGCAGTCTACTCTTCAGTCGATTCTTAATCAGCATTGATTATTTTAATCCTTTGCAAATACACATATATACTGACGTGATTAAACAAGCTATAAAATACAGCAGAATTCCACTATTATCTGCCAGGGCATGAGGTGTTGCATTTAATTGAGTACCCCCCAAATCCCACATAAATTATTAATTGCCAAAAGATTAGCATGAAATCAAACCACAGAAATATTCTTCATGTAAGTTAACTTTTATGTGATAATAGGAAATGCATGTTAAGTTTCTTATCTTTATAATCTCTAGTCATTATGAAAATAGCAAAATGTGGAAAATTTCTACTGTAGTGATAGCTTTGGGTAAAACAGCTTTTAGTAAAGATCAAAATATAAATTTGCAAAAGAAAAAGGGGATAAATTAGAGGATAAGGACTTACTCTTTGAAATGATTATAGTTTGGTTTTTAAAAGCTTTTTTACACTCTTTTAAAAACCAAGGCTCTTAGGCTTAGCCTTAGGAGAGAGCCGAGAGTTATGAAAGTCACCATTCTCCAGAGCGCTGGATTTCCTCACAGCAGTTCTCTACCTCAAATAGGGTTTACCAATGAACTGAAGGGTATCTCAGGTGCCTTTGTTATATCATTTATCCTTCTTCCACTTGTTAAGTTAAAAGTAGAGCCAAGGTTATTCTAGCATATTTTTACATTTTATTAGGATGCTTATACTCACTATTACCATTAAATGCCCCCTTTGCGTTTCTTAGAATAGCACTGTTCAGCAGAAATCAAATGTGAGTTACATATTTAATTTTAAATCTTCTAGAAGCCACATTGATTTAAAAGTACCAAAAGTGAAATTACTTTTAATAAATATTATTTAAAACACGTTCAAAATATCATTGCAACCTGTACTCAAACATACATATAATTAATGAGTATTTTAGTTTTCTCATACTATGTCTTCAAAATCTGATGTGTTTTTACACTTACCACACATTTCAGTTCAAAATAGCCACATTTCACGTGTTCCATAACCACATGTGGCTACCATATTGGACAGCACAACCTTAAATTAATCCTAGCTGTTCGAGGAACTGAAAGACTTTGCTATTTTAACTCAATATAAGATCACAGTTTCATCTATATCTATATCTATATCTATATCTATATCTATATCTATACCTAGAGAGAGAGAGAGAGATAGAGAGAGAGAGACAGAGAGATTCACTCTGTCACCCAGGCTGGAGTGCAGTAGTATGTTAATAGCTCACTGCAGCCTCATTCTCCCGAGCTCAAGGGATCCTCCTGCCTCAGACTCCCAAGTAGCTGGGACTACAGGCATGCATCACCATGCCTGGCTAATTTTTTATTTTTTTTGTAGAGATGGATCTCACTATGTTCTCAGGCTGGTCTTGAACCCCTGAGCTCATGTGACCTTCCATCTTGGCCTCCCAGTGTTAGGACTATAGTTGTGAGCTACCAGGCCTGGCCCCAGTTTCTAATAATTAAAGTCATCTAAAAATGGAACAAGCAGACTTACAAAAGGGTGACAGCCCAGTCTCTGGAAGTGTCATGGCAGAGGCTGGATGGCTTGGGTGGTGTTTTGCAAAGAAGGCAGCCACATCGAGTGCTTCCTATGCCAGGCACTGTGAGACTGTGGCAACTATGAAAAACTAACTCTCTGAATCCTCCCAACAATTTGTAGAGGTGGCTACTATTACCATCTCCATTTTACAGATAAGAAAACTGAGGCACAGGGTACTTCTATTTAAGGTTACATAGCTAGTAAATGGCAGAACCAGGATTCAAACTCAGGCAGTTTGGTCCAAGCTGACATTCCTAGCCACTAAACTCTGCTGTGTTTTCATGTACTTCTTTTTTAAACCGTGAGAATTAGTCATAAGGCACCATTGTTTTAGCTCTTTTTCCCTTAACCTAGGCTAGTTATTTTCAAACTGAGATAGGGCTCCAGATATCCTATCTCCTCTGTAAAAGGCCCAGCTCCATTTACACATCCATGCTCCACCAAAGATTTGCAGAAAAGGGTTAAACCCACTGATGCAGACATATTATAATGACATTATTGGAATTCTGATTTTCTGAGCTTCCTATATCTCTGGAATTGTCTTTGTTAATAGAGCTCCCAAGCAGCAACTTATCCCTGATTTTTCCCTCATCTTTAAAACAATGAAAACACACTTTTCCTAAGCAGTTCATCTCATGACCTCTTGCCAGGTTTACAGTTGTGCCCACTGGCATCTCTGTTCCTCGCCTCCAATCCCCACTCTTTTCTTCTTTTTTTTTTTTTTTGAGACAGAGTCTCACTCTGTCACCCAGGCTGCAGTGCAGTGGCACAATCTCAATCTCGCCTCACTGCAACCTCCACCTCCCAGATTCAAGCGATTCTCCTGCCTCAGCCTCCTGAGTGGCTGGGATTACAGGCATGCACCACCTTGCCCGGGTAATTTCTGTATTTTTAGTAGAGATGGGGTTTCACTATGTTGGCCAGGCTGGTCTCGAACTCCTGACTTCAGGCGATCTGCCCGCCTCAGCCTCCCAAAGTGCTGGGATTACAGGCATGAGCCACTGTGCCCAGCTGATCCCCACTCTTTTCTTTCTTTTTTTTTTTTTTTTGAGACAGTATCTCACTCTGTCACCAAGCTGGAGTGCAGTGGCGCGATCTTGGTTCACTGCAACCTCCAACTCCCTGGTTCAAGTGATTCTCCTCCCTCAGCCTCCCAAATAGCTGGGATTACAGGCATGTGCCACCACGCCCAGCTAATTTTTGTATTTTAGTAGGGACGGGGTTTCACCATGTTGGCCAGGATGGACTCGATCTCCTGACCTCGTGATCCGCCTGCCTCGGCCTCCCAAAGTGCTGAGATTACAGGCGCAAGCCACCACGCCTGGCCGATCCCCACTCTTTTCTACTACTGAGTGCTACTGAGTTCTTTACCTAACATGCAAGGTAACTATGTCATGCTCCTCCTTGGAGTCCTCTGATGACCTTACACTTCACAGCAATGTTTTATTCCCCACATAGTTCAAAAGAGTATTTTCTGGAAGGCTAAGATAACTGTGAAACACTTACTGGAACACCGTTTTCTTTCTTTTACTACAGAATTGAGGAAAGAATGTTTCCCAAAGCATTTTACCATACTCCCTGCTCCCCCACTACAAGTCTCTGGGAACTGGAACAGTGGCGTCAGCTGCCAGGGTTTGAACCGGCCTCACAACTTACCAGCCCAGTGACTGTGGGCAGGTCACCCTATGCTGCAGCCTCCCCATCTGTAACATAGGAACAGCAAGAGTAGGGACACATCAGACTTGTTATGAGAACTACATGAGCTGATATATGGAAACTGCTCAGCAGAGTATATACAATCAAAAGGTGGTAATTATCCTTTGTAACTTATTTTAGAAATACTATCCTATAGATCTAGTTAAAACTCCCTAGGCAGACACAGCAAACCCTTCAAAAGCAGACTCCATCCTGCCCCTTCCTCCTTTACCCTCCTTCCCTTCCATGACCCTTTCATACACACACATACACAACACACACACACACACATCAGTGCAAACAAACTGAACTCTGCCTTTCCCTGAAAATTCCCCTCCACACACACACAGATCAATGCAAGCCAAACTCTGCCTTTCCCTGAAAATTCCAACACACACACACACACACACACACACACACAGATCAGTGCAAACTGAACTCTGCCTTTCCCTGAAAATTCTAACACACACACACACATACACACACACACATACACACACACACATCAGTGCAAACTGAATTCCGCCTTTCCCTGAAAATTCCATGTTCTTTCCTGTTTCTGTACCGCAGCACAAGCAGTTCCCCTTGCTTTGTTTCTTGTTTGTCCTGTTCTCTAAACTCTAGGAGCAAAGACCCTATCTGGTTTCTGGGAGCAGGGACCCTAGCACATTCAGCTTTCCCAGAGCATGACTGTTTGCTGACAATAGGAACCAGGCCTGGATCCTTCTGAAAGCCATGTTAAATAGCAGCATATCATATTTGTCCAAACCTACAGAATGTACAACACCAAAAGTAAGCCCTAATGTAAACTCCGGACTCTGCATGATAATGATGTGTCAATGTAGGTTCAATAATCATAACAAATGTACCACTCAGGGGGTGATGTTGACAGTGGGGGAGGGTGTACATGCACGGGGCCAGGGGTATATGGAAATTCTCTGTACCTTCCTCTCAATTTTACTGTGAATCTAAAATTGCTCTAAGAAATCAAAGTCTTAAAAGTAAAAATAAAGTATTAAAAATTATCTAATAAAATTTAGTGGCAAAACAATTAATGTAAATAAAAAATTTAATAAAAAAATTTTAATCCACCATACATCCTTTCCTAATATAAAGCTATTACAAAATTTATGATATACCTAAACTACTTCTAATGGCAAAGCCAAATATCCACCATAATCTAGTTTCCAAGACTTCATAAAGGCTAAACATATTACCCTGAGCACAGTGTCTCACATCTATAATCCCAGCACTTTGGGAGGCTGAGGCGGGAGGATCACTCGAGCCCAGGAGTTTGAGACCAGCCTGGGCAATACAGTGAGATCCCATCCGTACAAAAAATTTAAAAATTTGCTGGGCATGTTGGCATGTGCCTGTAGTCTCAGCTACTTGGGAGGCTGAGGTGGGATCACTTGAGCTCAGGAGGTTGAGGCTGTAGTGAGTCATGATCGTACCAGTGCACTCCAGTCTGGGCAATAGAGCAAGATCCTGTCTCAACTGGAAAAAAAAAAAAAGATTAAATATATTTTGGCTGGGTGTGTGGCTCACACCTGTAATCCCAGCACTTTGGGAGACCAAGGCAGGAAGATCACGTGAGCCAGGAGGTGGAGGCTGAATGAGCCATGATCATGCCACTGCACTCCATCTTGTGCAATAGAGTTAGGCCCCAACACCCCTCCCAAAAAAGACTAAACTTTTTGTTATATCTTAGATTGGTTGTCACCTTCTCCTCTAAAGCAGCATCGGCTCTATTTGAAAAATGACCCAAATACAAATTCAAGGTATGAGGAGCAGACCTTGAGTTCACCTCCTCTTACTTCTGCTTTTGGATAGAGGATGCATTCTTCTTTAAGGTGTGTGTGTGCAAAAGAAGAACAAAGTATCAGATTACTCTATCTGATCCTTTAATTCAGGAGTATCTAGAGGACTGATTCCCAAAAGGGCACAACTTCAATGTTATCTGTCATGGAAGGAAAGCATAAAATTCAAAAAGAAAGTGATTTGGTCGAATGCGGATGCACCCATTAGGACGTGTCAAAATAAAGTCAGTATTAAACACAAACCCCACCTCAGCAATGGAATGTCAATCACACTACGGCACACACTTGGCAATGCACTGCTTTATTCTTTGTGATAAGGTAGTTGTGGGATGATCCAGGGTTGACTTTTGCCTTCTCACTGAGAAAACCAATAGTCTGTTGAAAGCCATTATTACCATACACATCTCCACACACCTCCCACCATTTGTTATAAACTCTAGCTTGACCTGGTGATTCAGAGGGATGCCTTCTCAGCCCCCAAAATGTTGGCTGCTCTTTCACATCCTTGGATCTTTGATAATCCAGTCCCCCACACTAAAGATGACATGGCCTTCTTTTCTACCTGCTGGACTGATACATGTCCTTCAAGTTTTGGTTCAGAGTGAAGGCTATGTTCATCTTCCATCAACTCTTTCACTCTCACCAGCAAGACTGCAGTGTTCAGTGGGCTGGATTGCACACTGCACAACACTAAGGACAGCCATCGCCTTTTGGGCCTACCCCTGCATTCTATTTTAGCTTGGACCACATTTGATATTAACTGTTTATTTAAAGGCTGGACTCCCCTATTGTTCTGTGCATGTCTTGAAGGTAAAATTGTACCTTATTTATCTTCATTTCACCAAGTTCTAAAAAAGTGCCTGGCACAAGATGGTTGTTCAATATTTTCTTTAACAAAAAATGGGTTTTTTTTAAGTTGTTTATTAAGACTCTCAAATTTGAACAATTATAAATTATTAAACACAGCACTATACATTTTCCATACAGGAACTCTTTTAATATTTACAACAGCCCTGTGAAGTAAGCATTATTATTGCCATTTTATAGGTAGGAAACTTACGCCTCAAAAGACTCAGTAACTTTTCCATTGTCACCCAGCTAATAAATGACAGAAGAGTAAGCTGAACCCAAGACCAAGAGTCCAGTGCCTATACTTGTAACCACATGCTACACTGTCCCCCGATGCATATGAGGAATAATTAGTTGCTCTAATTTGAGTGACTGGAAGTACTTAAAAGTAAAAATACTAGTTTTCTATAAGAACTTAGACAAGTCTCTTCCCCAATCAGTATTTGTTTTTCCTTTATGCCCATGCATACATGCAAATGTGTGTTTAAATGTGTGTATCCTAATGTGATACCAACGAGAAAAAGAGAGCCAGCTACCCATCAACAAGATGAGAACATTTCACATATTTATTCTACTGTGGCAGTTACCAAGCTACTAATACATATATCCATTGTCCAAGACAGTCTCCTGCACAGAAAAATATACCTAAAAGGAATACCTGATCACTGAAACCAAAGTATAAACACCAAGAACAGCAGGAGACAGATGCATTTCAGGTGAAACAGTTTCCCTGAGAAAAACAGCCAGCCTGTGGAAGACGTCTTTAGAAGGGACTTTCAGAGCAGGAAAGGGGAGAGGAAGACCCTCCTGGGCCCCCATTCCTTTGTAAGCAGGTGGAGAGAGGCCACATGCAATCACTTCCAACAGTGATTGCCACCCCTCTTCTGTCATCGAGGTCCTGGGCAATGCTGTCACTTGGACTCTCCAAGAGCCCAGGGACCTAGGACAATTACCCACAGCTTTTCCTTGCCCTCAGGAATGTCTCAGCCTCAGGGGCTTGCAGTCATTCAGTATTGGCAACCACTCAACCATACCACCTTCCCCACTGCTCAATATGTCAGACAGCTCTCAAGACACAGATGCTGAAGTGTGGATTGCTCACAAAAGTCTCTTGTCCTAAACGTCTGTATGACTGAAAAAAGAAGGGCTTGGCTGTCAAAAACAACATACTGCTCTGAAAGTCCCTTCTAAAGAGTGATAGCATGACTTTCTAAGTGGTCAGCCCTGCTTTTGCTTAAAAGCCATCTCACAGACGGCGTGAAGGCAACGAGGGCTGTGAGGAATCTTAAAAAGAAGAAAACCTCTGTTTTACAGGCTCCCACAAAAAGCCTCACTGGTCATGCTCACTCTAAATGCTTTTTCTCTTTATTCGGTGGGGTTTTTTTTTTTTTAGAGGAAAATATAGAAACAACCAAAAAAAAAAAAAAAAGGCAGCTGCATGCATCCGTATGTGGGCGTTTTTTCTCCTTAATGTGCAGCCAGAATGCCAAAATACCAGCTACCCACTCAATTGTTTTAAAGAGAGAAGATGACTTTGGTGGGGAGAGTCTCTCATTTTCAACTCCCCCAAAACCTCTTCCCCAGCTGAAATAAAAGGAAACCTGCCACGCCATGCAGCTCTAGGCGGTGTTCAAGTCTCCCCATCCAATGATGGATAAGATCACAGCCGTGCTAAGAATAACAGGATTCTTATAAACACATCGTCGCTTAGGCCAAAAAACACAACAGATGCCAAAAAACAGATGGCTGGTCCCTTCGGTGAGTTCTCCTTCACATACCCAACACGCATGCACGCGCACATGCGCACACAGACACACCCCTCTTACCTCTCGCAGCTCCAGCCTCTGGGCCACAGCCTCCAGGCATTCTTGCCCTGTGCTTTCCACCGACAGCGTGCACTCGATAACATTGCTGTCCAGCAGGCGAATCCGTGTGACAAAGCAGTTCTTGCTCAGGACGTTGTAGCGCCGTGTCCGGCGGAGCTTCAGACCAAAAGGCATGGCTATGTGGTCCTCGGACGCCGCCCGCCTATCCTGGCGCACACGCCCCTGAGATGGCCTTAGCAGTTTCGTGACTGGAAAATTACACTATCACCTGTGCTCCTCCAGGCAGGGAAAAGGGTGTCCATGCCCAGTGTGGCCCTCTGGAAGATAGCTGTAAATGCAAAAGAAATGCCATGGTCATGCTCCAGAAGGGACCTATCAATGGTACCATATTCCACACACACAGAAGCCCCCCCCCCCCCCCACCCCGCCAAACAGATCAACACTCAGGTTTGATAAGCTGCAAGTTCTGGAGTTCCTAAGTGTCTTGGCAGAGCCCATGCCCTATGCCTTATCTTACAAGGGTGATACGATAAAAGCTACTTTACAGTTGAAGAAAGGAAGATTCAAAGAGATTAAAGCATTCATTCACAGGTGCACAGTGTAAATGGCAATGCCAGAATTTAAACCAATGTCTACGTAACTTCAGTTCACATGCGTTTTTCACTATGCAATGCTGTCCACTCAAGAAAGTGTTAGGAGGCTGGGCGTGGTGGCTCATGCCTGTAATCCCAGCATTTTGGGAGGTTGAGGCGGAAGGATTACTTAAGCCCAGGAGTCCAAAACCAGCCTGGACAACACAATGAGACCCTGTCTCTACAAAAAAATAAATAAATAAATAAAAATTAGCCAGGCATGATGGCGTGTGCCTGTAGTCCCAGCTACTTGGGAGGCTGAGATGGGAGGATCTCTTGAGCCTGGGAGGCCAAGGCTGCAGTGACCCATGATCATGCCTGCACTCCAGCTTGGGCAACAGAGTAAGATTCTGTCTCAAACAAAAAAAATTAAATTAAATTAAAAAGCCCACTAGGAGTGGAACTTGAACACTGGTGTTTTGTTTTTTAAATTTCTAAATATATTGTCTCATTCCAACTTCATGAACAACCCTATGGTGTCTATTTTACAGATGAAAAAAGTAAGGTTTAATGACTTAAGTGCCTCACTGAATTTAAAATTTGATCTTGTTCCTCCTCACTCTTTGTAACACTGCCTCTTTACTCTTATTAACATTATTTACTTTTATTTTCATGTCTTATGTTTTATTATTTACTTAGAATGAATGATAAAGTGGTGGCAATATGCATTTAATATAATCAGTTACTTCCTTTTTTTTTTTTTTTTTTTTGTGAAGACGGAGTCTCACCTTGTTGCCCAGGCTGGAGTGCAGTGGTGCAATCTTGGCTCAGTGCAACCTCCGCCTCCCAGGTCCAAGAGATTCTCCTGCCTCAGCTTCCCAAGTAGCTGGGATTACAGGCACCCGCCACCACACCTGGCTATTTTTTTAATTTTATTTTTAATAGAGCCGGGGTTTCACCATATTGGCCAGGCTGGTCTTGAACTCCTGAACTCATGTGATCCACCCGCCTTGGCCTCCCAAAGTACTGGGGTTACAAGCGTGAGCCAACGCACCCGGCCAGTTACTTCCTTTTTTTTTTTTCTTTAATGGAAAGACATGAATTATTCAAAGCACTTAAAAATCACAACTCTTTGTCCTTTTTTTAACAAATATTTAGACAGATGTGGGGAACCACCCTACCATCATCTTGTTCCTTTACAAAATCTTGATGCAAAAGTCCTGTAACCAAATCACAGATAATTTAATTTACTATTATAGTAACAAGACTTACTGACACCCTGATGTCCCACCAAATGAAAATGATGACATTATTGCCATGGACAACACAAGAATAAAATAACAACAAAAGTGGCCTTATTGCTCCACCCTGAGCCAGCAATCTTGCTGGGAGGCTCATTAAACTTGTCTTTCAAAGAAGCCAGAAATGTCCAGAAAACTTTTCTGTCCAAATGTTCTGTTCTCCATTAAGCCCAACAGACTATCTCTTGCTCATCTGATTGTTTTGTTAACTTGATTCCCTAACTCAGGCAGATCCACTAGGATTTACACTCTTCATCCATCTGCCGACACAGGATTACCCCCTGAGCCCCAAGACACTTGGATGTACAAATAGGAATAGCTACTACTTGTAGGAATTCTTAAAGTAATAAATAAAATAGCTTCAATATTTATAAACCACTCCCTGCCAGTACTCATGCCTCATGGAGGTTGTCAGGTTATAACCCTGCAACATAGCAAAACACACTCCTCAGCCTCCCACAGCAGGTCTTTGATACTTGCCGTGGGCACATTCCTTAACATGACAGGTATATGTTTTATGACGGCTTAAAATACATATGCTAGAAACTCTGGCTTGGTAAAATATATTAACATTTCTAAATCACTTTATGTTGGCAGAGTATCATGTTTACCTCTAAGGTAAGCCAATCTGATTTCTTGATAGGTACAGAAAAGAATATGAAATGACCCACCCACCCCCAACCCAAAGAAAAACAGTGGGGGGAAGCCAAAATTCAAATAGACAGCCCTTAGATGTTTACTACTCATGAATTCCCCTCAACTTATTAAAGCACAGAACACAAGAGGCCAAGATTCAATTCCTGCATTAACCAGAGAGCCTCAAACAGAGAAAAATATTTGCTCTGTGGGCACAAGCCACATTTCTAACCCTGAGCCAGGCACTTTACATTTGGGTGTGTCTCACTGTAAACACCTAGGAAAGAATGTGGCTGGCTTGGTACGCATTTATCCCAGCAAAAACAATCTCTACTACATATTCTATGGGATATCATTTGCAATGCATAACTAGTGAAATAAAAAGTAAACTTTAAACAACATGTATAGATGATTGGAATTTTTATGATATACAAAAACACAAAGAGGAAAGAATGTAAGTTTGGCAAAATTATTATCTCAGAGCTACTTGATATTAAATAGAATTCTAACCTTAGATATTTCTACATTGTTCTAGCATCTTACAGCTGCCTTATATTATTTTTGTAAATAAAGATTATTTTAAAGTACATTATCTACTGAAAATGGTGTATCAGGAGCGATGGCTTTATATTCATGGCTAGCAGATAATCTGGTAATATATCTCCTAGAAAATACACATTTTGATTTCTAAAAGACTTTTAAAATCTCCAGTTGACAAAAATACTTGCAAGATACGGTATCAACAAAATGTAAGAAAATTGGTCTGGTCCTTTTAAAAGTCAATGTCATGAAACAAAAATTGGGCATGAGGAGGGGGAGGCCGTACAGGCTGCTGTAGAATAAAAGAGATTTAGGAATTATGAAAACAAAATGTAGTGTGTGAACCCTGACTAAATCCAAGTGTGAAAAAAAAAATAGCTGTAAAAGATACAGATAATTAGGGAAGTTTGAAAAACAGAAATTAGATGATATTAATGTATTTTTATTAATTTTCTTCAGATTTTGATAGAATTGTGGTTATGTAGGAGAATAGATGGAATTGTGTTAAGAGATGCCAGTGGATATAGCAGGGGTAAAGAAGTCATGATGCCTGTAACTTGCTTTCCAATGGTTTTTTTGCAAAACCAACACATACGGCTGGGTGCGGTGGCTCACGCCCGTAATCCTAGCACTTTGGGAGGCCAAGGCCAGTGGATCACCTGAGGTCAAGAGTTTGAGACCAGCCTGGCCAACATGGTGAAACCTAGTCTCTACCAAAAATACAAAAATTAGCCAGGCATGGTGGTGTGTGCCTGTAATCCCAGCTACTCGGGAGGCTGAGGCAGGAGAATCACCTGAACCCAGGAGGCAGAGGTTGCAGTGAGCTGAGATGGCACTATTGCACTCCAGCCTGAGCAACAGAGCAAAAACTCTCAAAAACAAAAAAAAGAAAAGAAAAGAAAAACCAACACATACACCATACACACATAAGCACATCTATAAATTCAAAGTTAAAATAAATATACAAAATGTTAACAGTTGTTGAATCTGTGAGTATACAGATACTCACTCTACTGTTCTTTTAGGTTTTCTATATACCTAAAAGTTTTCATAATCAAAAGTTAAAAAGAAGGCAATCCTCAATGCCGATAGTAAACATGCTCATACCTAGTCACTGCTGAATTTAAATGATGCTGCCTCTTTCTATGGACTTCTCTGATCCTTAATATCACAGGTAATCTTTTCTGTCTGAATTCCCACAGCCATTGGTGCTTATTTTAATACACTAATCTAGCTTATGTTAAAAATATCAGCACACTTTGACACTAAACTTCCTCAGAGCTAGAAACACATTTTTTTCACCTCTAACACACACATCATTTACCTACATTAAAAGCTCATGACATTTTCACCCAGAATTTGCACAGCCACAGAGCCATGCTTCTGGAAAGAACTTTCAGGCACTCATTTAAGGCATCTCTTACCTTTAGGAAAGGCTACACCTAAATTATTCCAGGTAAACAATCTGCTTGACACTAATCTATAACAATAGGATTAGAGAAGAAGATCTCTTAGTCCCTTTCATTTCAACATTTTTATATTCTATGAATTTATCCACTACTTTTAAGCTCTCAAAAAAGCCATTGCACATATGTTAAAATTCCATCTTTTAGCCATTCACACAGGCGTAGAGTTCCACCTCAAACTCAGCTCCCTCCTATATTTTATGTCCAATAGGAATACCTCTGCTTTGTCATTAGAGCAGGGAGCAAAATATCCACTATAAAATGGACTTGATGTGAAATCCACTCTAAGCATCTCCTTTCTGTTAAATAGTCTGGCTCCTGGAACCTTTCCAACTTTCCCCATGTGGCTCTCTGGGGCCCCATCATATTCATTTTATCACACATACATTATAAAATCTGGAACTAAATGCCACATGCTCATAGAAAGGTCACAGGTTTAGACACTTTAGATTTTCCTAATAAAAACTGTTTTTCAAAAGAGATAAAAGTATAGAGCCCTCATTATATTTACTGTAATTTTTTTTTTTAAGAGAAAGGTCCATTAAAAATAAAAAGTCAGAGTGAGCCCTAATGGAAACTATGGACTTTGGGTGCTAGAGATGGGTCAATTTAGGTTCAATAATTGTAACCAAGGAACCACTCTAGTAGGGGGATGGTGATAGTGGGGGCGCATGGGGAAAGGCGGGGGTATGTGGGAAATCTTTAAGACTTCCTTTCAATTTTTCTGTGAACCTAAAAGTGCTCCCAAAAATCGAGTCTATTTTTAAAAAATAAACAGAAATAAGTTACTTAATATATAGTTTTATTGATCTATTCTTTAAGAACATATCTAATAAATACTACAAAGCTGCAACTCTTGCTGAGACCCATTTATAGAAATTAAAGAAACTATACATATCTGGGAGGCCAAAGTGGGAGGGTCACTTGAGTCCACGAATTCAAGAACAGCCTGGGCAAAATAGCGAGACTTTGACCCTACAAAATAAAAAATAAAAATAGCTGGACATGGTTTTGTGCACCTGTAGTCTCAGCTACTTGGGAGGCTGAGGCAGGAGGATCACTTGAGCCCAGGAATTTGAGACTGCAGTGAGCTATAATCATGCCACTGCACTCCAGCTAGGCAATACAGCAAGACTCTATTTCTAAGTAAAATATAGATCATAAAGCTAACAATGCTGACTCCTAATTTTTTTCAATACTGTGATTTTTTTCTAATTTCAAAACAATCTTCTAACCCTCTTTTTCCTAGGCGCATCTTATAAAGAAAAGTAGCCTGGGACACTATTGGGGTAATGGTTACACTAAAAGCCCAGACTTCACCATTATGCAATATAGCCACGTAAAAACACTGCACTTGGCCAGGCACGGTGACTCAGGCCTGTAATCCCAACACTTTTGGAGGCCGGGGCGAGTGGATCACTTGAGATCAGGAGTTCAGGACCAGCCTGGCCAATATGGTAAAACCCCATCGCTACTAAAAATACAAAAAATTAGCCGGGTGTGGTGGCAGATGCCCGTAATCCCAGCTACTCGGGAGGCTGAGGCAGGAGAGTCACTTGAACTCAGGAAGCAGAGGTTGCAGTGAGCCGAGATCGTGCCACTGCACTCCAGCCTGGGCAATAAGAGTGAAATTCCATCTCAAAAAAAAAAAAAAAAACTGCACTTGAGTGCCCAACCGGGCCAACATGGCGAAACCCCATCTCTACTAAAAAAAATATATATATATAAAAATTAGCCGGGCATGGTGGCAGGTGCCTGTAATCCCAGCTACTCGGGAGGCTGACACAGGAGAATCACTTGAACCTGGGAGGCAGAGGTTTCAGTGAACCAAGATCACACCACGGCACTCCAGCCTGGGTGACAAGAGCAAAATTCCATCTCAAAAAAAAAAAAAACAAAACAAAAAAACAACTACACTTGAACCCCCTAAATCTTTTTTTTTTTTTTAAAGACTTAGACTTTCACCTTTCCGTGATGAAAGTAATTTGGAATACAAAGTACAGGGGGAATGACAGGGAAAGTGCAGTAAACCCTGGACTCTTCAACTTCTAGGGTCTTTGTCTCAGTAAAGCAACTGGAAACCGAAAACTAAAGACTAAAGAAAGGGAAAAATACTCACTCGACTGAAGTTGAGCTGAGGGGTTCTAAGAACCAAGGTTTACTATTAGGGATAGGAACATGCACAAACTTTCATGCAAGTACTGGCTTTAACCAGAGAGGGGCAGAATGAATGGCAAAGTACTTATCCTCTTTTAGCCTCAGTCTACTCACTTATGAAGTTAATACATACCCTACCTATTTGTGAGAAGTAAATGAGAAAACAGTGCTAGTGAGCACTCAGAAAGTGTGGACAAGTTCCCTTCCTACTCTTCTCATAGTTTCAGAGTATGCTAGGTTTGCTCAAAGCATGGCCAAGCAGTTGTGCAAAGAGGAAATTGAGTACTTGACCTACTGTAGAGAAAGTCTTTTAAAAGGTTAAAAATGAAGGTGGGGGGTGAGGTGGCAAAGCATAGAGTTTAACATGAAGCTATGACAATCCCATGGAAAAACTGACCGAGTAGAATGCTGAATCATGCATTCTCTTAGTCCAACCACGGCTACCTGGTTATCCCACAAACTCAGACACCTGAAGCATAAAGGAGAGAATCTTAGACTAAATGTCCTCTGAAGAGCCCATCCTGGGTGGGAAGAAGATTTCTTATTCTAGCCAACAGCATGTGTATATCATCCAGTGTTGCCCATTGTTCTTTTTTTCCCCAGGGGAAATTGATATGACATTCCCTTGGTCTTATAAAATCCATGAGGCCATGTCTCTACAGCTCCTGGTGTATCACAGAGTCTCTCATCCTACAATCACTCTCAGGTGTGTCTCACCTCCCCAGTCAGAGTCCTGAAGGGAAAGACCTGTGTGGGCGTCAGCTTTGTAACCTTCTATAATCATAACATGGAGCTTTATACATGGCAGGAAGTGAAATAAATGTTTCTCATTGATATGGTTTGAATATATGTCCTCACCAAATCACATGTTGAATTGTAATCCCCGATATCAGAGGTGTTCAGGTCATAGGGGTGGATCCCTTCTGGCTTGGTGCTATCCTCAGGATACTGAGTTCTCCCGAGATCTAGTTGTTGTAAAGTCTAGCACCTCCCCTGACCCCGCTCGCTCTCTTGCCCCCTCCTCTCCTGCCATATGCGATGCCTGCTCCCCTCCTTCACCTTCCACCATGATTGAAAGCTCCCTGAGGCCCTCACCAGAAGCAGAGCAGATGCTGGTGCCATGCTTCCTGTACAGCCTGCAGAAGCATGAGCCAATTCAATCCCTTTTCTTGTAAGTTACCCAGTCTCAGGTATTTCTTCATAGCCATGCAAGAACAGACTAACACAGTCATTATGAAGAAAGAATGAATCCTGAGATCACTAGCTTTTTGACATTAAGGCAGGGCAGGAGTCTCCAGCATGACCTCAGTGACTCTTCAAATCATTTAAGGAATCTGGAACCTTAGATGGGTCTGAATTCTGGCTTCTTAAGAGAGGGTTAAGCTACAGAGAAAAGGGATGAGAGTTAAGTTATTCCACTGACTCATGCTTTTTCAGGGGAAAAAATTGAACTTGGGTTTCCAAAAGAACATTCCCACCACCCAAGTTTTCCTTTTCTAGCCCCTGATCTGTCTTATACTGGGGGTATTCTCACAGACAGAGATTGCAGATCCAGACACGTTCCTTGCAACAAATACAATGGAACTACTGAGATGATAAAAAGTGTTGTAGTGTGCCCATGCTTGCTGAAAGCAATTCGTTGAGATATTTGCTCTGTAAACATCACATCTTAAAGGTCTTTTATATAGAATAGGCTACATTGCAAGAGAACATACAGAAAACCTTCAGGCACTTCTAAAATTCACTTCTGAGTAGTCAATCAGCTTCCTAAGCTCTAAAGTGTAAGTTTCGATCTTTACCTATTAACTGTGGATTTCCAGTATTTTGTTCTCTCATTTTTAATTAAAAAAAATTTCAAAGTTAAAAACACAAAGCAAAGAAAGACAGCTTTCTCACAATTTAGAAAAGGTCATTTGGCAGAGCAAGTAAATCTTTAAATATGATGGATAAGCAGAGGAGAGATCTTTCACAAATATCAACCAAATGCAGCGTATTCCTCTTTATTGAATTACCAGCACAGTCTGTGTTTAGTCTTTTATTGAATTACCTGCACAGGCAAATGAAAGACAGAAGTTCAAATCCAAATCCTAAACATGGTCACCGCACTTTCTTTTTAGTTCCCATGCTATGCTATGTATACTTAACTCTTTATTTTTTTTCTTAAAGATAAGTTCTGAAATCACCAAAAGAAGCTAACTGCTATTCAATTGCATCCTATATTTACCAACAGTCTTTGGAATTTCTCCAGCATTCCATACTATTACAACTCCCAAGGACATCTCACAGAGCTATGTAATCTTGGTGAGGGTGTAAGAAAGGAAAAACTGATGCAACTAGTCTGTGCTGTGTATAAACCTGCATAGGGCACAGCTCAGTTTTGATAGTACTAGGTCATTTTCCTAAGGAAAGGCTAAAAGAAGGGATGAGGTGGGAGGGGATGGGAAATAAAAGAATACTAAAAATGTCTACTCTTATTTTCCTTTAAAGGAAGGCAGAAAGGAAATTAGTTTTGTGCAGTGCAAATGAGATTATTAGTTTCTTCTATCAATCAGTTTTAGAGCTGTACAGTACCCAAATCATATCCATACATCAAATTATTTTTAGCCAAGTAAAGCTTTTTCTGCAAAGTTTAAAACACAAGCCCCTGACTTTAGTTGCTAATGAAAATAACATCAACAACAAAAACTGTAAAAAGCACATTTTAAGATTCCATTATTTCCCTCCTAACTCACTTTTAGTCAGTGGTGAGATGGAAACTTGTCCTAAAACACATTTTCCATCTCTCTTACGCACTAACCACGTAAATGACCTTTCAAGCCTTTCTAAAGCTGTATGTGAAATTGGAAAACAAAGATTCCTACTGTGTTATAATTCATTACAGTAATACCTCACCTATATGAAACATGGCTACACAGCAACCTGATCTATGTAGAACACAGCCAAAAACCAAGAAATGGAGCCAAAACATCCTTTGAGCAGTTGAGTATCACCAAATCCTTAATTCCAACATCATACACTTTGCTCAGGAAACAAAAGAACACCCTCAGTTCATTTACTCTGACTTTAAGTACAGTTCTTTACAAGTTCCTTGACCTGACTTCTCAGCCCTTAACAGATTTCAAAGAGACAAGGGGCTGTCATTACAGACAAGCACATTGACATAGGATAAAAAATGGCAACAAGGGAGGTGACACGTAAATGATTAACATACACACTCCACAGCATACAAATCGGTGTCCAAAACTCCCTGTAGTAAATAGGAACAATTAAATAGTACCCAGCATAATCTGTTTAAGAAGGAAGAAAATAAATACATTTTTAAGTAAGTCCCATCCATGGTGGTTAAAAAGCCTCCATAACCCGGAAGCACTTTCCCCAAAGAGGTGGTTCTCTATCTTGTACATCTCTAACACTTTCTGTGAACTCTTGGAATAAGGGGGTGGCTTCAGCAGGCAATCTTCTAGGAGGACAAGTTAGTCTGAAAAAGCTCCCCTGGTTATTGTTTAAAAAGATCATTTCTCCACCCCCTGCTTTAAGGATTACTGTCTTGAGATTTCCAGAGAGACATGATTTTCCCACAGGAAGCAACTTAGAACATGCAGGTTTTCATTTTTGACCTTAGCGAAACTTTCCTCTGAAGGCATTCTAAGTACATCTTGAATACTTATGGATAAAATAATGTTGTCTGGGATTTGCTTAAAAAATCACGAGGGTTTGGGAACTGAGTAGGGCTGCAGATGAGGCACCACTATGAGTTGACAGTTCTTGAAGGTGGGAGACAGGTATGTCAGGGGTCTCACCATTCTCTACAGCTTTGTATGTGCCTAAAATTTCCATAATAATAAGCTGGAGCTTGTAAAACAAAAAAATTTACTAAATGATACTTTTTAAAGTAACCTGGTAAAACAGATAACAGTGCTCACTAAAAAGGGTCAGAATTTTCCCTCCAAACTAACTCCTTTGTCCTTCCAAAACAGAACTTGGATTTCACTAGATAAAACCAAAAGCAATAGTTTTTCCCTTCCTTATTAAAAGGCAGTAGGAAAAATTCTTTCTGTAAGTAAAATGACAAGTTCTTTAAAATATAAAGAACCATCAATTGGGCATAAAATAAAGGACTCTTCCTGGTCCAGCTTGCATAATCAATTCCATCAGAAGAATACCTGACTCTGGTTTACTCTCAAATGAGCTTTGTCTAGTCACGCCAGGAATGCTTTGTTGTAAGACACCCCACCCTTCTTTGGGAGATGTGCATTCTGCAACTCTTCAATTCCACTTCTTTTTGCTGTCAGTATCTATATCCACAATGATGTATGTCCTGGAATGTCAGAGCTTATTACACCTAAAAATCAGAATGGGAAATTCCCCATAATCAGCACCGCCATTTGTGAAGCAGACACATTGATGGGGGCACTCTGCTGAGCACAATCTCAACACCCCTACGACAACAGGGCTTCTCTTACTATATCACCCCATTTTACACACTAAGGACTGAGGCTAAAGAGAGGAAATAACTTCCCCCCACGATCACTCAGTGACTAAAGACAATCAAGTTCAAACCCAGAGCTCCATCTGAACCCATGTTCTTACCCAATGAACCATGCTGATATGACGCAGAAAGAGGGTTATCAGCTATGACCTTATGATATAAAAGTAACAATGACAATAGCAAGCACCCACATTCTACAAAAAACAACTATGACATACCATCAGCAGTTTATCTTTGCTCACCCACAGCGGACATTACTCAGACATGGTGGAGGGGGCCCTGAGGCTGGGACCCAATTTCAGCCCAAGGAAGCTCTATCCAGAAGGCATGGTGGCAGAATCAGGGTCCCATCCCAGCCATAGCACCCTGCCAGAGCCTCTTACCTAGATGGCCTATTCTACTGTACCACTGTGTTGTGGAATGAGAGAACCTGAGCATGTCGCATAGAACCTCTTCAAAAACCAATTTGAAAAACACAATCACAAAAGCAAATGGAAAGGTTTTCCAGCCAGGGCAGATGACTCACTCATCAAATCAAAAGAAACTCACTGAGGATAAACATACCTTGAGCTTGCTTCGCTCTTTTCCGGAGAGGTGCGCCCTGCAGGGACAGAAGTAGCCAAGAAAGAAGGGCTCTCCTGGAGAGACAGTTGTTGCTTGTGACCTCCCTCAGCAAAGCTTTCCACACCTTCCTTTCCCCCGTTTCCTTCCTCCCATGCCTGAGTGAGTTCCCTCAACTTCTCTCCCATGTCCAGGGTGTCACTTCCTATCCAAACAGTGAGCAGCAGCTAAGCCACTCTGCCAGCTCTCTCCATCTGGGTCTGAGCATCCAGCACTGAGCTTCCCTGGGAATGTCGCCTCATTCACCAGTTTCTCCAGCCCCACCAGCAAGCCTCACCCAGAAGCAGTCATTTCCATGCCTAAGCCACTTACACACTGCATAACCATGGGTCCGAAGCTGGCTCGCTCCCTGCATTTCTAACATGGGGATGAAAACAGTCCCCACCACCTAGAGTTGTTGGGAGGGTTATGAGTTAATAATCTATAAATTCCTGGCACATGGTAAGCATTGGTTATGTGTTTGCTATCACCGCCATTATTATCCTTGCTACTTCACGGAATACTGCAGGAAACCCAAGGAAACACAATGACTGCTAAATACCACAGCTGTAAAAATGTTTTCCCAACAAGCCAATTGTTACAGAGCAGAGAATTTTTAAAGTTAAGGCTGTTCATCACTAAGAGAAAAAATATGAAACCAAAACATGCAACTACAGGTCCCACTGACTGGAAACCGCAACAGGGTGCCCAGTGGGTTTCAGATATGTGACCACTCCAGTGAATCAGTACAACCAAGTGGATTCTAGTGTATAACGCAATCACTTCTCCAGAGCCAAGAAGCTGAATCAGAGGGGAGAAAGAATGAAAACAGGTATGAACTAGTATCAGCTGTTAAAGAGTTGTATAATCCCAACTGATGTAACCAAATGTTAATTACTAACAGGGAAAAACAAAGCTTCTAAACAGACATGGTCGTGCTGCTCATTAAAGGTATACTGCGGCCACACATGCACGTACATGCACCACAAACCCATTACAATTGTTCTTTCTTCTCTCTGTCCCCTGCCTTGTAAAGACACACAACACACACATACCCCACACTACTTAAGTGGACACTTGGAACAACTTATGTTGTACTAAGTAGCTCTCAGTGATATTACAAAGAAAAAGAACCTGTCTAATGCTAACACAGTAACTTTACTGTTGTAAAAATAATTTGTTAGCATACTATCATTCCTGTTACCATCGGTGACCTCAAAACAAGATTTGTTCAGCTGCTTGCATCCGTGCTGAGCAAGCCTGGGCCTCTAGAGATGAGATACTGCATGTGGGGATGGCTCTTCCCCTGTCTGCAACCCTGTAGGGTGTAAGCACACTAAGGAACAAGAGGGCAAAAGTCAGGTGCTTCAGTTTTCAAGTGGGACTCTTAGCTCTTAAAAACTGCAAGACTTAACTATGTACAATTTCTAACAAATTTGTATCTAATAAATACAGCAAATACTGTACAGAGTAAACCTAATTCAAGAGACTCCTTTTGCTCTTCTGATTTATGTTTCAGAATGCTAAGGATTTCAAACCTCCCTAGGAATAAACACCATTTACTAAAATTGTTGTACATAAGCAAAGAAATCCACAGAAAAATACATGCGTACTTCTTCTTCAATTAGATTATAAAAGGGCAGAAACCAACAAAGTTTTATATATTATTTGCACCCCAAATCCCTTTGCACTATAATTAGCACTGACTCTGAACTCAGCAGTGTCACTCTAGGGAAACTTTCATTGGAAATAAAAGCAATGAATCTTAAAAATTCTGTATAAGGATGCTGCATTCAACGTCATTTGTAGTAGAGGGTGGCAATTTGTAACAACCTGAGTATCCATAATACATAGTTCAAGTACATTTTGGCATATCTACATTATTTAGGCTATTCTGCAGTTATTAAAAATGAGTTCAATCTATATTAGCTCTGAACAATGCTCATGATGTGTTACTAAGTAGGAAAAGTTGCAGAGTAATATATAAGGCAAAACCAAAGCAAATAAACCAGTTACCTTGTGTATGTTTAGGTTTATATGAGCTTGGAGAAAACCAGGGAGTATTTCCATACTCAGAGATATAAGAGGAGGAACAGAGAAGAAACATCTACTTTCTCTTACACAATCTTTGGATTATCACCATTGTATTTGGAAAAAAAACAAAAAACAAAAAAACCTTAATCACCTAACATATGTCCCTCCTAAATACTATATGTAAGAAAATTTGGAAGAAGGGTTCCTTCAGTAGAACACTCATGATTCATTGATCGTTTCAGCTATAATAGCCTTTAAATGATTACTATGTGCCAGGAAGTGTGCTAAAGACTTTTACGTGTATTTTCTCATTTATCTTCACACGTCCAATTTACAGATAAGGAAACTGAGGCTACATAACCTGGCCAAAGTTCCAGAGCTAGCAGGTGGCAAAGGCTGGCTCCAAAGCTCAATCTTTCACCATTAGGTTATACCATAAGATGTACATTTACATAATAAAATAAGTAACAATAGTCAATTATTTATTAATAAATACTATTTAGAGCACTCTCCCATTATCACATGGCTTTCAGCACCATATACAATCATACATTGACTAAATACAAAATGTACAAAATAGTACATTTTGCTTAAAAAAAAAAAAGGATCAAGCATTCCTTTTTAAAATCAGAATTTTTTGGTCTGGCACAGTGGCTCATGCCTGTAATCTTGGCACTTTGGGAGATCGAGGTGGAATGATCACTAGAGTCCAGGAGTTTGTGACCAGCCTGGTCAACAAAGCAAGACCCACATCTCTACAAAAAATTTAAAAATTAACTGAATGTGGTGGTGCATGCATGTAGTCTCAGCTACTCAGGAGGCTGAGGCAGGAGGATTGCTTGAGCCTAGGAGTTCAAGGCTGCAGTGAGCTATTGCATCACTGCCCTCCAACTGGGGCAACAGAGCAAAACCCTGTCTTTTTTTTTTTTTTTTGAGATGGAGTCTCGCTCTGTCGCCCAGGCTGGAGTGCAATGGCGTGATCTTGGCTCACTGCAACCTCTGCCTCCCAGGTTCAAACGATTCTCCTGCCTCAGTCTCCCAAGTAGCTGGGATTACAGGCGCCCACCACCAAGCCCGGCTAATTTTTGTATTTTTAGTGGAGATAGGGTTTCACCATGTTGGCCAGGCTGGTCTCAAACTCCTGACCTCAGTTCATCTACCACCTCAGCCTCCCAAATTGCTGAGATTACAGGCGTCAGCCACCGTACCCGACCCTGTCTTTATTATCCAAAAAAAACAAACAAAAAAAGACTTATTAAAACAGCTTATGTCCTGAAATTTATTCTTTTGAATTATTAGGGTTAGAAAGCTCAGTCGTTTTCTATTTTACCTAAATATTTTAATAACCTTTAATATTTTCTGATTATAATTCATTATAAGAATATTGGAAATGACAGAAAACTAAAAGAAAAAAATCACCCACGTCACCACCCACAGAGGACCAATATTAAAATGTTTGCATATTTTATTTCATCATTTTAATTATGTTTAATTTATTGTGTAACTGAGATTGTACCATCTTATTTGATATCTTTCATTATTTATGATTACTATGTATTATTTTCTCATGCTATTAAAATTTTTTCAAAAACAATTTTAAACTGTTGCATAATATTCCAGTGTATGGATCACCATTTATTTAACCATTTGCTATTGTTGACAACTTAGGTTGGTTCTAATTTTTTGCTATTTTTCAAAAAGAGTTCCCTATACTTCTGATTCTTTCATTGGAATAGATTCTTCAAGACTGTTATTGAGTCAAAAACTACATATTTTTAGAAGTCTCTTATTGCATACTCCTAAATTGCTTCCCAAATAACTGTTAAATGCAGAGGCTATCACAAATGACTATGATTTCCATTTCTTCACTTATAAGATGACTGAAACAATATGTTTTCTTAACCACTTCCATAAAAAGAAAAGACCCACGCTTGGAGTCAAAAGAACCAAGTTCTTGCTATAGCTTTTTTCTCTTACTGGGTTACCTTAAGCATGATTCCTCAAGATGGCAGAAAAGCTTTAGTAAAGGAGAATATTGATCCCAAAAGGGATACCTCAAAGTCTCAATGTCTTCATGTGACAGGAAGTCTAAGAAGCAGAAAGCCTCCCAAAATCCAGTCTGTAACAAATAGGTGAACTGTGAATCTTAGGCATGGCCCTGGGTATGATCAACCATCAAAAATATCAACAATCCTATCTCTCAATAGCTACAGTGCCATGTCACAGCACCTCAACCTCGGAAGCAGATCTAAGGATAGCTTTTGAAAAATGTAATACTGTTGCCCCCCACCAAGTGTTAACTACAGAAACATTACTTGGCCCAAACATCAAATGACTGTACTCCCTTATATTTATATATCATTTTCTCAAAAACCATTATTCCCACAGCACATAATATTGATCTCAATATTCCCCAAAGAACAAGAAAAGGCACCCTCTCTGCCTACCAAGTCGTATGAAGTGATAGGTAAGGATATGAATAGAGCAGCAGATATGCTGGGCGGCTGGGAAGAGAAGAGCCCACACAGAGGCAAGGGCGAGAAAGAAACAAGCAGCAGATGAAAATTTGCAACCATCCACACACTGTTCTAGGGCTCAGGATAATCTACAAAACGTGTCAAGTAAAAAAGGAGAAAAGGAGATGACAAGGGTACATAATGGCTCAAAGAGAAAATAAGAACTTCAAGTAAGATTTTTTTGTGTAAAGATTATATCCAATCTCACTTTATTTCACATAAATGCAACATTTGAAACAGAAGCAACTGCAGGGTCAAACAAATGCAGCACAAGAATAAAAACTGCCGGGCGCAGTGGCTCACGCCTATAATCCCCAGCACTTTGGGAGGCCAAGGTGGGCAGATCATCTGAGGTCAGGAGTTCGAGACCACCATGGCCAACATGGTGAAACCCCATCTCTACTAAAAATACAAAAAAAATTTAGCTGGGCGTGGTGGCATGCGCCTGTAGTCCCAGCTACTTGGGAGGCTGAGGCAGGAGAATTGCTCGAACCTGGGAGGCCAAGGTTGCTGTGAGCCAAGATGGCACCATTGCACTCCAGCCTGGGAAACAAGCGCGAAACTCCCGCTCAAAAAAAAAAAAAAAAAAAAGAATAGAAATTAAAATATTCTAGTTATCTATTACATATGATTTTTGAAAACTGTCTCATTTACACAGACACTGGAGCCTTATGAAGTCATCAGTTTTCTCAAGAGTACTGCTGCTCTGAAGTAAGATTGGTAAACAAGGATTCCAATACAGACATTAAAATAGGCAAGAATGAGCTAGGCGCGGTGGCTCACGCCTGTAATTCCAACACTTTGGGAGGCCGAGGCAGGTGGATCATGAGGTCAGGAGATCAAGATCATCCTGGCTAACACAGTGAAACCCCATCTCTACTAAAAATACAAAAAAAATTAGCTGGGCATGGTGGCGGGCACCTGTAGTCCCAGCTACTTGGGAGGCTGAGGCAGGAGAATGGCGTGAACCCAGGAGGCAGAGCTTGCAGCGAGCCCAGATCACGCCACTGCACTCCAGCCTGGGTGACAGAGCGAGAGTCTGTCTCCAAAAAAAAAAAAAAAGGCAAGAATGAAGACTTCTTGCTATTACCTGTGCATGGATACTCTCAAGACACTCAAGACAAAATGAACTGATTTGGACACACAAAAAAAGTAATGGTGCTTAGTCATTTATTAGCTAAATTAGAACCTGTAGGTGATGCTAAACACTATCAAATAAAAATTATTCAAGGTGACCATCCCTTGATAGCTCATTCCAGTAACAACTTTTTTTTTTTTTAGTGATAAAATATACTTTTATTTACTTTGTTGAGTCAGAGGGTTGTAAAAAAAATTATTGCTAAAGTAGATATCAGGCAAACAGAAAGGTGCTTTAGAAGTCCAGTTACCTTGGAGTTTATTTAAACTAAGAGAAAAAAGTCATAATGTTTTCATGCAATACATACTTGGTTCTTTAAATAACAATTGTGTGACAAATAGCAGAAGGAATTAAGGAATGCTGCACTTGTGATCCATACAAAACACCAACATTTTAGGTTGCACATAATTAAAGAAATATCTGAAACACTTTTTAAAACACTGTAGTAGCCAATACATAGAGGCATGCCGTAGATGGGCACCCGAATGCAGTTTAGAAAAGAAAAAAAAAAAATCACATAGAAACTACTCAATTTCTTTAAAATCACTGAGCAAGAAAAGCAACGTTGAACTTTCATACTGATTTTACACAACTTCTATATAGTACCTTGACTTAAATCCAAGAGCAAAAGTTAAGACTCTCCTCCTCTATTTTTGGTAAACAACTGCATGGTAAACTTAGATGACTCTTCCCCCTGGATTTTACCTGGGAGTGGCCTTTTTACATTTTTATTTAAAAGAGGACAGGTTTGGCACTTTTATACTGATGTCACCAATGTTAATATTTCTTGGGATCTCAGGAAGATTCATATTCTTTACAGCTGATACAGCACAGGCTGGAGCTCCCACTAAGCCACCCTCAGATTTTTCCAGCTTACTTTGTGCATCAATTTGTGTAACAATCTCATTCATGTTTGTCTCCAATACCATTCCCCCCATACTATTTCTGCAAGAATACTGTGAACCTTGTCTACATGGAAAATCAAATCCAGTTCACAGACATTTTCAAAACATTTGTCTAATGTTTCCACAAATACTTGAATGACATCTAAAATGCCAAGTTCACTTTCTGAAGAATCTACACAGAAGACAAAATATAACGTTGTGTAATGTCTATAAATCAGTTTGTTGTCAGATCCTCCAATTAATAATCCCCCTTCTAGGAAATTACAAACATTTTCATCTCTCTTAGATACCAAATGGAAAGTCTCCCTGATGATTTGCTGTTGTGTATCTTCACTGTAGGGGCGGTAGAACTTGGAGAGCCGCGGCTTCCCGTGGTTGTTGAAGATTAGGATCGCCTTGATCATGGCTGTGCCAGGCCGACCGGGTGGGCACTGGTGGCCAGGGCGGGAGCGGGCGCACAAGCCTCGCCTAGTAATCTTGCCTGCGACCCTTCCCCACCCGCCTCCAGTTAACAACTTTCACTGTCTTGAAGTTTCTTCTTTGTAAAATATACTTACTCTACTGCTATTTTTATACTCTGTTATGCTATTTACAGACTCTACTGCTAATTTAATCTATTTCCTCTTGAAGTCTTTCATTTTAAAAGGGCAACTGGGTGCCATCTTCTCTACACTGCACCTTTATATATTTAACTCTCATTATGACACTCACTCCCTCATATACTCCGATATAAATAATCCTACCTTTCTTACTTTTTCTTTTTAGGTATTATTTCTTCACCTTTTAATTATCTCAGTGGTTCTCCCTTAACTCTAAATTCTCCTTGTCTTCTTAAGTTATAGCACTAAAATGAAACAAATTACCTTTACCACCTAACTCATAGAGATGGGCTTATTTAACAGAAAACACAGAGCAGGCCAGTTGGATTTTCCCATAAAATCTGCATTTGAAAGAAAAGAGTTCTCACCAGAGAAAGACCCTTTCATCTCCAAAAGATAAGCATGTTATCATTTGTATCCAATAATAAAGAATAGGACAAAAGGAAAAAGAAATCGTAGAATGGGTCTAGAAAATATAGGTGTATTTAGTTCCTTGCCTGGCATGGTTATTTTAATCCAGTCAATCATTAGGAATTTGGTGTTGGATGTGGTGGCTCATGCCTGTAATCCCAGCACTTCAGGAAGCCAAGGCATGAGGATCTCTTGAGCCCAGGAGTTCAAGACCAGCCTGATCAACACAGTATCACCTAGTCTCTATAAAAAATTAAAAAATTAGCCAGGCATGGCAGCACACACCTGTGGTCCTAGCTCCTCAGGAAGCTGGGGCAAGAGAATAGCTTGTATCTGGGAGATCAAGGCTGCAATGAGCCATGATCCTATGATTGCATTACTGCACTAAGCCTAGGTGACAGAGTGAGACCCTATCTCTTTAAAAAATAATAAATAAACATGAATTTGGAATTAGAAGTTAGGAGATGGCTGAGTTAAAGTGGTAAAATGCAGGTGTTCCCATTTTTTCCCCAACTGAAAAATCGCTTCAAATCATTGAGAAAACAAGATACAGATGCAAAGAGTTCCATGTTTGATGAAACAAGGGGGTTTCAGAAACCCCCCCAACACAACATATAAATACAGAAGGTAAAAACCTGGCAGAGAAAGCTAAACTTGCTGTCTGTACACTTAACTTTAGAGACACAAGGTACCAGGTGTTTTGTTTTGCGAGGGAAATGGGTAGGTTATGGGTAGGGAAGGACTTGAAAATAGGAGACTTGTTTGAATGTCTTTATTCCTCTCCATGCAGATGGGAACAGAAGGTCATTAAAGGTCTCCAAGAGGGATGTCTTCAGGGGAAGCAAAAGTGCGAGGTGCTGAGATTATCTGAAAAGGTTGGACAATGTGGAAAGTTATACAAGAGGCGTTTGTTTCACAAAGCAGTTGGAGGTGTGTGGGAAGACTTAGATGTTCAAGGAAAACCAAGAGAATGAAAAGGTTAGGCATTTTCTCAAGGAAAAACAAAAATGTGTTCAACAAAGAAAATGCCATCTCAACACCACACTTGTCTTAGCAGTAAACAATAATCACTTATTCATATCGAATAGAAAGCATTGAGCTGAGTCTAACCAGATTATTAGTGCTGCTAATTATCCTGGAAGGACAGTGGAGGAGAAGATGGAGCATAAATGAGATTAAATCATTTATCACCCACCACCACCACCATCCTAGCTAACATTATTGAGCACTTACTGTGTTTCGTATTTTTATTCTGAGCACTTATAAGTGAGCCTCGTATCTCTCCCAGGAAGCTGCCACAAGACAAAAAGCACCGTGAAGCATTCTAGACTCAAAACAGAGGAATGCTTCTAGCGGAAGGAAGGATCCCCTTGACTGCATTGAAGGAAGCTTTGGAATTCTTTCAGAAAGGGGAACAAGAGGAGCATTTCATTCAATTTTGGGAAATCTGTGATAACCACCGGGATCAAGTCCTCATTAGACAAGTGGTATGAAATTCTCCTTCCTGTAATTGCTGAGAACAGATGAATATGGAAGAGCTAATGGACTCTGAGCTGGCAGAAGTGGACCTACAGGTAAATTCAAAGTACAACTGACCTAGACTTCCAACTCCTCACCTCCAACCACTGAGTAATACAGAGGCGAATGTAACCACAGACATGGAGAGTTTCTGTACTGCGCCTAAATGCATGAAGAGGAACCACCACAGGGCTGAAGACATCTAGTCTTTTATATTTCTTTTTTTTTTTTTGAGACGGAGTCTCGCTCTGTCGCCCAGGCCAGAGTGCAGTGGCGCGATCTCAGCTCACTGCAAGCTCCGCCTCCCGGGTTCACGCCATTCTCCTACCTCAGCCTCCCGAGTAGCTGGGACTACAGGCGCCCGCCGCCACACCCAGCTAATTTTTTGTATTTTTTAGTAGAGACGGGGTTTCACCATGTTAGCCAGGATGGTCTCGATCTCCTGACCTCGTGATCCGCCCGCCTTGGCCTCTCAAAGTATTGGGATTACAGGCGTGAGCCACCGCACCCGGCCTAGTCTTTTATATTTCATTGGTGAGTCCTTGTTCACAGATATCCACAGGTGCTGGCACTTAAAATGATCAGAATTACTCTGCAGGCAGGGGTAGAGGGAGGGGTGTTAATAAGTTATCATCAATAAATGTTCATGTCCCAAAACCATACCCTAATTTAACCAAAAATCATAGTTACCATCTATGGAGCACTTCCTCCATACTAAACTGTACATATGTTATCTCTCATACTCATGTCATCAACTCTGTAGAGGCATTATCCTCAGTCTACAGAACAGTAAATCAAACTTTACAGAGTCTAAGTAACTTACCTGAGATACACTAGCTAGTGATGGAGCTCATACTGTCTCCATTAGGCTACATGGTCTCCCATCTTCCAGAATATCTTAAAGTATGAGCCTTTATTGTGATTTTTCCTTAGATTCTAGTGGGATACAGCAAAGTAAGTCTCTCCCAATGGAAATATAACTTACAGCTCACCGCCTGCTGACAGTGTTGTATAAAACTACTTACCACATTAGAGAAATAGATTCTTCGGAGTACTTAGGGTTGGGACAATAGGAACAAAGTTGCTAGACTACCCAGGGCCCAGAACAAAACGGAAAAAAACTGAGATGAGAGGCAATGGGAGGCTAGAAATCAGGGTCTTGACCCAATGTATGTGTTTGCTGGAGGCACACACCCAGGGGCATTTGCTAAGCATTGTTCCCCTTCTGTTTGAAAAACAAAAACAACCTCCCTGAACCCTCTCCCATTCCCCCTAGTAGTGAACATAGGCCAAACTCAATACTGCAGTGAAAAAAATAAATCAAAACATGCCAAAGTTCTCAGATGTTTACATGGCATATCCCATGCTTTAACTCTGGTACATCTCCGTAAATCTGGAAAAGTTGACCCCGTCACCCAGATGCATCAACCTTCAGCTATTCACATTAATTTATGCGCTTTGATCAGATCCCCAAAGCATCTATTTTTTTTTTCATTCTACCACAAAATAATAAATACTGGAAAAAAATCTGTATGCTTTTATATTTTCACAGGTAAGTGCAGAAATGAACTGCATTGCATCCACTTCTTTTAACCCAATTCCTATACTAAAACAAATTCAAGTAAAATATGCCTATTTTTCAAAGCACAATCCTAAAGTCACTAATTCATGGGTAGTTCACATATGACTAGAGAAAGAAAAGGAGAAGGAAAGACAGGAATTAAAGTGAAAGACAGGAATTAAAGTGAAGGAAGGAGGAGGAGGCAGGGAACACCTTATGAGAGATCAGCCAGACTAGAATTAAAGAAGGTGCATCAAAGACTATTACATCCAGCTGGGTGCGGTGGCTCATGCCTGTAATCCCAGCATGTTGGGAGGCTGAGGTGGGCAGATCAGCTGAGGTCAGGAGTTCGAGACCAGCCTGGCCAACACGGTGAAACCCCGTCTCTGCTAAAAATACAAAAGTTAGCCAGGCATAGTGGCATGTGCCTGTAATCCCAGTTGCTCAGGAGGCTGAGGCAGGAGAATCACTTGAACCCTTGAACCCAGGAAGGAGAGGTTGCAACAAGCAGAGATCACGCCACTGCACTCCAGCCTGGGAGACAGAGCAAGACTCCGTCTCAAAAAAAAAAAAACGACTGTTACATCCAATTAGAAGAGCAACAGGGCAAAAAAGCTCCATCAATATATACTTTGCAATTAGTCTGTGAAGAAGGTTTGAAAGCACTTTGTTGAGAGCTAACATGTTAAGCAGTGACCTAAAAGATGAAAGATAAGCTGGCTGGGTTGTAAGGCCCCTTCTCTAACACACCTGGGAAGAAGAGGTAGATGCTGTCCATATGATCTTGGGCCAATGGCAACATAAATAGCTGCATTTGAGAGAGAAGGAGGACCAAGCATTACAGGATCGCTTTCCTGGAGATGCTATGACATTCCTCCAACATTGCAGTCATGTTAGCAAGAGCAGACAGATGCAGTGCAGAGTTGGGACCTAAAGTCCACATCTAAAACACTGTAGCCATTCAGCCCAAAGACCTTACCCTATAACAACAGTGAATGGCACAAGGGAGAAAGCAAGGGTCCTATACACCATACAACACAGAAGCCAACCTTTTAAACATTAAGAGCGTCTCCACCCAAACTTGAATGAAATTTTGTACTGAGCACAGATAATCTTCTACTTGTACTTATGGGCCAAGAAAAGTAAGTTAAATTTGTTAAATTAAGATTATGTTTCACAGTAATTTGAGCCACATTTTTAATAGAAATTGATTATTACAAATATTTATCACGTACCTTGTAGGGGCCAGGCACTACACTAGACAATAGGGATAAAACTGTTTAAGACAGACACAGCTGTGCTGCTCTCACAAAGCCCACCTACCATAAAACACTTTAATCATCCCCAAAACAACTCTCTGTACAGGCACACAAAAGAATCAAAATCACTAAAGCATCTAAGCAGGGCAATATCAGAGCTGAGCACATAAAACCCATGTAAAAGGAATGAAATAGCATGCTGTCATAAGTCTTATCTTTTTCTTAACAATATCTGCCCTTTGTAAAATGCCAAATACCAGAACATTCAGGAGCATCATTAACTTTCACCCATTTTCACTGAGCAACTGAAAGGCGTCAGACACTGTGGATCTAAAGATGAGTACAACCTGGCTTTTGTCTTCAGAAAGCTCATAATCTAGTGGGGATGAATTCTTCAGGATCACAGAGGGCAAATGGCCTTCTCTGGAAAGAGGTTTTTGACAGCTGTGCTTAAGAAGATTTTTGCAAAAGTGACACTGTAATATTATTGCCTTTTCCTCAATACAAATTTTCCCATCACAAGCACAGACATCAGAAAAGGCTCTTGACCTCTCTGCTATGTTGCAATACATTTCATCAAAATGAACTTGTCACCGCTTCTCGAAATATGAAATTCTCTCTATCCTTCCACCCAGCATTCAAAGACATCAGAATTTCCACTAGTTCATGGTGTAGCTAAGGCTGCATCGAAAGACAACATAAGGTGGTTTGAGAAAGGTCCTTTAAGATCTGGGCCTTGACTACCTAAATAATGAGGAAAAGGAAGATAGTGACAATAATGATGGTGATTAGTAACCGCAGCTTCAAAGGACTGAGCATTTATGATGTGTCAAGCATGGTGTTAAGCATTTTCAGTTTGTTATATCATTTGGCCCTCATAACAGTACTGAGGTAAGTATATTACTTATCCTCATGTTATGGGTGACGAAACTGAGGCTTGCGGAGGTTGAGATTTTGCTCAAGGACACAAAGCCAGGAAGTGGCAGAGCCAAACCCAAAACCGTATCCATCTGTACCATGCCCTCTCCCCTTGCCCACCCTTTTCCCATATGCGCCAGTCACCTGCAAAGAGCAGGAACCATGGAACCACCATACCGTTTCTAATCTCCAAGCCTTTGAGTATTATTGCTTCTGAGAGGCCACACTTCCCAATTTTCATCCAGTCAACTCCTATTTGTCTTTCAGAACGCGTTTGGAGTCAACCTTCCAGGAAAGTTCTCTAAATTGCCCCTCTCTAAGGTTTGATGCCTCATCTCTGGATTTGCTTAGCCCTGGACATAGACTCCCTCTCTCCCAGCACTTGTCCCACTGTGCCATGCAGTCATGAGCTGCTCAAGGTCATGGATCATTTTATATTCAACTCTGCAGCTCCAGAGCCTCGTAGGGTACTTACTAGCAGCAGGCATCACATCACTGTGTTGGCTGACTGAACAAATGCATGAGAAAGAGAACTGAAGTTAAGGACTTATTCTAGGATGGTCTCTCTGGAGCTAGAGATGCCTGAATTCAAGTCCTGACTCCACCTCTTATCAACTGGCCAATTTATTTAACCTCTCTAAGCCTCAGTGTCTCGTCTATAAAATAAAGGCTAACAGTAGCATCTAGCTCTAAAGTCTCTTCTGAGAGTTTAGATTTTGCAGCTTAGCTCGGTAAGTGACACATATGTTAATAAATGTTAGTTACTAGTAATAAAGTATAGGCCAAAGCCAATCCTCTTATAATAAACCACTTTGCCCTTGGTTCCCAGCTTTGCTTTTTCCTCCAATCCCAAGGCTTTGAGCAAGTACAAAGTCACTCCTCTTACAATGAGGCAATGGGGTGGTGGAATCACTTCGTCAACCAACCCAAGTCCCTTCCAGAGCTAGATATTTAAGGATCCTTTAGGTTTTTCCACAAAGTTACAAGGGGGAAATGTTTCACATATAACCTTGAAATAAATCTTTTCTCCCAAAATAAGCATTTCCCTGGGAATTGATACCCCAGCTGAGAATAAAGCAGCTGTTGCTGTTAACATTTACCTCTGACAGAGCACTATTAATTGTATCATGTTGATCATCAGATCACAGTAAAACTGTATAGTTAAAAATCATATTGTTTCATGTCATATTCAACAAAGCATCTTTGGCTATAAATAGGACAAACGAGTGTCTCTCATTGTGTATGCATAAATGAGAATACTGTGGAAGATGTTAGAATTCACAGTTATATTTGTGTTCCTTTAAGAAACACAAATTGTGGCTCACACCTGTAATCTCAATACTTTGGGAGGCCAAGGCTGGCAGATCATTTGAGGGCAGAAGTTCACGACCAGCCTAGCCAACATGGTGAAACCCTGTTTCTACTAAAAATACAAAAGTTAGCCAGGCGTGGTGGTGCGCGCCTGTAATCCCAGCTACTTCGGAGGCTACAGCAGAAGAATCACTTGAACCCGGGAGGTGGAGGTTGCAGTGAGCCGAGATTGCGCCACTGCACTCCAGCCTGGGTGACAGAGCGAGACGGAAGGGAAAGGAAAGGAAAGGAAGGGAAGGGAGGGGAGGGGAGGGGAGGGGAGGGAAGGGGAGGGGAGGGAAGGGGAAGGAAGGGAAGGAAAGAAAGGAAGGAAAGAAAGAAAGAAAAGAAAGAAAGGAAGGAAGGAAGGGAAGGAAAGGAAGGAAGGAAGGGAAGGAAAGGAAAGAAAGGAAGAAAGGAAGAAAGGAAGGAAGGAAGAAAGAAAGAAAGAAAGAAAAACAAAGAAAGAAAGAAAGAGAAAGAAAGAAAGACAAATTGCTTAATATGGCATAACCCCCTACCCAGTGGCATGGGCAAGATTTTTTAAATTATATTTTCTTTAATATGATTTTTAAATCCATAGATGATAGTAATGATGTAGGACTGAGAATGGTCTGGTAAAACTCTAAACCCAAACTTCATTTTATATGCTCTCACAATGCTGCAATGTAATGTTAGTTCACAGGTAAAACTGCTGTGTATGAGCTCTATCTACAGCGGCTGTGGGCTGCCTGTTCTGCCAGGGTATTCCAACTTTTATTCACTGGTCGATAAAGCAGAGGTCCCCAACCTTTTTGACACTAGGGACTGGTTTGAAGGAAGACAATCCTTCCACAAATGGGAGTGGGGAGCGATGGTTTTGGAATAAAACCGTTGGACCTCAGATCATCAGACATGAGTTAAATTCTCATAAGGAGTGTGCAATCTAGATCCCTGGCTTGAGCTGTTCACGATAGGGTTCCTTCTCCTATGAGAATCAACTGCTGCTGTGGATCCAACAGGAGGCAGAGCTCAGGCAGTACTCACCTCCTCCTGTGATGCCAGTTCCTAACAGGCCAGGGACTGGTACTGGTCTGGGACCCCTGTGATAAAGCACAACTGGATGGCCCTCTAGGCTTACAATGAAAAACTGCAGCACTTAGAAAGCTGGATTTGGAAGGAGACTAAAGGACAAGACAGGAACACAAGACTTGGGGAAATCTTTCCCCAAGTCTAGTTCATCTGGGTCACCTGCCAGAGCAAACGTCCACCTGCTTCCTTCCATTCTTTTCTTTTCTATCCTCCCCCTCAAAAGCAGTTTAGTTACTACACTCGATCTTGGTTTAAAGACCCAGGTGTCATATCTCACAAATACAGCACTTACAGTCACATCTAGATTACTCAGTCTATTCTTAAACCCTGACTTGTCGCTTCCATTTTCAGGCTGCCCATCCTCATTTCAAATAGAGGATTTTCTTTTTCTACTCCATTCTCTACTTATTTCCATTTTGGGATGAGATTTTATTTTAAAATATGATATTCATTAATTCATTTAATGAAGACACATTTACTAAAGGAACCTATCAAATGCAGGATACTGTGTTTAAAAAAAAAAAGAAAAAGAAAAACTTCGGGAGAATATAATAATGAGTAAAAGATCATCCCTGCCCCCCAAAAGGCAGAAGAAATAAGCAGACATGTCCACAACCATGTAGCTATCACTTAGGAGATAAGATGGCCCCTAGGAAAATCAGTTTGGGCCTCTGGCATCTGCAGATTCAGCATCTGTAAATTCAACCCCAAAGGTCCATAAATAATGAGTTACAAACCTGTAGAGACACACATATAACACTGATTTAATTTTAATGGCACAATTCATTTAAATGCCTTTATAAATAATTTTAGCTTTGCATGACCCTAAGGAGAATCAGATTAAAGTTTTGTGTATACGTTGGGACATTTGATGATGACAGAGTGTAACAATGGTATCATCAAATGAGGCATTCCTTGCTGGTGCCGCATGCCTGGCTACAAAGAATGTGTTGTCGGCCGGGCATGGTGGCTCAGACCTGTAATCCAAGCCCTTTGGGAGGCCATGGCAGGTGGATCACTTGAGGCCAGGAGTTTGATACCAGCCTGGCCAACATGGCAAAACCCCGTCTCGATTAAAGATACAAAAATTAGCTGGGGGTGGTGGTGCATGCCTGTAATCCTAGCTACCCAGGAGGCTGAGGCACGAGAATTGCAAGGCAGAGGTTGCAGTGAGCCAAGATCACACTACAGCATTCCAGCCCGGGCAAGAGAACAAGAATCTGTCTCAAAGAAAAAAAAAAAAAAAAGAATGCGGCAGAATTCACAACACATAGCAGGAGGGTATGAGGGTATGAGAAAGGTGCCATTAAGGAAACTGAGCTAAGGCTTTATTTATGTCTAGCAGGATTCCAACAGGCAGTGGTGGTGACTGTTTTCAGAGGGGGGATGATCATTCCCAGTGTTTCTAATTCCTAAGTGGGAAAGCAAGACATGTTCGGAGGTCAGAAGGCCCAAATTGGGCTGGCTGCAGGGCAGAGGGGTCCTGGGTGCGAGGAAGCCTCAGAACGGACTGCCTACGAGGTTCTGACTGGGGACAGCTGCAAGTGAAGCCAATGGTCAGAGTGATGGCCTGGGCGATGTGTTGGAAACAGGAACTTCTGATCAAGAACCTGCAGGTGGAAGGGCTCCAAGAGATGAAAAAGAAGTGAATCAGTTTCTTGGGGAACCTCCAAGCTGTTCCTCCACGGTGGTTGTACTAATTTACATTCCCACCAACCATGTACAAGACAGCACAAAGGATAAATCCTTGAGGGGATGGGTACCCCATTTTCCATGATGTGATTATTATGTATTATATGCCTGTATCAAAATAGCTCATGTGCTCCATAAGTATATATACTTACTATGTACCCACAAAAATTAAAAATAAAAAAGTATTAAAAAAAGAAATGAATTAGGCAATCAATAAAGAGTCATCACATTCCAATGAATTAGGAGAGATGGCGAGAGAGCAAAACAGGAAATTGATCTTTTATACATAACTGTAATCTATTCAGAGA
This sequence comes from Homo sapiens, assembly GCF_000001405.40. Lineage (NCBI taxonomy): Eukaryota > Metazoa > Chordata > Mammalia > Primates > Hominidae > Homo > Homo sapiens. The sequence goes on from NC_000001.11 coordinate 214,493,671, forward strand.
CACAGTGGGATCAGTGACAATGATACATGCTAACATACTGACCCAGGTTAAACACACTTTATATGCAAGACTCGTATATATAATGTCACACATATATGGTCAAGATTTCAAATGTGAAATGACAGAATGATTACACTAGTTAAGATCTTTCACAGAACATATTCTTGTTGGCATCTATCAAAAAAAAGTAAGAACAACTTCTGCACCTGTACCCCAGAACTTAAAATTTAAAAAATTTAAAAATACAAATAAGTTTTTTAAAAAGAACCACTTCTAAAGGTGTAGCACTCAATTTACGTGGACACATCAAAGAAAGAGAACCAAAGAAATCACTGGCAGCACTCCACAAGTGTCCTCTCTCCCGTCCTTAGTGCCTTCCTTTTCCTCTTCTCTCTTTCTTTCTCTTTTTTTTTCTTTTGAGACAGAGTCTCGCACTGTCGCCCAGGCTGGAGTGCAGTGGCGCGATCTCAGCTCACTGCAAGCTCCGCCTCCCAGGTTCACGCCATTCTCCTGCCTCAGCCTCCAGAGTAGCTGGGACTACAGGCGCCCAGCTAATTTTTTGTGTTTTTAGTAGAGACAGGGTTTCACCATGTTAGCCAGGATGGTATCTCTCGATCTCCTGACCTTGTGATCCGCCCGCCTTGGCTTCCCAAAGTGCTGGGATTACAGGTGTGAGCCACAGCACCCGGCCCCTCCTCTCTCTTTCTTACCTCACTCCTTGTACCAGTCATCTTGTTGTCAGCCCTATCACACAGGCTAATGTTCCCCAAGCTTAGAGAGGTTGGCGATTCCTGCCATATAAGAATACACTTTAATGCTTTTTGGTCAAAATAGGAACAAGCCCTGGATGTACTTCTTTTTACCCTGCCAAGTTAGCCAACTTTAACTTTATGCTCTGTTGTGGTGCATTGTTATTGTGTTGCCTTGTCATCTAACATTAAGCTCTTTTTTTGCAAGGGTAGAAAGAGATGACACGGAATTGGTCATATAAATGAAGCTTTACATGAACAAAGCAGGGAGAACTAAAGCTAACAAAATGTTTGGACGTCTAAAGGAAGAGTGGCCTCTCCTGATGTTTCTAAGACTGAGTTACCACTACACTACTGAATGGAAGGGAGAGAAGGGGGAAGGGCAGTTGTGTTCCTTGACAATATTCAAGGAAAAGGAAGACCAAAGTATAATTAGAAACACTGACCACGTGTCATCTTCACCACAAGTGAACCTGAGGGAAGGAGATGCCTGAAAGACCTGGAATTCTTCTTGCTTGACTCATGAAACTCAACAGGTCTTAGAGATGACTGCACAATAAAATCACTTTGGACCTAGAAGCAACTGTCTGAGAACTGGGACCAGCATTAGTGGTGAGATGTATTTTCTCCTCTCTCAGCATCATCCCAGAAAGGGACACACAGAGTTACTCATTAAGGTGAAAAAATCTAAAGACACTATACTAGTGAAAAGCTTGGGATCTGAAGAAAGAGCACTGAATTTCAATACTATGTTTGAATTTCAGCCAACTGTAAAATCTTTGGCATACTATTTAAACTCTCTGAGCGTTGGTTCCCTCATCTGTAAGATGAAAACAGTAACTACATGTCACGGCGTCAGTGAAAAGATTAAATAAGATAATGTATATAAAGCACTATCAGAGTCCCTGGCCCAGATAACAATGCCTAATAATTACCTATTACTGTAGCTATTACAAGTAGGGGGACAGTGGTTTAAAAATCAACACTGAAGGAATAAAAAGGACATGTGAAAGATGACACCAAAACCAAAATTTAATTCAAATCTTCTGAAGCAAACTAAGTACCATTAAGGAGAGGAATAACAATTGGTCAGAAAATCTGCAGTAATTCAAGAGTCTAAAAAAATAGTGTTCCAATTAATCCACTCCAGGAGAAAAGGTACTTAGACAAGACTGACATTATCAAATTAAGATGGGGGAGGAAAAGTGCTTTTCAGAACAGTTATCATGTGCTATTTTATTTTTTTTATTTATTTATTTATTTATTTATTTATTTATTTATTTATTTACTTCGCAACGGAAATTCGCTCTTGTTGCCCAGGCTGGAGTGCAATGGTGCGATCTCAGCTCACCGCAACCTCCGCCTCCCTGGTTCAAGCGATGCTCCTGCCTCAGCCTCCCGAGTAGCTGGGATTACAGGCACACGCCACCATGCCCAGCTAATTTTGTATTTTTAGTAGAGACAGGGTTTCACCATGTTGGTCAGGCTGGTCTCGAACTCCCGACCTCTGGTGATCCGCCCTGCCTCGGCCTCCCAAAGTGCTGGGATTACAGACATGAGCCACCACACTCGGCCTCATGTGTTATTTTAATACATTTTTCATACCCACAGATAAACAACACTTCATGTTTCTTTTCTAAACAAAAAAAAACTCTCCTGGCATTCTTGGTCCTGAGCTTATAATTTGCTCAGTAATTTTCCATTTCAGTTTTGTGCTCACAGATTTAGAAACGTACTTCATTTCCTAACAAAAATACTTTTGCTCTGCAGTATTTATTGCTTCTGCATAACTAGATCCCAGTGAACAGGTGAGAGAGGTACCCAAGAGGAAATGTGGAATAATAGTGTGCAAAGTGTTCTAGAGCAGAAGGTCACACTGCGGAACATACTTTATAACTGTAACAGGATACGGCTTAGCCCAGTGTTAGGCTTAGCCCAGCTCTGTCAAGGGGAGTTCAGCCAAGGTCCTCAGGGGCAAGGAATTCTAGTTATACTGCACACTGACCTCACTCATGACCCATACCAACTCACTGAAACCCCTCGGGGAAAATGAGTTACTAGTACCTGCCCTGCTCCCCAAACTTCCAATGGAATAGCAAATTGTGGGTTTTCTGTTTCTTGTTTTCAGCAGCACCTTTATTTTCAAATGAAATATTACAGATAAAAGCAGAACTGATTTGATGATACCTGTATATTCTTTTTAAACACTCCTTACCCCCTACCCAAGTGCTGGGATCCCTAAGGGACCAGAGAACACTATTAGAAACTAAATGACAGCTGGAGAGAGATTTTTAAAGTCCTAAAGAACAATTTATCCATAATCTGAATTTCTATGATTCAGTTTTAACTTAATATCTAATTTGATCTATATTCCACAGAACTGCTTTGGTAAGTTATAAAAATCCTATATAAAAATATATCAATTTTCATGATTAAACTACAAAGGAAAAGAAATAAAGTTCAATCATTCCTTCAGTCTAGCTCAGTCTTTGTAAGAAAACAAAATCATAAAAGTGCTAGAAAAAAAACATAAGAAAATACATTTTTAAATTGGAGGGTCTTTGTAAATAAGATCCAAAACTGAGAGACCATACAGATTTTATTAAATAAATTAAAACTCCTGTATGGCTCAAGACAACAAGAAATAAGTTAGCAAACAACAACCTGGTCTCCAGAAATTGAGCTCTATTGGGGCAGCGGTGGGGGGTCGGGGGGAAGAAATAAAGAAAGAAAACAACAACCTGGAGGAAAATACTTGCAACATATGTAACAGACAAAAAAAGTTAGTATCAAAGAAATCTCAATAATCGATCAGAAACTAGAAAAATGGAAAATTTATAGCTGAAAGACACACAGCTAAGAAGCATATGAAGACATTCAACCTCACCATCAGGAAAATGTAAATTAAACATGCACAAGAGGCAATGTTTTTAATCTATCAAGTTAAAAAAATTAAAGAGATCATTTTCAGAGCTGATGAGGATAGTGAGGCTATTTATTGGCATACACACAGGTAAAACATTTTTAAGCAGAAATTTGGCATTATCCATCAAAATTTAAGTGTGTATAGCATTTAGCCCAGTCATTCCACTTTTAATCTATGCTACAAGCTTCTACATACATCTATGAAAAAGGATGTCACTTTTGCATTATTTATAATACAGAAAACATGATATCACTGGAAGCCTATGGGACCTGGTGCAAAGGTACAAAACATTTATAAGAACTAGAATGATCTATACTTACTCCTGAGACAGGCAGCTTACCATATATTACCGAGTGGCAAAAGCAAATGCAGCATTATGCATAGTATAATTTTGTTTCTAATTTCTTTTTTCAAAACTTTCTCTACATTTCATATTATGTATATATACATGCATAGGAAAAGTTCTGTGAGGAAACAGCCCAAGCCATCAGCTATTCTTAGGGGGAAAAAAAAGGAAAATATAAAACTATATCAGCATGTTGCTGTCAATTTCATTAGAAACACACACGAGAGAGAGAGAGAAACACAATGAGAGAGAAAAGGACAAAAGAAATGATGGCCATGAGTACTCATAGCTGATAGGGTTCTGGGTGATTTTTATTTTCTGCTTTATAAAATGTTTTATATTTCTTATATTTTCTATAATGATCATTATTACTTTTATATTCAGAAAAATAATACAAGTTATGCTTAAAATATTATAACAAAGTACTGGGGGAAGTATTTCTTATTTAAAACTAAGAAAACAGTATCTACTGAATGTTATTGTTTCTGTCCCTAGAGCTAGATAAAAATCACAGGGCAAAGCCAAGAGTTAAGCTCCTCCTTGCTCTTTCCCTTCTAACGCTGTGAGTCTCCTAACATGGCACACAAACATGATACTGTAGAGATTCATTCTAATAAAAGCATATCACTGAGTACAGGCTCTGCTATCCCAGGTCAATAAGAGCTGGAATAATTGTGGAAGGTTTCATGGAAGAAGGCAAGACTCAGTTGGATCTTAAATAATTCAGAGGGATGTAAGAGAGAAAGGGCAAGAAACTAAAAGTTCCTCAGATTACCTTATTATCCATATTTTTTCAACCTAATAGCTCTCAATGTTTGAAAACTGCCACATAAACTTACCTAGCCTCCAAAAAGAGAATCAAATATGATTACTCAATAATATATGGAAACATATCCAAATATGCATATATACTTAACATATTATTCTAAAGATGCATATTTAAAAATTCTCAATTTCCCATCCACAAGAAAATGTGTTCAAAGCCAATAGTCTACACGGCACCACAATATATTGCTGATAATTTGGTATAATTTCCATGGCAAACAATTTGGCCATATAAATTAAAATTTAAAATACCCATATGCCCATACCCTTTAAAATTTTTTTTTCCTGCGAGATCCTTGTTCTGATTTAAGAGATAGGGTCTCACTCTGTTGCCCAAGCTGGAGTACAGTGGTGTGATCATAGCTTATAACAGCCTTGACCTCCTGGACTCAAGTCATCCTCCCACTTCAGCCTCCTGAAAAGCTACGACTACAGGTATGCGCCACCACCCTTGGCTAATTTTTTTATTTTATAGAGACAGTCTCACTATGTTGTCCAGGCTGGCCTCAAACTCCCAGACTCAAGCCATCCTCCCACCTCTGCCTCCCAAAGTACTGGGATAAGAGATAGTAGCCATCACACCTGGCGGCCCACACCCTTTGACCTAGCATTACACTAACAGGAGTTTATTCTAAGACTCATACTTGTGTGAGAAAATTCTTCGTTCACTGCAAAATCTGGAAGCAACCTAGAAACTGCACCACAGAGAGGTTATGTGGACAGTCTGTGCACGTAACAGAAAAAAATGAATGAGGAGGCTCGCTATATACTAGAATTAATGCCTGTCAAAATAAGAGACCATAGTGATATAGAACCCTAGAGAGACTGATCAGTAGAATGAGTGTGTGGAAAAAGAGGGTAGGCATATATATATATATATGCTGGTATACATACAAAATATCTCTGAAGAATATATAAATAACTATCAACTATTGGCCTCTGGAAGGTGGACCAGGAGGCTGCCGAGCAGGAGTGAAATGAAAACTTCTTACTGTATGCCAAAAAGATTTGTACTTTTAAAATTTGCATCATGTTCATCTTTCAGCCATTCAAACAAAAACAAACATAATTTAATTTTAACACATTGTATCTCTTCCCTCAAAAGAAAACTTCAAAGCTAACACTTTACATGGTAAAACTATCCATTTATGTGAATTCAGAAAGTTTGCCAGAGTTCACGTAACTGCAGTTTTTTAAATGGTTAGGCTATCAAATGAATGCTCCATAAATTTGTTATATTATTTCTAATTTAAGCATTCATTTTTTTTTAGATTGCCTAGGAGACAACTCTTAAAAAGAAAATAATACTCAGTTTTATGTCTCAAATACAGAAAGCCTCTTCACATTACAGGAAACTCAACTTCAAAAGCCATTACATTTCCTACAGGAACTCTTACCCTCGTGACACTTCTGTGCCAGCAGGCTTGAGGAGGGGAAAGGACAAATGGTTCTACCTTCCAGAGCGTTTCAGTAACACTCTTGAAGCAACATCATCTAGAATGAGAAAATGTCACACATTGTCCGCAAATGTCCACAAATGTGGGACATTTTCTCATTCTAGATGATGGATCATGATTCCAGTTTACGGCATTTTTGCTTTATATTTTATTCTAATGTATCAATAAGGATATGACCAAGAATCAAAGTTTCCAGAAAAATATTCCCCCAAATATGTAAGACATACCCACATGGGTCCATATTCTTGTATTTGTGGCAATTGTCAAAGACACCGGAAAAATAATCTTAGCAGCCTGGGACAAAGGCAGACTCTGGACACAAACTCTTAATTAGAAGGAGCCAGAGATCTACCCCCTTCCCTTCCTAAATAAGCTGCAATCTCAACAACATCCCATGTCAACTCAAACTTTGTTTAAACACCCAGATTTTCCTAGTTCTTTGGATTCAACTCTCTACTTGAGAGGCTTCTTATAATCAGATCCATCTTTCCGGCAACAAAGAAAGCCACCAACACCCTCCTCCTTCAACTTGGTGAACTGACAGCTCTTTTATGGTTCCAAATACAAGTGGCTTGAGGCATCGGCTCACTGAGTGAAGTGCTGAGATTTCTCTCAAGGACAACCTCCTAATGTTTCAGAACCACTGAGGGACAGACAGAAACAATCAATTCACCACAGGTTTCACCAGATTTTAACCGATATAAGGCACCTTGGCTCTCACAGAAGGGGAAAAGGGGATAATCTGTTACATCCTATCTAAGGTCTTCATTAAAAAAGAAAAAAAAAATTATTGAAAGAAATCTGAAGCCAGCAAATGACTGCCCTGACTACCCTGGAATGACAACATCTGTGGGGCATGTGGAGCCTCAGGTCCCTCATCATTAACATGAAGAAAAGGCAGATTAGCTTGGAAGGATGGCTGTGAGCATTAGAGGAAAGGTTTAAAAACATCTGGTCCTTCGTAATTATTCATTACTGCTAGAAACTATGTAAAACACTAACAATGAAAAGATTCACCATGCCCAAGAGCAGCTTGAGAAAACTAAATATAGCAAAGATAAAAATGTATTCTTCATTGATAGGCTGTACAATTTTAAGGCAACACCAAAGTTCAAGGAATAATGTGATAAATAGCGCAATTCGTCTCATGGAGCTGGGTAAAATGCCAAATTCGTCTTTTCATATTTTAATAATGTTACAGTGTGACTGTTATTAAGCCATGTGAGAGCTGGTTAAACACAGAAAACTTAATCCATGAAAACAGAGTAAGTATTCTTTTTTTTTGGAGACGGAGTTTCGCTCTTTTCGCCCAGACTGCAGTCCAGTGGCACTCTCAACTCAGTGCAACCTCCGCCTCCCAGGTTCAAGTGATTCTCCTGCCTCAGCCTCCCGAGTGGCTGGGACTACAGGTGCCCACCACCACACCCTGCTAATTTTTTGTATTTTTTAGTAGAGACGGGGCTTCGTGATGTTGGGCAGGCTGGTCTTGAACTCCTGACCTCAAGTGATCCACCCTCCTCAGCCTCCCAAAGTGCTGGGATTACAGGCATGAATGACCACGCCCAGCCCAAAACAGAGTAAGTATTCTATGAACAATTAGGCTATAAATTCCTTCAGAGGTAACCCTATGCCTCTCTTTTTCCTGTTGAACTCCCACCTAACACTGGGCCTGGAATAATAAACAATATTTAGTGGCTCAATAAACACTAATTAAGGAAATGAATTGGGATCACCAGGCGTAGTATAGAGAAAAACCAAGTTAAATCCATTTTTCATGGCACATAACTTCAAAAGTTATTTTTTAGGCCAGGTGCAGTGGCTCACGCCTGTAATCCCAGCACTTTGGGAGGCCAAGGCCGGCGGATCACAAGTTCAGGAGATCCAGACCATCCTGGCTAACACGGTGAAACCCCGTCTCTATAAAAAATACAAAAAATTAGCCAGGCATGGTGGTGGGCGCCTGTAGTCCCAGCTACTGGGGAGGCTGAAGCAGGAGAATGGCATGAACTCAGGAGGCGGAGCTTGCAGTGAGCCGAGACTGTGCCACTGCCCTCCAGCCTGGGCGACGGTGCAAGGCTCTGTCTCAAAAAAAAAAAAAAAAAAAAAAAAGGTTATTTTTCAAACCACTTTATAAGGTGTGATTGACATACAAAAAGTTGCATATATTTAATGCATAGAACTGAATTTGGGAGCTCTCATAAAGATTTTTCATCCCTGGAGGGTTGTTAAATAGGTGCTTCTAAGGGGGGAAGAGGGCTGGACCCCCTATTCCACCATCCTACTGATGGCGGTAGGGTCATTTTGAAAAAGTTTTACCATGATAATTAAGAGCCTGAGATTAACAGAGAGAGATCTGTGTTCAACCCAACTCTGTTCTTTACTAGCCAAACAATGATGTGCATTTTATAAACCTGTTTTCCTATATGCAAAATAGCTTCATTGTCCTATAATACAATACAGCTCAGAGTGGTAAACAAGAAAAACATATGCAAATAGTGTGCAACACACAGCAGGTCTTGAAAAATATTTGTAATATTCATTCAACTTATTTTTTATTTATTTATTTTTAGAGACAGGATCTCACTATGTTGCCCAGGCTGGTCTCATACTCCCGGTATCAAGTAACCCTCCCACCTCAGCCTCCCAAAGTGCTGGGATTACAGGCAGGAGCCACTGTGCGAGGCCAACTAAACAGTTTTAGCATTTAAACGTTACGAAAAAATGTTGAAGACTTGGAACAAATGATCAAAATAAAGACAGAGTGATTTAGTTGTGTAAAAAAGTGTTCCATAATAAAATATAGCGCAATAATGTTAAAAATAACAATATCACAGAAAAAAATAGGGAAAACATAAATGAAACTGTGTTATCCTTATGTCAATTATTTGCATAGGATGTATTCAGGCTTCCCTCAGTTTTTGCAGAAGATCTTAGAAAAATTAAGTGAAAAGTTGCTCAAATCTGTCATTTTAAAAACCTATTAGTATTGATTATTGAAAATATATATTACCAGCCTAACTCTACAAAAGTTGACAAAGTATCTCTAAAGGAAATTCCAACCAAAAGGATAAGATCCAATTAAATGAGAGATTCAGAGTTTTAAATTCACACTGTGAAAATTATACTAGCATACACTTGGAGAAACATGTCACTACAAGCAAATTTAAATACAATTTTTGTTAAAAATAAGCAATAACAATAATAAAATGGCAAACACTATACAGTATTTATTATGAAAGGCACTATTCTAAGTACTTTACAGGAACTCATTAAATCTTCAAAACTAATATCTAATGACATGTAAGAGATAATCTGTCCTAAGTATATGTGAGTATTGAAGATGAAGTAGGAAAGACGTTGACTTCTTTTTTAGATATGGCATCTTTGACACAGCTCAGTAATCAGAAGGACTGAATCTTAGAAGAGACTGAAGCCAGAATTTAACGGCAGCTGCCTCGCTTCCATTTTTATGTCTAATATGTAGACGTACATTTGTAAGACAAAATAAACATTTAAAATAGAGTTTAAGAAACAGAAAACTCAAAATTGGCATTCTATTTTCACTTCAAATCTCGGTACAGAATTATTACATTTCAGTCAGCTCTCCTCAGGTTCATTCTTCCCTTTCCTCTCTCAAAGCAAAGTGCAGCACTGTCATATGTGGTCTTGTGATCCCACTAGTGTGATGTTGGTCAATAAACAATTAGTCGGTGTAATTCGGTAAAATCCTATGATGTACTTAGCTGCAGGAAGAACACACACTAATGTCAGCAATGTTGTGAGTCATTTTATTTTATCTGCATATAAAGTGTTTGTATGCGTTCAGCAGCAAACACACCCGACATCACCTACTTCAATAAGGTTTGCCTTATGGCTTTTTGTTTATTTATTTTAGATCAAAGGTGAGTCTCTGAGCTTCCACAGTAAGGACAAGCCTAGAGCAAATGATGCTTCTTGGGACTCTCATCATTTTGTACATAGGGCTTTCTTGTGATGGAGAAGTGTGAGAAATAGTCAGGAAACTTGGGTGCCTTCCTCAAACACACCTCTTCTGTAGAACCAGAGAATGGTCATAGGAATGCTGCGAATAATGTCACCACTTTCCCATTCCTCCCCAACTAGTAATGAGAATGTGGAAAACTCAGCTTAAAACTAAAGAAAAATCTTTCAATTTACATTATAGAACATTGAACAACTGCCGCTGCCTCTCCGTTAGCCCTACCTCTGCGAAGACCTTTATATTACACTCGAGGAGTCAGAAATACCATAGGAAGGCGACCCACAGTCAATCACCACATAGCCAGATAGGAAACCTTTTAGCCATGGTTGCATCCAAGCACATGGCAAGCACCGGGCAATGGGCAGCTGCCTCAAACACACCATTCCTGAGAACAGACTCAGCATCAGGTACTTCTGATGCATTATTCTCTCCTGATCTTACAGCAAAGCCCTGGAAGCCTGTGCTCTTCCTGTCGCACCAAAACTGCCTTCTGCCCTCAATCATTTTCCCGTAGCTGTCATGTCCAACTTGACGCAAGCAAATGGCAGGCACCCAGGAACGGGGCTCTTAGGACCACAATGTCCACAGAGGTGATGTCCCAGCCCCATCTCTGAATGACAAGAGTAGCACACCCATTAGCCATGAAATCGTACTAAGACACTTCCACCAAATTAAATTATTTCCAAGGCACCACCCTGCTAGGCCCTGGGGAAATGATGGTGAATGAGGCAAGGCACCAGCCTGAATGAGCTTAATCGAGGGGAGACCAATCCCAGGATAAGGGCTGGGTACAGAATGCTGGGGAATTTTCCTGCAGGAGGTAAGGTAACATACTGAATCTGCAGACAAGTAGGACTGGCTTGGACTAGGAAAAAGGAACTACCTTAGAGTAACAGGAAAGACTTGGTACTTACTGCATAAAGAGGGTGAAGGAAAATGAGTTTAGGTTGATCCAAACCCCCAGTGTGTTTAACTTCATCAGAGGTGACACCCTCACCAAGGTAGGGAATATAGGAGAAAAGATAGGTTTAAGGAAAAAGTAGATGAATTCTGTCTAAGAATTCTCTGTTTAAGATACTTGTGGCCAGTCTCATGGAAAGATCCTGACAAGCAGTTGAAATTTGGGGGCCCCCAACGAGAGGTCTGAGTTAAATATGAGTTCATTGTGGCGGTCATGTGAACAAACCCAGCTGTGAATACCCGCCAGGGAAAAAAAAAAAAGTGTGACAGGAGGACATGGGATCCAATGCTAGATGACACCTGACACCTACATTCAATGGGTGACCAGCAGGAGGAGAACCTTCAACAAACAGTGAAAGGGAACACCCAGGGAAGCAGGAGAAACATCTCGAGCAGGGGACTACCCGAGATGGTAACGCTTCAAGGAGAAGGATCTGGTCAATGTCCAATTCCAAAGGGAGGTCAGATAAGGACTGAAAAACATTCACCATGGCCAACAGGAGATGGCTGGTCCCTTCGGGGGGGTGGGGTGGTCAGTGCCCACACAGTGGTGGAGCTGCCAGCTGCGATGTAAGGAGCTGAGGACGGAATGGGAGATGCAGCAGCCTCAGAACTTTCTCAAGAGGCTTAGCTACAAAGAAAAGAGCTCAGCCTTTCATTACTTTTTCTTAATAGTTTGCAGCTGGGTGCAGTGTCTCACGCCTGTAACCCCAAAACTTTGAGAGGCCAAAGCTGGAGGATTGCTTGAATTCAGAAATTTGAGACATGCCTAGGCAACACAGCAAGACGTCACCTCTCCCAAAACTTTTTAAAATTAGCCGAGGTGGTGGCATGTGTCTGTAGTCCCAGCTACTGGGGAGGCTGAGGCAGGAGGATCACTTGAGTCTGGGAGTTTGAGGCTGCAGTAAGTTATGATTGTGCCACTGGACTCCTGCCTGGACAACAGAGTTAGACTTTGTCTCAAAAAAATCGAGTTTGTAATAAGCAGAAAATATTCCAACTCAGAGCGAATAGTCAGTTCAGCACAGATTTACAATGAACTCTCTCAGGGTAAACCTAAGCCCAGACACAGAGACAGAGAGACACTGGCCACGTAACCATGCATCCACTGCTTAGGCAGCAGTGAGATTACTATGAAGAAGGGAAGCCAAGGACAATTCCTTCGATTACTAAGGAAAGGAAACTAAGACTGATAACAAGTTAGGAATCATCAATAGCATTAATCGAAAAACTTCTCAGAACTGGGAAGAGCCAATTTCCGCTAGCTTTTTTCCTAAATATAAAAACTGGCCAGGCACGGTGGCTCACACCCTGTAACCTCAATGCTATGGGAGGCCACAGTGGGAGGATTGCTCGAGGTCAGGAATTCGAGACCAGATTGGGCAACACAGGAGGCCCCGTCTCTTAAATTTTTTTTTTTAAAATTTTTTAAATGAGCTGGGTGTTGGTGGCATGTGCCTATAATTCCAGCTACTCCCGAGGCTGAGACGGAAGGACCACCTGAGTTGCAGAGTTCAGGGCTGCAGTAAGTTGTGATGGTGCCACTGCACTCCAACCTGGAAGATAGAGATCCTGTGTCTAAAAGAAGAAAATAAATAAATAAATAAATATAAAAACTATTTCTAATGTTTACAGAATGTTTTTTAAGTAGGCAAGAATGCCAAAACCTTTAATTGGATGTGACAAACGGTAAAAGTGAAACTGTATCTTCGTGGTAGTGGGGTTCTGCCAGGTGGCCAATGCTCATTAACCAGGGATACAGGTGGCTCTCTCCCTGGAGTCAGCCATCACATAACTGACGCTGCACCCAGCACAAAACAGCCCCTGTGAGGGGAGGGAGACCTCGAATTTTTCTTTGCTCCCTTTATTTTCTTTCAAAAATCTTTTTCCAGTCCAGATGACTGGTCCTCATAAACAAGAATGTCTCGGTGGCATGTGCAGCATAACACACTAACATCTGCTAACAAGAGCGCGGGTTTTTTTTTTTTTCCATGTTTTGTACTGAGGAAAGGACCACTTTATATTGTCTCTACACAGCTGTGTTTAAGTTAAATGAAAATTCGATAGCAATCATTCTACTCGTCTCTAAAAGATGACAAACCATTCATGGATATCACCTGCTTTCTTTACCAAGAATGAGTCATAAAACTTCTGTGATATGCAAATGTTATTTGCAAAAGAAAAAAAAACTTCACAGTTCCACATACTTTAAAAAACAAACTATGAAAGGTATATGGTCTTAGTCAAAGGTAAGGAATGGTTAACCATTATTCATTCTGAGCAGTAGGTCTCATCAAAGATTAGGTGTATCTCTGGCATGTTGCAGGGATTAACCATTAACCCACTGGCTAACAATCTCCACTACCATGCCCCACCCCCATCCTTTTCAGCCCTCCATGTCTGCAAACCAGAAAGGCAGGAATGCCTCCTGTCTCTAAGGCTACAGATTTGATTAATCCTGCATCCATGCTCTATCAGTAAAGGACATCTCAGAAGTCAAGACACAGCATATATACCTTTTTATAATTAATCCTGAGTCAGTATAGCTCATCCTAGAAGAACACTTTCAAGACATATATAGAACACCTTTTAACAATGAAACTACAAATCAGCTGTCACAGAGTTAAATTTATTCTTCTCTAGGATTTGGGGACAGTAGACATGACCACTGTTTGCACCAAACTGATGTAATCAACTTTCTTTTGTTCCAGTCAATATCAATTACAGGCATATCTCGGAGACATTGTGGGTTTGGCTCCATACCACTGCGATAAAACGAATCTCACAATAAAGCAAGTCACACAAACTTTTTGCTTTCCCAGTGCATATAAAAGTTATGTTTGTTTTACACTATTAGTCTATAAAGTGTGCAAAAGCATCATGTCTAAAAAGCCAATGTTACCTTAATTTTAAAATGCTTTATTGTAGTCCCCACTACTCAGGAGGCTGAGGCGGAAGGATCCATTGAGCCCAGAAGTTCCAGGCTGCAGTGAGCTATGATTGAACCTGTCAATAGTCACAGCACACCAGCCTGCGCAACATAATGAGACTCTATCTCTAAGAAAAAAAAAAATACTGTATTGCTAAAAAAGGCTAAGGATCATCTAAGCCTTCAGCAAGTCCTAATGTTTTTGCTGGTGGAGGGTCTTGCCTTGATGTTGATGGCTGCTGATCAGCATGGTGGCTGCTGGAAGTTGGGTGGCTATGGCCATTTCTTAAAATAAAGACAATGAAGTTTGCCACATCAGTTGACTCTTCCTTTCATGAAAGATTTCTCTGGAGAACCCAATGCTGTTTGACAGCATTTTACCCACAGTAGAGTATCTTTCCAAATTGGAGTCAATCCTCTCACACTCTGCCACTGCTTTATCAACTAAGTATATGTTATATTCTAAATCCTTTCTTGTCGTTTTAACAATGTTCACAGCATCATCACCAGGAGTAGATTCCATCTCAGGAAACCACTTTTTTTGCTCATCCATAAAAAGTAACCCTCATCCTTTCAAGTTTTATCATGAGACCGCAGCAATTCAGTCCCATATTCAGGCTCCACTTCTAATTCTAGTTCTCTTGCTATTTCCACCACCTCTGCAGTTACTTCCTCTGCTAAAGTTTGAACCCCTCAAAATCATTCATGAGACTTGGAATCAATGTCTTCCAAACTCCTGTTATTATTATTTTAACCTCCTCTCGTGAATTGGGAATGTTGTTAATGGCACTGAGAATGGTAAATCCATTCCAGGTTTGCAATTTACTCTGCCCAGATCCATCACAGGAAACACTATCTACGGCAGCTATAGCCTTAAAAAATGTAGTTCTTAAATAATAAGACTTGAAAGTCGAAATTACTCCTTGATCCATGGGTTGCTGAATGGATGCTGTGTTAACAAGCATGAAAGCAACGTTCATCTTCTTATACATCTCCATCAGAACTCTTGGGTGACAAGATGCATTGTCAATGAGCAATAACATTTTGAAAGAAATTTTGTTAGAGCCGTAGGTCTCAACAGTGAGCTTAAAATATTCAGTAAACCATGCTGAAAACAGATGTGCTATCATCCAGGCTTTGTTGTTCCATTTACAGAGCACAGGTAGAGTAGATTTAGCATAATTCTTAAAGACTCTAGGATTTGGGGAATGATCAATGAGCACTTACTTCAACTTAAAGTCATCAGCTGCAATAGCCCCTAAGAAGAAAGTCAGCCTGTCCCTTGAAGTTTTGAAGCCAGGCACTGACTTCTCCCTAGCTATGAAATTTCTAGAAAAGGCTGTTTCATCCACATTGAAAATCTGTTATTTAGTGTAGCCACCTTCATCAGTGATCTTAGCTAGATCTTCTGGATAACTTGCTGCAGCTTCTACATCAGCACTTGCTGCTTAAACTTGCACTTTCATGTTATGGAAACAGCTTCTTTCCTTAAACTTCATCAGTCAACCTCTGCTAGCTCCAGCTTTTCTTCTGCAGCTTCCTCACCTCTCTCAGTCTTCACAGAATTGAAGAGAGTTAGGGCTTAGCTCGGGATTAGGCTTTGGCTTAAGGAAAGTTTGTGGTTGGTTCAATCTATCCAGACCACTCAATTTTTCTCCCTATTAGCAATAAGGCTGTTTTGCTGTTGCTGTTGCACATGTTATCATTCATGTGGTTCACTGGAGTGGCAATTTTTATTTCTTTCAAGAACTTTTCCTTTCAGTCACAACTTAGCAAACTGGCACAAGAGGATTATAAATCATGCTACTATAAAGACACATGCACATGTATGTTTATTGCAGCACTATTCACAATAGCAAAGACTTGGAACCAACCCAAATGTCCATCAATGATAGACTGGATTAAGAAAATGTGGCACATATACACCATGGAATACTATGCAGCCATAAAAAAGGATGAGTTCACGTCCTTTGTAGGGACATGGATGAAGCTGGAAACTATCATTCTGAGCAAACTATTGCAAGGACAGAAAACCAAACACCACATGTTCTCACTCGTAGGTGGGAATTGAACAATGTGAACACTTGGACACAGGGTGGGGAACATCACACACCGGGGCCTTTCAGGTAGCTTTCAGGCTATCTTGGCTTTCAATGTCTCCCTCACTAAATTTAATCATTTCTAGATGTTGCTGAGGTAACTGTAGGGTTCTTAATTGGCCTAATTTCAATATTGTTGTGTCTCAGGGAATAGGGAGGCGGGAGGAGAGGGAGAGATAAGGGAGGGAGTGGCTGGGCCATAGAACAGTCAAAACACACACAACTTTTATCAATTTAGTTTGCCATCTTATGTGGCACAGTTTGTGACACCCCAAAACAACTACAACATTAACATCAAAGATCCCTGATCACAGATCACTTTAACAGATATCAAGATAATGAAAGCGTCTGACATATTGTGAGAAATGCCAAAATGTGACACAGAGACTTGAAGTAAGCACGTGCCGTTGGAAAAACAGACTTGCTCAATGCATGGTTGTCACAAACCTTCCATCTATACAAGAAAACAGCAATACCTGTGAAACGCAATAAAATGGTGTATGCCTGTAATGACATTGCAATGAAATACAAAGATCACTTATTTACTTTTCCTATAGGTCCACTTTAGTTTTTCAATCCTTTCTGAATACACTAAACTCTGCCATTATCAGATGGTTCAGCTTTCTGAATAAAAACTCACACTCAGTTCTACTTCTCCTTCACCTGATTTGCCCTCCCAATCTCACCCCAAAAAGTTTAATCAGCTTCCATAGAGAAGTGCTCTCAGGAGGTAAGGCAATCCCTCTACTTTGGACACATAGCTAGAGACCATCTCCATATGTTTGGACTTGGTCTGGGCAGTTCTATGCCTTGGCTACCACACAGTAGGTCCTCTGTGAATGAATGATCTGTCCTCCAAGATCTGGCTTAAAGCCAGAGGCCAGAGTCCCCAGGTATAGTTATCAATTTGTTTTTTGTTTTGTTTTTTTTTTAAGAGATGAGGTCTTGCTCTGTCACCTAGGCTGAAGTGCAGTGGCACAATCACAACTCACTGCAGCCTCGAACTGCTGGGCTCAAGCAAGTCTCCCACCTCAGCTCCTGAGTATCCGTGACTACAGGCACACATGCCACCAGGCCAAACTAAGTCTTTGGTTTTTTTTTTTTATTTTTAAAACCACATCTCGCTGTGTTGCCCAAGCTGATCTCAAACTCCTGGTGTCAAGTGATCCTCCTGCTTTCCAAGTCACTAGGATTACAAGGCATAAGCCACTGCTAGTTGCTGATTCTTTAACAGCTTCTGAAGTTAGGCTGAATGGATAACCTTTTGCCTCTCTGTGCAAAAAAGCAATCACCTTGAGAAGACTTTCCCGTACTACAAAAGGTACTAATAAAAAATACGTTTTTATAACTCTTCAAAACTCACACTTAAATTGTGTGACTCAATTTAAAAACACAGACTACCAAATTGTAAAATACAAAAGCATCACTAATAAGCACATGAAAGATGCTTAGCAACACTAATCATCAGTAGAAATCAAAGCCACAGTGAGACAATGAGGTATCACCTCACAGGATGGCCCTTATCAAAAAAAAAAAAATAGAAAGAAAAGAAAATAACAAGTGTTGGCGAGGATGTGGGAAAAATTGGAACTCTTGTGCACTGTTGGTGGGAATACAGAATGGTGCAGCTGCTACAGAAAACAGTTCAGCAGTACCTTTAACAAATTAAAAACAGAATTCCCTTAGGATCTATGGATTCTCTTTCTGAGTATAGACCCAAAAGAATTTAAAACAGAGTCTTGAAGAGATATTTGCACACCCATGTCACAGCAGCATTATTCATGGCAGGCAAAAGGTGGAAGCAACCCAAGTGTCCATCAACACATGAATGGTTGGATAAACAACTTGTGGTCTATACATACAATGGAAGGAAATCCTGATACATGCTACAACATGGATGAACCTTGAGGATATTATGCTGAGTGGATTAAGTGTTCTGTCTTTTTTTAGATTCTATAATTCTCTGTTTGGCATCCATCACAGGGCCAGTTGCTATAAACTACATTGTATTATTTTCTGCCTTCTCGATGGTCTTAGATTTGTGGCCTTGCTGACTGGGGAAAGGCTGCATCTCCCAGGGCTAGTCAATTCTTAGAGGGCTAGTAAATTCTGAGGCCCCTGCCCCAGCACATCTTCCACAGGCAAACTCACCAACTCAGTGCCCACACCCCCAACCATCTCCTTTATCAAAAGCCAGTGTTCCATCTTGCCTTAAATCCACCCAGGGCCACCCACCAGACTGCTGTACCCCACAGCCTACCAGATTTACTCAAACTTGCCAGTCTTAGCTGCTCACCCTGTCCTACCTCACCTTTCCTAAGGAAAACAAAATAAGGGTTTGGCCTAGGCTGTCCCCTCACTCCTTCTGCCTCCTAACCAATCCTGCTGCTTCTCCATGTGGCCCTATAGGGTTTGGCATGCTCCTTCTTCTTAGGAAATTTAATAAAATTAAAATCCCTTGGGTACAACTGACACAATCAGTCAGTCACAAAAAGCCACATTCTGTATGATTCCATTTATATGAACTATCTAAAGTAGTCAAGTTCATGGAAACAGAGCAGAATGGGGGTTACCAGGGGCTGAGGGCAGGAGAAAATGGAGAGGTGTTGTTTAATGGGTGGAGTTTCAGTTTTGCAAGATGAAAATTTCTGGAGATTGCAGCACAACTAATGAGTTGCACACTTAAAAAATTTTATGTGTTTTTCACTACAATGTTTTTAGATGCTAAAAAAATACGTATTATTTTTTGAGACAGCATCTCGCTCTGTTGCCCAGGCTAGAGTGCAGTAATGCAATCTTGGCTCACTGCAACCTCTCTCTCCAGGCTCAAGCAATCCTCCCACCTCAACCTCTCAAGTAGCTGGGACCACAGGCGCACATCATCATGCCCGGTTAATTTTTGTGTTTTTTTGTAGAGACAAGTTTTTGCCACGTTGGCCAGGCTGGTCTTGAACTCCTAGACTCATGCGATCTGCCCGCCTCAGCCTCCCAAAATACTGAGATTACAGGCATGAGCTACCGCACCCAGCCAAAAAATAAGTTTTTAAATCAATTTTAAAATCCCCACCAAGAATCCTGGTCCAAACACCAATTCAAACTAGAAGGATGTAACCTTTGAAGTACACATGGTCTATATACTTAGCTGAAAAATGAAAAATGATCTGGTCTGGGATAGGAAGCAGCAGAAAAACCTAAAAGATAGTTGGGGGAAGCAGTAGGAAAGTTGGAAACTGGCTGCCTGTAAGTGTAATGCAGTCCACAAATATTCATTCAATCATCTGTTCAACAAGCATGTACTTAGTACCTACTATGTGCCAAGCACTGTTTTAGATGCTGTGCAAGTGGAAGTAAACAAAACAGATTTAAGACCCCGCTTACAATCTGATGTTTGTTTGGCTCAGTGTTCTTTAAAAATTTGAACATGTTGCCACCATTTAAACATCAAAATATCTCACATAAAAATACTGATTTCCATTAGTTCTTCAAAAAAAAAAAATCTGATAGCACTGGCCTGAATTTCAGTCTAGGCACAATTATCTAGGACTTAACTGACTACCCTCATTGACAGGGCAAGCATTCTCTTCTTGGCCACAGTCCCACCACTCTCTGTGTGCTACGGGTGTGCTTTACTCATTTACTCTTCCTGCCTAGCCCCATAGGCATTTGGATTTTTAACCTGCATTCCATCTTGTGCCTGGGCTTCCAAGTCAGATTTCACAAAGTTCGAATCCCACATCTGCTACTGCTAGCTGTGTCAGTTGAGCTATATTTTTTCTGTCTCGGTTTCTCGATCGGTAAAATGGGGGCAATAATAATGGTATCTATTTCATAGCGTTGTCATAAAGATTAAATGAGATAATGTGTGCAAGGTGGGTAGCACAGTGCTTGGCAAAAGTCGATTCTCATTAAATTCCTGATATTTTTATTATTTTTGGTTGCTGTGTTATTACTCTTGTTCACCATCACCATCATTAGAACCAGCAGCAGCAGCAGCAGGATTGCAAGAAAAATACTTAAAATAGGGACAGAATTTCAGGGCCTGCCCAATTGTGAAAGGTCCCCTTCTTGTACCATTCCTCCCCCTCCCTCAATTTTCCTTTTTTCTCTCCTTGTCTTTTTTTAAATCCAGGATAATTTTGAAAGTTGACTCAGTAACTCCAGGGGGTCTTTTACCATCTGGATGCTCCCAGGCTACAAATTCCAGAGCAGCGGGCAGAGTCAACATATAACCTCAGGGGGCAAAATTAACAGTCTGAGGTAGTCCTCAAACAGGATAAAACACCCTATTTTAAAAGGCAATAAACCTAGTGCTTGAAAGCCCTCAAACGCTCTACAAAGATATCATGAAGCCACGACTATGATTTTAAGACATGCCGCATGTATGGGTCCTACTGATGCATAAGAATTGCTCTGGGCCACTCACCCACCATCCCGTAGATGCAGCATTTGAGGGAAGATTTTCCAAATTTGCCATATAGACTTAGAGCAGTCCTCTATGGATAGGAAAGTATGAACCAGTGGTTTTACAACTGAAAAGGCACCAGGGAATTTGTAAAGGTGCAGATTGCCAACAGATTCCCAGACTCTCTCTACTAGACAGTCTGATTCCCTGAGCCTGGGGTCCCCCCTCGATGGTGCTGGTGCCTGAGTTTTAATGTGCTCCCGGGCAGGCGGGCGGGGCTGACTCAGGCAGTCCCCATACTACTGAAAATAATACTGAGGATGTGTGCCAACTCCTCCATCATCCAAACAAGCCTTCACCCC
Organism: Homo sapiens; assembly: GCF_000001405.40. Lineage (NCBI taxonomy): Eukaryota > Metazoa > Chordata > Mammalia > Primates > Hominidae > Homo > Homo sapiens. The sequence continues at coordinate 214,514,726 of NC_000001.11, forward strand.
ATGACCCCAGCTCAAACCACTTTGTGCAACACCACACATTTAAGGCTGCAAAAGAGACTTGCAGTGTGCCCTCCAGTCCTTCCTCTTTAGAAGGGAAATAAGAACTGTTGAGAGAATTGAACAAAGCAGAGAATCTGAGAGCCCCTAAACCCAGCATGTGGACCAGAGCAGGCACTGGAGGCATCGGTACAAGTCACATACTAAGCAGAACTTTGTTCGGTCGCCTGGCAGCTCCCCTCCTGTAGCCGACAATAAACAAGCATCCATCTCTCTCCATCATCCACTGCCGTGACCGAGCAGGACTAACAGCAAGAACAGAAATTCTTCCTCCTATTACATCTTCTAAATAAATCAAATGGCAACAGAGCCCAGGGAATGGCAGCTTTTCCATGCCTTTTGACCAGTCAACTATCAATAAATCAGGAGAGAAATCCCTCCGTAAGTAGAAAAAAGCCTTATTTCAGTGATTAAAGACAATGAAAAATTTACACATTAGTTAATGGAGTTTTTAAAAACTGAGTTCAGCATTTGGGAGAAAAAATACTCTTAGATGTAAAAGTATCCACTATCCACTAGGCACTTATTTTTTTTTTAACGATAATATGTCTATCTTCCTGCCAGCACCACACTCTTTTGTTTATTGGAGATTTGTAGTGAGTTTTGAAATTAGAAAATGTGAGTCTTCCTATTTTTTTCCAAGACTGTTTGACTACTAAGGGTATATTGTAATTCTATATATATTTTAGGATCAGCTTCTCTATTTAAGAAAAAAAAATAAGCCAGTAGGGTTTTAGTAAAGATTGCACTGAATCTATATATTGCTTTGTGTAGTGCTATCATGTTAATAACAGCTTCCAATTCATAAGTAGGGAATATCTTTTCATTTATTTAAATCTGATATTTCTGTCATTGACGTTTTGTGGTTTTTCAGTGTGCCTCCTTAGAGAAATTTGTTTCTAAATATTTCAACATTTTTAGTGCTATTGCAACAGGAATTGTTTTCTGAATTTCGTCTTAGCATTCTCTATTGCTAGCATAAAAACAAATGATTCTCAAATGTGAAGAAAAGAAAAAAAAAACTGAGTTCAGGATACTTACTGAATTTTTAATCCCATAAAAGGGATTTTCCTTTCTACTTCCTTCTCTTGAGAAATATCTTGCTATTTCACTGACCCTGGAAAAGTTACCTTTGGCAAAGTACAATTTTCCTGGAAAAACTGCAATTGGGCTGATATTCTCAGTTAGGCCTGCTATATCTGATAAAGAGCTTTGTACTCAACTTTTCAAAGCTCTTAATACCTAGGTATAATTTCCTGCACTCCTCTTTCGATAACATAAAAGCAGGAAGTACACCTCCACCTCACCCCAGAGGAGCTAGATTAACCCTGCCACTGCCAGGTTCTCAAGAAAATTTCTCTGTATTGGCACCTGCATAGCTGATGAGCCCAATATTAAAATAAAACAAATTTTTGCTTCTACAGTGTCTTCACCCTTCCTTTTTTCACAGTTGAAGCCACACTATTGAAGGGGTAGGAATAATTTCTCTATGATGCCTTGTGTGTTTTGGTTTTGTTTTCAGTGCCAACAATGCAAGAGGCCAAGGTACCATATATGAATTGAAAAGTAATTCACAGCCCTTCAGAGTATCCTTTGCAAGGATGGCAGTGACCAGTGAGAGACATTGCTGTTCCCACTGAAATATATTTAAAAGAGTCATCACTGTGCAGCATATGCTGGGCTGATATGACATCTGCCAGAAAGCTAGCATTCCTATAAAAGCAGACAGTTTATTAAGATATGTTGACTTTCCTGCTGGACATCATTCTTGCCAGATTAGCACCAGAGCAAAACAAACACAAAATGTGGTTGGTAAAGTTTGTTTGAAGTTACCTACTACTAACAGCTTACCGCAGCAATACATAGTATTACCAGGACTGTAAATATTTATTTTCCTTGGGTATAGATTCAAAGGAAATAGAAAGGCAATGTTTGTTTGAAAACACTGAATTAATTTTGATATTAAAAAAAAACTCAGAGAGGCAGGCAGGTGCTAAGTGTTCCACCTAGGGAAATTCTAATCTTTACAAACAGAAAAGGCACACACATTCCTTTGCTACTATCATATCCCCACTTGATAGCAATTCCTGTTCCCCACCCCACCCCACTCCACCTACGCTACGCACCAGGCATACTCCTCCTGGCTTCTGGACTATGCCTTGAACTTTAAGGCACCTGCTCTCCTCTCTCACAGTTCATGTTCCCTCTTTCCTCCTGGAGAAATTCTTTCTCATCTTCCCACCAAATATGTCCTATCCAACCTTCCAGGCCCAGCTATCTCCTCCGCTCCTAAGGCTGTCACCTGTCATCCAGGCAAATGTAATCGGTCCTACCTCTAAGCCTTTACAATGTCGTGTCCACATCTTTTACAGGGCAACTGCCAGCCCTGCACAGCTACCTCCTTCTGCCTCAAGGACATGGTCACCTCCATTTCTGTGAAGGCATGGTCAGTGTACTATAAAATTTCCACATAAACAAACTTTATGTATGTATGACAAAATGCATGATATGTCTTCCTTTCTGAAATAATTACTGCATCAAAACTTAAGGATCCTAAATGGAGAAGGGAAAAGCCTTCAAGTATGTCTCCTTGGCACACTAACCACCAAGGTTAAGATTAACTCAAGACAAAGTGCACATTGAATCTAAAGAAGCTTGAGATGGTACTGCTAGGTCAACTCACCAAATTTAATGAGCATAATATTAAAAAAAAAAAAAACATAAAGTAAGAAATACCCAAAAATCTAATCATAGCACTAGCCAGAGGCCATAAATGAAAATATGCAGGAACACATCAGCAAAGTGAAACTTACCTTTCTTCTGAGATGACATGGAAAGAAAAATATAACAGGAGGCAGGAGGAGTAGGGAGGGAAAGGGACCCTTCCCTAGTCCCTCTAGACTATACAAAGCTTTATATCCATGATCTGAGGCAGGTGGATTGCTTGAGCTCAGGAGTTTGAGACCAGCCTGGCCAACATAGCGAAACTGTGTCTCTATAAAAAATACAAAAATTATCCAGGAGTCGTGGCACATGCCTGTAATCCCAGCTACTCTAGAGGCTAAGGTGGGAGTATCACTTGAGCCTGGGAGGCAAGGGTTGCAGTGAGCCAAGATTGTGCCACTGCACTCCAGCCTGGGTGACAGAGAGAGACTCAATCTCTAAAAATAAAATAAAATATAGAAAGCTTATAATATAAAGACCTCTAAAGAAGGTACTTAAAATATAAAAAACTTATAAAATCCTCCCCAGAAGGAACAATGCGTTGGTATCTTTTCATAACCCCTGAGCTACCATATTTATTTCACCTAGCACATGGTAAACAATAAATGTTTGTCAAAAGATTGAACTGGGTACTGTATCCGAAAATCCACCATGGATGGGATGAATTTCTCTTCCCGAGGATGAAATTATTGTTTTGGAGAAGATGGGAAAACACATCATGTAAAAATGTCAGAGATATTTCTACCCAACTAAAATATGACACCAATATATCCAAACCACTACTCTCTATTCGCCACTACTAATAAAAGAAACTCCCTAACCAGATTCAGAAACAGCCCTTTTAGAATCTGATAAATGATATCCCCAGAATGACAATAGTTTATTTTTCACATCTTCATTTCATTAAGGTCATTAAGCATATTAAATATGTTACATTACATAAACTATTCCAAATATAGGCTTTTGTCTTGAATAGTATTATCCTCTATTATCCACTGTGGTAGATGATCTATTTCACAAAGAATGAAAAACAGTAGATAATGACCAAGGAATTTATTCATACAGAGAGGATGAGACTTCAAAAATGAACTTCCTCTGGGTTCTCTTGAGCCCAAGGACTGAAACCATTTAAAATCCCACTGGGCAGATGGGTTGGCTGGGTGCAAGTGGGACAGAACAAGGAAGGGGTACAGTTACCCTATTATTTGTGCTACTTCTAAATACAACAGCTATTCACTTTATTTTAGATAAAGTTATATTCAGCTAAACTGAAACAAAAAAAGAGGTAAAATTAAGTAACTACGCTACCCAAAAAAAAGTCTTTATGTTCAGGCAGCAAGATAAATAAATGTTAGTTTGAGGAAAATGTCCTAAGAATATCTGCCTTGTGTTCTGTTTTATATTTTAGGTATGTTGGCTTTAAACTAATTTCCTAGATAATTTGATCATTGCCTTTAATTAAAAAGAACAAAACGAAACAGGCCAGGCACAGCAGCTCATGCCTGTAATCCTAGCACTTTGGGAGTCCAAGGCAAGCAGATCACCTGAGGTCAGGAGTTCAAGACCAGCCTGGCCAACATGGTGAAACCCCACCTCCACTAAAAATACAAAAATCAGCCAGGCATGGTGGTGGGCACCTGTAATCCCAGCTACTTGGGAGGCTGAGGGAGGAGAATTGCTTGAACCTGGGAGATGGAGGTTGCAGTGAGCTGAGATCATGACACCGCACTCCAGCCTGGGTGACAGAGCAAGACTGTCTCAAAAAACAAAACAAAACAAAACTCAACAATCAAGAGGGAAGCACCTTTATACAGCATTGCATTCCTGTATCAAAGCCCTCACCACTCCAAAAATGATCTGATTGAGTCTGTTCCCCCACCCCCATCTCCAACTAGAAGCACCTTATTTATTTTCAGAGTTACTGCCCCAAACTTGCAACACAGTGAGTTCTCAATAATGCCTGCTGGTCCATAATATACTGAAGTAACTTCCTAATATACATTGATACATTCCAGGGACAGTTTCAGATACTAAAGCACTCTTATTTGTATAGCAGGCTAACACTAAATTATTCTTATTTACTTGTTAAACCAATCCTGCCTAGCCTTCTGCTAGGTGATAGAGATAATCGCTTGCATATACTGTTTTTTGAGTAGCATATTACATGAAAGTTCTTTCAAATTAATCTGGATTATTAATATTCACAAAGAGTTTTAACCCTCCCGCCCCATGAAATCTTTTATTCAAAATATAAGCAAGCAGGCTGGGTGTCGTGGCTCACGCTTGTCATCCTAGCACTTTGGGAGGCCAAGGGGGGCGGACGGCTTTAGCCCAGGAGTTCAAAACCACCTGGGCAACAAAGAAAGTTCTGTCTCTACAAAAAATAAAAAATTAGCTGGGCATGGTGGCTAGCGCCTATAGTACCAGCTACTTGGGAGGGTGAGGTGGGAGGATCCCTTGAGCCCGCGGGGTTCGAGGCCACAGTAAGCTATGATCATGCCACTGCACTCCAGCCTGAGTGACAGAAAAAAACCCTGTCTCAAAAAAAAAAAAAAAAAAATATATATATATATATATGCAGAATATATGCAGAACAGTCAGGTATGAATCAGTCTGTCTGCCCATCATTTGGTAGAGATGCAATGAGAAAATGAACAACAGCTAAGCCGGCAATGACTTACTGACCCCAGAGCTTACTATGTGGCAGGCTTTCTTGAGGAGAAAAGGTTATGAACGTCTTATCCAAAGAAACTGTCCTCTTTTCTTTTGATTCTCTACAAACTACATCTAAACCAATAAATATATAGTAACAATAAAAATGACGAAACTGAGAAGGTTTTAGAATGCTTTTGTTTTAAATTAGACTGTGGTAAGCAATGGAATCAAGTCATCAACTCCAGCATAACAGATACAACACTAAGAATGGTGGAACAGAAGTTTTGATTCAAGAAAGTTACACAAAAAGAATGAAGAATTTTCAGCAAAACAGAATTTAAATACTTCAGGATGCCTGGAATCTAAAAGAAAATGTCAAGTAGTTCAGCAGCAGGTGGGAACAGAAAGGGGCTCATTACCTTCCTCATGAAACTCACCCATAACCACTGCACTGATGGTCATCTCTCCACGGTAGGAAGAGAGGAGCAGGCTAAATGCAATCTACAGGCCCCCCTCCAGTCCCCGCTTTTACTGTTCTGCATGCACCATATACTTTCCTCCATCACTCTGACTTGTTGAGTTTATTGGGATCAGTCTTGTGTTTAAGTGCCTTGTAAATAAATACAAAACATTTCACCAGTTCACTCAAATGTTTTACTGCCTGACCTCCTGCTTGGAGGTTACACATGGAGCTGATGAAAAGAATGTCATAAGCATTCTTTTCTACCCACCTGGACTAAATTGTTATTTACCCCAGGCCAGTGTCTCTTTAAAGAAGCTAAAATTGCCTTCCGTCTTTCTGTAACACTGGGGTAAATAAAACAGATTCACAATGCCTAACAGCTCCACATGTCATTTCACAGAAGGCATTTGAGGGAAAAAGAGTCATCTGTTTTCCTAAGTAGAAAATGAAATTTATCTTTGGAGAAATAACAGTTTTTTTAAAGGAAGCTCAATGCAATTTAAAAAATAAAAACATGTTTTCTTGAAAACACATGAATCAGTGAGAGATCCATGGCCCACATGGCATGTTAATCGCTTTATAAAAATATTTCTCATATAAATGCATACACGAGTATGCTGTTTTCACAAAGTACTTGACGGCCCCTTAGTTAATGGCAAAAAGGACTTCTCAGATACCTGCTCTAGCTAAGATATAGAAAAGAGCCCTCTGATATAATCATCCAATTAAAACGGCAGATGCCTTCCTTGAGAGAAAAAGATGTATAAATACTAAATGTGACAGTATAAACAGAAACAAGAAAGAACGGCCAGGCGTGGTGGCTCACGCCTATAATCCCAGCACTTTGGGAGACCAAAATGGGTGGATCACCTGAGGTCAGGAGTTTGAAACCAGCCTGGCTAACATGGTGAAACCCCATTTCTACTAAAAAATACAAAAAATTAGGTGGGCGTGGTGGCGTGTGCCTGTAATCCCAGCTACTCAGGAGGCTGAGACAGGAGAACCGCCTGAACCAGGGAGGCGGAGGTTGCAGTGAGCCGAGATAGCGCCACTGCATTCCAGCTTGGGCAACAAGAGCGAAGCTCCATCTCAAAGCACACCCACACACACACACACACACGAACAAAAGAACTAGAAGACTTCAATAAGAAAAACAACTAAAGGTAGGAAAATACGCAGTTAGGAAAAGTATGGGCAGAACTGATGCAGCACATCCCCCAGTTGTTTGTCAGAAGGTACCTAAAACCATGTTTCATAAGATTTTTGTTGTTTTTTTTTTTACTTAATCTTCAACAAAATATAAATCTGAAGCTTTTTTTTTTTTTTTTTTGAGATGGAGTCTTGCTCTGTTGCCCAGGCTGGAATGCAGTGGCACGATCTCGGCTCACTGCAACCTCCACTTCCCAGGTTCAAGCAGTTCTCCTGCCTCAGCCTCCCTAGTAGCTGGAATTAGAGGTGTGCACCGTCACACCCGGCTAGTTTTTGTATTTTTAGTAGAGACAGTTTCGCCATGTCGGCCAGGCTGATCTTGAACTCCTGGCCTCAAGTGATCTGTCCCCCTCAGCCTCCCAAAGTGCTGAGATTACAGGTGTGAGCCACTATGTCCAGCCTGAAGCTTCTTATATCATCTTTTCCCCACAACTATGAGAGATTTCATACCAGTCATGTAGCATCTTAAGGATCAAAAGTAGCTTCAATGGAATATGGAAACCTACGGCAAGTTTGGAAGTAGGTACAATCACTACCAAAGTAAGCTTTGATTAAATTAATATCTTGTTTTCAAAAACAGTAACTTGCAAAATGGCCAGTCAACAAATAGCTAATTCAACTCAAATAACTATCTGTGTTCAGAAAAGGAACAAGCAGGATACAAACATCCAAGCCCGCAGAACGTAACCACTAAATATATATGCAATACCTGTTTTCCATCAGGTTCTGAAACAAATTCGCTGTCCTAATTATATTCAGTTTAAACCAGCGTAAAAAACAGTTAACATTCATTGAGCCTACACCAAATGGTGGTAAGTGGAGGAGGTTGCTGAGAAGTGCAGTTAACCAATTCAAGGCCGTTTTAAATAAAGGACAAGAAAAGTGAAAATGAAGACCACCAGAGGGCAAAAGTAAAGACCGCAAGCAGTAAAAGCTTTACTTATAAACAAAAGACAACCAATTGTGAAAATAAATGCCATGGTGTTTTAAAAGACTTAATGTGGGCAACTCCTTGTTTAGGACGGCATAAAATTGCAGGTGATATCAATTACATTTAAAATGCTGGCAAGATAAGACTGAGGAGAAAGAAGGCAGTCACTCGGCCTATTCAGAAGCAGGGAAACACTAAATCGAGATCTTTTGAAATTGTGGTGGTGATCAGAAGCTGACTACAGACCAAAATAATGAAAATTATTCTCACTCCTAAGACTTAATCATACTTAGTGAGGCACCTAAGGTTATGGGAGATTAATGTGCTATTCATCCTTGGACAATCCTTACATTGTCACAATATAGGATCTACAAGGACAGGTCAGATCCATCTTTATAGAGGCAGTGCCCTTGAACCTGGCATCCCGAGGTCAACACAGTCTCTCGCAGAAACACATCCACTTCCCCACATATCCCCATATCATCCCATTTTTCTTATATACCTCTTACTGGAAGTCCTTCCTAACCAAGAATGAACCCAGAGCAATCTGTCATGCACTACATGACATCTCAATTAATGACGGACCACATACACGACAGTAGCCCCAGAAGATTATAATACCATATTTTTACTGTGCTCTATGTTTCGATACACAGATACTTACCATTATGTTACAACTGTCTACAGTATTCAGTACAGTAACATGCTATACAGGTCTGTAGCCTAGGAGCAATAGGCTACACCATCTAGCCTAGGTGTGTAGTAGGCTCTACCATCTAGGTTTGTGTAAATATATTCTATAATGTTTGCTCAACGACTAAATTGCCTAATAAGTCAATTCTCAGAACATACCCCCTTGTTAAGCAACCACAGATTTGACAACTAGGGGCCCTGAGTGCAGTTTCAGTGACCCCACTTCCGGAGGTATCTGGGCTGCTGGCCCCAGGAGTACTGGCCACCAACACAAGGCCTGGAGTCCCTCCTCCTCCTGCGGTGGCTGACCAGGATCCTTGAGTTCCTGTCACTGAACACTGGGGCTGGGAATCTATTTTTGCACTGAAATAGTATTTGAGAGTAATCAGATTCTTTTTTTTTTTTTTTTTGAGATAGAGTCTTGCTCTGTCACCCAGGCTGGAGTGCAGTGGTACAATCTCGGCTCTCTGCAACCTCTGCCTCCTGGGTTCAAGTGATTCTCCTGCCTCAGCCTCCCAAGTAGCTAGGATTATAGGCATGCACCAACACGCCTGGCTAATTTTTGTATTTTTAGTAGAGGCAGGGTTTCACCATGTTGGCCAGGCTGGTCTCAAACTCCTCACCTCGGGTGATCTACCTGCCTCGGCCTCCCAAAGTGCTGGGATTACAGGCATGAGCCACCACGTCTGGCTGACTAGATTCTATAGTATGCTACATAAGAGGCAAGAAGGCTTTTGCCAGACAGCTGAGAACTAAAGCACCAATTTTCACATCGTTCTATAGAACGATTTTCTTATAAGAAAATCAATTCCTCATTGCAAGCTGATTTACAAGTTTTTGAAACTACTTCTATATGAAGTGGGCCTAGAAGAGGAAACAGTATGCACGTATCAAGGCAGTAAAAGTGAAGAGGGCTGGGCGTGGTGGCTCATGCCTGTAATCCCAGCTACTTGGGAGGCTGAGGCAGTAGGACTGCTTGAGTCCAGGAGTTCAAGACCAGCCTGGGCAAAAAAACAAGACTCTGTCTCTAACAAAAATGTAAAAATTAGCTAGGCAGGATGCTGCACACCTGTAGTCCCAGCTCCTCGGAAGGCTGAGGCAAGAGGATCCCTTGAGCCCAGGAGGTCAAGGCTGCAGTGGGCTATGATCGTGCCACTGCATTCCAGCCTGGACAACAAAGAGAGACCCTATCTCTTAAAAAAAAGGCGGGAGGGGGCGAGTGGAGAAGGATTCAAAATATAATAGGATCAATGGAAAGACAACATATCTCCTGTGAAATTTATTTTTTCAGACTATGCTCCTCTCCAGCAATCTCTAACATATCAGCTATGGCTTCCTATTTCAAAATCCTTCACCCACCTCCCAATCTTCTCTTCTCTCTCTTGTCTATCACATCCTGTTCTCTAGAGATTTCCAGCCCAGAATTTGAAACACCCCAAGTGTCTCAAATTATTTCAAAATAAGTTATGAAACTTTCAAAACAAATTAATGTAGTAAGTGTACACTATAAAGGAATCTGCCATGGAGGGTGTCAGGAAACCCAAAACCCTGGAGATCATGTTGCAATTCCCAAAAGGAAGCAAACCACAGCTCAGGAGAGGCCAAGGAGGTATATATGTAACATATAGCAGTCCCACAAACACTTTAAAGAACTACACAGAATCAGCACTAAATCTCTGCGAAGATTCAGAAGTCGGTGCCAGCACTGTGACAGAAGGCAATGTTTTGCAGAGGGCAGTGGAGGTACAACAGAATATGTATCTTTTTCCACAGTGGAGCAAAACTTCGGCTAAATTCTACTAAACCTCTTACCCCAACCACTTCCAACCTCTGACGGGACACTTTTCTAAAATGATCCCAACAAACCTGGTGAACCTCTGAAAATATATCCAAACAAAATTAATTGTAATGTAAACAAATGTAAAAACAAGTATACTGCATACGTTATAGTCCCATTTCTCATGGGAAGGGTCAGCTGCGAATGCTAAGATCATTCAAATAACATGACTTATCACAGCAAAACAAAAGTTTAAATTTACTATTTAAATTTGCTACTTGAATCTTTCCTGGACAAAAACAAACCTGGCAACTAGTTTCTTCTGAAGAGTAAACAGCACAGAAGTTTCCTCTTTCACTCTGACCGCAAATTCAACCACAGAGTTAAAACAAAAAGTTTTCTAGAATTCATGAATCTGTACAGAGGTGTTCAGCTGGGAAGCTTAGGAATCATATTCTACTAGATCAACTAAGTCAACAAAGACAAAGAAACTGAGTCATGGGTGGCTAAGTAACTTGCCTAAAACCAAAATAGCTAATTAGTGACTTGGGACTCAGGTTTCTGAAATTCCACAGGCGTGCACTTTCCACTAGACCACATGGGTGAGGATGGGGGATGGTAGGAGGAGGTGCAAAAATTCAAAATGGACTTGGCCCGTTACACATCTGCCCAGAGTAGTTTCATCTTACATGGCCTAAGGGACTCTCAAGGAACAAGCTAAAGTCAACTTTTTTTTTTTTTTTTTTTTTAAGACGGAGGCTTGCGCTGTCACCCAGGCTGGAGTGCAGTGGCATGATTTCAGCTCGCTGCAGCCCCTGTCTCCTGGGTTCCAGCGATTCTCCTGCCTCAGCCTCCTGGGTAGCTGGGATTACAGGCGCACACCACCACGCCCAGCTAATTTTTATATTTTTAGTAGACAGGGGTTTTCACCATGTTGGCCAGGCTGGTCTCGAACTCCTGACTTCAGGTGATCCGCCTGCTTCCACCTCCCAAAGTGCTGGGATTACAGGCGTGAGCCACCACGCCCGGCCAAGCTAGAGTCACTTCTAATGGTGCCTGGGTAGCGTTTTTAGACAATAAAGTGACTAACATTAATTTGGAGTCAGAGTATACACATACCAACAGTAATTCAAATACCATTCCAAAAGTCACTATCTGATTTTCTAAAGGTCAGATAGGAATTAAAGGAAAAATGCCATTTGAATATATTCAATTGCCAATAAAATATACACTCCAAGGAGACTGACTACCCTTAGAATCTGTTAAGTAAGGACTCAAGGTCCCCAGATGGTTAAAAGAAAAAAAAAATAGAAAAAGAGAGGTAGCTCTGGTAGAAAAAAAAACAGTTCTTAGATCACCACAACCACAGCAATGAAAGGAACCCAAGATTATATCCAAGTACTGACTGGCCCAAACACAGCAGAGAAGAATAGGCATTCTGATTATCAGTGTTTGAAAAATCCAGGTTTAGTTTAGGTTTGAGATGTGTGGAAGAAGTGATGAGACAGAAAAGAGGAAAAATTAGAAAACCAGAGGAGAGGAAAGAAAGTCATGAAGTGGTAAAGAGAGCAGGTGGGCCGGGCGCGGTGGCTCACGCCTGTAATCCCAGCACTTTCGGAGGCCAACGCGGGGGGATCACCTGAGGTTGGTAGTTTGAGACCAGCCTGACCAATATTGAGAAACCCTGTCTCTACTAAAAATATAAAATTAGCTGGGCATGGTGGCACATGCCTGTAATCCCAGCTACTGGGGAGGCTGAGTCAGGAGAATCACTTGAACCCGGGAGACAGAGGTTGCGATGAGCCAAGATCACGTCATTGCACTCCAGCCTGGGCAACAACAGCAAAACTCCATCTCCAAAAAAGAAAAAAAAAAAAACAGAAGGTGATAAGGCAAGAAGGTGCGGATCTCAGAGCCTTGGCAGGAAAGCCCCCACCTTCTGCAGAGGAAAGCTCCGGTCAAGACATACACATTAGACCAGATGGTAAAGGACATTTGTAGGTTTCTGTCTGCGTGCAGGCAGAGGTTTCTACAGAATATATTGGGTCTATACTTTTGCTCTCCCTGTTCCAGAACTTGATCTTATGCATTCGATCAGGAGTAACCAATGCCAACTTAGAAATTTATACTGCGAAGCCCTAATTCTCAAGGGGACTCAGCTCATTCTTAACCCAAAAGGCCTAGTATCTGGGGAAATCACTTCAGAATTCAAAAATTCTGAATAAAGGGATTTAATCACCCTAACCATTATAATGAAAGGAGGATAGGCTTGAAGCATGCATCAGTAATTCCACTGCTATTTCAGAGTCTTCTCTAAAAATTAATTATATATTTTTTAATAATTTCCTATTTAGCATTCCTTTCTATTAACCAAAAACTTCTATTGACATAACAGTGTTTCCTCTTGCTTCCAAGATTCTGAACGGTCATGTGGCTAAAACATGGACTGGATCTCAGACTAAGGCAGAAATGCATGCTGAGGAACACATGCCTAGTCAAACACAATGAAGTAGAAAAATCTGTAAGGTGGTAGAGAAAGTAGGTAAGCTGAACTTGCAGCCTATCAGCCAAATGCAGTCTGGTGGTTTTAAAATGTTTTTCTCTTCATAGCTTTTTTACTAAAAGTCTGTAAGGAATGTTTAAGCATCAGTAAGATACACAGAAAGAAGAATGGTTACAATATTGAAAATAGTAACACTGATAAGCACTTCTCTCGACAGCTTCTCTCTAAAGTCACTCCTCTCTAAAGTCAAAAGTTACTGAGCACCTACCAAGGATCAATATTGCAATAAGACACTCTAACTTTAAGTCATCGATATCTTAATAAATATTTAATATTCATGTATAAAACAAAACAGTGACTAAATACAGCCTTACAAATTATAAAATCTGGCAGTATGTAAACTGGGCAATCCTTGGAAGAGAAGTTTTGGCAACGAAGAACATAAAAATGTATATGTTATTTTATTTCATGCATTAAACCTACTCCTGGGAATTCAACCCAAAGGAATAACTGGAAAGAAAAAAAGACACTATATGTACAAAGACGTTAATGGTATTTTATTTATAGTAGCCAAACAAACACCTGGAAATAACCCAAATAGTCAACAAATGGAAATTGTTAATTATAACATACTACTCAATGAGCTATACATCCATTAACATTCTAAGTATATTAAGAATATGTGGCAACAGAGAAAAGTGTGACTAAAAAGATAAATGGGAAGAAAAGCAGAAAAAGTATTCTCACAATATATTGCTCTATGTGACTATTATTCTAAATATATAACATGATTACAGTTATATAATTAATAGAAAGTTTAGAAATAATATATAAAAACACAGTGGATATACTTGAGTGGTAGGGTAATTGGTTTTAATATTCTTGAGATACTTTAAGAACTGAGGTATGGGGGCTGGGCGCAGTGGCTCACGCCTCTAATGCCAGCACTTTGAGAGGCCGAGGTGGGCGGATCACTGGAAGTCAGGAGTTCAAGACCAGTTTGGCCAATATGGTGAAACTCCATCTCTACTAAAAATACAAAAATTAGCCAGGCATGGTGGTATATGCCTATAATCCCAGCTACTCAGGAGACTGAGGCACAAGAATCACTTAAATCTGGGAGGTGGAGGTTGCAGTGAGCCGAGATCATGCCACTGCACTCCAGCCTGGGTGACAGAGCAAGACTCCATCTCAAAAAAAAAAAAAAGAATTGAGGTATGGTTGTTTTAAAAAATGGGCTTTAGCTTGATGATACCCACAGCCTATGTAAGTCAAGAAGATGGGGCCGGGTATGGTGGCTCACACCTGTAGCTCTAAGACTTTGGGAGGCCAAGGTGGGAAAATTACTTGAAGCCAGGAGTTTGAGACCAGCCTGGGGATATAGCAAGATCTTCATCTCTACCAAAAAATAAAAATTAAAATTAAAAAATTTAGCTGTGTGTGGTGGCGCATGTCTGTAGCCCCAGATACACAGGAAGCTGAGGTGGGAGGATCACTTAAGCCCAGGAGTTTGAGGCTGCAGTGAACTGTGATCACACCACTATACTCTAGCCTGGGCATGACAGAGTGAGACACTGTCTCTCTGCCAAAAAAAGTCAAGAAGATGGGTCCTAATCTCTATGGTCATAGATACCTGACCAAAAGTATGTGTTTCAGAGACCAAGGTCTTCAAAGCAGCAGAGTGAAGGAGAAAAGACGATTGGTCACACACAAGTTGGCTATCTATTTGACAACTGAGTACACTAGCAAAATAGAGCGTGCTGCACAGGTTTTCCTTCTACAGAGACATGGGAGAAATTAACAGTTTTGGCTACCATCCTCCTTATAAACAACCTCTAACAACTTGTGGACATCAACAAACATGTGCTGGGGACGGTGGCTCATGCCTGTAGTCCCAGCACTTTGGGAGACTGAGGCAGGCAGATCACTTGACGCCAGGAGTTTGAGACCAGCCTGGCCAACATGGCAAAACCCCATCTCTACTAAGAATATAAAAATTAGCCGGGCATGGTGGCACATGCCTGTAGTCTCAACTACTTGGAAGGCTGAAGCATGAGAATCGCTTGAACCTGGGAGGTGGAGGTTGCAGTGAGCCGAAGTGGCACCACTGCACTCTAGCCTGGGCGAAAGAGTGTGTCTCAAAAAAATATATATATATATTAACCACTATATGACAATGGATTCTAAAGAACCACAAATTTGCCATATGTTTTAAAAAGCTATTCCTTGCATTGAACATTCACTGTTGGTAATGGATAAACCTCTACTTAAGAAAAACAGAGCTGACTACAGATACCTCATAGATGCAGGTATGTTAAAACAGACTAATAGTCTCAGGCCTTCTTAGGTCAACAACTACAACATATTGTCTGTTAATTACCCATCAGGTTAGGCCATAAGCAGATTTCACTAGTAGGCCAACATTCAGGCTAGGAGGGAAGAAAAAAGGAATGGAAGGAAAATGCAAGGAGAAAGTATTAGGGAGTGAACATGGTAACAGTAACTCTTTGAGGGCAACACAGTGTGGGGTCCCATAAGTGATCAACCCCTAACCAAAAAGCTCTAAAAATCTATAATACTTTCTTTTTTCTTTTCTTTTCTTTTTTTTTTTTTTTTTTTGAGACAGGGTCTCCTTCGGTCACCCAGGCTGGTGTGCATCAGTGGTAGGATCTCAGCTTATAGCAACCTCTGCCTCCAAGGCTCAAGCAATCCTCCCACCTCAGTCTCCAAAGAAGCTGGGACTACAGGGGTGCACCACCATGCCTGGCTACTTTTTGTATTTTTTGTAGAGACGGGGTTTCACCATGTTGCCCAGGCTGGTCTCGAACTCCTGGGCTCAAGCAATCCACCCACACTGACCTCCCTAAGTGCTGGAATCACAGGCGTGCACCATGATGCCTGGCTCTATAATATATTTTACACCCTTAGCCTCAACTCTTCCAAAATAAATAATTCAGTGAAGGAGAATATATTCCAAAGATAAGCACTCCTTTTGTTGTCAAAACTATTAGCAGTTTACGAAAATATTTACGACGAGTACGATAACCTTTTAAGAGTTCAGTAGTAACCTTCTTTTTATAAATTCAGCCAAGATATCTAACAATTCAATATAAACAAGCACCCTATTTTACTGCACTAATTTTTAAAAGCTTTTCTCTGTAATTACTTAACTTCTATATTAATATAAAACATCCTCATTCCCATTTACTCTGAACCTCAGTACCAACTTTGCCTCAAATATTTACCTCCTAAAAAATCAAAACTTCATAAACAAACGGGTCCTTACCTTTCAAAAGAAATTTGCAATGAATTCCAGGGAGACTCATATAAAGTGAACTGAAATTGAAATAAAATCCATTACAGGAAAAAAAATCCGAAGACTTTCATAGCAAATCTATTCAAGTTCACATTTCTTCAACACTAATCCAAGTCTTAATAGTCACATCATTAATACTCTTAATACTCACATTTTTAACATTCTGCCACCAGCAACTACTACTGTTCAAATAAACTCTGGTTCACACACTGATGTCTGCTTCACACATCAACTTGCTTCTCCCACACTTGCACTTGCTTCCCACAGAGCTGTCATAATTTCTTACAAGTTTTACCAGGCTGTGTCCCAAAATAAAGAGAATGGATTCTTCCGTTCTGAGGATTTTTGACGTTTCTCCGCCAAATGAGGGAGGAGGCATTTGCACTCCAATAGTAGTTTCAAGACCCAACTATCATTTCCAAAACCCATCTCTACAACCCAGCCTAACACACACACACACACACACACACACACACACACACACACACATTCTCTGCCTATTCTGCCAATGGACTCTGAATTAAGTGGCCTGAAGATTTCTCGTATCTGCCCTGCAAGTCTTCTTGCCCCTGCTGTGAAGTCTCAGAGCCTTAAATGAGGAACTATAACCCAGGATATTTATGGGTCTGTCTAGACACCATTATTTCTGAGCAGACGCCAAAGACAAGTGTAACAGCAGGCAACATGACACTTGTAAGTTAAACCAAATGAGAGGATACAGTCAGTAATAAAAAGTTTTCATTTACAGTTTGTGGGGGGAAAGCCGTAGGAAAGACCCGTTCTTATGTTTCAGGTGGTATTTTGTATGTAAACCATATGGCAATAGGCAATTCTGAAAACCATGGAATTAAAGCCATCCAATATTAGGCAACAGGGCAATAAATAAATTCCCTCCTAAGACTTTAAAATATGAAACAAAACTCAGCAATCTGAGCAGGTTTGACCACTTGTTCAATTCTGTAGTGATAATTACTATGATTTGATTGAGATAAAAGTTATAAAACCTTGTATCAAGTATGTTTTGTTTTTACTTTTTCACTGTCTTATTTTAATGTCAGAATAAATATGTATTGAAGTAGTAGTATACTGAGGTCGTTGGCAAAGCCTGGGTCCTGTCCTCTCGTTCTCCTCCCCAGACAGCATGAGTTTCACCACTTGCTCCAACTTCTCCACCAATTACTGGTCCCTGGGCTCTGTCCAGCCGCCCAGCTGGTCAACAGCGTGGCCAGAGCCTATGCACGTGCCAGGGGCTCTGGTTTCCAGATCTCCGTGTCCTGCTACACCAGCTTCTGGGATGGCTTGGGGTCCCGGGGCCTGGCCGCAGGGATGGCTGGGGGCCTGGCAGGAATAGGAGGCATCCAGAACGAGAAGGAGACCATGCAAAGCCTGAAAGACCACCTGGCCTCCTACCTGGACAGACTGAGGAGCCTGGAGATCGAGAACTGGAGGCTGGAGAGCAAAATCTGGGAGCACCTGGAGAAGAAGGGACCCCAGGTCAGAGACTGGGGGCCATTACTTCAAGATCATCGAGGACCTGAGGGCTCAGATCTTAGCAAATACTGTGGACAATGCCTGCATCGTTCTGCAGACTGACAATGCCCATCTTGCTGCTGATGACTTTAGAGTCAAGTATGAGACAGACTCTCAGGCGCCAGTCTGTGGAGAGCAGCATTACGGGCTCTGCAAGGTCACTGATGACACCAATGTCACTTGGCCACAGCTGGAGACAGAGATCGAGGCTCTCAAGGAGGAGCTGCTCTTCATGAAGAACCACAAAGATGAACTAAAAGGCCTACAAGCCCAGATTGCCAGCTCTGGGTTGACCATGGAGGTTGATGCCCCCAAATCTCAGGACCTCGCCACGATCATGGCAGACATCTGGGCCCAATATGACAAGCTGGCTCGGAAGAACCGAGAGGAGCTGGACAAGTGCTGGTCTGAGCGGACTGAGGAGAGCACCACAGTGGTCACCACCCAGTCCGCCCAGGTTGGAGCTGCTGAGATGACACTCACGGAGCTGGGACGTACGGTCCAGTCCTTGGAGATCGACCTGGACTCCATGAAAAATCTGAAGGCCAGCTTGGAGAACAGCCTGAGGGAGGTGGAGGTCCGCTACACCCTGCAGATGGAGCAGCTCAACGAGATCCTGCTGCACCTGGCGTCAGGGCTGGCCCAGACCCAGGAAGAGGCGCAACACCAAGCCCAGGAGTGCGAGGCCCTGCTGAACATCAAGGCCAAGCTGGAGGCTAGGGTCACCACCTACCGCTGCCTGCTGGAAGACGGTGAGGACTTCAATCTTCAATCTTGGTGATGGACAGCAGCAACTCCACGCAAACCATTCAAAAGACCACCACCTGCCGCAAAGTGAGTGGCAAAGTGGTGTCTCAGTCCAACGACACTAAAGTTCTGAGACATTAAGCCAGCAGAAGCAGGGTACCCTTTGGGGAGCAGGAGGCCAATAAAAAGTTCAGCGGTTTAAATAAAAAAAAAAAAAAAGGCTGGGTGCGGTGGCTCACGCCTGTAATCCCAGCACTTTGGGAGGCCGAGGCGGGCAGATCACGAGGTCAGGAAATCAAGACCATCCTGGCTAACACGGTGAAACCCCATCTCTACTAAAAATACAAAAACAAAAAATTAGCCGGGCGTGGTGGCGGGCGCCTGTAGTCCCAAATAATCTGGAGACTGAGGCGGGAGAATGGCGTGAACCCGGGAGGCGGAGCTTGCAGTGAGCCGAGATTGTCCCACTGCACTCCAGCCTGGGCGACAGAGTGAGACTCCGTCTCAAAAAACAAAAAAAAAAAAAAGAGAGAGAAAAAGAAAAAAAAAAGTAGTATACTGAGAAAAATATGGGGCCAAGAAAACAAGGAGGATGAAAATGAGTTGTGTTTTTGTATTTTTTAATGACTTTCAAAACAAGGTAAGAAAATTATAAGTGGCTCTTGTTTTACTCAATGTAATAGATCAATAACAATAGAATTAGTTCTAAATATTTTTTAAATACCATCATTCGTAATTACAAAAATTAAATGGTAAGCAATTATGAAATCAACAAAATGAAAATTTCAAAACCCAGCACTAGCAGGATGTGAGGAAAGTTGTAAACTTAAAGATTGATGATGCTGCTATAAGCTGATAGTTTTTCCAGGGAGCAATCTGGCCATATGTAACAAGATCTACAAGCAATTCTTGCCTCTAACCCACAGAACCTACCTTGGAAACTAAACCCTAATGAAGAACTCTCCAAGTAAAATAAATGTAATTTGTTCATCTATGTTTATAGTGATACTTTTTGTAATAGTTAAAATTGGGGAAAATCTGAGTATCAAGCCACAAGAGAATGGTTAAATAACCAATCGTGGTATAATAAAAGACGTTATTGGCCGGGCGCGGTGGCTCAAGCCTGTAATCCCAGCACTTTGGGAGGCCGAGGCGGGCGGATCACGAGGTCAGGAGATCGAGACCATCCTGGCTAACACGGTGAAACCCCGTCTCTACTAAAAATACAAAAAACTAGCCGGGCATGGTGGTGGGTGCCTGTGGTCCCAGCTACTTGGGTGGCTGAGGCAGGAGAATGGCGTGAATGTGGGAGGCGGAGCTTGCAGTGAGCCAAGACCGCGCCACTGCACTCCAGCCTGGGCAACAAAGCAAGACTCCTTCTCAATAAATAAATAAATAAATAAATAAATAAAAGACGGAATTATTGATCCCGAATCTTTGCTCCCTTCCTATAAGATATCCCATCCAGTTCCCTGTGACTTGCCTGGGAATCATGTGGGATGAGTGGAAGTCCTCAACCCAGTGAGTCTTGGCTTGGTCATGTGATATACTTTGGCCAATGGGATGTGAAGAGACAACCTATTCACCATCCCCTCGCACAACAGCTTTCAATGACGTTACATGCTTCTCATTACACTACCACTCTTTGATGACAATAACTTCTCATCAAAACATGACAAGTTATATAGTAGCGGATATAGCAAACATATATTTGAAAAAAGGTCATGAAAAAGTAAATAAAAAATAGGTAGACACAAAAGATATCGATATAAGGCAAGCCAATGAGTACCAGAAATTAATTGAAAATGATATAATCATTTATAATTATTTTTGTCAATGAAGTATCTGTTTATACTTCATCTGCACCTACATCTATATCGCCACATCTTTTCATTCTCATTTAGATGCTACCTCTTTATAAATATATTTTTCAACAATTCTGTACATACCATATTCATAACAGAAATATTTCTATCCAACACGCTTTGTCTGCTTCAATGACATAAAGATTAGTGAACACTTATGGCAAAAGTAAATCTAGTGCAAAGGTTATTATTCAACCTTTCACATGTACGATTTAGGGTTCAACAATTCTTTTGTCAGATTATAAAGAAGGCAACTGTAAAAAACAGACAAAAGCAAGAGTTAGAAGAAAGTGTTTGCTGGGCTGGGCATGGTGGCTCACACCTGTAATCCCAGAACTTTGGGAGGCTGAGGAGGGCAGATCACCTGATGTCAGAAATTGGAGACCAGCCTGGCCAATATAGTGAAACCCCATCTCTACTAAAAAATACAAAAATTAGCCGGGCCTGGTGGCGCATGCCGGTAATCCCAGCTACTTAGGAGGTTGAGGCAGGAGAATTGCTTGAACCTGGGAAGCGGAGGTTGCAGTGAGCCAAGATCATGCCATTGCACTCCAGTCTGGGCAACAGAGCAAGACTCCATCTCAAAAAAAAAAAAAAGGATTTGCTGAGATAATCCACTTCCTTGTCATCAAACATTGTGTGAAAGCAAGATCTCAAAGACCCTCACCTATATGAGGGTAAAGCTGTGTTACCACTGAATTTATCTTTATGACCTACATTAGAAATTCCATTGCATCTGTATGATTCAAGAATCACAAAAATGTTCACTATATCAATCTCACTCATAATTAATCCTAAAATAAATTCAACAGCAAAAAAAGTATTAATGTGAATCATTTTCACTATCATCTTCTATGCGATAGCAAGAAATGTAAAATGTGCATGCTTTCAATAATAACAACAACAAAAAAAGGCCAGGTACAGTAGCTCACACCTATAATCCCAGAATTTTGGAAGGCCAAGGCCGGGGTGGGGTGGGGGTGGGGGAGATAACTTGGGGCCAGGAGTTCGAGACCAGCCTGGGCAACATGATGAAACCCATAACTATGAAAAATAAAAAAATTTGGCACAGGATGTTGGCATACACCTATGGTCTTAGCTACTTAGGAGGCTGAGGTGGAAGGATTGCTTGAGCCCAGGAATTCAAGGTTGCAGTGAGCTATAATCACACCACTGCACTCCAGCCTGGGCAACAGAGCAAGACCTTGTCTTTAAAAAATTAATTAGTTTTTTAAAAAATATTAAGAGGATTTATAGTATATCAATTGTAAAGATACTACAAATATTAGTTATTAAGACTACAAGTTAGCTGGGCATGGTGGCTCACACCTATAATCCCAGCACTTTGGGAAGCTGAGGCGGGAGGATCACTTGAGCCCAAGAGTTCGAGACCAGCTTGCGTAACCTAGTGATACCCTGTCTCTACAAAAAAATAAAAAATTAGCTGGGCATGGTACCACATGCCTGTATTCCTAGCTACTCAGGAGGCTGAGGTAGGAAGATCTCAAGATCTTGTCTCAAAAAAATAAAAAAATACAGAAATTATGTATAGATTATGAAGGAGTATATAAAATTACAAGTATGAAATTATGTCTACACATGAACATTAACTATTAGGTTGATGTCAAAGTAATTGTGGGTTTTGCCATTACTTTTAATAGCAAAAACTGTGATTACTTTTGCGCCAACCTATAAAAAACATCAAAAAATTTTTAAATAGCTGGTCATAGGTTTGTGGCTAAGTTTATACCAATTTTTTAAACATGTTGGTACACTGAGAGAAAAAATGTCTAATATTTGTATTTACAAAATCTGTACTTGCTATGAAATATACCCACGTCTCTCAGTTACAAAAGAATCTGGTATGCTTCAAGTTTCTAAAAACAATTTATTTTAAATATCTTTCTAATTAGGACAACCTTGAGTTAGTAAACGAAGCACATCCAGTTTGATTTTTATCATTTCCTGATAACTTGAGCTCATTCCTGGAACATCAATGGTTTTTACTATATTCCCTAGTTTAAAGATGATACCTTTCACTGCTAGGGAAAATAATGGGTACCCCCGGTAGATACTAATGAGCAGAAGGGCTGCTGCAGATCAGGTCTAGGTAACGTTTTCCTTTTTGCCTTTGAGAAGTGGTGATGAAGAGTGGATACAAGCACAAGCTCTGGATTCATGCCCAGATTTGACACTAGGCTCCATCATTCACTAGTATTTGCATGCCATGATGTTACATAGTAAACCAGTATTTATTTACCAGCTGTAGGATCTTGTGCAAGTTACTTAGCCTTTCTAAGCCCGAGTTGTCTCATCTACAATAGGCCAAAGATAGTGCTTACTTCACAGGGTTGCCGTAAGGATCAAGAAAGATAATCCACTGGACAAAGCACTTGCACACGGTAAGTACTATACTAACTAAAGGCCAATTAATATCAGTCTCTCTCTGCTGGTCATCTAAGGTGTCATCAGGCTTACATTTTACCATCACCTATAACTACTTTTACTTTCTGTCTCTAACTACTTTTCCTTCAGTCCTCTTAGGCATCACTGAAGAACTAGGGCTCCTAAGAGTAGTTTGATAACCATCTATGACGGTGCTGTCCAAAAGAAATATAATGTGATCCATAAATGCAAGCCACCTATGTAATTGTTGATTCCCTTGTAGTCACATACAAAAGTAAATCAAGACAGGTGAAATTAATTTTGACAACAGATTTATCTCAATATACACAAAATATTATGTCAACATATAATAAATAAAAAATTATGAGATATTTTACTTTTTTTTGATAACAAGTCTTCAAGGTCCCATGTGTATTTGACACTGACAGCAATATCCCAACTCAGACTAGCCACATTTCAAATGCTAAACAGCCACATGGGGCTAAAGGCTACGTTATTAGTTGCTGATTCTTTTCAAGATTATGACCACAGAAAAACATCTCCACTTTCGAAAACATCAAAATGCATTTATTAAACAAGCTGGTGGATAGACAAAAGGAAAGAATGAATGGAAGGAGGAAGGAACACATGTACTTGACCTACACAGACTTCTGAGCCTAACGTGGTGGTTAAGAACTTGGGCTGTGGAATCAGAGAGAACGGGTTCACATGCCACTTACTCCACTTACTAGCTGTGAGAGCTGAGCAAATAACTTCTTTAATTCTCACATTTCTCAAGGATAAACTATAGATAAAAATAACATCTCCTTCATAATGTTGTTACAAGTTTAAAGGTTATAGCAGAAAGGGGGTTTCTATACATAAAGCTCTGCTGTATAAAAGGCCAAAGATAGGAGTGGGGAAAACCGATGAAGAGAATACTGAGCAAATTAGCTTGACATAAGTAAAGAGGCCATGGTGGAGAAAAGCTGTTCATATTATTTATATTCACAATGCCTGTTACGTGCCCAATTACACAAAACAATTTGAACAGAGGCAGCTATTAATAAAATAATTGCAATGGCATTTCTAAAGCTCTCAGTGGCTTACAACTCCCCAGCCTGCTTGCTTGCTTGCTTCTTGGCAGTATTCTAACTAAGTAAGTGGGGGAGACAGAGGGCAGAAGGCCAGAATTTGCAGAACAAAGATTTTTCCGTACTGTATATATTAATATTAACCACATTTTCTAGCCTCCATAAGCCAAATGGATATATCTGAATTTTTCTTTGAAGGATGAGATTCTCAGTGTCTCAAATTTAAACTGAACGTTACTCTTCAATGTACTATAAAGACATTAAACTAAATGCCTACTGCTCTTTAAACTTTTCTTGAAAATTGATTTTGTGAATAATTCCTGATATTTTGCTTTGAATTTGCTCTTGTTATGTGCTACAAAACACAAAAGTCTAGCTATTTAAAAAATTAAAGTTAGTTCTGGTCTGCTAATGATGACTTTAAATGTTTAATCATTTTAACGATCCAAGCCACTACATGGTCTAAATTAGATGTTGAGTTTCTTAAAGACCACAAACATGTCTTCTCTATCCAGGTAACTTCTAAACCAAGATTTCTCTGGTAGGTATTCCATTTACTATTAGTGCCCTTCCATATTACAGGTGTTCCATAACATAGATTTTTTTTAAAAGATTCTTACTAAAATGAATTTAGCTTTGAAACATTTTCATTTACTGCAAGACTTCTCAGAGCCTTTAATGTCAACACACACAGATTTCAAAGTACTGAGCTCAGTCACTATTATAGTTTTATCATCTACAAATGAGAAAAAAATGTAAACCAAGAACCAAACAATAAGGAGATAGCCTAATTGCCCCATGGAAATAGGTGGTCTTTGCACTTCTGGCCTGATGTGCTGCTCACTGTGCATTCTCTTTTATCATACCCAAAAAGATATTAATGTTGAATACATATACGGTAATTAATCTATCAGAATCCTCCAAACTAATTTATTCCAAAGGAATAATTTACTATTATTTGAGCTAATTTATTCCAAAGGAAGGAAGGGAAGAAGGAGGAGGGAGGAGTGAGAAAGGCAATAAAGAAGAGGGAGGAGGGAAGAGAGGAGGAGGGAGGAAAGCAGTTTGAATAACTACTAAATATTAGTGCATATTCACGGGCAAAGCTAAAATTCCTAAACACATTCATAAGGATGAAGGGGCACAAAGTACACACTCATACCTAACCTGGCACTCAGAAAACGTGCCTCATTTTAGGAACAACCAAACAGCTGCTCAGCAGAAGCACTGCACAAATCATCCTCCCCAGCCTTTATTTTTAGACACTTCTTAGGTAAAACAATAATTTTCTAAAGAATATAATTAAGACTGGTAGATGTCATTTCATTATTTTGGAGTTTTAATTTGTTTCACATCAGTCCCATTTTTCCCCTCATAAATCACATAATTATATAATATTCCATAAGAAATTCCTTACCTTTGAATAAAAGAATATATATGATCTTTTAAAAATGTACTGATTTAAAAAGCACAATCCACCCAGGATGTTAGTCATTATAACCCACGGATTTAAACACACAGGGAGTCTAAAAGTCAGCCCCATTTTTCAAATGATAAATTGAAGACTTGCTTATGTGTCAAAAAATGTGTACCTTCATCATTTAAAGCACATTTTACAAAATGTATAATGCAAAAGAATAGGCCTAATAGATCACAGTATTTCCTGGGCAGAAGGGAATGCTAATTGCCTCCTGGAGTCTTAAATGAAACCTAATTGCTGGCTTGAGCTGTCACCACTGACCCTAGAAACAGACTGGTGCACCCTTCATAAACCTAATACGGCATAATCCTCCTTTATTATGGTTATTACAGCTCTTCAGTGGGACACATCTGCCACAAAAATAAACTGCAGCTTCTCCTCTAAATGGAGGTGTCACTTCTCCACCCCAGAGCAAGCAGCGCTGATGGCAGAAATCACTCTGTACAAGTGGTACCACTTCACAGCCTAGAGCTACTTCCCAACTGGGACTCACACACGTCCACAGATACTACTACAGCAACCATGAAGCTACTCCATGGTGATGGGGGAAAAGAAAGGACGAGGAGCGTGAACAGCTATTTATTTATTTAAAAAAAAAATCCACCACCATAAAGCAAATGGGAAAAGCAGAAGAAGAGTATCTAATACAAATCATGGGTTAGAGCTAGGAAATCCATGTGTAAATCCATTAGATTTACAAACAAAATTTCAGATATTGAACCCAAGAAATATTCCTTTCAATTTGTTTTGAAGTTTTTTTGGACACACTCTTAAAAAAATTACTTCAATTAGAAACATTTCTCTTACATCTATTACTCATCAATTCCCTAAACATTTATTGAACATGTACTCTGCATCAGATGCCATAAACCCAAGTATAAATAAATTACAAAATATGTCTCCAAAGGTGTGAAAATAAGCAAACAGTACAGTATTATAGGAAGGCAGAGAAGATGGCAATGATAATATAACTATTATTAGGGATATTATTATCCCTAATAATAAAAAGGGAACATCAGATAAAACCTCCAAAAAGGACATAAAAATCATATACACATTAAAGAATCAGAAAGAGATTATGTGATCAGATGTAAAAAAGAATTGCAGTGGGGGCAGAAAGTAACAATAACAGCATAAGTCAAAGCAACAAGGTTTCAACCCTGAGAAATGTTTGGAGAAGGTTCACAGGGAGCCAAGAGATGTTTAGGGGAGAGGCCAGACAAGGCTAGGAAGTTAGGTGTGATCAAGAGCTATGCAGAGCCCTGACTGTGTTCACACCTGATCTCACCTGCCCTTCCCTCCCACATCCCTGAGTATGAGAGATTGAGAGTTGAGGGGTTAGTTTCTTGATCTTGTCCAAATTTAGTGAAATGTGGAAGTCAACCAGGCCAATGACGGAATTAAATGTAAACTCCAAGAGGGCTTTCGCAGGCCACAGGGTTCCAGTGACTTGGGTAACAGATGTTATTCTTAGCTCATCTGTTACGTGATGGTGATTTACCTGTCCATTTCCTACCCAAAAGCCCATCAGAAAGCATTATTTAGAGAAAACCACTTTACATTGTTGTTAAACTCCTGATTGCTGCTCTTAAGAATATATACATATGTATTCATGGGAATATTTTTTCTCAATATTTGTATGATTCGCTTATTGTATTGTGCTGAGTGAGCTCCTGTGTGCTTCAGACAAAAATAAATGAGACTTTCTGTTTACATTTTTAAAAAAGAGCTGTGCAGAGCCTTGAGTGCTCTGCTAGAGAGTGTGTACTTTAATCATAAGCAGTTTTTAAATGAAATATTTTAGAAGGGAGAATGTAATAAACACACGTTTCCATCACTCAGCTTAGGAAACAAAACAGTATCACATGTCTGTCCTCACCTCCACCCCTGCTCACCATACCCTGTCTTTTGTGTTTATCCTTCTGGTATTTCCTTATACTTTTACTACACACACACACATATATATGTATGTATGTTATATGTACACACACATATAGTATGTATGTTATATGTACACACACATATAGTATGCATGTATATATGTAGTAAAGGTATAAAGAAAATGTGTATGTGTGTGCCTGTGTATATGTGTAAACAATATATGGTGGCAAGAAAGATTTTAAGCAGGAGAGCGAAAATATCAGACATACCTTAGAAAAGACTCTAGCATAGAAGGGAGACTGGTGCCCGCACCAAGAGAGGGGACAGCATACACAAAGTGGTGCCACAACAGGTGTCTGTCATAATGACGCGGGGGGGCAGCCTCAGCCTCACAGGGCATTCTTGGGCAAGGGGAAGGCAGACCTGCATGGACAGTTACAGGCAGGGACATGGGGGAGTGAAGCAGTGGCAGTTCCCAGGCAGCTGACAGGCCAGTGAGGGGGTGAGGTAGGTTAACCAGGACACAGGGCACAGTGAGGTCAATGCCAAGGCCAGAATGGCAAGAGGGCCTGACCCAGAGAGAGATTAGGGAAGGCTGCCCAGAGAAAGTGGTATTGAAGGAGGGCTTGGAGGGATGGTTTTGATAGGCAATGATGAGTGTTAGGATTTTTAGGCAAGGAAACAGCACAACATTAGGTGGAAAATGACTGGGCCTGTTCAGGAAACACCTGCAGTTTGGCATAACCCTGAGGAATAGTGGGACATAAATCTGAAGAAATCAGACGCCCACGTGGGAATCATTTGTGGAGAACCTTAAACATCAAGCTGAAGTATATACGTAATTCATGACAAATTCACTTTCATGACCATGAAATCTGCCTTAATCCCGTTGACTTAGGAGCTAAAATAACGGTGAGAGCCAAGCTTGTGATTTGGGGGGGAATATCAATGATATCACTGCTGCTTATTATAGTTCCATAAGTAGAACAGGCTGTCTTGGATATGCGTGAGCTGGCAAATCTGCCTTGACATGGTGTCATAGGGTCTCTCCAACTTTCTCTCACTGTAAAAACTAGTAACTTTGAGTTTGAATAATGGGGTATTCTGCCTTTTTCTCTTTTCTATATGATACAAAAGACAATAATGCATAGGACGGAAACTAAGCATATTCTAATCGGTAAATCCAAACCTGAAAGGTTTATATCTTAACCCTGAGATGTTCCTCCTTCCTAACCCTTCAGTGATATTTATTCTCCCATGATCTACAACATTTCCTAGACTTGAAAATGAGAGGAAAAATTACCATGTTTTTTAAGTATCCAAGTATAGCAAAATATTAAGAACCATAGTATGAGTAACTTCAGAAAATAGCTTAAAAATGGAATTTGTCTCCTCAAATGAACAAAGATAATAAGATATGTATAATACATACTGATATCTGTTTAATTTTTAAAAATTACATATAGTCATTAACAAGATGTAATTTTCCCAGAGCATAGTAATTATTTATCAAAGAATAAATAATAAATCACAAACTAGGCTGAGCTCTTATCCCTCAGGTCAGCATTTCAGAAATGCATTCATTCACTGATTCTATAACACGTTTTTTTTTTTTAGATGGAGTCTCGCTCTGTCTCCCAGGCTGGTGTGCAGTGGTGCCATCTCAGCTCACTGCAACCTCCGCCTCCTGGGTTCAAGTGATTCTCCTGAGTAGCTGGGACTACAGGTGCACGCCACCATGCCCAGCTAATTTTTGTACTTTTAGTAGAGACGGGGGTTATTACTATGTTGGCCAGGATGGTCTCGATCTCTTGACCTCATTATCCCCTTGCCTCAGCCTCCCAAAATCCTGGGATTACAGGCGTGAGCCACTGCGCCCGGCCACACTTTTAAAAAATAATCAACTCCAATTCATTATCTGCAAAATGGCAACATCATCGTCATCATGGCTATGGCTACCCAACCTCCACCTAAGATGAACTGAATAAGATCCCTACCAGAGAGGCTTGTAACTTAGTAGAGGAGATAGGAAGGTAAACAAGCATAATATGGTAAACTTACTAATGCTGGTAATTTCAAAGTGCTATGGGACTATAAAGAAAAGAATGGGCTGGGCACAGGGGCCCACGCCTGGAATCCCAATACTTTGGGAAGCCAAAGTAGGAGGATCGCTTGAGCCCAGGAGTTCAGGACCAGCCTGGGTTTGAACATAGGGAGACTCCATCTGTACAAAAATTTTTTAAAAATTAGCCAGGCAAGGTGGCTGGCACCTGTGGTCCCAGCTACTTGAGAGGCTGAGGTAGGAGGATCACTTAAATCCAGGAGGTCAAGGTACAGTAAGCCATGATCACCCCACTGCACTCCAGCCTTGGTGACAGGGTAAAACCCTGTCAAAGAAAGAAGGAAAAGAAAAGAACGAGAAAGAAAAGAAAGGCTGGGCTCAGTGGCTCACGCC
The DNA here is from genome assembly GCF_000001405.40 of Homo sapiens. Classification (NCBI taxonomy): domain Eukaryota; kingdom Metazoa; phylum Chordata; class Mammalia; order Primates; family Hominidae; genus Homo; species Homo sapiens. The sequence continues at coordinate 214,544,491 of NC_000001.11, forward strand.
TGTAATCCCAACCCTTTGGGAGGCCAAGGTGGGAGGATCACCTGAGGTCAGGAGTTCGAGACCAGCCTGGCCAACACAGCAAAACCCCATCTCTACTAAAAATTTAAAAATTAGCCAGGTGTGGTGGCTGTATGCCTGTAATCCCAGCTACTCAGGAGGCTGAGGTAGGAGAATCGCTTGAACCTGGGAGGTGGAGGTTGCAGTGAGCCGAGATAGCACCACTGCACTCCAGCCTGGAAGACAGAGCGAGACTCCATCTCAAAACGAGAAAGAAAAAAAAGAAGGGAACAGAAGAAAGAGACAGAGAGAAAAAAGAGGAGGGAAGAGGAGGTAAGAGAGAAAAAAGAGGAGGGAAGAGGAGGTGAGAGAGAAAAAAGAGGAGGGAAGGGGAGGTGAGAAAGAGAAAAGAAAGGAAAGGAAAGGAAGGCTTCAGTGGGGAGGAGCAGAGTGAAGGTGGAGCCTTAGTTGACCACAAAGAGGTTAAGCAGGCAGGAAGGGGTAAGACCACTCTGGGTCTGAATGTAACAAAGGAGAAGAGAATTAAACACCACTAAGTGTTAGGGGCGCTAGCACAGATAGAGAGAAAGAGCAGCAGATGGGTATGAGAAGATAGGAATCCATATCATAAGGGGAAAAACAATTAAATAGTACTCAAAAAAGTAAAATCTTCAAAAATTTGAGATCAAAAACCCTTTCTGCAGCGCTGAAAGAGTAAAAATAATTTTCTGCTGCTATAACAGAATATCACAGATTAGGTAATTTATAAAGAGCAGAAGTTTATTTGGCTCACAGTTCTGGAGGCTGGAAAAGTCCAAAAGCATGGTGCTGGTATTTGGCCAGGGTCATCCTATGGTGCAAAGGTGGAAGGTAGAGGCAAGCACAGAACATGGAGAAAGGTACCAGGGGCCAGACTCCCTTTATCACAATCTACTCTTGAGATAACAAATCTGACATTAATCCCTTCATGAAGGCTCCTCCTAATCACCTCGTAAAGGTCCCACCTTTTAACACTGTTTACAATGGCAATCAAATTTTACCATGAGTTTTGGAGGGGACATTCAAACCACAGCAATGCTCTTGGAACAATCTCAAGAGGCCAGTAAGGATGGAGGGAAAGGAGCAAATGGAAAATACTTTTACAGACTCAAACTCGAAGGGACCTAATGACTGATGGGATTTGTTACTGGGGTTTGAGAAAGGGATTGAGGGTGCTAAGAATGACAGGTTGAAGAAAACTCCAAATGCCTGGCTTGAGCAGCTAACTCAATAGATAGCAATGTCACTGAGATAGGTAATTTGGAAGCAGCACATTTTGTGACAAGAAACTGGAGAGTTCAAGTTGGGACAGGTAGGATGTGGCATGTATAGCAGACACTCAGATGGATCTAAGCACCAGATAAACCCAACTGTTTGGTAGCAAGCAGAGAGGTCTGGACTGGAGACGATAGCCAAGGAGATCCAGCAACATGGAAACATCTAATTAGTGCTTTACATGAACCTGGCTAGGGATACGAGGCCATTAACCAAGCCTCTCTGCAGCTCTAAAGCAACCAGGAATGGAATCATTCAAACTGGTGCAGTGAAAAAGTGACCACCATACCAAGCCTGAGGAACAGGGGTGGGTGAACCAAGCAAGACTTCTTAGCTCAGTGCTTCTCAAAATGCAGTTGGTCAGGACCAAGAGCATCACCCAGGAGCTCTTTGGAAATGGAAATTCTCAGGCCTACCTTAAACGTGCTGAATCCAGAAACCGAGGTAGGCATGGGGAACGGCAACCTTTGTTTAAGAAGCCCTGCAGGTGATGCTCACTGGAGGTTGACAATCTACTGCCTTGGCTAATGCCCCAATTACTTGAGGAATGTAGTGTGAACAAATTAACCCCCAGAGGTGAATTTCCAAAGACACAAGGAAATTAAGTAGAAATAAAGTACACATTTCATACGAAAATATGCATTAGGAACTGTGGCTAATTTTCAACTGTGAGTAATTTTTCCCTGTGAACGCAAAACTTGTAAGGCAAAGTAGATCAAGTCAGTGGCCCACATGGTATGGCTTCCTAACTTAGGAATACAGTTCAGCACTAAAATCTCAAACAATCTAAACGTGAAGAGGATATTTTTCTACTTAGAGACGATGCTACATCACCAAAGGATCCCTTTCTCATTTTCTCACCAGACTCCTCCCTATTGACCAACATAAAGCATTTACGGGATGGCCAGCTAGGGTTACGGCTCTCTGGATATGCAGTAGTCCTCGGGGTCAAACTAATTGACGAGGCTCAAGATGAAACTCTTGACCTGGGCCTAATTTAGCCCCTAAGGAAACTAAGCTAAATCAACTACATATCAAATTTTACATGTAAGGTTGATCTAAGAATGGCTATGAAATGTTTTTTCCAATTGCAAGGATCCTGAAGAAAATCAAACAAAAGCTTGAGGGGGGAAGAAAAGTCAAGAAACACAGAACCAACAGGAAAAAGGAAAGGAAAGTAAAACAATGTTAATATGTCATTTATAACCCAACCTAGAGCCAGAACTACCCTTATCACACAAAAAGGCACTTAGTCACTATTACCTTTTACACAGCTACTCTGTGTCCTTCATCCACAAGCATTGCATCATATCCTTTAATTCAGAATTATAAATAATTATAAGATTATTTATTTTCATAATCAGCATGCATGCAATATATGGCAAAGGCACTGCTGGTCTGGGCAAGATACATTTCCTCTCCCCTCCTATTACAAAAGTCCAGGTCAGGCCTGCATTTTCCTGGGCTCTCTCCCCGATTCCCCAAAGGGGTAGGATACCTTCATATGATCTCCAGCCCTGCACGCAATCCTGCAGAAAAGATTTAACCAATTCTTTGCCATCCTGTTTCAAGAACACACGCTGCATACCTGCCCTTTTTTCTAACATTGTTCTAACATTGTTCATTCCTTCTAACATTCCCTTCCGCTTTGAGGTTGATACGAAGATCTATGATTTAACGTTTGTCAAATACTCTAGGCTTCTCAGATGAAAGACAACATTAAAGTTCAAATAACCAGTGGCTGGCATTACACTAGAAGTGTTGCAGTTTACTGTTTATATTTGGGCTTCAAAAAGGGAAATCAAGGCTGCAAAGATACAGCAGCTAGCTTTTGTACTCTAGTTAAAGGCAGACAGAGTTATCCTAACATTCTTTAATCAACTAGATTTCAACATTAGAAATACAAGGATCCTTATATAAAACACTGGACCATCATTACAGTAAGAAGTATACAAGGAAAAGGATCTTGTTCTCTGCCCTTCTAATCTCTCAGTGGCTTTCCCTCCTCAAACTTCTCTACTGCCTGGTCCCCCACCTCTCAATTTCCTCTTGTAGGAGGAGCCACATGGCAGCTGCCAGCCAACATGTTTATTTTGAGCCAATAGACTGAAAAAAAAAAAAAAGTCAAAAACAAAGCTTTATGTGTATGTTGACACACATGTGAATTCAGGCTGCTGAAAAAAATCACACACAAAGAGCACATTCATGGCCACATACAAGTCCTTGAACATATAAATAGCCATCCTTGACCTATTCTGTGTGAGGTACTGTTATACAGCATGACACTGAATTCTCCATACATATCCTGAGAGGCCAAATGTTACCAGATCCATTTTGCAGATGAAGAAACTGAGGCTCAGAAGGGCTATGACGTCCATCCAACATCACACAGCTAAAAAATGGCAGCGCTAGAATTCCAACCTAGCTATATTTCAAACTCCCAAACCTGGACCGCCTGCTCCAGCACACTGACAGCCAGGAAAAGCTACAGAATTTGCCACACATACCCCTTGGACCACTCAATAAGCCCTCCATGGGATGCATACAGAGGAAGCGTAAATTAAATCAATTTAAATCCGTAAGGGGAGATCCAAAAGCGTATTTTAACATTAACTTGAACCTCCTCCCTACCAAAGCTTTCGTGTTTGTTTTCCCTCATTCCTTAATTGGCTAATTAAGTATTTCATCTTGTCTTTCTCATGCCTTATCTCTAACAAAGCTCACAGCACTGTTCTCAGGCTTAAAATGAATTTTTTAAAAACACAGCATTTGGTGACTAAGTAATGAAGCTCAAATGCAAGAATTTGATGAAATCCTTGTTCAAAAATGACAAGAATATGGAACCCAGGGGGGCTATAATATGTAATCAAAGGGTTGATGTTTGCTTCCCCGGAGCAAATTTAAACCTCTAATAAGGAAGGAAGGCACTGGAAAATAAAAAATCCTCATAGTTCTTGACACTTAGCCCATCCGTTCAGGGCAAATAAGAATTATTCTAAAAATTCTGATTTTTCTCTGAATTCCTTATGGTGCTTCCCTATTAAAAGCCTAACTGTCCTTTCTATTACAGCTACCAGCATGACACAGTATGCACAAATCTGAATAACTCAAGTGTTAATAATAATTACATGTTTAAGCCAATGATGGAAACTGGGCAAATGTCTGGGATTAGTGGGAGTGGGCTTCTCTTCAGCCATTTCTCTCATGCAGGTCCCTACACCTTCAGGAAAACTTCTGTGAAGGGGCTGTTCCTGAGATAAGAAAAGATGCTGGTAGAGGGGCTTGGATAAACACCCAAAGTTGTAGGAAGTCAGTGTGTTCTTCCCACTCTGATGTACTGGCCTGAGGTCACCAAAAGCTGGATGTCTGCCACCTCAGCCAGGACTCAGCCACTATGAACAATACTACAACACCACTTCAGTCCAGTGAAGAGACACCCTTGAAAGGCAAACCACGTACAGAATGCTACTGCATTGTAAGAAACTTTTCTAGGCAGGATTTGCTGAATCCTGGGCCATTAGTCTACAAAAATGTGCAAGATAGTGTTTTCTATTTTCATAAAGTTTCAGAGAAAAGAACGACTTTAGCACAACTGTGCTAAAGCAATAGTAATGACTTAAAAGCAGAGAAAAGTATAACAAACTTAGTGACATACAGATGAACGAATTTTGCACCTCATGGCCACCCATTCAGACTGGGCAAAAAGGGCATCATGCCATTCAGCTCCCGCTCATTAAGGCTGTCATTTCTATGGCACAAGCTTCAACCTCATCACCAAACAATTAGCTAACTTTATAATACAAGGTCCGTAATGCTGCGGTATTACCACACCTACGGCTGTCAAACAGCCTTTTTAAAAAAGGAATCATTGCTTGAATGTGGGGGACAAAAAAGAAGAATCAATACCATTTTAATGAAACCGAGCATGGGCCAATTAAAATGTAGATGATCATACAACAGCTGCTTGTGGTAAAACAGCAGCAGGCATGGAGGTGTATCCAATTAGGGAGGCCTTGGCTCCTCGGTAAGCTACTTGTGGTTCCCATAAGTGGCTAACGTGCTTCTAGATTTATTTCTGATATTGGGGGTGGAGAGAATGCTATCCCAGCAACACTGCACCAACATGGCCATAAATGCCCCTCAGGCCCCCAGATGGCTAGGGAAACTTTCTGTCCTTCTTGTGTTCACTCTGCACGAGCTGTTTCCTCTGCCTGGAATACACCCTCCAGAGGAGCACAACCTCTATCCTCTAAGTGTAGTGCACCCTTCACCAGGACCAAGCTCGCCTCAGACTCTCACAGAACCCCTCTTCCATGTATTATCATTCTTCACCGGCCTTCAAGTTTCCTCCACTAGGCTGCAGACTCCTGCCCTGTGATCTCATTTAGCATCTTTCTATCCTGTTCCTAGCAGAGTAGAAGCTGGGTTTGTTGGATGAATGAGTAAACTAATCCATTTCAAGAAGTTAACACATTGGTGGAAACTCTGTAACTGCCCGCACCTGCAGTCTAGAGATTCCTCACCTTCACAAAGAACCTGCGACAGCCAGTCCCTAGACTTAAGCGGAAACCCCACAATTTCTGAAATTGTAGGTGGGGATGAGAAGGTTGGAGAACAAGAACCCAAGGAAGTGAGAGGGAAAGGGAGATAGGGGCAGCGTTACCTCACTGCTCTCTCCAAACGAAAAGGTGTAAACCCCATTTACAAGTATTCAAACCTGAGATCTGGGGGTCACGTGGGGAAGGAGAGGCTGTTAATACCTACAACTTTGGAAGTTTGAGGTGAAGACCTGATCTGAAATTGTTTGGCCACAGCTTTTTTTCTACGAGCCAGCTCGACCACCCAAGTAGGAGCCTCGACGCCCAGGAGTTCGGTGGCACCACTGGGGCCTAGTGAGAGGGCAGGAAAACTCCGCTCCCCTCAAGATTCCTTCCCGGTGGTGGTGGGGTGTGATTGGGAGCGTCGGGCAGCTGCATCCCCCTACCGCTGCAGCGACCGCGACGTCGTTCGTCTTTCATCCTCTAGCCCCCAAGGTCTAGGTATCTCTAGTTGCCCTTCCGAGGCCCTCTCTCGTTCCCAAAACGCAGAAGGGAATGGAGAGAGGGGACCAGGGTGTGGGTTTAACCACAAACTCCCCAGACTGCGCTCACCTTCCAGCTCGCTCCCGGGACCAGCTTTGCGCCTCACCGCGGGCAGCTCCCACCGCGAGATAACACCCCTGCGGCCCGGCCACCCCGCGCCCCAGGCTGCCCTGCCAGGCGTCCCGGGGCGCCAATCGCAAGTTGGCGTTGCCAGCGTCTGCCCAAGTCATCTGCAGGGCGCCCGGAGCGCCAAGGCGGCCTCCAACCTCGGGCCCAACTCCCGGCTTGGACGGGGCTTACCTGCTTACATGGCCCCCGTGGCGCCCCGGAGTCCCGCGCGGAAAGGCTGTCCTTCGCGGCGGCGGAGCCGATTCCCCACGGAATTGATTCCAGTGACTGGCGGAGGAGGGGCGAAGGGAAGGAGCCGCAGGAGGCGAAAGGGGAGGGAGGTTTCCGCCGCGATCCCGGCGCGAGAGTCCGAGCAGAGGCGCACCGGGGGAGAAAAGGAGAAAAACCTAAGCACGGGGCTGTCCCGCCCGAGGAGGCCGGGGAGGATGGCTCAGCTGGGAGGGGAAGGAGCGCCAGTGGCCACTTGATGTCTGTCTAGGGCTCCCCGAGGACCTGAGCCAGGAGAGCAGGCGGCTGAGCCCGGAGAAGCACAGCAACCTGCCCCCGAGTCTGCGCCCGCTGCGCTCACTCCGCCGAGAAAAAGTTGGAAAGAACTTTGAGGGGCCGGGAGAGCCAGAGCGGCAGGAAATGCGAGCGGCCGGGAGAGGAGGGAGGAAGGGGCCGTGCGAGTGGGAGGGGACGGAGCAGGCGCCGGCGGCCACGGCTCCCCCACCCCAGAGCCGGGCTCCGCGGCCCTGGGGGCCGGGAGGCGGAGGGAGCGCTGGGCGCGCGGCCGGGGGCGGGGAGGAATGCGGCCCGGGAGGGCGCGCGCCGGGGGCGCCGCGGGCGCGCGCTGAAACGTGGAGCCCCAGCTCCCGAGCTCCCGAGCTGGAGGCGCGCCGTCCTTGGGGACGTCACAGCGCTGGAATCCGAGGAATGCCGGGCTGCAGGAGCTCCTTCTGCAGGCCCGGAGAAGTCGCACACTTTTAATGGGGTAGTTTTGGAAAATGTTTTAAAAGGTGGGGGCCGAGGACGGAGGACCGGATGAAACTCCCTGGAGTAAGAGACGTGGAAGTGGAGAGAGCAAGGCGACCGCAGCCACCCCAACCCTGGGCTGCTCCCGCCGTTGGGGAGAAAGAGGCAAGGCAAGGAAGAGCCCACCTAGACTTCCGAGGACCGCAGAGACGGGGCGGCGGCAGGAACTTGCTCACCCCGACCTACATTCAGAATAGTCCACCTTATATTGGGGAACCCTCCAAGCAGGACGTTTCATGCAGCCACCCCACAGGGGAAAACAGACCAGGAGAAAGTAAGGTGGCCTCACCAAGTAGGCAATCTCAGAGATCTCTCCCTAGAATCTCTGGGTACTGGACCCGGTGTCTTAGCCTTCTCTCCCTGCCCCCTCCCGCCCCGTAGGAATGATAAAAAGCAGCCTGTGTGCTGAGAGTTGGAAAATGTCGTTTTCCCGGTTTGTTCCATGCCACAGAATCGCCCCACCCTGCCTGGGTAGGCACTGGGAGGGAACTTCCTTAGCACTTTCGGAGGTGGAGTTAATGAGACGCAGCTGGTATGATGGAAAAAGCTCGGAGCCAGGCGACTGAACCTGGGTTTTAGGCCCTGCCCGATTGGATAACTGAGGAGTATCCCAGCCCCTGAGATCCTAGGTTTCTGTAGCTGCAAAATTAAATAATTTGTCTAGATTTCTGTGGTCCTTTGCATTGCTACAAACATGTCTTGGGATTTATCTCGGTAAGATTCCAGTCCTTTGTTGAAAAGGGACCTTGAAGTCGTTGGCACACAATGTATTGTCCCAAATCACTTCAGTGTCCGGCAACTCATGCAAAAATTCCTGGCCTCTTGGGGAAGAGAATTGGAAACCAAAAAGCGCGGTGGCTCACACCTGTAATCCCAGCACTTTGGGAAGCCAAAGCTGGGGGATTGGCTGAGCTCAGAAGTTCGACACCAGCCCGGGCAACACGGTGAAACCCCGTCTCTACTAAAATTCAAAAAATGTTTCGGGGGTGGCGGCGTGCGCCTGTAGTCCCAGCTACTCTGGGGCTGAGGCAGGTTAATTGCTTGAACTTGGGAGGCGGAGGTTGCAGTGAGCCGAGATCGCGCCACTGCACTCCAGCCTGGGCTACACGGCCAGACTCCTCTCAAAAAAATAAAATAAAATAAAATAAAATAAAATAAATAAATCCGTAGTGACTCTGATTTTCTTCGAGCATCTGCCAATCTCTAGAACTGTAAATTAGAGAAAACGCCGAGTGCAATGCAAAAGTGATGGAAAGAAAAGGTTGAAGGGAAATCAACTTTCTCACATTTTAAAGGAAATAGCTGTACAGACGTGCTGGGTTTCCAAAGAAAACATTAGGCAGTGCCTGACTGTGTTCCAGAAAGTGTGGAAAGCACTCCCCCATTCCTAGATGAGGAAAGTGAGGCATGAAGAAATTACCTGTCTCACTGAGGGTCATACAACTAGGAAGATATGATCAGGGCCCTAGTCTGTCAGGCCTAAAGTGCATGCTCTTCATCTCTTTGAAATTGGACCCAAACAGGATTAGGATTAAAGATAAGAAAATGCCTTCAGGATCTCAATGTAAAACTCTGGCCTTTGCTCTTTCCTGGGAGATGGGAGACCTCTTGCTTGGTGTCTTTTCTAGTGAAAAGACACTAGGAAATATATTGTGTTGCTCTAACATCACTGTGCTACCAAACTGAGCACAGCACCCTGAGGCTGTTGTGGCATAAAAGAAGCAGCAAAGGACTTGTTGTCCTTCTTGGGCAGACACAAGGGTTCCGGTTCTGCCTCTGACCAGCCTTGGGACCCTGATCAAGGCACTTCACCTCTAGGCCTGAATTTATTTTCTAAGTAGAGTGTGGCAAAGAGGGCAGAGCTTGGTTGGAATAGTTCATCTCTGAGGTCTTTCCCAGGACTAAACTTCCATCAAAGTACTCTTCTCCAGATAGATGGCATGCCTGTGGAGGAAGCTAAGCAATAAAGCCAGTGGATAAAGCCAGTGTCTGGGGACAGGACTGTTTTCACACCGCCTTCAGATGAAAATGAATGTTGAGACTCCAATGAATGTGGCTGAGTGTTCAATGATAAGTAAAGCTAAGATTTAGCACTAACCCTGTGGACACATTTTAAAAATTTAGATAATTTTACTTACAGGAAGACAGTCTGGGCAACATGGCGAAACCCCAACTCTACACAAAATACAAAAATTAGTCAGGTATGGTAGCTCGAGGCTTGTAGTCCCAGCTACTAGAGAGGCTGAGGTGGGAGGATTGCATGAGCCTGAGAGACCGAGGCTGCAATGAGCTGAGATCACACCACTGCACTCCAGCCTGGGTGACAGAGTGAGATCCTCTCTTGAAAAAGAAAAAAAATATGCGTTATTAACTTAAAAGCCTATAGAGTGTATCTGACTAGCCATATTTCTTTTTCTTTAGAATAGATCACAGAAAGGCAATACAAATAAGAATATTTTCTAAGGCCGGGCGCGGTGGCTCACACCTATAATCCCAGCACTTTGGGAGGCCGAGGCGGGTGGATCACGAGGTCAGGAGATCGAGACCACAGTGAAACCCCTTCTCTACTAAAAATACAAAATTAGCCAGGCGTGGTGGTGGGCGCCTGCAGTCCCATCTACTTGGGAGGCTGAGGCAGGAGAATGGCGTGAACCCAGGAGGTGGAGCTTGCAGTGACCCGAGATCGCGCCATGGCACTCCAGCCTGGGCGACAGAGCAAGGCTTCGTCTCAAAAAAAAAAAAAAAGAATATTTTCTAAATAGAAAGTACAGCTTGAAGTGACAAAAACCTTTCATTCTCAGGATAAATATATAAAAGCTAGTTTCAAGCTTCTTTCAAAAAGAAAAAAGAAACCCATTTCCTAAATCTTTGTCACACTCAAGTCTCCTTATACTACATCAGGGTGAAAAGGAATTCGACTCATGGAATAGGTCCTGAACACATCACTACATGTTTGCTTTAAAGCTTTGCAATTGTAAGAACTTATCAATATTACATTTCTCAAAGCAATTACCAGATTCTTATAAGCCCAATTCAAACTACAAATACAAAGAAGAATCCCGTGGGCTTCCACAATTCCTCCCAGCCCCAATGTGTTCCTCTCATTAATGCATTCATTTTACACCTTCAAAGATGCTGAAGCCACTGAAAGCAGAACAAGTTCCCCAAATCAAAGCCAACTGGAAAGTAAGCCTGCTTTGTTAAGAAAACTCTGATGATCTCTAGGGGCCTTTTACAAATTTTTAAGTTTTATATGTACATGTATGTATATAGTCCAGCTTAATTCCAATTCCTAAAAGGATGTTTAGCAACTTGGAGTAATGGAGAGAAGTGGGAAGCTTTTTCAAATATACATCCTCTCTGAATCCTCTGCTTCTGTATCTTATGCCCTGGGTCTAGGGTAGAGATGGGTTATGGTGGGAGTTGGGAGGAGTGTAATATTTTTAGACAGTGTTTTAGGAAGATACAATTCACATTCAATAAAAAGCACAACTCTTAAGTGTAGATGCAGCTTGAAGACCTTTTCATGTGTATACATGCATGGGGCCACCACCCAGGTCAAGATATAGAAAACGTCCATCTCCTCAGGAAATTCCCTTGTGTGACTTTTTAGTCAGTATCACCCTTCTACCACCATGGATTTGTTTTGCTGGTTATTAAACTTCATATAAATGGAATCATATTTGTGTGTGTGTGTGTGTGTGTGTGGTGTGGTGTGTAATACATATAAATTTGGAGGAGGAGGAAACACCAGAGCTCCTCCTCTCTACACATGTGAGGACACAATGAGAAGCCTGCAAGCCAAGGAGAGAGATCTCACCAGAAACCAACCCTTACAGCACCTAATCTTGGACTTTCAGCCTCCAGAACTGTGAGAAAATTAATTTCTGTTGTGTAAGCTACATAGCCTGTGGTATTTTGTTACTGTTTCGTTATTGCAGCTCAGTCAGACTAATACACCGAGGTAAGTGGTTGCGGGGTAAGTGTGTGTGTGTGTGTGTGTGTGTGTGTGTGTGTGTGTGTGTGTGTCTGCTTTAACATGGAAATAAACTTGAGACTTCAAGTGCCCTGTATTTATATGTGTACCAGGCCATGCAGTACCTAAGTACATGATAGAGCCAAGATTCAAACCTGGACCTTTCTCATTCCAGTTTGTGTTCTTTCTATTCCACCTTGTTGCTGTACAGATTATTCAGCACTGCTGTATGTCAGGAATAGCATTAGGAAGTAGCAGAAAGTATATGGTGAAAACAGAAAATAAAAGCATTAGCAAGATAGTGTGTGTGTTTAAAATTCTCCATCACCAAAGTTTACCAGGGGACAGCTGGTACTTCGCTGATATCAAATTGGGGTAATGGGAAAAGACATGTCTGGAGTACGTGTCTCCAGTTGTTTTAAATCCTTCTTTTTTCACGTTCTTCTGAGCGCAGCCATTACAAAGGGGAGTGGAAGCTGCTACTGTAAGATCAGAGAACAAGTCCTTTCGAAGGACTTTGATACCTAGGTACTATTTATTTTGTTAGTTTCCAAGATTCCTATGAGTTAATGTCCTCACCTATTAGCCACGTGGAGTCCAAGAGGCGTCAGGTTGGGTGAAGGGTCCTTCTAGCACACAGGAGGCTGCCTCTGGCGGGCCTGAAGTCACATTTTCTTGACTTTCTCAGAATGTGGAATAGTTTTTGTTCGTGACATCAATCTCCAAAAGTCAGAAATACCCTAATTTCTAAGAATAGTTAGTTATTAATTTCTCATTCATGAACTGAGCTAAACTGTTCTTCGTGCTGTTTATATCTCTACCTGGGCCAACTCCTAGGAAGGTACACAGCTATAGAATTCACTGTGAGTGGCCAAGGAGCCAATAACACCTTCACGGAGTTGAATGAGAGCAGGTAAATGATATCTGTAATTAGCCCCATTTAGTACTCTCCAAAATACCTACTTGCTGCCATTTTGTGGCATGATAGTGAGAATAGATATTAGGTGAAATCATTGTTCATAGGAGATAAAGTGATGATGTTGTAAAAAGTCAAGTTAGCCAGGACATTTCTGACTTAAATAGTCAACAGATACCCCTCCTCCAATATGTACATTTTTTTTAGTCCTTTCCCACCAAACTTGGAAGAAAATTATTTGAAGCTAGGAGTCTTTCCCTTCTCATAATGATGATGTTTAGATCAAAGGGGCCAGTCCAGATGTAGCCCTCTTGCTGACACTGTCTCTGGTAATATTTGTAGCTGCACTGACTTTCTGAAACTGTATCTTATTTGAAGGAAAAGCCTGAGAAAGCTGAATTTAAGTCTTTTTTTTTTTTCTTTTGAGACAGAGTCTCACTCTGTCACCAGGCCGGAGTGCAGTGGCGCGATCTCGGCTCACTGCAACCTCTGCCTCTGGGGTTCAAGCAGTTCTCCTGCCTCAGCCTCTCCAGTAGCTGGGACTACAGGAGCCTGTCACCACGCCAGGCTAATTTTTTGTATTTTTAGTAGAGATGGGTTTCACCGTGTTAGCCAGGATGGTCTCCATCTCCTGACCTCTGATCCACCGGCCTTGGCTTCCCAAAGTGCTGGGATTACAGGCATGAGCCACCACACCCGGCCAGATTTAAGTCTTATGGGCCACTGACTCTTCTCCTTATAGTAGTCCTAGATGCCAAATTTAAATAAAGCCCTAAATAGGTGGCAATTCATTCATTTGTCTTTTATATCCCTAGTTCTGGGCTTTTTAAAAAATTTTATGCATGGACTATGAGACTTAATGTTTTTTTTTAATGTACTTTAAACACCTAGATAAAGCTGTCAACAAATAATAATGCAAACCAGATTCATGAAGATGCAAACTGGATAGGCTTCCAGACTGGTTACAAATTCAGAGGTGTCTGGAAAGTCAAATAAGAACAGGGATGCATTTGTTTCCGATATCAGCAGCTGTGACCAGAACACCTCTCTGAGAGGTATGGGACCTGAAAGGAATCTTCTGCTGTGATTAGTGACAAGGAACAACCTTCACTGGGGGAGGAAGGATCGAGTTGTGTTTGGGATGCCTTTCTAAAGAACATGGCCACCCCAGCCTGAAGGGGTGAGATAGGGTTACCCACGGGGTATGGGCAGGGTTGTGTAAGAGAATCCAACAGCACTAAATCAAAACCTCCCCCAAGACCGGCTGCTTCCTGGCTGCCTCCCCTAGAATGAGGGGGTGACTCAGAGTGTGACTGACTCTGGTACTTCAAACATGTCTGAGTAACTCCCACAGACCTGGACAAGGGCAATTAGGGGACTGGTTTGGAATGACCACTGAGGATTGAAAGATACTTCCTGTGGCCAGCAGAGAAAAGGCAAATTGTCTGGGAAACTCAGTTTTAAGATGTCTTCTGCCTCAACTGTGAGGCAGATGTGTCTTCTAAAATAATAAATCTTAGAAGCCAGAAAAAGCGGATTAACATATGAAGGCAAACGCTGGACTTCACTCCATGATGGACACCTCTGATTTCATGTGACGTGCAAGACAAAAATTTTCAAATGGTGAAAGAGGAACTGACTTTTTTTTTTTTTTTAATAGAGACTTGCTCTGTTGCCCAGGCTGGAGTGCAGTGGTGCATTCTCAGCTCACTGCAGCCTCTGCTTCCCAGCTTCTAGCAATTCTCCTGCCTCAGCCTCCCAAGTAGCTGGGGTTACAGGCGTGCACCACGCCTGGCTGATTTTCATGTTTTTAGTAGAGACTGGGTTTCACCATGTTGGCCAGGCTGGTCTCAAACTCCTGAACTCAAGTGATCCACTTGCCTCGGACCCCCAAAATGCTGGGATTGCAGTACGTGCCACTGCACCCAACCCAACAAATATCTATTAAATGAAAAAATAAAATTTTTATTATTTTTATTAGAGTCTCTTCTCACATAAAAATAACTAACTGCCAGTTATTTTCCTGTTCTCTGAATTCTACATCTATTCTGTTATTTAATCTTTATAACAACCCTAGGAGATAGGTGTTACAATCGCTTCTGTTTATAGATAAGGAAACTAAGGATTAAAGAGATGAAGTAACTTGTCTCTTTTTGTTGCTATTTTAGATTGTGGCTTTCCATATTTTCAGGATTTTGATATTTGTTTGTTTATTTAGGATCTCGTCACATAGAGTTGAGACACCCACACTTTATCCTCATTCCTAACACATTCTCTTCCTCACTTCAAGCACTGCCTCTCTTCTGTTTATTTTATAATTCCTCCCCCTTTATTTCCTATTCCTAACTGAATTCTCCCCCTGCAGCCCGGCTTCTGAGGTAGTGCAGCTAAGGCAGTAAATAACAGTTAATCACATATAGTATACTCAAGCTAGATTGCCTGGGCAGACCTCCTTGTTTTGCAGTTTACTAGCTGTGTGACATTAGGAAGTTCTCTGTCATTATTACTTGAACCATTTGCTTCCCACCATTTTGTTTTTTCTTCCGGTATTTCTAATAGACTTGGACACCTGATTATCAAATTCCTTCATTTTCTCTCTCTTTTTTTTCCATTCTCTATCCTTATCCTTTCCTAGTGCATCCCAGGGTAACTCCTTGACTTAATCTTCCAGATCATGTCTTTACTAGATACCTTGAATATTGAAGCAATCCATCAAATTCTTTATTCAATAACTGCAGGATTCATTCTCAATATTTCTAATTCTTTTACTGAACTGTCTATTCTCACTCCATGTTTCTAGTATCTTCTCTCAACTTTTCAAGCATATTTGTTCTTTTCTTAAATGTTATTTTTAATTGATACATAATAAATGTACATATTTTCATGGCACTTGTGATAATTTAATACATTCATATAATTTATAAAGATCAAATCAGTTAAATTGAAATATTCATCACCTTAAATCAATCTTTCTTTCTTTTTTTTTTTTTTTTTTTTTGAGACAATCTTGCTCTGTCGCCCAGGCTGGAGTGCAGTGGCACAATCTTGGCTCACTGCAACCTCCACCTCCCGAGTTGAAGCAATTCTCCTGCCTCAGCCTCCTGAGTAGCTGGGACAACAGACACATGCCATCACAGCCAGCTAATTTTTTTTTTTTTTTTTGTATTTTTTGATAGAAACAAGGTTTCACCATGTTGGCCAGGCTGGTCTTGAACTCCTGTCCTCAAGTGATCTGCTCGCCTCGGCCTCCCAAAGTGCTGGGTGGGATTACAAGCATGAGTCACTGCCCCCAGCCAAATATTTCTTTTCTTTAGGCTAGAAATTACTTTCGTCCAGATATTTTGAAATATATGACAGATTATTGTTATTATTTTTGTTTGAAATTCTTTCTCTGTTTTCCATTAGTTCTACTTTCTCTGGTGTAAGCTGTTTCATTGGTTTGTTGTTTCTCAAACTTATAGTTCTCAGAATTTTCCCTCTGAGCTTATCCTTGTTCCTTTGGGACCATTTGCTGCCTTACTAGTAAAATGCATCCATGGAAAGGGGCACAATTCTAGCCAAGCGTGTGCTTCTCCAGGTGAATTGGTGTCTATGTTGTTGTGTGTGATTATGTGAGGGGCATAGCATTGTGCTCAACTGGTCTCCAAGCAACCTCTGAATAATCTTTTATTGGACACAGCCACTCTATCATAAGTGGATGCCCACAGGGTAGTGACAGCAGGGATGTATGTGTGTGTGCGGTGGTGAGGGGGTTAATTCTCAGGGGCTGGTCAAACCAACTACATGCATTGCCATCTGCTCATAAGCACACTAAGCTATGGCACTGCCTTGCAGCTATCATGCTGCCACTAGCCTGTACTGCTAATGTCCTGCCTCTGCAGTACCAAGTTGGGAGTGGCACAGGGAATCTGCCTAGGGGATGAGGAAAGGGCAAAACTAAAACAAAATTTTTCCCAAACCCGTTCCCTATTTGTGACCTCAGACCCACTTCACCTGCTAACCAGTGGACCAAATCAACTTCTATCTACCCCAAGGATTTCTGCGGTTTGTTGCTGAGCACAGCCTGAAGATCCATCTTCTCCTCTATCTTCCTGCGGCATCTCCTCCAGGAGACAACTCTCAGTCTGTGCTGCTGTGCTGCTTGTCTTTTCTTCCTTTTTTTTTTTTTTTAATATATGGAATCTCACTCTGTTATTAGGCAGGAGTGAGGTGGCGCGATCTCGGCTCACTGCAACCTCTGCCTCCCGGGTTCAAGCAATTCTCCTGCCTCAGCCTCCTGAGTAGCTGGGACTGCAGGCGCATGCTATCACGCCCAGCTAATTTTTGTATTTTTAGTAGAGATGGGGTTTCACCATGTTGGCCAGGATCGTCTTCATCTCCTGACCTTGTGATATGCTCCCCTCGGCCTCCCAAAGTGCTGGGATTACAGGCGTGAGCCACCGCGCCCGGCCCATGCTGCTTTTCTGTCTTGTCCCAAACCAGAAGCCTTGTAAGTTTTCCAAGATCACCAAGCTGGTCAATGATAGAGCTGGGGCTCAAACTCTAATCTGTCTGACTCTAAACCTTGTGCTTTTAACCCCAGCACTACACTCAGGGTTTTCTGAGACTTTAAAGATGATCACATCAAATTATCCATCCAGCTAAAAATTTTATTTTATTCCAAATATTTCCTACTAAAGGAAACCTGGGCTCCTTGGAGAAATGGCAAACTCTTGGTCTCAGGGTGAAAAATATACAAGAAAACTTACAAAAGAACATGGGTTTTGGTGTGATTTTTTCCTTCACTGTGTTAATGTGGTATATCACATTAGTGGATTTCATATGTTGAACTGTCCCTGCATCTGAGGAATAAATCCCAGTTGGTCATGGTGTATGCTCCTTTTACCGTGCTGTTGAATTTGTTTTTTTGCTAGCATTTTGTTGAGGATTTTTATATGTATACTCAAAAGGAATATTGGCCTGTAATTTTCTTTTCTTGTGCGTCCTTGTCTGGCTTTGGTATCAAGGTTTCAAAATAAATTGCAAAGCCATAGTATTTAAAACAGTATGCTACTGGCATAAAGACAGACATATAAGCCTATGAAATAAAACAGAGGTCCCAGAAAAAAATCCACACATATATGGTCAATTGATCTTCAACAAGGGTGCCAAGAATACATAATGAGGAAAGGACAGTTTCTTCAACAGATTGTGTTGGGAAAACTGGATATCCCCAAGCAAAAGAATGAAATTGGACCCATATCTTACACCATATGCAAAAATAAACTCAAAACACACTAAATATTGAAATGTAAGTCATGAAACTGTAAAAGTTCTAGAAGAAAACATAGGGGAAAACTTCACGATACTGGCCTTGGCAATGATTTCGTGCATATGATCCCAAAAGCACAGGTAACAAAAGCAAAAACAGACAAGTGAGACTACATCAAACTAAAAAGCTTCTGCACAGCAAAATAATCAACAGAGTGAAAAGGTAACCTACAAAATTGGAGACAATATTTGCAAACTGTATATCTAATAAGGGGTTAATTCCCAAAGTATGTAAGGAACTCTTACAACTCAGTTGCAAAAATCTAACAACCTGATTTTAAAAAGGGCTAAAAACCTGAATAGAGGCTGGGTGTGGTGACTCACACCTATAATTCCAGCATTTTGGAAGGCCGAGGAGGGAGGACTGCTTGAACCTAGGAGTTCAAGACCAGCCTGGGCAACAAAGTGATATCCGAGATCCCATGTACACAAAAAATTAAAAAAATTGGACATGGTGCATGTGTCTGTTCTCCCAGCTACAGAAGGGCGCATCGCTTCAGCCCAGGAGACTGAAGTTGCAGTGATGACCCGTGATCACAGCCCTGTACTCCAGCCTGGGCAACAGAGCAAGATCCTGTCTCAAAAACAAAATAGCACAAAAGTTATACATAACCAAAGGACCAAATGACTCAGAAACTACCTTGAAATACACTTTCATGGCTAAAGAAGGGCCAATTTTACCATCAACAGGAAAATAATGGCAATTAGTTGAAACACTTCAACTGTGTTTAAATCCCTAAGTTCACGATGGTGCAAGAAAAAAAAAGTAATTAGTCACCAATGGAACCAACTTATTATTTTGAAAAACGATAAATGGATAGAAATAAATCATTCATCTTTTTTTCTAAAAAATGATACCACTGATTAGTCATAGATGAGAATGGGTTTTCCATTATGGAAATATTCTAGATAATAAATGAAAAAGGATGATAAAATTAAAATACCACCATTTTGTGGCTTTTGGTACAGTAATGGATCCAGGCATGACTATCAGTGGTTGCTAACATGACAAAAACAGAGATGATCAGACATTAGACTATCACCATTTTGTTCTGAGAAAGATAGCCTCAATCTACCAAATCTGTAGAGCAGATTCAGCTACCAATTTACAAAAAATACCTGAACAAAGGAATATGTTCAAACAGACTCAGAGACGCAATCAGAGGAATCTAGGCTGTGGAAAACAATAGCAAATTTTTTTTTTTTTTGAGACGGAGTCTCACTGCTGCCCAGGCTGGAGTGCAATGGCACGATCTCGGCTCACTGAAACCTCCGCCTCCCAGGTTCAAGTAATTCTTCTGCCTCAGACTCCCAAGTAGCTGGAATTACAGGTGCGTGCCACCACGCCCGGCTAAATTTTGTATTTTTAGTAGAGATGGGATTTCACCATGGTGGCCAGGCTGGTCTCGAACTCCTAACCTCGTGATCCACCCGCCTCAGCCTCCCAAAGTGCTGGGATTACAGGCGTGAGCCACCACGCCCGGCAGGAAATTTTTTTTTAACAAATACATTTCAAAAAGAGGGGGAACAAATAGGAGTACTCTATAGATTAAAAAGGACTTAAAAGACATATCAACTATCTATCTCATGTGACCTTACTTGTATCCTAATTCAAATAAACTCTAAAACAAGAAAGCCATTTATGCTCTTTATGAAGAAATTTGCACACTGGCTGGATAGATATTAAGGAATTATTGTAAAATATTTTAGATGTGATAGCTGGCATTGAGTTTATGTAACATTAAAGAATCCTTCTCTTTTAGAGTATTATTGAAATACTTATGGTTGAAATGTTCTGGCATCTGGGTTTTGTTTCCAAATAACACAGACATGGGAAAGGGGTATATAGGCAAAGCAAGATTGGGCAATGAGTTGATGACTCATGAAGCTGGGTGATGGCTATGTGGGGGTTAATTATACTATTATGTATTATGTTTAATTTTGAAAAAGTATGAAATAATAATAAAGTTAAAAACCTAAAAGTTTTTAAGAGAAATATATATTACAAAATAATATATTTTCTTTTTCTCTCTCTCTCTCTTTTTTTTTTTTTTTTTTTTGGTGAGACAAGGTCTTGTTCTGTTACCCAGGCTGGAGTGCAGTGGTGCAATCTTGGTTCACTGCAATCTCTGCTACCCTCCTACCCCCATGGCTCAAGCGTCCATCCTCCATCCTCCCACCTCAGCCTGCTAAGTAGCTGGGACCATTTTATTGTATTTTTAGTAGAGATGGGGTCTCTGCCATGTTGCCCAGGCTAGTCTCGAAATCCTGGGCTCAAGTGATCCACCTGCATCGGCCTCCCAGAGCAAAATAATATATTTTCATCTCAAACAATGTTGAAGTACATAATTAAAAGATGGGTTGTCTGTTTTGATATCCCATTTCTGTCTTAACATTCCCTGAAGGTAATCACTTTAACTCTATACTGATGCAGACAAAAGTTTTATGTGGTATGTATTATATAAATAATGTATTATGAATTATATATTTATATATGTAAATATATTTTGATGCAAGAAAAATCTGAAGTTAAACCTTAGCTACTATAAAATGCTGACTGTGAGTCATTCCACATATTTGGGTGAGACAAGTTTTTTTTTTTTAGTTATATATGTATATATATATATATATATATCTCAAACTGTTAACAATATGGAGAAAAGTGACATTTTTGTTGGTGTCAAATTTGGGATTTGAACTTGTCAGAGTAAGTTCAAAGGTGTCTCACTTTGGAGAAAACACAATATAAAAATTTTGAACTTACGAAACAAATTTGTTTTGGATTGGTTAGAAGGAATCTTCACTAAAAACAAGTAGCCATATATAACCAAGGGCTCCCTTAAATTGTGAATGCCACTACTGATTTTGATTTTTACATTTTGTTAAATTTAGGCACAACTTTACAAACACACCCCATGGTTTATGATCTGGATTTGAAGTCAGGAGACCTGAGTCTTTAGACAGGTAACCTTTGTGTTGGGCATAAAAATAACTGGTCAATCCTATTAATTCAGTTTTTTTAAGCATCTGTTTCAGCTAGAATTGTTCCATTAAAATAGCTAGTTAGTAAATCACAGTAGACTTGTCCAGGAAAGAAAAGGAGAAAATAAACTCGGCAAGCATAAAAACATAAATAGAAACTAAGTATCATATCTACATGGACCTTACTTAAAAAGACTTAGTGTGTGCATGGATCTTATTATTCTGTCTTCTGACAAGAAGCAGAAAGATGAATTTGTAGGGTCCTTATGCATGCAGGGAACCACCTACTCCCACCCATCTGTTAAGGCAGCTCCATATGTTCTACAAAATCAATGTAATCTTTTTGTTAAAATTTCTCCAATTAGGGAGATAATGTTTCTGTCCAGTTTTCCCACAAACTCCTTATAAACAGTAGAATGTAATCTATTACAAGCTATATGCAGATTAATATTGACTAATGTGGATAATTTTTTCCCATGTACATAAGGTAATGTTAACATGAATTCCAAAACTTTTTTTTTTTTTGAGATGGGCTCTCACTTTGTTAGCCAGACTGAAGTGCAGTGGTGCAATCATAGCTCACCGCAGCCTTGAGCTCCCAGATTCAAGTGATCTCTTGCTTCAGCCACCTGAGTAGTTGGGACCACAGATGCATGCCACCATGCCAGGCTGATTTTTTTCTTTTTAGTAGGGATGGGGTCTCTCTATGTTACCCAGGCTGGTGTCAAACTCCTGAGCTCGAGGGATCTTCCACTTCAGCCTCCCAAAGTGCTGGATTTACAGGCATGAGCCACCATGGCTGGCTTCAAAAACCTTTAATAAGCCCCTCCTGTTTGCTAAATGATGATAATACAAGGTTGAGTAAGACATGTTTTGGGCTGAACTTTTAAAACATCTTCCATATTTAGACCGAAGCAGGTCTTTGTCATCATCTTTCTCTCTTCCTGTACTTAACAAAGCATTTTGAATAAATACATGAAATTTGATAATGATGAAGAATGTGTTTTTTTTTTAAATAATAGAATATAGGGAAAATGTTCAATAGCTAATTTTCTTGAAGAATATTACTACCACATTTTTCTGTATTCTTTAAAGAAGAATCATTCAAATTAAATGATGCTTGACATAAAACTTCAACAAATATTATGACATCATGAAATGAAAACAGGAATAAGATTCAAGAAAACAATCCTCAGTAGAAACATTGACCATCATTTCTCTAAAATAGCATTTTTCTGTAAGAGCTATAAATGAAACATAGAAGAATATCCTAACTTCATAATTCCTAAAATATGAAAATCATACAAAGGAAGTAAACAATGCAAAAATAAGGACCAAAACATTTCATAAATAATAGCTGTTATGCAAAGTGAGTTACATTCCTCTGTGTATTTAATATATGACTGAATACGTGCCTTTACTGATTTGCAGCCAGCAAATGCACTGGTATCAATTTTAGTGTAGAAAGCAAATGTTACAAAAAAAAAGTTTGAGAAATTCCCTGTATCTGTGGAGGATTAGTCATCTCTTAAATTCTGTAACCAAGAACATAAATGTTAATATATATTTGTACAAAACTATCAGTTTCTTCAAAAATGTGCAGAAATAAGTGACTTATTAAAAAATTGGCAGGATAGGAATTTATGATTCATGTGTAAGAGACCCTCCATTCCAGCTGTTGGTAGCCATGCCTGGGCTCCGGCCTCCCTGTGTGACACATGGTGAGCTCACCACCGTGTCTTAGCAAGAGTTTGTAAGGGGAGAAAGTGACATTTTCACTTGTACTAAAATTGAGATTTCATCACAGAAGTTCAGCAGTGCCTTACTTTGGAGAAAACCTAATATAAAAATTCCAAACTTATGAAATACATATTTTGGGGGTGGCTTCTCAGTCAAGGTAAATCACCAGAGCTGTCAGCATAGGCTTTTTAATATTATGTGCAGCAGCATTGATTATTAAGTATGAATTCAATATCTACACTAATTTTCATACCCACACCTTTGATTTAGGATTGGGACATGAGGTCAGACATATGTGATTATGACAAGTTGTAACAGCTGGCTGTGTGACTCTGCAGTTCACTTATAGGCCCTTTTACCCTAAAAATACAATAAGGGGAATTGGCCTGAAGACTTCTTTAATTCTAAAATTGTATGATTTGCTGATTTCTCTAAGATAACTCTCTGGTGCATTTCTGGCCTCAGACGTTCACAGTTTCCTCACATGTTCCTTCCCCCAAATGTCTGATTTTAAAAAGCAGTGGTTTTGGCTAATGCTGTAGGAACTACGCTAGTAGTGGATTTCCCACAGTTCTAGGACTATAGCTATCTTACATCTGGGTTTTTCAGGATATACCAATAAAAAATAATCGCCTAGTCTCCAAACACCAGCACAGGATCTGGGTACTGAGGTGCCCTACAGCTAAAATATACTAATGACTGTCTCTAAAATGTTAATACATAAAATTTCTTCAATTTCCTGTGTATCTCTCATACAGTGTTTTAAATTTCTAGTGCCTGTTACCACTTGTCTATTAGTGGAAAATAGCAGTGTAAACAAGTAGCAAATTAACATATGTGGGAAAACACAGACCACTGACTTTTAATTCTCTGTTTATGCCTATAAGCTTATGGCTATAATTTTCTATTTCTACACATCCCATCATCATTTATTAATTCAACAGCTATATCTTGAACTCTTACTATCTGCCAGGCCTCATGCTGGGCTCTAGTTGCAAGTGCACAAAACTAGACAGGCTCTTTGCCTCATGGAAGCTACAGTCCCACATGGACATAAATGTCAAATAAATTATTATGCCAAATGTATTCATAACTGAAAATTGAGTTAAATGTCATGAAGTAAAAAAGGAAAAACAATATTAAGGAAGAAAATAAGTCTCCAAACCCAGAACTTGGGATATTTGAATCTTCAAAGCAATTCATCCTTACATAGGGTGCCTCCTATAGATAATGCATGGTCTCTGAGGCAAGGCTGGGGAGTGCAGAACAGCCTGTCCTTCTTTTATATCCTCAGGTGCCCAGGTATCAACTTTTCTTTTTCCTCCTTCAGGAAAACAACAACAACAAACAGGCCCTTGTGTACATCAGGTTATGAAAAGCGATACCTAGCAGGTCCAGTGACCACCTAGAATTAGCCGTGACAGTGAGCTCCCTGTTGCACGTTGTAAATGGCAAGTGAGAAAGCATTAAGTAGATTACTAGACATCAGGACTCACAGCTAGGCCATGGGGCCAAACCCTGTGTTTGTTTTTCTGTCCTCATTTTGCTTGGCTTCTTGGCAGCATTTCACATGTTGACTTAGACCTCTTTCCTGAAGCACAACTCCTCTTGGAACATTCATTTTTGTTTTTGGCTTTTTTCCCCATCCCTCTAGCTGTTCCTTCTCTACCTTATCTCTAAATGTCATTACCTAGGGTTCAGTCCTGAGTACTCTCTGTCTTCTCTCCTCGATTAATCACAACCATTCATGTAACTTCAGATGCCATCTGTATACTATGACTCCCAAATTTATATCTCATTTTGAACCCTCTCTTCTGAGCTCCACTATCAAAACTGAACACTTGGCTGGGCACAGTGGCTCACACCTATAATCCCAGCACTTTGGGAGGCCGAGGTGGGCGGATCACCTGAGGTCAGTAGTTTGAGACCAGCCTGGCCAACATGGTGAAACCCCGTCTCTACTAAAAATACAAAAAAAAAAAAAAAAAAAAAAAAATTAGCCAGGTGTGGTGGCACTTGCCTGTAATCCCAGCTACTCAGGAGGCTGAAGCAGGAGAATCACTTGAACCCCGGAGGTGGAGGTTGCAGTGAACTGAGATCGCGCCACTACACTCCAGCCTGGGTGACAGAGAGAGACTCCATCTCAAAAAAACAAAAAACAAAAAATAAAACAAAACAAAACCTGAACACATCATTTGCATGCTTTGTGTTCCTCCCTCAGTCTACCCTGTTGCATTAAATAACACCACTATCTACGCAGTTCTTCAAGCCAGAAATCTAGGAACATCCTTGATGCCCTTACCTCCCACCACCTTCTTCGTCCATCCCATCATGTCATCTCCAATCAGCTCACCTCTTCCCACACTCTGCCAACACACTAGGGCAAGCTACCATCATTTTCCACCTGAACCGCTACAGTCACCTTCTAAGTGTTTGTCTGCCTCCATTCCTGGCCCCTCCAATCTCTTTTCCATGATGCAGCCATTTTTCTCCAAGTTAAAAACCTTCAATGGCTTCCTACAGTAGTTTGAAAAATAAGCCCAAATATTTTACTATGAATCCTGCATGATCTAACCTCTGCAAACCTCTCCAACCTCATCCTGAGTCATCACTGTGCACTGTGCCCAACATACTGATTTCTTTTTCATGATCTTATTTATGCCAAAGTTGTTCCTATCTCAGGGCCCTTGGGTATGTTCTTCCCTGTGTAAGGGGCATGGTTAATCTCTGCTTTTCACATAGTCAGCTCCTTATCCGTTGAAGGCTCAGTTTAAATATCACTTCCTCAGGTCTTCCAGATCACTCTCTGTATCAGGGTTCTCCAGAGAAACAGAACCAGTAGGATGGATGGATGGATGGATGGATGGATGGATGGACAGACAGATAGATGGGTAGGTGGGTAGGTAGATTAGATAGATAGATAGATAGATAGATAGATAGATAGATAGATAGATAGATAGATAGATGATAGATAGATAGATAGATAGATAGATAGATAGATAGATAGATAGATAGATAGACAGAGAGCCAGCCAGATGCTTTCACATTGTCAGGGCTGGCAGGTCTGAAATTTGTAGCAAAGGCTGGCAGGCTGGAAACTTTTGGGCAGGAGCTGCAGTCATGGGGCAGAATTTATTCTCTTCCTCAGGGAAATCTTAGTTTTGCTCTTAAGCCCTTTTAACTGATTATAGGAGGCTCATCCACATTATCCAAGATAATCTCCTTTACTTAAAGTCAACTGCTTGTAGATGTTAACCAGATCTACAAAATGCCTCCACAGCAACACCTAGATTAGTGTTTGATTGAAAACTGGGTACTATAGCCTCACCAAGTTGACACATAAAGCTAGCCAATCACTCTCTGCTAGAAAGATTTGACTCTTTTCCATCTTTATGTAGTTGGCATATGCATCTTATTTCCTCCTATCAGTATCTTGATAAGAGCCTAGAATATTTTCCTTATTACTGTTCCCAGGGCTGGACTGAGACACTTTTGACATGCAATAGACTTTCTGGGCTAGGGAATTGCTTTTATAAACTCCCCCTCACCTGTATTTTTCCATTCCAAAATGTTGCCAATTAGATATAATGTTTAAGCATCAAACACTGTAAAAATGTAAACTCCACAAGTAGTAGTGATGGTTATCCTGCCATTGGGAATTCTAAGCAGGTCTTGGTAAAGAAAGGAAAAGGGAAGATGTTTGTCCAGTTCACGGTTTTGAGTCAGGCTCACTCTGACTCACAGAAAAGTACCTCCTGTGACTCCTTTTCCTTCTAGCCTCTACTGTTTATATCTTTGCTTTAATTTCCTCCTCTGTCTTCACCATGGATTCCTATAACTCCAAATAGTCTTGCACTCGAAGCTGATTATTTCAGAATACTTAATGTCTGAAGTTCCCCCAAATTAGCATCCAGATGTGTTATTTAGCATTCGTGAATACTGAAATTTTCCTTGCAAGAAAATAGTTCTTCTATAATGATAGAACAATGATGCACTTTCCCTCTTATACAATAATAGGAAGAGTACACATTGTAAAATGGCAGAGGAAAACATTGTTTGAAAGAGACAGAGCCTCAATCAATTAACAGGCATGTCCTGCAAAAAGCTATGCAAAATTCCCCCCTTACCAGATAATGGGAGGGAGAGTGGAGATGGAGAAGTTCACTTACTGTAGTCAGGTGACTTCTTTAGCCATAATGACGCTAAGGTTCTTAAACATGGCAAAATCTGAGGTATTGACACATTGGAAGCAGACAAAGACTAGACATGATTTTCATTAATTCTCATCCATATTAAATAAGTGACATCTACAATCTTTGCACAGTGAAGGGATGAGGGAGAAACTAGTGGGGTTGTCAGTCATGTGAACCACTTGCTTTGCCTCCTTCTTCTGATAATGATCTTCCACCCAACTGATTGAACACTCAGGGTTGGGAGAAGGCAGGAGTGGTGACAGGATATTATCTTCAATTTGGTCTGCTTTTCTTATCTTTAGAAGTACCAACAGAAGGGAACAGAGGTTGAAATTAATGAGGTGGAAATGGGATTCTGAATTATCAGTGCATTTTAATCATCTCTGCTCACCCTTGCAGGTTGACTGTACTCAATTTCCTTTAGACTTCCCTAGGTAGAGAAGTCTACACTCATGAGAAAGAATAATTTCTGTCCTGGAAGCTCTATTCCCTGTATTATTTTTAAAGGAGATTTTAAAACTTAAGGAGGCCTCAGTAGAAAAACATTTCTACATTTGTTTCTTCGAAAAAGACTTTAAAACATCATTTGCCAATAGAGAAAGGGTTTTCCCTACTGTTTTTGGAGCACATTTCTGAAAAGTCCCTCTCCGTGAATCCTCTGCATATGTCCCTCAGAGAAGACGAATGTAAGTAGCATCATATGCCCTCGATGCACTGATTTCTTCCTTGGTTTGTCTTGTCCTGGTCAGAGAAATAGCTTCCATTCTTTTGGATTGCTTTTAAATTCTAATGTCAGAGAACTTCAGTAAAAACCAAATATGGGCCTAGGTTGACGTGCAACAGATTGAGAAGTTGAAATAACATATTGCCTGGACGCAACAGCTGTGAAAAGTCCGTCAGTTAGATTCTGCGGGTACGGTAAACAATGATAAAAGTCAGGCAGAGAGATCATAAAATTATGATTTTTTTTAAAGAAAAAAGTAAAGCCAGGAAAGAAAAGGCCTTTGTCTCTAGTTGACCAGCTAGCCCAAAGCTTCTACCAGAAATAGTGAAAACTGTAGTAACTTGAAGTTGGCTTACAGAGAGGAGACTGCCATGTGAGTTGAGGCTTTTTAGAGGACCTGGGCTGGGCCTGGAAGGAGGTGAAGGGCTGGGTTCAAGAGAGGTGGGGAAAGAGAATTCCAAGCAGGGTGTGAAAGAAGGCATAAAAGTCAGGATGAACACAGTGGTGGTGATGGAGAACTGGGGAAGGGTCAGAAGGTTCAGGTAGGGAATGCCCTCCCCAAGGGAGGGGCTGCCTCAGAGGAGACAGCTATAAGCCTCCTCTTCTCTGAAAGAGGGGCAGGAACAGGCCTCAGCGTGCCTGGGTAGTGGCCTGCGCTGGTTCTTTCTGGCAGAAAGCCTTCATTAAGAACTTTTGAACTGTCAAGGAAATTAGTCCCCAATTCAGCTGAGTTAAAATTCAGCTCCCCCTGTCCCTCCACCTGCCCTATCCCCATTACCTAATTTCAAGATTCTGTCCTTTCACCATAAGATCTTTAAAACTGCTGAAGTGATGGGGCAGAAAAGAAAATGTGAACTGTTTTTCCTAAGCAATTAATTTGAGCCTGCTATTTGAATAACTACTGTTCTAGTATTCTCTCAACTTGTTTTCCACTTAAATTTCAAAGCAGACTCATAGCTACTCCAGACAAGGACCAGTTCTGGAATTCTACCTCCCTCTCTTCCTGTTTTTCTCTCTCTCTCTCACACACACACACACACACACACACACACACACACACACACACACTGCTGGCATTACAACCTATCCCACTCACCCACGGTTTCTAGTAGGTTCTGACCTAGGATCCATTTAATATAGCACTAGCTGGTGAAGGCAATGAAGGAAATCCTAGCATTTAACTTTCAGCTCATAAAAAACATATGTCCATGTATACAAGCTGCAAAGGAAAGCACAGAATTATCTTCTCACTTGGAAAAACTCTGCCATTTCCCCCATGAAAAAGAAAAACATGTTGGCCCAAGAATCTTGCCATCTTCTTCCTTTTCTTCCTCTTTCTCTTCCTCTCCCCACCCTCCATTCTTCTTATTTTTTCTTAGTTCTTGAAACCTACTAACAAGATTCCAGGTAATGTTTAAAGGTTTCCAGGTTTGTTTCTCAAGTGTTCTGAAACATTCCTTTTTGGGATGTACATGGGTGTGCGGATCTTTATTAGATATGATCTTTGCCCAAATGCCTCAGTCCATGCTCTGTTATCATCAAGTGAAATCCAAATCTCTGCGAAGAACTTTTTTTTTTTTTAATAACACCTGGCCTGGCACACAAAGCCTTAAGGGCTGAAAGCCATGGCAGATTCTCCA
The DNA here is from genome assembly GCF_000001405.40 of Homo sapiens. Lineage (NCBI taxonomy): Eukaryota > Metazoa > Chordata > Mammalia > Primates > Hominidae > Homo > Homo sapiens. The sequence goes on from NC_000001.11 coordinate 214,573,507, forward strand.
ACTACAAGAATCAAACCATTCATCATCGTCTAGCCTTCACGTCTGCCAGCCAAGAAGGAACAGGAAGTTCGCTTGTGAGTTGCAGGAGTACGGAATGCGAAACTCCAAGCAGTTACTTGCTGTGGTTTTAAGTTTTTGTCTTGGAAGTTAAGAACAATGTGAACCTCTCTTCTAAATAGCATTCTAGTCAATAAATACCTACCTGGCACCTCAAGCCTTTGAAGTTGCTGCAGTCTGTACCTTAGCACAACATTTTAACACATATTAGTTTTTAAAGCAAATCTAATATGAGTACTAGTGTACAAATTGCCCATATTGCGTGGCTGATTAGGTTGCTATTTAAGACTGAGCAGATTAAATATCCTCTCTAAAAATTCTTAGTAGGCATTTTCAGCCTTTATGTATACATCAACAAGCTACCGCATAACATTTCTCATGGGTCACACTCGATTTATAGTTTACCAATTTATAGAGGGGTGTGGTGGGGTGGCAGTTTGAGAGGAAGGGTCTGGGCTTACCAGGGTTAACAAACATGTGCATTTCGACTATACGCTTGCTGGCAATCCAATTTAATAGCTCATTTTCAAATCCTTTCTTGGAAAAGGAATTCAGATTACATAATCATGAAAAACAAACCTGTTGCCACCCAGCATGAGCCAACATGTTACAGTACTTTATGGCCTAAGGTTATTAAGCCAGCACCCAGTTTCATGAGCCAGAGAGAAGATTGGGAACATTTAAAATCTATCAGCTTTGTTAAAGTTATGCTGCTTAGTAGAAATAACAGGCAATTCACCTTTCTTGAGTTCATAATACCTTAAGACCTTGGATTGATTAAATAGGCGCTTGTTTACTGCTAATGAGGGCTATATGATCATTAGCAACCTAGAAACCTACTGAGTAATTCTTTACATTAGCTCCTTTTAATGGGAAGACTACCTTGGCTATTCCTAGCTATCCTCAAGATTCCCATCAACTTTGTCTTTCACTGTGAAGCTTTCTTTTACATTGCACCATGGGCTGAGTGAAGTAATGAACTCTGATCTGGTATAACTGCCCACAAACATAAATTGTCTATTATTTCAACTGAAAAATCTCTGTGTTCTAGGTTTTTAAATTTTTCATTTTGGGTGCACTTGGAGATAAGACTGTGAACTCTACTTTAATCTACATTTCCTGGTTTAAGGGCCATATACAGATATTGTCCTAAAACTCCTGCTTCAAGTTTCCAAAGGAAATCTATTAACATCAGCTGTGGGTCTAGATAGGTGGTGAGACATGAAGAGTGGTTACTTTCTTACTTTAGACAGGTAACCAAAAAAGAATGCTTTTCTGCCCGAAGCAAGACATTGACCTAAATTTCTATTTTCAACACAGAAGTGAAAAAAAGAAAACAATCTGACTCATCAAATTAGGCAACAATCAACTCACCATATAACCTTTCCTGTGGTTAATATACCTTATGAACTTGCTATGAGGTATACAAATTGCCTCCATTCTTCCAGCAGAAATCATAGTTGATTAGATGACAAAACCTATGCAGAAGAGCAGGAGAGTAAGTACCAATAACTATCTTTTGTGTACTCACCATGTAGCGTGGTGCTAAGAGCTTTACACAAATTATTTCACATAATCCTCAGAACAACCCCCTTAGCTGGATAAGGGTGAAGCGAGGTTGAGTAATTTGCCCAACACCTCACAGCTAGCAAGTTGTAGTGCTGGGACCTGTCTTTGGTTTAATGCCTACACTCTAGGCTGTGCTACTTCCTGGTTATCAGACTACATAGGTATCTAGAAGGTAAAAAATCACTCCTCAACTGCTATGGCTAACAGGTCACCTTTACATATCCTGAATATATATTCTGTTTTATTTGACTTTCACTAAATAACAACTTTTCTCTGGTAATTAAAGAGTTGTTGGGCATGGTGGCTCAGGCCTGTAATCCCAGCACTTTGGGAGGCCAAGGAAAGTGGATCACCTGAGGTCAGGAGTTCGAGACCAGCCTGACCAACATGGAGAAACCCCATCTCCACTAAAAATACAAAATTAGCTGGGTGTGGTGGCACATGCCTGTAATCCCAGCTACTTGGGAGGCTGAGGCAGGATAATTGCTTGAGCCCAGGAGGCAGAGGTTGTGGTGAGCTGAGATCGTGCCATTGCACTCCAGCCTGGGCAACAAGAGTGAAACTCCATCTCAAAACAAACAAACAAACAAACAAACAAACAAAGAGTCATGCTAATCCGAAAAGTGTTGCTTCATTGTTTTTTAAAATATTGAAGTGTTAATGTTTTCTGGTTCTAGAATCTCAGAAGCAATTTCTCCCAGAAGGAACTATAGGGGTAATTTTATACCCCTTCTCTCTCTAGTACCAGCCAAGAGAGAAAAGCTGGGTTCCTTCAGCTGCTCCTCCTTCTCCAACTTTCAGCAAGCAAAAGAGATAGAAATATTGCCTCAGTTTATTTGTGGCTCATTTGCATTTCACCTTGTCCACTGAGCTCTAGGGTGGGTGATACAGTTTGGCTCTGTGTCCACACCCAAATCTCATCTTGAATTGTACTCTTGTATTTCCCACATGTTGTGGGAGGGACCTAGCGGGAGATAATTTGAATCATGGGGTGGTTTCCCCCATACTGTTCTTGTAGTGAGTAAATCTCACAAGATCTGATGGTTTTATCAGGGGTTTCTGTTTTTGCATCTTCCTCATTTTCTCTTGCTCTTGCCGCCGCCATGTAAGAAGTGCCTTTGCCTCCTGTCATGACTCTGAGGCCTCCCAGCCATATGAAACTGTAAGTCCAATTAAACCTCTTTTTTTGCCCAGTCTCGGGTATGTCTTCATCAGCAGTGTGAAAATGGACTAATACAGTAAATTGGTACCAGGAGTGGGGTGTTGCTGAAAAGATACCCAAAAATGTGGAAGCAATTTTTGGACCTGGGTAACAGGCAGAGGTTGGAGCAGTTTGGAGGGTTCAGAAGAAGACAGGAACTTCCTAGAGATTTGTTCAATGGCTTTGACAAAAATACTGATAATGATATGAACAATGAAATCCAGGCTGAGGTGATCTCAGATGGAGATGAGGGACTTGTTGAAAACTAAAGCAAAGGTAACTCTTGTTATGTTTTAGCAAAGAGGCTGGCAGCATTTTGCCCCTGACCTAGAGATATGCAGAACTTTGAACTTGAGAAAGATGATTTAGGGTAACTGCTGGAAGAAATTTCTAAGCAGAAAATTATTCAAGATGTGACTTGGGTGCTGTTCAAGGCATTCAGTTTTAAAAGGGAAGCAGAGCATAAAAGTTCATAAAATTTGCAGACTGACAATGCGATAGAAAAGAAAATCTTATTTCCTGAGGAGAAATTTAAGCTAGCTGCCGATACTTGCGTAAGTAACGAGGAGGTGAATGTTAATCCCAAAGACAATGGGGAAAATGTCTCCAGGGCATGTCTGAGACCTTTGTGGCAGCCTCTCCCATCACAGACCTAGAGGTCTAGAAGGAGAAAATGGTTTCATGGGCAGGGCCCAGGGTCCCCATGCTGTGTGCAGTCTAAGGACTTGGTGCCCTGCATCCCAGCTGCTCCAGTTGTGGCTGAAAGAGGTCAACATAGAACTCAGGCTGTGGCTTCAGAGGGTGCAAGCCCCAAGTCTTGGCAGCTTCCACATAGTGTGGAGCCTGTGGGTGCACAGAAAGTCAAGAATGGGGGTTTGGGAACCTCCATCCAGATTTCAGAAGATGTATGGAGATGCCTGGATGCCGGACAGGAGTTTGCTGCAAGGGTGGGTCTCTCATGGAGACCCTCTGCTAGGGCAGTGCAGAAGGAAAATGTGGAATTGGAGTCCCCACACCTAGTGGAGCTGTGAGAAGAGGGCTACCATCCTCCAGACCCCAGAATGGTAGATCCACCTACAGCTTGCACTGTGTGCCTGGAAAAGCAGCAGATACTCAATGTCAGCCTGTGAAAGCAGCCGGGAAGGAGGCTGTACCCTGCAAAGCCACAGGGGCAGAGCTGCCCAGAGACCATGGGAACCCACCTCTTGTATCAGCATGACCTGGATGTGAGACCTGGAGTCAAAGGAGATCATTTTGGAACTTTAAAATTTGACTGCCCTGCTGGATTTCAGACTTCCATGGGCACTGTACACCCTTTTGTTTTGGCTGATTTCTCCCATTTGGAATGGCTGTATTTACCCAATACCTGCACCCCCTTGTATCTAGGAAGTAACTAGCTTGCTTTTGATTTTACAGGCTCATAGGTGGAAGGGACTTGCCTTGTCTCAGATGAGACTGAACTGTGGACTTGGGTTAATGCTGAAATGAGTTAAGACTTCAGGAAACTGTTGGGAAGGTATGACTGGTTTTGAAATGTGAGGACATTTGGAGATTTGGAGGGCCAGGGGAGGAATGATATGGTTTGTTTCTGTGTCCCCACCCAAATCTTATCTTGAATTGTACTACCATAATTCCCATGTGTTGTGGGAGGGACCCAGTGGGAGATAATTTGATTCATGTGGGCAGTTTCCCCTATACTGTTTTCATGGTAGTGAATAAGTCTCACGAGATCTGATGGTTTTATCAGGGGTTTCCACTTTTGCATCTTCCTCATTTTCTCTTGTGGCAGCCATGTAAGAAGGGCCTTTCACCTCTGGCCATGATTCTGAGGCCTCCCCAGCCATGTGGAACTGTAAGTACAATTAAACCTCTTTTTCTTCCCAGTCTCTGGTATGTCTTTATCAGCAGCATGAAAACGGACTAATACAGTGTGAGGCAGAAAGAAAAATGTTTATCCACCAACTTTTTATTGCTTCTCATTTCCTGACAACTTTCTTTTACCAAATAGCTGAAAGTGTACAGTTAGATGATTTTCAACTATTTGGGAGTTCTTTCATTCATTCACAAATTTCACATATATTTGTTGTAAACTCACTATGTGCCTGGCATTGAACTAGGTGTTCTTTCAATGCTTAGCTTTTTTTTTTTTTTTTTTTTTTTTTGAGACAGGGTCTCGCTCTGTCACCCAGGCTGAAGTGCAGTGTCATGATCTTGGCTCACTGTAACCTCCACCTCCCGGGTTCAAGCAATTCTCCTGCCTCAGCCTCCTGAGGAGCTGGGATTATAGGCGCACCCCACCATGCCTGGCTAATTTTTGTATTTTTAGTAGAGACAGGGTTTCACCACGTTGCCCAGGCTAGTCTCGAACTCCTGAGCTCAGGTGATCCACCTGCCTCAGCCTCCCAAAGTGCTGGGATTACAGGCATGAGTCACTGCACCTGGTCCCTGCTCAGCTTTTTTGATGGATATATTGGGAACTAGATTCCTATGAAGTCAGGCAGGCCCCAGATACTGATCAAATATTGCATCTACTCTCAAAATTTCCTAAATTTCTATTTTCAACACAGAATTAAAAACAAAAACAAAAATATCTGGGCATGGTGGCTCACGCCTGTAATCCCAGCACTGTGGGAGGCCAAGGCAGGCGGATCACTTGAGGTCAGGGCTTTGAGAGCAACCTGGCCAATATACCAAAACCCCACCTGTACTAAAAATACAAAAAAAAATTAGCCGAGCATGGTGGCAGGCGCTTGTAACCCAGCTACTTGGGAGGCTGAGGTGGGATAATTGCTTGAACTTGGGAGGCAGAGGTTGCAGTAAAACAAGATCTCACCACTGCACTCCAGCCTGGGTGACAAAGTGAGAGTCCATCTCAAAAAAAAAAAAAAAAACAACAAAAAACAAACAAACAAAAAAACACCTCAGTGTGTAACCTTTCCTGTGGCTAATAAAAGCTTATAAAGTTACTATAAGGTAAGTTTACCTCAGAAGGTAGATTACTATTCAAAAGAGGAAGTAGTTTTAGGATTGGGAGGATAAAGAAACCAGAGTCAGGACTCCCCTGGGGACAAAGAGGAAAGAAGTAAATTGTTGCAAGATATTTGTCTAGGGTTTTTCTGGTTTGAGAAGTAAGGACTGGAGTATTAGGAAGTCACAAAAGTTGCTGTCTGTTCATTTGGTGATACATTAAAGGTAAGGAGCACCTTCCCTGTAACTACAGCTCAGAGGATCAGTTCTTGTGACATTCCTTCTCCACATGCTGACCGGGCCTCTGTCTCAAAAAAAAAAATTTTTTTTCAAAAATATAAATCTCTCTTAAAAACATGTAACTCATGTACATTAAAGTTTTGAAATGTTTATGTTGATTACCTGAATTTAAAAATAATACAAACAGAATAATTGTTGGTACATATTCACGTACTCTGTGTGTGTGTGTGTGTGTGTGTGTTTTGAGATGGAGTCTCACTCTGTCACCCAGGCTGGAGTGCAGTGGTGTGAACTCGGCTCACTGAAACCTCCGCCTCCCGGGTTCAAGCGATTCTCCTGCCTCAGCCTCCTGAGTAGCTGGGATTATAGGCACATGCCACCATGCCCGGCTAATTTTTGTATTTTTAGTAGAGATGGGGTTTTATCATGTTGGCCAGGCTGGTCTCAAATTCCTGACCTAGGGTGATCTGCCTGCCTCGGACTCCCAAAGTGCTGGGATTACAGGTATAAGCCACTGCGCTCGGCCCATATTCATGTACTTTAAATAAAGTACTTTGAATAGCTGTGTTTTTTGCCAATACTCTCTTACTGAGATATTTCTACAGAGTGTATTTTTTTTTAATGTGGTCTTATCATTTTAATTTTCTTCATAAAATCGCCTACTTTTTTTTTTTGAGACAGAGTCTCACTCTGTCTTCCAGGCTGGAGTGCAGTGGCACAATCACGGCTCACTGCAGCCTTGACCTCCTGGGCTCCAGTGATCCTCCTGCCTCAGCCTCCCAAGTAGCTGGTACTACAGTTGCACACCACCACACACAACTAATTTTTATATTTTTTGTACAGTCAAAGTTTTGTCATGTTGCCCAGGCTGGTCTAGAACTCCTGGACTCAAGTGATCGGCTCACTTCGACCTCCCAAAGTGTTGAGATTATGGGCGTGAGCCATCACACCTGGCCTGTTATACTCTTTTTCAATTGACTCTACCATCTAGCTTACAATATTTTCAATTGAGAAATTACTCTTTCTTCAGGTGGTGAGGCTTATGGTAAGCTCAGAACAAATTCTGCTAAATGAAGGAAATTCTCAATATTATTCTTTTTATTTGAAATGTGTAAATATTTCAGCATAAGTATTTTCCCAGATATGATACCTCCTGTTTGCCTCCATTCAGAGTAGATGTCTTTAACTAATAGTTTTGTAAGACAAAACTTGTTAGTAAGTTGTCTCCATACTTTAAAATATTTTGTATATAGATGCTTCACAATTATTAGTTTTTGCAGTTTCATTCCATTCTGGCATAGAATACAAATTTATGAAATTGTTTTTACAAAAAGCTTCATCAAAAGATTATTCCAGAAATGTAGATATTCTAAGGCACAATTATAGAATTTCAAAATTAAACACTGTAAATGGATTAAGCTTTCCTTATTTATTCACTCAAGTCTTCCCTTGCTTTTATAGGATAAATTTTAATATCTCTTTGCTTCCAAGTTTTTGTTTTGTTTTTAGAGACAGGGTCTCACTATGTTGTCCAGGTTGGACTCGAACTTGTAGGCTCAAGAAATTCTTCTGCTTCTGCCTCTTGAACGCCTGGCACTACAGACACTCTCCCATGTCTGGCTTGGTTCCAAGTTTTGTTTTTAATAATAGCGTTTCTCTAAAAGTTTTCTAGAACATTTCTGCTTTATAGATTTCTTATTTATCAATAAACTAATTGACAATAAATATAATGTGTGCATCACCAGAATTTGTATTTATATGATCCTCACAAATTTTGTCACTGAATTTGCAATAGCAGACACAATAAAGTCAGATGAACTTTCAAAAGCTTTGAGTCACTGAATTTCATGAAAATATTGAACAATTATTGGAATTAATTAAATTTTAATTTGAAGCAGCTGGTGACACATAAAACAGAAATCATGAGCTGTTTGCAGAGTTCTGTTAATTAAACCAAATATATTAGCAGCTATTGCTTCATATTTCATGCCTGTCGAAGAAAAGCTTAAAATAACAGCTAAGGTTTGAAGTAAATTCTGGGGCCTCCTTAACATATTTATGTCTTCTAATTTTCATTACTATAGGCCCCAAGGAGGCTGATAAATGTTGGCAAATATTTTATGCACGTTATATTTCATCGTCAACTTTATTTAGAAATGAGAAATCTGCATTTGAAATTTCATTAAACATGCTTTTTTGCTTTGTTTTGTTTTTTGAGCTCTTTGTTGCTGAGAGAGTTCATCACAACATTTTTGAAAAGTGTTACCAAATGATAGGGTAAATAAATAGTTGTAGATTTACCCTATCTAGTATATGCCAAAACCATTTTAGCAGGATTGCTCACACTACTTTGTGTAAGCTTTATGGTAGGCATGCTTAGCCTCCACTTCCTGCATGTATTTCACATTCACCACGTTTCTAATTTCCCACATTTCACACTGACCCCACTGTCTGGCAGATTGGCAGCCTTGTGCCTTAATCATCTTGCAGGCCCCACCTGGGGCCAAGGCACAACTGACTCATACACCAGATGGGTGCCAGGGACAGCAGCAACAAGTATTTCTCCCACATCCTTTGGGATGAAAAGTTAGTTGTCCTAAGTCACCGTATGCAACCACACTTTGTTTTTTCAAGCCAGCATGAGATATGCCGCTATCCTTAAAATGGAGGAGTTAGTTACCTGTGCCTTAAGAAAGGTTTAAGAAAGGTGAAAGAAGTTATCACTGATAGCTCAGACTTAACCACTTGTTAAGTGTTGAACTCTGTTTATGGCACATGTATCTCACACACTACTAGGGAAGACTATGCTACAATATGGAAGTACAAAGTTGATGCAGGGCAGATGATCCCCAAATTGGGGTTCAGCCAGGATGGAATTCAAGGGCAAGCCAGCGGTAGGTATTGAAGTGGCGGAGTTACAGCTCCAGCAGTCCTGCAGCTCTGTGACTGCTCCTGCAGAGCAGGGCTGCTCCACAGGCAGTGTGCTGAGAGTAGTAGCTGAGGGCAGTTCTGAAGTCAAATTTATACCCACTTTAATTTACATGCAAACTAAGAGGCGATTAACGCAGAAATTCCTAGAAAAAGGGTGGTAACTTCTGGGTGTTGCCATGGCAATGGTAAACTGACATGGCACACTGGTGGGCATGTCTTATATGGAAAGGTGTTTCCACCCCATCCCTGTTTTAACTAGTCCTCAATTAGGTCAGGTGTCTGAGCCCTGCCTCCAGAGTCGAGTCCTACGTCCTATTTCAAAGTTATCCACTAAACCAGTCCTGGCTTATTTTAACGCAGCTAATAATAATAATCTTTTGTTAAAGCAACAACAGCAATAACTCTGGGACACATGTTAAACCAGAGAGGTGCCAGGAAAATAGAAGTCAACCAGGAAATATGTATATGTTATCTGTTGACCACACAGATGCCTGCTTCATTCATAAAATGGATTTCTGTAATCTACCCCAATACCTAGGTATGGCCTCAAATTAAACATTAAAAAAAAATTTTCCATGTTATTCTTAGGGGCACTGAAGCTGTATTCCTGATTTAGGGAATTCCTTCACTTTCATTCCAAGATGTGAAGACACGTGGTCATAGAGCTCAGGAGAATCATGCACCTTAGTCCATGGTTAATCTAACACCTGGGTCAAAACTATTATTGAAAATGAGATAGAGACAAATTGATCCTTAACTTAGTCACACGATGATAAAAACTTGCTCCTTGAGCAAACTTGTCTTGCAAGTCGCGAGGTTTATTTTGGCTGTAACATTGTCTTTTTGGAAACTTGGGCTCGTAAAAGCCACTTTTCTTGAGGATCAAGCTTCCAACCAAGAAAGGGAAAATGTAACATACATTGATTTTCACACTTTGGAAGAAATAAGCATTAGATAAGCATTTTTCCTAAGGAGCTACTGAGATTTTAAAAATATATAAATCATTTTAGTTCCTTCGTAAAAATGACTATTGCAAGAGTTATAAGAATGTGTTTTAAATTTCTGGGAAGTAATTGATTCCAGAATGATGATGTTTTCTCTTTTCAAAGTTTTTAAATTTGCTTTTCTTCCCTGATTAACTTGTGTTAATTTTTAGAAATACAGTTGACCCTTGAACAACATGGGTTTGAATGGTGTAGGTCCATTTATATGAGGGTTTTTTTTTCAATAAACATATTGAAAAAATTTTTGGAGATTTTTGACAGCTTGAAAAAACTTGCAGAGAAACCACATATTCTAAAAATATCAAAACATTAAGAAAAAGATATGTTACAAATGCATAACATATATGTAGCTACTAGTCTATTTTATCATTTACTACCATAAAATATGCCCAAATTTATTATAAAAAGTTAAAATGTATTAAAACTTACGCCTACGAACACAGACTGTGCATGGTACCATTCAGTCGAGAGAAATGTAAACCAATGTAAAAATGCAGTATTAAATCATAACTGCATAAAATTAACTGTAGTACATACTGTACTACTGTGATAATTTCATAACCACCTTCTGTTGCTATTGCATTGAGCTCAAGTGTTGTATCAACTTAAAATGCTGTGTGAGGCTATTCATCTCCACGGGAGCAGTTCATCTCTAGTAAATTTCATATCACAATAAAAAGTTACCTTTCGTGCTTGTTGTGTATTTTTCATCATGTTTAGTGTAATATTGTAAACTTTGAATAACACCATGGAACCCATACAAAGTGCTGCTAGTGATACTGGTAGTACTCCCAGGAAGCAGAGAAGGTCATGACATTACAAGAAAAAGCTGAATTGCTTGATATAAAAGTTGAATTGCACAGTCTGTAGATTGAGGTTGGCAGCTGCAGTTGCCCACCATTTCAGACAGATGATTCATCTTGTAAACTTATGATATTGATAAATACAGTGCAGTACTATAAGTGTATTTTCTCTTCTTTATGCTTTTCCTAATAACAATTTTTTTTTTTTTGAGATGGAGTCTTGCTCTGTCGCCAGGCTGGAGTGCAGTAGCGCTATCTCAGCTCACTGCAATCTCTGTCTCCTGGGTTCAAGCAATTCTCCTGCCTCAGCCTCCTGAGTAGCTGGGATTACAGGCACATGCCACCACTGTCAACTAATTATTGTACTTTTAGTACAGACAGGGTTTCACCATGTTGGCCAGGATGGTCTTGATCTCCTGACCTCATGATCCACCCACCTCAGCCTCCCAAAGTGCTGGGATTACAGGTGTGAGCCACCGTGCCCGGCCAACATTTTTTTCTCTAGCTCATTTTATTACTGTATGAATACAGTATATAATACACATAACATACAAAATATGTGTTAATCAGCTGCCTATGTTATTGGTAAGGCTTCCAGTCCACAGTAGGCTATTAGTAGTTAAGTTTTTGGGGAGTCAAAAGTTTTGCACAGGATGGGTTTGGCACCCTTAACCACTCCCTCCCCCCACCACTGTGTTGTTCGAGCATTGACTGTATCTCAATCTTGCTGACTTCAGCTGTAAAATGAGGATCTAGACTAGTGGATGTTCAGTGTTCATTCTAGTTTCCCAAACTCATCTTTTATGTCTTTTTTGAATATCTGGAATTTCATATTGTGTGTTATTGTATGATTTTGTTAATATGAAAGATTATTTAAGCTGTAGGATTATGAGCCTTTTTTTCTTTCTTTTTTCTCACTTTAAACAACCAAATGTTATTCTAAAGAAAGTGTGAGCAAACACATTAGATACACTGAGGGAAAAGACAGAGGAAGACAGAAAATGCAGTGAGTCAGAGTGTGTGGGACAAAATAGGTTACTTTCAAAGACTTTTTTAGGTATAGAGAATCACCTAGTGGTAGGAATAGAAAAAGCTTTTTAAAAGTGTAAGGTCCTTTTTCTTGGGCTTCAGTTCATATCACTGAGTAGTAGTCATATGGTTTGTGATCAATTTCTTTAAAATGTACCAAGATGTTGAATATTTATCTATTTGTAATTGACTTTATTTAAATTATGGCAATATGTTGAATATGTAATGTTTTTTCCAAGCCTTTCTTCTCTAAAAGGACTCAGAATATCCTAATGTCAAGCTTTGAAAATTAATTATTGCTCCAAAGAATGTGTTAAATTCATTGTTTTATCATCAAAAGAAGTCTAGAAATGTGCAAAACCAGCATGAAAGCATGATCATTATCTACCAGAGCCCTCTCTTAAATTACCAGTGACAGGCAAATCCCATTATGATTATACTTTTAATTTCACAGGTAAGGTCACTGAGGTTCCATCTACATAATGTAAGTTTTTGCAATATTTGGAGGACCAAGATAGATTTTTCACTGGTCAAAAAGAATACATCAAGTGTATGGCACCTTCCATTTACTTTGGGTTCTTTCAGAAGCAGAGACTAAGATAGATTTGGTGGACATAGTTTATTTGGGTGATGATTCCAGGAAGCAAAATGGTAGAGGGGTGGGGTCAGGGAGAGTGAGACAGGGAAGAAGGAAAAGTATAAGGATGCAATGTCACCATTTGTAGCAGTAAGTACCTGGGGTTTGATTCTTTTGGATCTCTCGGAATTGCCCAAGTGAAAGATGGAACACTGGGGCATTTGTTCACTGGCTTCTGATCCCATTGGTTGAGAACTGCCCCTGGAAGCTGTAACTGTCTCCACATTTCCAGGCCATGGTTGTGTGCTGGCTGAGCAGGCTCCTTTATCTTCTGAGAAAGCTCTGGAGTAGAGACACACCAAGAAACTGGTGACTTGCACTTGAGCTGGAAAGAGTCTGTGCCCACAAAGAATTGCCTAGCACATCTGTGGCTGAAATCAGAAATGGGCCAAGTAGGTGACATGAAGGTAATTGTTAGTCCACCTCTTACCCTGTTCAGATCTATTTGTCCCTATATGGTGGCCATAATATCTAAAAAAGACTTTGTACAGAGAGTTAATGGAATGAGCTGTGGTCCCTGCTATTACAACTGGTCCCAAGCTCCAAATGACATTTGTCAGTTGTCTCATCCACCACCCACTCTCGATTTCCCTATCCTTGATCAGCATTATCTGATCTATTAATAATTTATTTGCCTGATGGGGGAATCCCAGAATTTCATCCCAGAGGGTCTGGCCTTGGGTCGCCTTTCCTTTGTTGGGCTGTGACGGCTGCATTTGCTTGCTCACTGTTTTCACTAGACATAAAAGCATATGGAGGTACCCCAGTGGATGCCCTGAGTTCCATATTCTTCCATGTCCCTTTATGTACCAGCAAGTCTAGTTTCTCATGATAATCAGGATTGACTAACCTTACCAGTATTACAACTCTTTTCTTTTCCTGCTGGTCTACCCACATAAGGAAAACAAAGAGACGAGTTACAGCATCAGGTTTTGTGGAACCCTTATGTGTCACTAGGAGTAGTGTTCCCCACTCCCCACTTTACCCAGTAAAGCCTAAGGTAGAAGGAAAGGGAAGAACATGTGGATTATTTGTAGTGATAGTGAGAAGAGCCAATTCTTTTTCCATTTCTTAGCTTCTAGACTTGTATATTTTAGCTATTGGGGACATAGCTTGATACACTAGTTCAATGCTGATAGTGCACTGTGAAGAATAGTTTTCCCATTCTATAGGATGAACTCCTGCTTTAGTGAAGCCACAAGTAAGCCATTCCAATATGGTATCTTATTACTATATTAGTTTCCTAGGGCTGCTATAACAGAGTATCAAAAACCTGGAGGCTTAGAATAACAGAATTTATTGTCTCACAGTTCTGGAGGCCAGAAGTCTGAGATGAAGGTATTGGGAGAATTGGTTCCTTCTGAGGGCTGGGAAGGGAATTCTGTCTCATGCCTCCTTCCTAGCTTCTGGCAGTTTGCCAACAATCATTGATGTCACTTGGTTTGCGACAGTGTAATGACAGTCTTTATGACAGTCTTTATACAGCGTTCTCCCTGTGTCTCTGTGTCCAAATGTCTTCTTTTTTATTTTTTAAAAAGATAGAATTTCACTCTGCCACCCAGGTTGAAATGCAGTGGCGCAATCATAGCTCACTGTAGCCGCGAACTCCTGGGCTCAAGTGATCCTCCCACATCAGCCTATCAAGTAGCTAGGACTACAGGCTCATTCCACCACACCCAGCTAATTTTTTAAAAATTTTTGTAGTGATGGGGTCTTGCTATGTTGCTCAGGCTGGTCTTGAACTCCTGGCCTCAAACAATCCTCCCACCTTGGTCTCCCAAAGTGCTGGGATTATGGGTGTAAGGCATAGTTCCCAGTCAAAATGTCCCCTTTTTATAATGACTTAGTCATATTGGATTAAGGTTCACCTTACTGATCTCATCTTAACAAATTACATCTGCAACTACCCTGTTTCCAATTAAGGTCACATTCTGAAGTACCTGGGGTTAGGATTTCAGAAGCTGAAGAATTCAGAATATGAATTTATTGGGGTCACAACTTAAGCCATATCAGTATCAGACCACTTACTTTCAAGAAATAGGTAGAAGATGGTAGAACCAGTGAATCTTATGATCATGTACATATTTCTCAGTCAAATGGGTCCCTTGGTCCAAGGCAATCTTATGCAGGATCCCACGGGTGTGAATCAGGTATTCTGTCAACATTCAGAGGGCAGTGCTGGCACAGCTACTGCAGAGAGAGTAGGTATCATTTCCTTCAAGGTGGACGGGATCCAATGCAATTTACTAGCCACCAAGGAGCTGGTTGTTTTTACTTAGGATTGTTCCATACTGAGAACCTAGTGTCAGTATGCTACTGACAGGGTGGTTATTTAGCAAAAATGGTGGCTAGACCAGTTTAGAGAGGATGAGAGGCAGTCCATGCTGTTCGACCCATCTATAGCCACTAGCCCCGATAGCATAGCTGCTCTGATGATGAGACCGTTGTGCAAACGCTTTGGTAATGAAGGACACTCACTGGACAATCCACCAGAAAAATTGTCCTGTCCACCTGGTTGTTTCCTGTCTTACCTATGGTGGATGCTCTCTAGTGGGTATTGACAAAAGATGCAAGACCCCCACAATCTTTTTCCGTTCCTAAAAGGTCTATCTACAATCCTCTTCTTTAAATCTCTATGTCTACAATAATTTAATGTTGTTCCTATCAGCCAAATTATTTGCCCAGCAATATATTCTAACCTTGGACCACCTTTTCCCCATATGAAGTAGATGATCTGCTGTTCTGCTCACAGCTCTGCCCTTTGAAGTCCCCTGTTGTGGTGTTGTAGGGAGCAGCCACCTATTTTCAAGACATACCAACATATGAAGCCAACCTATCTGTGAACCACAATCAGGTGTTTTTTGGGTGGGCTACTTTTGGGGAACTCACCACAAGGCCATAGATGGGTATTGAGAGAGAAAGCCTTTGTGAAACAGAGTAGGTGACTTATGGCTTGCTATTTATGTTAAGTTATTTATGCGTTTTCAACCTGCTTGGGCCTCATCCTAGGATGGTTTGCTGCCACATCCGCTAGAACCCATGACTTGGTAGATCTGGCAATATTCAGGTAGTGATGGACTGTTCTGGTTATACACCTGATGTTACAAGGTCAGGTGCTCAGTGTCTGCTGGCCCAGTAGCACAACAGGAGCTGCTTTTCAAATGATAAGTCATTCTCTAGTGGAGAAAACATGACCTTGTTCCAGAATACTAGGGAGCCTGTGCAATGAATCTCTCATTGAGACATGCCAGACGGTCGGCCTTAATTTGCCATGGGTATCTCTAGCATTGTAGATCTGCCAGATGATATGGCCAAGTGCTGGATGCTTGCTTCATTTTGCACTGTAGTTGCTTTCAGCTTTCTGCTGGGCCAATACGTGAGTTTTTCTTGTTATAGAAATCAAGCAAAACTCAAGTGTGTTAGCCATCTATCTCTTACCTAGAAACATAATAGTCTATTAGTCATAACCACAGATCCCTGGACTTTATTTCTATTCCAGCTGTGCTGTCCATTGCAGCAACTACTTTCACCTTGCCATTGACAAGGTTATTAAGCACTGGCCCTGGCCTAGGCCATTCTAGATTTCTATTCATGCCATTCTATAGCAGCATCTTCTACTGTCAACCCTGGCCTATAGAGGTCAGCCACCACTGGACAGCTTAAAGATGTTGGTGTCCCCCTTTCTAGACATTCTTTGTTGTCTTAGTGGAGGCAATATCCTTTGGTCCCTTCTAGAAATAATAATCTGGTGGTGATCTTAGGTAATAAATCCAGTCTAACTTTCCCACCTCATGAAGATTGCTTTTTTTTTTTTTTTGATGGAATTTTGCTCTTGTCGCACACGCTAGAGTGCAGTGGTGGGATTTTGGCTCATAGCAAACTCAGCCTCCCAGGTTCAAGCGATTCTTCTGCCTCAGCCTCCTAAGTAGCTGGGATTACAGGCATGTGCCATCATGCTTGGCTAATTTTGTATTTTTAGTAGAGATGGAGTTTCACCATGTTGGTCATGCTGGTCTCAAACTCCTGACCTCAGGTGATCTGCCTGCCTTGGCTTCCAAAAGTGCTGAGATTACAGGCATAAGCCACCATGCCCAGCCCCTAAAGACTGCTATTCCTACCCTTAGTACTGGTAACTATGGTTTTAGCATATCAACCCTACTTGCTAAAGGTCATCATCACGTTCAGACTTCAAGAAGCCATCCAGAATGGCACATTCAGAATTTAACATTCTTGCCAGAACGTTAAATCCCAAATCACGAGAGTGCTCCCATGTCAGTAAGCCCTAGCCTGTCCAACCTTATATTCTGTACTCCCTCTCCTCCCAGCCTCCTCAAGATCAACTTTCAAGCATGTCCTGATTCCTGCTTGTACTTATTACCCAGGTCCTGCAACTCTTTTGGTGAGGAAACCATTCCCTCCCAGAGTAGGAAGAGGTGTGGAGACAATTGGGGGAGGTGGAAGTGGGCGCAGGAGAGAAGTGACTAGGAAAGTGATCATGCAAGGATAAGCCTTAGGTGGACCCACTGACGTATTCTCACCTCAGATCTCACAATTCTACCCCATCCATATCAAGGCCCTAACATTAGCAAGGAAAACTCTGCCATGAGACCACCCAGAAGGCTGTTGAGTAATAAAGGCAAGAATTGACAGTAGTCAGGACAAGGTACTGGGCAGTGAGAATGGAGAACATGGGAGAGATGGGGAATATTTGTGTATTTGTGGGAGATATAATTGATAGGATATACGAAAGGAGTAGGGGGTTGATTCTAAAGTTTCAAACTTAGTTAGCTGTGTGAACGAGGATATCATTTACGGAGATGGGGAAGTAGTAAAAAGAGCAGGTGTGGAGGAATTCCTTTTTTTTGAAGACAGTCTTACTCTGTCGCCCAGGCTGGAGTGCAGTGGTGTGATCCCAGCTTACTGCAGCCTTGACCTCCTAGGCTCAAGTAATCCTCCCACCTGGTGGCTGTCCAGTGAATTTTTAATTCGGCCATTGTATGTTTTATCTTTAACAATTTTGCTTTTCTTTTATATTTTTCCACCTCTCTTCTCAAAATGCCACGTTTTCTGTTAAATTTTCAGCATGTTGAATAGTATTTATAAAAGCTGTTTTAAGATCTGTGTCTGCTAAATTTATCATTACTCTCATTTCACTGGACAGGATTAATAGCAGATTAGATATTACAGAAGAGAGAATCAGTAAACTTGAAGATGAAGCAATAGGTTCTATCCAAAATGAAATACAGACAGAAAAAAGGCTGGGAAAATGGCCTCTAAAACCACATTAAATCATCTTAAGGCCAGGCATGGTGGCTCATGCCTGTAATCTCAGCACTTTGGAAGGCCGAGGCTGGTGGATCACCTGAGGTCAGGAGTTCGAGACCAGCCTAGCCAACACGGTGAAGCCCCATCTCTACTAAAACCACAAAAATAGCTGGGTGTGGTGGTGCATGCCTGTAATCCCAGCTACTCGGGAGGCTGAGGCAGGAGAATCGCTTGAACCCTGGAGGCGAAGGTTGCAGTGAGTCAAGATTGTGCCATTGTACTCCAGCCTGGGTGACAGAGCAAGACTCTGTCTTAAAAAAAAAAATCTTGTAAAAAAACATGTAATTGAGTACCAGAAGCAGAAGAGAGTGTAGGAGACAACAAATACGTGAACAAATAATGTTAAAAATTTTTACAAATTTGACAAAAACTAAAAATGTATAGCTTCAAGGAGCTCAACTAACTTCAAGCAGAATAAATACAAATAAAATCATATCAAATCATAACACTAGAAAACCAAAAGGATAACGAGAAAATCTTATTGTAGCCAGAGTAAAAGGATATGTGGGGAAGAATAAAAATAAGGAAAATATGGACCTCTTATCAGGAACTACACAAACCAGAAGACAATGGATGACTCCTGGAAAGCACTTTAAGAAGAGAACAGGCTGGACACAGTGGCTCACATCTGTAATCCCAGCACTTTGGGAGACCGAGGTGGATGGATCACTTGAGGTCAGGAATTCAAGACCTGCCTGGCCATCATGGTGAAACCCTGTCTCTACTAAAACTACAAAAATTAGCTGGGCATAGTGGCGCATGCCTGTAATCCCAGCTACTCGAGGTGGAGGCAGGAGAATCACTTGAACCCGGGAGGCGGAGGTTGCATTGAGCCGAGATTGCATCACTGCACTTCATCCTTGGTGACAGAGCGAGAGTCAAAAAAAAAGAAAGAAAAAATCAGAACAAAACAAACCACCCAACAACACAGAATTCCCAGCAAAAATATCTTTCAAAAATAAGGATAAATCAAAAATGTTCAGACACGTAAAAGCTGAAGAAATTTACTGCCACAAAAAAAGAATTTCTTCAGGCAAAAGGAAAATGATAATAGATAGAAACTTGGAATGAAGTTCATCAGAAATTATAAATAGTTGGGTTATATAACAGTAATTTCCTGTAGTTTTAAAGGTTTCTTTATAACATAATTAATGGTTTAAATAAAAGATAATAATATGATAAGATTTACAATATATGAAGTAAAATGTATAACAACAATAGTATAAAAGCTGAGAAGGGGAAAATAAAACATATGGTAACATTATATATAAAGTGGTATAATGTTATTTGAAGGTAGACTCTGATAAGTTAAGGATATATACGATCAACCTCAGAGCTACCACTGCAAATAAAAACAAAACCAAAAAGCTATAGCTATAAGCCAATATTGTAGAGAAAAATAAATCATAAAAATTCTCATTACTGTATTCCATAAGAAACCTAGAAAAAAACCTTGAGACCAGCCTGGTCAAAAGGGTGAAACCCTGCCTCTACTAAAAATACAAAAATTAGCTGGGCATGGTGGCACATGCCTGTAATCCCAGCTACTTGGGAGAGGCAGGAGAATCGCTTGAATCTGGGAGGTGGAGGTTGCAGTGAGTCGAGATTGTGCCATTGCACTCCAGCCTGGGTGACAGAGCAAAACTCTATCTCAAAAAAAAAAAAAAAAAAAAGAAAGAAAAAGAAACCTAGAAAAAAACCCAAATAATAGGTAGGAAAACAAAAACAAATAGCAAGATTTAAAAGAACCATATCAAACATTGCTTTAAATATAAATATTCTAAACAGCTCAACTAATATAGCAGAGATCGCAAAACTAAATAAAAAAGAACTCAACTATGCTGCCTACAAAAACCATACTTCAAATATAGACACAAATGGGTGGCCTCTTCATCTTTGATAAAGCACTGACATCTCCATCCTAGTAAGCAGAACTTGAGTTCTAAAAACAAATAAATAAATAAGTATATAAATAAAAGTAAAGGGATGAAATAAGATATATAAACAATAAACAAAAGAAAGCTGGAGTAGCTATGTCAGTATTAGAGAAAGTAAATTTCACAACAAGGAATATATCTAGAGATCAAAAGGATATTGCATAATAATAAAAGTATAATTCAGTAAGAATAACAATTTGTGTACACTTCTAATAACAGCTCCAAGTTATATGAACCAAAATCTGAATTGGCAGGAATAAATAGATAAACTCACAATTATAGTTGGAAATTTCAATACTCCTCTTTCAGTAATTGATAGAGCAAGTAGATGCAAAATCTTAATGATAGAGAATACAAGATTGACATAATTGATATTTATAGAACACTTCATACACAAAATGTAAAATACACATTTTCCTAAGGGCATCGGGAATACCCAGTAAGCTTGACAACATACTGAGACTTGGTTAAGTCTCATTAAATTTAAAATGATTGGGACCATGCAGAGTATGTTCTCTAATCGCAACAGAATTAAATTAAGATTTACAATAGAAAAATATCTAGAAAATTTACAAATATTTGGTAATTAAGCATTATACTTTTAAATAATCCACAGGTCAAATAAGAAATCATAAGAGAAGTTAGAAAATATTTAAAAAGGAATACAAATGAAAATACGGGGGAGTTGTGGCTGATGCCTGTAATCCCAGCACTTTTGGGAGGTTGAGGCATGATGCTAGCTTGAGGCCTAGAGTTTGAGACCTGCCTGAGCAACACAGTGAGATCCCATCTCAACAAAAAGCAAAAAGCTTAGCTGAGCATGGTGGCATGTGCCTGTAGTCCTAGCTACTCAGGAGGCTGAGATGGAAGGATTGCTTGTGCCAGGAGTTTGAGGCTGTCATGAGCTATGATCACATCACTACACAGCGAGACCCTGTTTCTAAGGGGGGAAAAGGGGAAAAGACAACAAACAAATTTTGGGGGTCAGGTAAAGCTAAAATATTTATATTAAAAAAAAAGAAAGGTCTAAAATCAATTATTTAAGCTTCCAGTTTAAGTAGCTAGTAAAAAAAGAAAAACTTAAAGTATTAAGATGAGCACAGAAATCAATAAAATAGAAAATGGACAATCATATACATAAATCAATAAAATTAAAAGTTGGTTCTTTGAAAAGATCAATAAAGTTGGTAAAATTTTAGCTGAATGATGAGAGGGAAGTGGGTAGAGAGAACACAAATTACCAGCGTCAGGGATGAAAGAGAGAACATTACATATTACAAGTCCATTAAAAGGATGATAGAATAATCTGAAAAACAATGTACCAATAATTTTGACAACATAGATAAAATAGAAAAAATCTTTGAAGGACAGAACCTACTAAAACTGTGTAAAATAAAATAGAACATTCAAAAAACGCTTTTTCAATGACAAAATTTAATTTATCTCCCTTTCTTTTTGAGACAGGATCTTTCTCTTACCCCAGCTGGAGTGCTGTGGCATGACCACAGCTCACTGCAGCCTTCACCTCCTGGGCCCAAGTGATCATCCTGCCTCAGCCTCCTAAGTAGCTGCATTTGCCACCATGCCCATCTAAGTGTTATTGATTTTGTAGAGACAGGGTCTTCCTATGTTGCACAGGCTGGTCTTAAACTCCTGGTCCTAAGCTATCCTCATGCCTCGGCCTCCTAAAGTGTTGGCATTATAGGCATGAGCCTCTGCTCCTAGCAAAAAGTTTAATTTCCAATTAAGACCCCCCACAGAGAAAATTCTAGGCTCAAGCACTAAAGAATAAATGATACCAATTCTACACAAACTCTTTCAGAAAAGGCATGAGGAGGAAACACTTCTCAACTAATTTTATGAGGTCAGATTATACCCGAGGCTGGGTGTGGTGGCTCACGCCTATGATCCCAGTAATTTGGGAGGTCAAGGCGAGCGGATCATTTGAGGTCAGGAGTTCAAGGCCAGCCTGGCAACATGGTGAAACCCTGTCTCTACTAAAAATACAAAAATTAGCCAGGTGCACACCTGTAATCCTGGCTACTTGGGAGGCTGAGGCAGGAGAATTGCTTGATCCTGGGAGGCAGAGGTTGTAGTGAGCCAAGATGGTGCCACTGCACTCCAGCCTGGGTGACAGAGCTAGACTCTGTCTCAAAAAACAAACAAACAAACTATATACATATATATATATATATATATATACCTGATACTTAAACCAGAGCAGTTTGTAATCATGCTTAATGACATAATTAGAAGGAAAAATATGAACCAATATCTTACCTGTACATAGCTGCAAAAATCATCAGCAAATATTACCAAATCAAATCCATCAATATATAAGAAGGATAATATACTATGACCAAGTCAGACATATAACAGAAATACAAGGTTATTTTAACGTTTGAAAATCAAACAATGACATCTTCATATTAATCAAATAAAAAAGAACTACTCTATGATTATCTAAATAGATGCAGAAAAGTCATTTGATAAAATCCAACATCTAATCATGATAAGAATTCAACAAACTGGAATAGAAGGAAACTTCCTCAGTCTGATAAAGGGCATCTACAAAAACCTACAGCTATTAGTGCTGAAAGACCAAATGCTTTTCGTTAATATCAGGAGGACAAAAAAGATGGGGACTCTCATGACATTTATTCAACATTGTGCTTGAGGTCCTACCCTGTGAAAATAGGGAAGAAAAGGCTGGGTGCAGTGGCTCACGCCTGTAATCCCAGCACTTTGGGAGGCCAAGGCGGGCGGATCACGAGGTCAGGAGACAGAGACCATCCCGGCTAACACGGTGAAACCCTGTCTCTACTAAAAATTAAAAAAAAAAAAAAAAAAAAAGTAGCCAGGCACGGTGGTGGGCACCTGTAGTCCCAGCTACTCGGGAGGCTGAGGCAGGAGAATGGTGTGAACTCGGGAGGCGGAGCTTGCAGTGAGCCGAGATAGCGCCACTGCAGTCCAGCCTGGGCGAAAGAGCGAGACTTCGTCAAAAAAGAAAAAAAAAAAAAAGAAAATAGGGAAGAAAAATAAAGAGGAAACACACAGGTTGGAAAGAAAGAAGTAAAACTGTGTTGATTCACAGATAACACACGTAGAAAATACCAATCAATCTACAAAAGAGCTACTAGAACTATAAAGAGATGTTACAGGTTCAACTGTGCTCCCTCCATTCCCCCAATGTATATGTTGAACTCCTAGTCCCCAGTATTTCAGAATGTGACTTTATTTGGAGAGAGGGTCTTTACAGAGTCAAAATGAGGTCATTAGGTTGGGCCCTAATCCACTATTTCTGGAGTCCTTATAAAAAGGGGACATTATGAAATAGACATGCATACAGGGAGAATGCCATGTGAATGTGAGGATGGCCATCTGCAAGCTAGGGAGAGAGGCTTAGAGCAGATCTTTCCCTCATAGCCCTGACAGGGAACCAATCCTCCCAAAACCTAGATTTTTTTTTCCCCCCAGAGATGAAGTCTCACTCGGTTGGCCAGGCTGGAGTGCAGTGGCATGATCTCGGCTCACTGCAACCTCCGCCTCCTGGGTTCAAGTAATTCTCATGCCTCAGCCTCCTTAGTAGCTGGGATTACAGGTGCCTGCCACCACACCTGGATAATTTTTGTATTTTTAGTTCAGACGGGGTTTCACCATGTTGGCCAGGCTGGTCTCAAGCTCCTGATCTCAGGTGATCCGCCTGCCTCGGCCTCCCAAAGTGCTGGGATTACAGGAGTGAGCCACTGTGCCCAGCTTCAGAAACTAGATTCTGCACTTTTAGCCTCCAGAACTGTGAGAAAAGACATTTCTTTTGTTTATACAACAACCCTATCCATTAATACAAGAGAGTTTAGCAAGCTTAAAAGATACAAGGTCATTTTACAAAAATAAATTGATTTCTATTTACAAGCCACAAAATGATGAAAAGTGAAATTAAAAAACCCACTTACAATGGCAAGCAAATACATGAAATACTTAGGGATAAATATAACAAAATGTATATGTACATTGAAAATTACAAAACACTGCTAAGAGAGGTGTTATTCAGAAGACTTAAATAATGGAAGAGATGTATGCTGTCTGTGTCAGAAGGCACAATATTCTTAAGTTCTCCAAACTGATCCGTAGATTCAAAGTAATCCCTGTCAAAATCCCAGGAGGCTTTTGGGAAAATTAATATTCTCATTTTATTCTGAATTTTTATGAAAAGTAAGGGCTCTAGAATAGACAATACAATTTTGAAAAGGATCATCATTGGAAGACTTACATTACCCAATTTCTTGACTTATCATTAAGCTACAGTGATGAATACAGTGTGATACAGATGTAAAGATATGACATATAGATCAGTGGAACAGAATACAAAGGCAAAAGTAGATCTATATTTATATGGTCAATTAATTTTCAACAAAGACGCTAAGGTAATTCAGTGGGGAAAGGATAATTTTTGTAACAAATGGTGTCAGAACAACTAGATCTCTGTATGGGAAAATATATAAACTTTAACTTTTATGTCACACCATACAGAAAAATTTACCCAAATAGATTATAGAGTTAAATGTGAAAGTTCAAATTATAAAACATCCAGGAGATAATATGAGAGAAAGTCTTTCTAAACTAGGTAAAAGTGAAGATTTATTTCTTAGATAAGACACACAAAAAGCATGACACGAGAGAAAAGTGAATCATTAGAGTCCATCAAAGTTTAGTTTGCGTTTTATGAAAGACATCACTGAGAAATTGAAAAGACAAGCAATAGACTGCGAGAAAATTTTTGTAAAACATGTATGTGATATAGGCCTTGTATCCAGATATATGAGAAATCATAGAAGATAACAACTCAGTAAAAATATAGGAAAAGATTTTAAGACACTTTACAAAAGAAAATCTATAAACAGCCAATAAGCACATCAGAAGATGTTCAACATCATTGGTCATCAGAGAAATAAAACTAAGTTCACTGTGAGATAACAGTCACATCAATTAGATTGGCATAAATTGAAAAGACAGACACACCATGTGTTGGTGGGGATGTGGATCAGCTAGAACACTCATACATCATGGGAATGTAAGATATTGAAAAGGATTTTGGACATTTCTTAAAAAGTTAAATATCCACTTACTATTTGTTGTTTTGTTTTGTTTTGTTTTGTTTTTGAGATGGAGTTTCACTCTTTTTTGCACAGGCTGGGGTGCAGTGGCACAATCTTGGCTCACTGCAACCTCCGCCTACCAGGTTCAAGCGATTCTCCTGCCTCAGACTACGGAGTAGCTGGGATTACAGGTGCGCCCTACCACGCCAGGCTAATTTTTGTATTTTTAGTAGAGACGGGGTTTCACCATGTTGGCCAGGCTGGTCTTGAACTCCTGACCTCAAGTGATCTGCCCGCCTCGGCCTCCCAAAGTGTTGGGATTCCATGTGTGAGCCACCACACCCGGCCCCCACTTACTTATTTGACCCAGCAATTTCACTTTATGTGTTTCCCAGGATAAATGAAACCTATGTCAATGCAAAGACTTGTACATAAAAGTCCATAGAAGCTTTATTCATAAAAGCTTCAAGCTGGAAACAACATAAATACAAATCAACAGGTGAACGGATAAACCAATTGTATATCCATGCAAAGAAATACTACTAAGAAATTAAAAAAACACAGTCATGTGCAACAACAAGGATATGTCTCTAAAACATTATGCTGAGTAAAAGAAACAGACATAAGGCCGGGCACGGTGGCTCATGCCTGTAATCCCAGCACTTTGGGAGGCCGAGGCGGGCGGATCACGAGGTCAGGAGTTTGAGACCATCCTGGCTAACACGGTGAAACCCCGTCTCTACTAAAAATACAAAAAAAATTAGCCAGGCGTGGTGGTGGGTGCCTGTAGTCCCAGCTACTAGGGAGGTCGAGGCAGAAGAATGGCATGAACCTGGGAGGCGGAGCTTGCAAGGAGCCTAGATCGCGCCACTGCACTCCAGCCTGGGCGACAGAGTGAGACTCCGTCTCAAAAAAAAAAAAAAAAAAAAAGAAACAGACATAAAAGAGTACACACTGTAATTCCACTTCTACGAAACTCTAGGAAAATATGAATTTAATGTGTAAGTGACAGAAAACAGATCAATGGTTGCTTGTGTCTGGGAATTTTTGGGGTGCATAACTGGGAAGGGGTATAAAGATACTTGTAATATCAAGAAATGTTTATATTCTTACTTTGGTGGTATTAATAGAGGTGAATATATTTGTCAAAATGTATTGCACTGTACACTTAAAATGAGTGTATTTTATCTTATGTAACGTCTATCTTTTTAAAGTTTTTTTTTTTTTTTTTTTTTTTTTTTTGAGACCTAGTCTCACTCTGTCGCCCAAGCTGGAGTGCAGTGGTGCGATCTTGGTTCACTGCAACCTCCGCCTCCCAGGTTCAGGCGATTCTCCTATCTCGCCCTCCCGAGTAGCTGTGGGACTACAGGCGTGTGCCACCACACCAGGCTGATTTTTTTTTATTTTTAGTAGAGACGGGGTTTCACCATGTTAGCCAGGATGGTCTCGATATCCTGACCTCGTGATCTGCCCGCCTCGGCCTCCCAAAGTGCTGGGATTACAGGAGTGAGCCACTGCGCCCGGCCCTAAAGTTTTTTTTTTGTTTTGTTTTGTTTTAAAGATAACAGATTTTCAGCCAGGTGCGGTGGCTCACATCTGTAATCTCAGCACTTTGAGAGGCCGAGGCCGGCAGATCACGAAGTCAAGAGATCGAGACCATCCTGGCCAACATGGTGAAACCCTGTCTCTACTAAAAATACAAAAATTAGCTGGGCGTGGTGGCGTGCGCCTGACGTCGCAGCTACTCAGGAGGCTGAGGCAGGAGAATCACTTGAACCTGGGAGGCAGAGGTTGCAGTGAGCCGAGATTTGCCACTGCACTCCAGCCTGGCGACGCAGCAAAACTGTCTCAAAAAAAAAAGGATACAGATTTTCAGGCCGGGCACAGTGGCTCACACCTGTAATCCCAGCACTTTGGGGGCTGAGGCTGGTGGGTCACTTGAGGTGAGGAGTTCGAGACCAGCCTGGCCAACATGGTGAAACCTCGTTTCTACTAACAATACAAAAATTAGCTGGGCGTGGTGGTGCGTGCCTGTAATCTCATTTACTCGGGTGGCTGAGGCAGGAGAATCGCTTGAACCCGGGAGACAGAGGTTGCAGTGAGCCGAGATTGTGCTACTGCACTCCAGCCTGGGTGACGGAGCCAGACTCCATCTCAAGGAAAGAAAAGAAAATTTCAGAATAGATAAAAAAATAAAATCGTGTAATTATAAAATATTTACAGTTCTAATAAGATGAAA
The DNA here is from genome assembly GCF_000001405.40 of Homo sapiens. Taxonomy (NCBI): domain Eukaryota; kingdom Metazoa; phylum Chordata; class Mammalia; order Primates; family Hominidae; genus Homo; species Homo sapiens. The sequence goes on from NC_000001.11 coordinate 214,600,542, forward strand.
AATAATATGAAATGAAAAGTAAACTGCTGCTTAAAATAATAGATTATATTGTCTTCATGATGCAGCTATAGAGACGGCTCTCATTTATTGAAAGTACTCGTGGGGTTTTTTTGGAGAAAAATAATTGATGAAAAGTAGTATCGCAACTTATTTAATCAAATCTGAAAAGGAAATGGAATGTGAGGGGAGATATGATGATTCCTTCAGGGGATCATGAGATTGAGAAAATATTTCTCTTTAAAGGGAAATATTTGAGCAGTTTAAGTGCTACTAGGAAGACTTAGGAAGGTAGAAGCAGTTAAAGATTCTTGTTTACAAGTGCATAACTGGGAGAGTGAAGTTCCTGAGAAGCAAGTTGCCTCAAAACACAGTATGATTGTTCAGTTTTAGGAGTAGTCAGAAAGACATTTCCCATGGTTGTAACAGGAAGAAAGGAGGTAAGAATGGGTATAGATTTTCACACATTTGTAGATTTGGGTCTCAGAAAGTTGAAGGTGTTCCTGTCAGAAATCTTATGTTTTCTGTGAACTAGAAAATAAAGTCATCTTCTGAGAGTAAGAATGGAGATGGTTGTTGCAGCGGATTAGAGAAATCCTGAAACTGGGAGAAAGGGCTGTGGAGCAGCATTGAGGCCCAGCTAGACATCCTACATTTAAAGTATTTGCACAGTGCTGGGATTTTTTTCCAGCCCCATTCTGCAGCAATAGTGCACCAAGGGATGATATGGACATTTGCACACATACAAGTTTGGGAGATAGAACAAGAGGCAAGGGAGTTGAGGACACTGGCAAAAGAGTGATTTCAGTGATGAACCTGCAGTCTAATCTGTAGAAAAGATGGGAAGACTCAAAGACACTGGTCCACAAGCAGAATATCGAGGTAGTGGATGAACAATCCAGAGAGAGTAGACTGGCTAACTGAGGGAAAGGACTTAAAAAGAGAAGAGCAGAGAGCCAAAAATGGACCCTTAGAGAACATCTGTCTTTGGTTGGACGGGATCCTCCCCCTACAAAACAAACAAACCAACCGGGGGAAAAATAAAGGGAGGGGAAGGGAAGCATAAAATTAAAGTCAGAGAAATATCACAGGAGTTACTAGAATGGTATCCATCCTATTTCCCTTGTTCAAGAAATGAATGTATTTCTTTATTGTTCATTGTAGAAAAACGAAGCACAAGGCTTGACTATACAGTGGCCACTCAATAGATATCTGCTGAAGAACGAATGAATGAATAGTAAATGCAAATTTCTTATTCAAACCTTAAAAATATCCTCTATTATCTGTCTTTCTAGCTGTTTATTTTTCCTTAAACAGCCTATACATAGTTGAATAATTACTCTGGGAAGCAATGGAATTGTAATTTGTGTTGAAGCCAGACACAATTTGGTTCAAATTCTAAAACTACCAGACACTAGACTGATCATGGCAATGTCTGACAAAAGTTTTCCTCCCCTACCTGCTCTCTCCCCTCCCTTTGGGGATTCGAAGGTAGAAGATAGTAAGAACAAGGCCTTTCCCCAAATAGCAGTTTTATCTCCCAAGATGATCTGGATTTTAAATTACTATGTGCAAAGTTACTAGGGATGCAAAAATGAATTAAAACAGATTTTACTGTAAAGGAATTTTTGAGTCTGATGGGGGAGTCAGACGTAGACATAAATACAAGACAAGACACGGCGAAAATCCTAAACATGAAGTTTGCAAGTTCCAGGAAAGGTCTAGGAAATAATTATCTCTAAGGAGTGGGTGGGATTAGGGAGGTTTTATAAAAAAAGTGACACTTGAATTGGGTACTGCAGGAACAGTCTAATGAAAGGTAAAGTCAGGGGGCTGGAAAGTTTGGTACCTATTGAGGCAGACAACAGCATTAGAGATCTATTACTTTAACAATTAATTGTTTTGCTTCTGCCTTTAGAAGCTTATTTATAGTTTAATAGGGAAATAAAACGAGTATATAACATACATAGAAAACTAGTGGGCTTCACGAAAAGCATTACACCCCGTTTTGAGGATTCTTCTGAATTTTAAATTCTGATGCAGTGTCCTCCCCCCACGCCTTAATCCCGGAAAATAAGTGTTCAGAATCACGTCTTAGAAATATGAACCATAAAGGACAGCATTTAAGAGCGACATCCTGCATTGCGTAGATTCAATTTCAAATTACTGTACTTAGCTTCTATGAGCCTGTTAACTTTTTAATAAAATGAGGATAATACTTTCCTCAAAGAATTGTTAAGAACGACACCGGATAAAGAATGCATGACAAACACAGCACCTAGTATCTATGTCCTAAATTTACGTTTAATTAAGTAGATTGGTACGTGCAGTTTAAAAGAGGTTTCACCAGGCAGCACAGTTCCCCTGGCTGTAGGCGATAGACCACGCCTTCCTAATCAGCGGGCGCATTCCCTGACTTTTGCGGAAATAGCGGTCCAAAACCGCGTCTAGCATTAGCAAAAGCACGTGGTCTCCGTCTCCCCGCAACAACAAAAAAGAACAGTAAACTCCGGCGCAGGCACCTCCAGTAGAGGGCTTGTTTTTAAAATCCATCCGAAAGGGCCAATCAGACGCGGCAGTCTGAGTGCGCAGGCGCGGATTGGTCCGCAGCTACTTAGAGTGACCAATAGGCGTGGAGGTAAGTTTGGTTGAGACCAGAAGCGGGCGAATTGGGCACCGGTGGCGGCTGCGGGCAGTTTGAATTAGACTCTGGGCTCCAGCCCGCCGAAGCCGCGCCAGAACTGTACTCTCCGAGAGGTCGTTTTCCCGTCCCCGAGAGCAAGGTGAGCGTCCTGACTGGGTCCGGATCCTGGCCCTGGCGGCGGGCGGTAGGCGGCGGGCGGCGTGGGGGTGCCGCTGGCTTTTTGCCGGCGGGTACTGGGCGGGGAGGCCTCTGGGATCACTCTCCCGGCCCTGTAGGTGCCGGGGACCGCCCCCTCCCACCCGACCGAACTGGAGAATCCGCCCCGGGATGTGGTTCGTAGGGGTGTCTGCGCCCTTCTGCTCGGGTTCAAACTGGTCTCGGATTAGTGTCCCAGACCCTACTCGGTCACGGACTCACACTTTAGGGGATCATTTTCTTCCTCCGTAAAAGAATTGGAGATGACTAGGTATTTCCAAGCCGCCTTCCCAGTCCCGTAACCAACCTTATTGAAATTCAGGCCCTGGTCCTTTGTTTTATTGAGTAGATGTAAGCTTGAGTTTTGATCTGGTTGGCGACGTGGGGTGCCTATGGTTAGTTACGCGAGCATTTCTCTTTCCCCTCTCTTCTTCCTCCCGTCCACATTTTTTTTTTTCTTTTTTTAAATAGAGATAGGCCTCCCTATATTGCCTAGGCTGGTCTGGAACCCCTGGGCTCAAGGGATCCTCCCGCCTTGGCCTCTGTAAGTGCCAGGATTACAAGCATGAGCCACTACGCCCGGTCCTCCCTTCCACATTTATTTGAACGCGCCTGTGTGCCCGGCTCGGCTGTGTAATGAGGACCCAGAAATAAAAGGCATGGGTCGTGTCCTTGAGCCTGACCTAGAGGAGAAGGCAGGGTTATCATTCTCAGACCCAGCCTTGGTACAGTGCACGGGGACTCTGGCTTTTTGGAGGAGGTGGGGAATTCTGACAACGGGAAAGCAGTGGTGGAGGTGGGGCAGGAGGAGGTCACACAAGAGCTTCCTTGGGGACTAAGGGACTGGGTAGTTCGGGCATGAAGAGTGCCCTCCACGTATTTAAGAGATAAAGATACAGCATTTTCTGGAAAGGACAATAGTCCTGCAAGTCCTCCATGCAGGAACCTTCATCCAGGGCTTTTCTTCACTCCCCACCTCGATTCCCTGTTCCTCAAAAGTAAACTTCTGGGTTTATTTTTTTGTTCTTTTGCCCCAATGGCCCAATACAGGTGGCTGATAGCTGATCCCTTAATGGGCCAAAATCTGCTCTAATCACAGTTAGCTTGGTCTACATCTATATTGTTCTCTATCTTAGACTTTGGAATGGAAAAGCATTCAGCTTGCCAGTCTTCTTTATGTTTATTCCCCTCATTTTCTAATCATCTTTCTAAATTGCTCCTTTTTATATTCTGTTGGCTATAGCATCTTGATGTAATGATTTCAGTTGCTGGCTGAATTGTTTAGGGCAATTACAGTTGTGTGTCTCTGGGTACAGTTCTTTGACTCCTGACAAACTAGATTGGAATGGAGGATATTGAGACAGGGTCAGTTGTCCTTTGTTGGTTGAGAGGCATGTGACTCCTTTCAGTAGTTTTGGGATAAATGGGAGTGGAATACAAGATGCTGTGTTCCAAGAACTGAGAGCTAGAAAAAAAAACAAAACTGGTAGCAAAACACAGCTTTCCAGGGCTTTGATATCCAACTTATATGTTGTCTAAGACCTTTGCTTCTCCCTCTTAATTTTTTTTATTGTTCTTAGTACTTTCATGAACTGCTTATTGTTTTGATAAAAAGTTTCATTGATAAAATCGATTGAAAAAAACCATTAAAATGGCCGTTAACTTTATTTAGTAAAAAAACAAATTCTCAAACTCTTGCCTAAGTAACTGGAAAATGAATGATTTTTCTTTTTGTTTATGTTCTGAAGGCTAAAATAAAGGAAAGTTGCTATATTTTCTTCCAGCTGATTTCTATTTCCTAAGATGTGGCTGAGAAGGAGGTAGGCCACTTCACCCTTTGTACCATAGGCTGAAATATACAAGTGAAAAAGTGTTTTTAAAAAGTATGTAATAGCTAACATATATGGAAAGCTTACCAGGAAAGCTTACTGTTTCTAAGGCCTTAGGAAGTCACCATCATTATTATCCTCATTTTACAAACAAGGGAAACAAGGCATAGAGCAGCTAAATAACTTGCCCAAGGTCATACATCCGTAAGTGCCTGAGCTAGAAGAATCCGCTTTGTTTTTTTTTTTTTTTAAATTTTAAATCTTTAATTTCTGTTTTCACGTATTTTCTTCTTGCTTCCAAAAGGAAAGGAGTGCGTAGCTCTGTTGCCTGTACATCGTCCACAGCCCCTGGGTTGGAGCGGGGTCCCCTGGGCCGCCCGGGGGTCCACATGCAGCCCCTGGGGGGCCGGCGCGGGGTGAGGTCCGGGGGCTGCCTTATTGCTGAGGTCTGGCCGGTTGGTGCCGCCGCTAGGCGAGCTGGCTGGCAGCTCCTGGGAGATGAAGCGACGCAGGCCCTCCAGGTACTGGCTGTAGAGCTCGATGTCGTTGTGCCTGGTGCCCTCCACCCACAGCGGCTCCACCGCCTTGGGGCAGCGCTCGTAGAGCGCCAGCCCGTGCGAGAAGTCGATCACCTCGTCCTCCGTGCCGTGGATGATGAGCACGGGCGACGTGATCTTGGACACCTTCTCGATGTTAGGGAAGGCGTCGAAGCAGTAGGTCTTCTTGGTGTCGGGGAAGGCGACGCGCATGCCCGAGGTGAGCGGCGAATGCAGCACCACCGCGGCACACTCGTAGCGCGAGGCCAGGTCCACGGTGGGCACCGTGCCGATGCTCTGCCCGTACAGGATGATGCTGTCCGGGCTGATGCCGTACCTGGAGGCGCCGGAGCAGGGTCAGCCGCGGCCTCCGACGCGCGCGCACCCTTCCCGCCAGCGGGCGTCCCCGGGCCCAGCTCCGGATGCGACCCTCCAGTCTCCCCACTCAGCCAAGTCAGTGGGTCAGGCCCAGGCTCCACACCAGTCCCGAGGGCCACCCCCAGCCCTCAACACCGCGGCGGTGGGCGAAGCCAGCGGCCCCACCCCGTTCCCTGGCGCTGCCGTTCCCTGGCGTTTCCTAGCTAGGATCTGTAGGGATCCCGCCTACGGAGTGGCCCTGGGGCGGAGGTAGGGGAGGCCCTGGCGCCTCTCCTCCTGATCACCCCTAGGTGCACACTGGGAACTGTGTGCCCCCCACATCCTGAATGCTTCACGCCTTCCTGCCCGGGTTAGAAAGCCGTTCCTGGTGCACTGGCCAGGACAGCGGACACTCTTCCTCCCTGCAGCCCTTGCCCACCCCCTTGGCCATGAGGAATTCAGGCAGCTGTGTCCCCAAATGTCTCCACCCAATTTTGGACTCTCGGAGTCCCCACGCCCAATGAGATGCCAGTGCAACCCAGGTCAGCATCGAGGGTCGTGGCTGCGGAGGTGGCACCCCCTCCCACCAGCACCTTCCCTTGGGAGTGGACAAGTCCTCGGCCACCTCAGCATCACCAGCTCCCACCCAGGGCCACCCCCACCCCCAGGTCACTGGTGTGCAGCCCGTGACCCAGCTGATCCAGCACCAGTTACAAGGCCTCCTCGTGCCCAGTCCCAACCACGCGGGACCCACCTGCCACCCTGCCCATGCCGGGACCCCACAACTCTCCTCCCACACGCTCCAGGCTCTGATCCCAGGCAGATGCCCTCTTGCAAGGCAGGAGCATGGGCAGGTGTGCGTCCCCTCTGCCTGGCATTCGGACTCCACCAGCAGGGCTGTCCCCCTCCCTGGCCTGGAATCCCAGCCTCCTGGCAGCACTCCACAGCTCGCCACTCACCCATGCCCCAAAGGATGCTGCCTGGCTTGTGCCTGTGGCCCCAGCTCTGCCTTAGCCTCCCTGGCCTGCTCCCTGGCAGCCATGGTCAGTAGTGTGCTGAGCCAGCCCAGCCCTGTCACCTGCTACCAGGCAGGAGCCCCCAGCTGCCACCTGGATGTCACCACTCAAACGAACAGGACACATCCCCAGTGGAGGCCCTGGGCATGCTCTGGCCTCCCCCTCACAGCTCTGGGCCTAGGTTCCTGCAGGACAAAGTGGCAGCAGGACAGATGGCCGAGCAGACAGAGCTCAGAGCTGGCCATGGCGGGTGTGACTCTGCCAGTGGCCCAGGCAGTAGAGACAGGAGGGGCCGAGGAAGTCGCATGAAGTGGTTGGTGTCAGCGCCCCACACTGCTGGGAGGCCCCTGGAGCCAGGGTGGTGCCAGGGGACCAGCTCCCAGGCCCACAGCAGGGACTGCCTGCAATATCACCAAGGCAACGAGGACCCCACCTCCCCAGGGCCTCTGACTTCTCAGAGCTATGCCTGGTCCCTGCGGGAGCAGGTCAGACCAGTGGGCTGGGCAGGGCCAGGACGAGACAGCCCCAGTGGATGGCGAGCAGGAAAGGTCACCAGAGGCCCACCCGGGTCTCCTCATCCAAAGCAGCACTGGCCCGGGCGGTGCTCAAACACCAGTGAAGGCCCCAGGCAAGCGCAGGGCTGGGGACCTGGATGACTAGGAGGGCTGGATCTGGAATGGAGGCTGGCCCAGACCTTGGATGTGTGCTGGGGGTCTGCACCTGACCCTGCAGGCCCTGCCCCAGGATGGCCAAGCTCCGCAGCCACAGGGCCTCATGGGCCAGGCCTCGGGACCTGGATGCAGCAGCCTCGCCTCACTTGGCCCCAAGTGCTGCCTCGGCCGATGGGGCCCCAGCCACACGTGCACAGACCCCCAGACACCACCCACTCCCTCCCGCCGGGTGGCATCCACGCCCCTGTGACAAGCTCAGCCCCTTCCCGTCCTCAGGCCAGGGGTTCCCAGGGAGCCTGGCTCCACAGGCCAGGGTGTGGAAGGACCGCCTGGCCACACCTCAGCCATGTGGAGGCTGCACCTGCACACCCAAGCTCGCCTGTCCGGCTCTCTGGCCCTGTGCATCCACTGTGGCTCCCCTCCTGCAGAGCCGCCCACCTTCCTCCCAGGGAAGCCCGCCCCCCGGCCCCCGGCCTGGTCCCCTCTTGGGTGTGCCCAGGCTGAGCTGCCCCCAGGGTTGCCCTCACCTGGTGCGCAGGGCCTGCCAGGCGGCGTCGATGTCGGCATAGAGGTTCCTCTCGGAAGGCCTACCCGAGCTGGCACCGTAGCCGGAGTAGTCGTAGGAGAAGATGTTGCAATGGAGGCGGGAGCCCAGGCCAATGTAGAAGCTGCTCATCTGGCCCAGGTCCACGGCATTGCTGTGCGAGAAGAGGACCGTGTACCTGGCACCAGTCACGCAGCGAACATACATGCAGGAGACGCGGTTGCGGCGGGCGCTCTTGGTGGGGAAGACCTCAATGGTGTCCAGCTCGCGCTGGCTGTACTGGAAGTCGGCGCGCTCCGTCAGGTGCAGCTTCCAGCGCCCGGGTGCGCCCGAGGAGGCCCGCAGGGTCCCCAAGGGGGCGGCCCCGGCCCCACCAGGCCCCGGCTCGGGCTCAGTCACCAAGGAATAGGTGGCCTCCGGCGGCAGGAAGGCGAGCTTGGCAGCGATGCGGCCGGGGCAGGGCGGGCAGCAGAAGAGGCAGCAGAGCTCACTCAGCGACAGCCCGTTCATGGCGGGCGCCGCCCGGGCCAGGCCCCCACCGGGGCCCCAGCCAACAACGCCGCCCGGCCTGGCCCGGCAGGGGAGGGGTGGGGGTGCTCCGAGTCGCGGGCAGGGGGGAGGGCGCCCCCCCAGCTACGGCCCCAGACGGCAGCCCCGTTAGGAGGCCAGGGCCCAGCCCCATCGCGGTCCAAGCCGAGCCCCAGGGAGCCTCGCAACCACAGGTCTCCATGTCACGCCGTGGGAAGCCCACCCCGGCCCGCGCCCCTGGGCCCCAGGGCCGCACTCCATGGCGCCTGGCCGCCTGCCCGTGCGTCCGTCGGTCCCTCCGCGCCCCGGCCGGCCTCCTGCATCGCCACCGCCGCAGCTCCCCCCGAAGAATCCGCTTTGAATCTCTAAGGTTGTACTGTATATGTCTTTCCTGGTCAGTGTCTGTCTGGAGCATGACTTTACCACCTTTTGCAGTGATTCTAGTACTAATACGGCATTCACTCTTCATTCATGCATGCATTCATTATTAAAAAATGATAACTGCTTGGAAGGAGATGGGCTACCTGTGCTGTGAGTAACTATGATGGGAAACTATGGCCGGGTCAGGGATCTCAGAAAAGTTTCCCAGAGGAAGAGGGACAAAGTGTGAGTGGTAATTAACCATGTGAAGAGGGAAAGAGGAGCATATGCAGAATATCTTGTCATGCATTTTCTTTGTTTATAGGACCTATTTCACCTGAAAACCTTATGGCAAAATATTATTTTTTTCTTAGCTTTTATTTTTGGTTCAGGGGTACACATGCAGGTTTGTTTTACAGGTAGACTCATGTCATGGGGGATTGTTGTACAGATTATTTTGTTGCCCAGGTACTAAGCCTAATACTCAATAGTTATTTTTTCTTCTGCTCTTCCTCCTCCAACTCTCCACCCTCAAGGAGGCCTCAGTGTCTGTTGTTCCCTTCTTTGTGTTCATTTGGTTTTCTGTTCTTGCATTAGTTTGCTAAGGATAATGGCCTCTAATTCCATCCATGTTCCTGCAAAAAACCATGATCTCATTCTTTTTTATGGCTGCATAGTATTCCATGGTATATGTGTACTACATTTTGTTTATCCAATCTGTCACTGATGGGCATTTAGATTGATTGCATGTCTTTGCTATTGTGAACAGTGCTGCAATGAACATTTGTGTGTGCATGTGCCTTTTTTTTTTTTTTTTTTGGTAGATAAGGGATTTTGCCATGTTGCCCAGGCTGGTCTCGAACTCCTGAGCTCAAGTTATCCACCTGCCTTGGCCTCCCAAAGTGTTGGGATTACAGGCATGAGCCACTGTGCCTGGCCATGCATGTGTCTTTATGGCTGAATGATTTATATTCCTCTGGGTATATACCCAGGAATGAGATTGCTGGGTTGAATGGTAGTTCTGTTTTTAGCTCTTTGAGGAATTGCCATACTGCTTTCCACAATGGTTGAACTAATTTGCACTCCCACCAAAAGTGTATAAGTGTTCCCTTCTCAACTTGGCCAGCATCTGTTATTTTTTAACTTTTTAATCATAGCCATTCTGACTGGTGTGAGATGGTATTTCATTGTGGTTTTAATTTGCATTTCTCTAATGATAGTGATATTGAGCTTTTTTTCATATGCTTGTTAGCCACATGTATTTTTTTTTTTTTTTTAGAAAAGTGTTCATGTCCTTTGCCTACTTTTTAATGGGGTTGTTGTTTTTCTCTTGTAAATTTAAGTTCCTTATAGATGCTGGATATTAGACCTTTATCAGATGCATAGTTTGTAAATATTTTCTCCCATTCTTTAGGTTGTCTTTTTACTCTGTTGAGTTTCTTTTGCTGTGCAGAAGCTCTTCAGTTTAATTAGATCTCATTTGTCAATTTTTGCTTTTGTTGTGATTGCTCTTAGTGTCTTTGTCATGAAATATTTGCCCATTCCTGTGTCCGGGATGGTATTGCCTAGGTTGTCTTCTGTGGTTTTTATAGTTTGGGGTTTTACATTTAAGTCTTTAATCCATCTTGAATTAATTTTTGTATATGGTGTAAGGAGGGGGTCCAGTTTCATTCTTCTGCATATGGCTAGCCAGCTATCTCATCATTTATTGAATAGGGAATCCTTTCCCCATTGTTTGTTTTTGTCAGCTTTGTCAAAGATCAGATGGTTGTAGGTGTGCGGCTTATTTCTGGGCTCTCTATTATGTTCCATTGGTCTATGTGTCTGATTTTGTACTAGTACCATGCTGTTTTGGTTACTGTAGCCCTGTAGTATAGTTTGAAGTAGGGTAACATGTTGCTGTCAGCTTTGTTCTTTTTGCTTAGGCTTGTCTTGGCTATTTGGGCTTATTTTTGGTTCCATATCAATTTTAAAATAGTTTTTTCTAGTTCTGTGAACAATGTCTTTGGTAGTTTGATAGGAATAGCATTGAATATGCAAATTGCTTTGGGCAGTATGGCCATTTCAATGATACTGATTCTTCATATTCATGAGCATGGGATGTTTTTCCATTTGTGTCACTCTGATTTCTTTGAGCAGTGTTTTCTAATTCTTTTTTTTTTTGAGATGGAGTTTCGCTCTTTGTTGCCCAGGATGGAGTGCAGTGGTGCGATCTCAGCTCACTGCAACCTCTGCCTCCCAAGTTCAAGTGATTCTCCTGTCTCAGCCTCCTGAGTAGCTGGGATTACAGGCGTCTGCCACCACACCCAGCTAATCTTTGTATTTTTAGTAGAGATGGGGTTTCACCATGTTGGCCAGGCTGGTCTTGAACTCCTGACCTCAGGTGATCTGCCCGCCTCAGCCTCCCAAAGTGCTGGGATTACAGGCGTGAGCCACTGAGCCCAGCCTTCTAATTCTTATTGTACAGATCTTTCACCTCCCTGGTTAGCTGTATTTCTAGGTGATTTATTCATATTGTGGCAATCGTGAATGAGATTGCATTTTTGATTTGGATCTTGGCTTGGCTGTTGTCAGTGTATAGGAATGCTAGTGATTTTTGTATATTGATTTTCGTATCCTGAGAGTTGGCTGAAGTTGTTTATCAACTGAAGGAGCTTTTGGGCCAAGACTATGGGGTTTTCTAGATGTAGGATCATGTTGTCTGCAAACAGGGGTAGTTTGACTTCCTCTCTTCCTATTTGGATGCCTTTTATTTCTTCCTCTTGCCTGGTTGCTCTGGCCAGGACTTCCAATAGTATGTTGAATAGGAGTAGTGGAAGAGGGCCTCCTTGCCAGTTTTCAAGGGGGGAATGCTTTCAGCTTTTGCCCATTCAGTATGATGTTGGCTGTGGGTTTGTCATAGATGGCTCTTATTATTTTGAGGTATGTTCCTTCAATACCTAATTTATTGAGAGTTTTTAACGTGAAGGGATGTTGAATTTTTAATGAAAGCTTTTCTGCATGAGATAATCATGTCATTTTTGTCTTTAGTTATGCTTATGTGATGAATCATATTTATTGATTTGCGTATGTTGAACCAACCGTAAATCCTGGCGATGAAGCCTACTTGATTATGGTGGATTAGCTTTTTGATGTGTTGCTGGACTTGGTTTGCAAGTATATTTTTGAGGAATTTTGCATCGTTGATCAAGGATATTGGCTTGAAGTTTTCTTTTTTTGTTGGGTCTCTGCCAGGTTTTGGTATCAGGATGATGCTGGCCTCATAGAATGAGTTGAGGAGGCGTCCCTCCTCCTTAATTTTTTTGGAAACCAGGGGTACAGACAAAGTACCCTGTACACCCAACAGTAATCCCACAGGAGAAGGCAGAGGCCCCAGGCCATTTAATCAGCAGCAAGGTGATTATGTGATATGTCTTTTCACAGTTGAGTTAGATGTACTCCACCAGTTATGATGGGAATCAATTTAAATATACTTTCTTGATCCCAGAAATTCAAGTATGTGGACAGGATGTTACACATGGCAGGATGATTGTTACAGCGCAACTAACATATTTCAAATGGACAAAAAATTAGTATAATTTACAGTATCTTAAGATAAATTTCCTTTGAATGGGAGCTTCCTTTCTAGTCCTTTGAGGTCTACAAGGCATATCTAGAAAATTTACTACTGTGGAAGATGAAGACTGTTTAAATTGAATGGGGGGCAGGAAGGGGAAGGGCCTATGGTTTTTCTTTTTGATTAACTGCTGTAACCCTGTCCTTCAGGCAGCTGAAGGAGTGTCACATTTTCTTTAGACATCATTAGGCACCAAAGCTCTTGTAGGACAACTTTGATGCTACATGAATTCTGCCATTTTGCTAGCACTGATATGGCTTTTTGGTCCACCACTCCATTACAACTATTAACCCTATTTATATTAATTTTTGTTACAAATCTTACAAAGGCAGGGTGCTTCTGGGCATTTAGGATACATTCTATTTTAAGGCTGTATACTTGATTTTCGTAAATCATTCTTGGAGGCCCAATTATCATCCCTGTCCATCTTGTCCCAGGTCTTCATCATCTTCTAAACACCAGCTAACTATGCCACCTCCTACCTTTTTCTGGCCTTCTTCGAGTTCTTCCATCAGTTGGAAACTTCGAGAGACTTTTACTCCTGATCCTGTGGTGACTGCCATCTTGCATCACTGTTGCCCCATGTTTTGTATAATGAAAAAACTGAGCAATAGAAAGCAGGTAGTGATATAAGAAGTCAACACCGAGAAATAAGAAAAACAGAAAGCAAAGGGAAACTAAGCAGGACAGTATGTACTTCAGAATCAATTATTGGTTGCCACCTTTCAGAGGATGGAGAAGATAGGTATTATACTTTGTTATCTTTTGAAATGTGGTCTTGAAACTTGATTTTTAGGGGTGGTTAGATAGATTCATTAATTTCTGAGACTTTGTTTCCTTTTACTGTGGTAAGACCAACAGTCTGGTTATTCTTTTCAGTTTATTTACAAATGTTGGAGTAATAAAGAAGGCAGAACAAAATGAGCTGGGCTTTGGAAGAATGGAAAGAAGGGCTGCCTACAAGAGCTCTTCAGAAAATTCAAGAGCTTGAAGGACAGCTTGACAAACTGAAGAAGGAAAAGCAGCAAAGGCAGTTTCAGCTTGACAGTCTCGAGGCTGCGCTGCAGAAGCAAAAACAGAAGGTACCCCTGAAGCTCTGGTATTTGTAGCTGTTCACTCATTATTGACAGAGAAGTGCTGGTATTTAAAACTGTTCACTCATTTTTGGATTAATTATTTCATCTTCTTTACATTTAGAGAAAAATGATTTTGCTGTCTTCAGGTGGTAATTCCTCTCCCCTCCCCCACCCCCACCCCAGGCCCCAATCCCCTTCTTTTTTTTTTTTTGAGTCATTTTTATTTTAATTGCTTTTAATTTTCCCCATTTCTGTCCTCATTTCTGCTTACCTGCTAATATTTAGGGCTATTGAGTTCCATTTCAACTTCCATGTGGGACCATGAATTGGAGATTGCTTTTGCACTGCATAGCAACAAGGCAAAAGGTGTCTGCTCCTAATCTGGGGACAGTATTAGAGCATTTTGCAGTTAAATGGTTGTGGCTTTCTTAGACTGGGCTTTTTACCTTGGTATTCCTCAACCTTTTCAGGTCTAGAAAATGAAAACTAAACAGTACTTTTTAAAAATTACCTCTCTATTAGCCAACTAAATAGTGATACAGTCATTGCTTCTAAAAGGATTTTGCTTGTGGGAGAATTTTCTGGTTTCTAACAATAACTGGTTTTAGCAGCCAAACTTGAAAATGAATTGTTAAGGGAGATTTATAGGATTTATTTCCTATTTTTTAATTTTTGAAAGGATAGTAAAGACTCCCTTTCTAGGATGGGTGTGTCTGGCCAAAGATGATATACTACATGGCTTCAAAGAAGTTTCCTATCTATTGGCTTCAAAGTGTGATCATCTAAAATTTCTGTGTTCATATGGCTTATTGCAGCTGTATCTCAGGAATTTAGTAGTCAATGTTAGACTCAGGTTTACCAATAATACTTGGTAAATTCACAAAATAAGGGAGTTATTGTCTTCTGAACAATTCTCATTAGGTTGAAAATGAAAAAACCGAGGGTACAAACCTGAAAAGGGAGAATCAAAGATTGATGGAAATATGTGAAAGTCTGGAGAAAACTAAGCAGAAGATTTCTCATGAACTTCAAGTCAAGGAGTCACAAGTGAATTTCCAGGAAGGACAACTGAATTCAGGCAAAAAACAAATAGAAAAACTGGAACAGGAACTTAAAAGGTAATATTTTGGGATGGTATTTATAGGGATGATATTTGTATGTATTAATCAGATGCGTTTGTCTTTTCCTTTAACAATATAATTATTATACTTTGCAATTTTTTTTCCTGGTAGAATAAGTAATGATTCGGTCTCTGTACCGTAACTTGAAAGAGTGGAAGATTAAAAACAAACAAACAGTGATTTGGTTTTATCATTGCATAGCTCAGTACGATATAAATTTATCAAATGTTTGCTGCATTACTCATGTATTCATTCAGTATATGTTTATTAAGCTGTACCATGATTCAGACACTATTGGTCACTGAGTAATACAATAATAAATAGTACTATCATACTATCAAATTGATAGTATGATAATACTAGTTACATAGCATTATTTGATAGTATGATAGTACTTGTTAAAATAAAACTATCGACAGCTGTTACCGAAAAGATGGAAATTAGTTGAAGCATACTGATGGCTCGTGTTTTCTCTGGGTGGAAAAGCTGCTGTAGAGAATGAGAGGGAGAACTAGGGAATTATAAAAGGACGGAATAGCATGGAGGGCCCAGTTGAGATTGGAGACAGAATATAAGCAGGCCCAATCTGCAAGGTTGTGTGATAATTTAAAAAATGTTTCCTTTTGGCTGGGCTAGGTGGCTCATGCCTGTAATCCCAGCACTTTAGGAGGCCGAGGCAAGTGGATTACCTGAGGTCAGGAGTTTGAGACCAGCATGGCCAACATGGTGAAACCCCCTCTCTACTAAAAATACAAAAATTAGCGAGGTGTAGTGGCGGGCACCTCTAATCTCAGCTACTCAGGAGGCTGAGGCAGGAGAATCGCTTGAACCTGGGAGGTGGAAGTTGCAGTGAGCCGAGTTCGTGCCATATCCTTATAGCACATTTGGTTTTAAAATATTCTTCTTATCTAGTAGACTACAAAAACTACTGAATATGGTTTTAAAATTTACACTGCTAACTTCCAAATGCATTGCAGAAACTTATTTTTTCCATCAGTTGTCACTGATTAGGTTTCTGGAAGGTCTCCAACAAGTGAGGTTGAACCGTTTGGAATGTTTGTTAAAACTGTGGAGATTGGCAATCTCATATAGTTCAACCTAGTAGAAGATGCTTTTAGCTTTGTAGTGCTTTTTTGATGATGGTGTTTGTGTTTTTCTTCTTAGGGGGAAGAAGAAAAAATGGTTTATGAAAATAATAGCAGGGTATACTTTTGTTTAAGTAATAAATAACTTTGTTTAAAATGAAAGGATAGGGAAAAGAGAATAAGATACGAATTTAAAGTGGAAAAGAAACACTGGTTTTGCAAGATTCTTCAAAATTCACCTCGAATCAGCAGATTTGTGACATCTTTGCTAATCTGTAGACCTGCAACGTCCAATATGGTAGTCACTGGCTACAAGTGGCAATTATGATGTACTTCAAATGTGGCTGGTGCAAATTGAGATGAGCTGTAGTGTATGATGGATGCCAAATTCTGAAAATTTAGTATGAAAAAATGTAAAATATTTTATTAGTAACTTTCCTATTAATTACAAGTTGAAATGAGAGTATCTTGAAAATAGCAAGTTAAATTAAATATTAATTTTACTTATTTCTCGGTGCTTTTTAAATACTAGTGGAACATTTCCATTGGACCTTGCTGTTTCCTACTGTAAGCTCAGATGTGGTGGTTTGATTTGCTGAGAAGTCATTTTTAGCTCATACATTGCCTCTTCTCAGATTAAATTTGGAGCTAAATGGAGCTAAGGGCTTTCTTTCTTTCTTTGTTTCTTTCTTTCCTTCCTTCCTTCTTTCCTTCCTTCCTCTTTCTTTCTTTCTTTCTTTCTTTCTTTCTTTCTTTCTTTCTTTCTTTCTTTCTTTCTTTCTTTCTTTCTTTCTTTCTTTCTTTCTTCTTTCTTTCCACCCTCCCTCCCTCCCTTCCTTCCTTCCCTCCTTCCCTCCCTCCCTCCCTCCCTCTCTCTCTTTCTCTCTTTCTTTCTTTCTTTCTCTTTCTCTTTCTTTCTTTCTTCTTTTTCTTTTTCTTTTTTTCTTTTTGACAAAGTCTTGCTCTGTTGCCCAGGCTGGAGTGCAGTGCTGTGGCACAGTTTCAGCTCACTGCAACCTCCGCCTCCTGGGTTCAAGTGATTCTCCTGCCTTAGCCTCCCAGCTGGGGCTACAGGTGCACACCACCATGCCTGGCTAATTTTTGTATTTTTAGTAGAGAGAGGTTTTCGCCAAGTTGGCCAGGCTGATCTCGAACTCCTGACCTCAGGTTATCTGCCCGCCTTGGTCTCCCAAAGTGCTGGGATTACAGGCATGAGCCACTGGGCCCGGCATTACTTTCTTTACTTCCTGTTTTAAGTAATATGTCACGGCAAAGAGACTGGTGCACACCATTAGCCATTCTAAAAGAGCTTTCATTTTATTTTTTATGTTAAACTGAAGTCAGAGACATAAGAGAGTTGGAAGAATTGAGCCCTCTTTTAATGTGGGTTTTTTGGTTTTGAAAGGTGTTCAGAGCTTACTTGCATGATAGTTCTGAATACCTTTATACAGGGTGTACATATATACAATATGTAACTTATGTTTCCCATTTCTTGTAACTATTTCCAGCCATATCTTTTCTAGATGCATTATATTGATTTAATTTTTATATCTGTGTTTTAAAAATGTCATATAATATATGATCTGTATATCAAGTCTATGTTTTTGAAATAACTGACTAACCTAAGTAATGTCATCTATTCTCACGATTTGAGCCCATGCTTCAATGACACCACTTTCTTCCCATGTTTCTGAAGTTCTAGGTTCTTTTATGTCTCTGTCTTTGGCTTAGAATATGAAATTTGCTTGGAATATATTCCAATCCTCCAACTCTTCTTTGCTGTCTGTATTAGTCTGTTCTCAAACTGCTATAAAGAACTGCCTGAGCCTGGGTAAATTACAAAGGAAAGAGGTTTAATTGACTCACAGTTCCACAGGGCTTTTCTTTTCCGCTGGGAAACTTACAATCATAGCGGAAGGGGAAGCAAACACACCCTTCTTCGCATGGTGGCAGGAAGGAGAAGAATGAGAACCAAGCATAGGAGGAAGCCCCTTATAAAACCATCAGATCTTGTGAGAACGCACTATCACGAGAATAGCATGGGAAAACTGCCCCCATGATTCAATCACCTCTCACCGGGTCCCCACCACCCCACCACACATGGGGATTATGGGAACTACAATTCAAGATGAGATTTGGGTGGGAACACAGCCAAACCATATCACTGTCATAGTGGTTATTATAGATCTTCCTTATAGCCTTTATAACATTGTACTTACTGGTTTATGTTTCTGTTTCTTTTACTAGACTGAGTTCCTTTGAAGACACAGGACTGGGTTTATGTCTGGCACATAAGTTAGACCTTATGAAATGCCTGTTGGATAAATGAAATGGTTAAGAATTCTTAGTGGATGGGTTTCTTTGTAAGTTTATTACTCTCTGGGAATGTAAGGCATTGATATTCTGTAGCCTTTGCTCTAACTGATTTGTCTGCCTCTTGGGTCCTTTTCTAACAGGTGTAAATCTGAGCTTGAAAGAAGCCAACAAGCTGCGCAGTCTGCAGATGTCTCTCTGAATCCATGCAATACACCACAAAAAATTTTTACAACTCCACTAACACCAAGTCAATATTATAGTGGTAATGCATTTTCTTCCTTGGTATAGACAGCTTTTTGTTTAGCTTGAGATTTTAATTCTGCAAAATAAATGAATTAATTCAACTTTGAATTAAACTTTTAATGTATATGTTTAAAAACTGCAGCCACTTGTTACATATCCATTTGCATATCTGTTGAATTATGTTGAGCTACTGGATTGAGCTTTTAAGCTTTTTACTTTATCCTTCTGTGGCATATTTTCAAAGAAATTCAATTTCAGAATATTTAAAACACTTATGTTTTTATGTGTTTTGATATTTGAGTAATTTGATCAATAGTTTGATCTATTTCCCTAACCAAAATGTTGTTTCTACTAAGATACTCATTTCTAGACTATCAAAATCGTTGTTGATCTGTGAATTCCTTCATGGAATCAATGACTGAAAGAAAACTGTATTTGATTGTCTGTTTCTAGGTTCCAAGTATGAAGATCTAAAAGAAAAATATAATAAAGAGGTTGAAGAACGAAAAAGATTAGAGGCAGAGGTTAAAGCCTTGCAGGCTAAAGTAAGTTAATTATGGGCCCTATAATAGAGTATGCAGTTATAGAATACTTTGATATAGAATAGAACAAGGTTAGAGAAAAATCTGTTTTACATAGAGCTGGCCTTTTTGTGTGTGTGTGTGCTGAGAAAAGGTTTTGGGCTCAGTGGAGGTGATTATTTTTTAGTTTTAAAAATAGGGTGGAATGAATAAAATAGAGTGGGGAGGTTAGTTTATCCCTAAATATTAAATGTTCATATAATGTACACTTAATTATTTCCCTATTAAGACCTAGCGATCAGGGCTATTCTTGGAGACAGTGGGGCCAGAGAATTAGTCGTGATGCTCCCTGCCTGGCTTTATCACCTGGAGGCAGTTGCTTCCTATATAGTCCTTTTGATCTATTGAATTTTACCTCTACCATTTTTGTTCACGTGTTATTTGCTGAAAACAGTTTCCAGTTTGGCACTTACTGGTGGCTTTCCACTAAACATAAGGACTTGATGAGATGGCACAATTCAGCAAGCCATTTAAGGCTGAATTTATAAGTAGGTACCTTAAATGCTGAGAATGCAGAAGTACCTCTGGCTTAGAGCTTTAACAATTTTTATTCTTTTCATGACTTTAACCCTCATTTTGATGTCATTAGGATTCTGATATGTAGCAAAGGCATTGCTTATCAAGATGAATAAAAATTAAGTACTCATTCTCTAGTTTGTCCTAGAAATATCATGTGCTTTGTCATCCAGTTCAGTCATTTGTATCAATTCTTCTCTTGACATTGATTCCTAGAGATGTTTTATGGAAAATTTGAGTCTCTAGTAAACATTAACCCTCTTCCTATGGCAAAAAAAAGTGCTTGCTGTAAAAATCTAATGCTGCATTCACCTCCATGTCTTGATATTTGTCAGAATGGAGGCAGAGAGAAGCATAGAAAGAACAATGCAAAGCGGTAGATCATCCACAAATGTATATTATATACTATTAAACACTCGATGTGACTTTTTTTGGGATAGTGATATGGTGGAATGTGAGATTTTTGAAAGAGTTCTTTAGTGTGATGTTTAACTTTGATTCTCTTGGGCAAAGCTATAGGGGGAGGTAACCAAGGACAGGCAAAGAAAAGCCAGTTTTGGAATTCAGAATGAAAGTGAATACTCACATATGTTTAATGGGTTCTAAGAAGGATGCAGAATAAATACTAAGACTTAGCCTATTTTGAATAGATTGGGCATGAGATGGTAGTAGCTTATTCCTTCAATGCTAAGAAGTCGAGCATTAGAACATTCCATCACTGGGTATTAGACTTATGGTTTACTTGACTTGATGAATGTTCTTTGTTGGTATGCAGTGCAACTGTTAACTTCTTGGGATTATGGCTTTATATTCTATCTGAAAATAAATAGCCTTGAGTATATAAGATCTTTAAAGGCCTCTAAAGAGATTCTGTTTCTACAGAAAGCAAGCCAGACTCTTCCACAAGCCACCATGAATCACCGCGACATTGCCCGGCATCAGGCTTCATCATCTGTGTTCTCATGGCAGCAAGAGAAGACCCCAAGTCATCTTTCATCTAATTCTCAAAGAACTCCAATTAGGAGAGATTTCTCTGCATCTTACTTTTCTGGGGAACAAGAGGTGACTCCAAGTCGATCAACTTTGCAAATAGGGAAAAGAGATGCTAATAGCAGTTTCTTTGACAATTCTAGCAGTCCTCATCTTTTGGATCAATTAAAAGCGCAGAATCAAGGTAACATTGAGCTAAGTTAAGTTTAAATTCACTTTGCTTGAGGTAATTTCACAGGTGATTTCAGATATTTTTAATCCCATAAAGTGCTTATGTGTTTTGTTAGGCACATCGGTGTTCAACATCCTAGACTGGTTATGTGAAATATACTGTCTTTTCAATAATGATAAAAGGCATCATAGTGTTGGAATGTAGTTTTATTTGTATTGAAAAGCTGGTGCCTGGAAGCCTCTAAAGTACGTTGAGAGGCTTTGATTTATCTTTCCAGATGCAGGGCGAGTGGGTTGGTTACAGTTTACACTCCCCATGCTTCTCATCTGGCTCCTTTTGTGACCCACAGAACCAGGCTGTGGTCTGACCAGCTTTGGCCAGAGGTTGTGTGTGTGTCTGCAGAACAGCTTTGCTGTGCCCTGCCAGGTTGTCCATATGGGAGCAAACCTGTAACCTTGGCTGCTGTGCCACGCTGCAGCTGACAGCCAAGGGTACCAGGTGGTGTTTTGGAATCTACTCTGTAGAAGATGATAATTTCCAGTGCTGTGATATATTGAAAATCACTGTCAGTGTTCACTGGTGAGAGCTGTCACCTAGCCAATGCCATTGGAACCAATGTTGTGCGTATGTGGGAAAAAAGTGGAAAAAAAATCATTGTTAATTTTGGCAGTATGGGAGGTTCACACTGTCTTGATGTTTACTGGAGGTAAAACTACCAGAGAATATAGGAGGGTGAACTTTTCACTGCTTAGCACTGATTTGCATTGATATGGGCAAAAAACAAATATAGTTTGCTGTTGTGTAAAACTAAATGGTAATTTTAACAAAGGGTGTCATATGTGATGTACTTTTCACAGTCTCAATAAGAAGATAGCGTTCCTGATTTTAGAAAAGCATTCCCCCCACCAAGTTTCTTTGTTAAAATGTAAGAAAATCTGTTTCTCCTGCTTTCTATAGAGTATTTGAATGCAAATGACAATAGAAACTAACTATTGAAATTAAATCCAATTAAAGTAGCTTCTGTATTTAGTGTAAATATTTGTTTCGTCAAAGATTTCAGAAAAGAATAAAACAAATGATAAGTTATGAACATTTTGGGAAAGATATATATGAATTGGAGTGTGATTTTTGTTTGTGGTTCAAGAGCTAAGAAACAAGATTAATGAGTTGGAACTACGCCTGCAAGGACATGAAAAAGAAATGAAAGGCCAAGTGAATAAGTTTCAAGAACTCCAACTCCAACTGGAGAAAGCAAAAGTGGAATTAATTGAAAAAGAGAAAGTTTTGAACAAATGTAGGGATGAACTAGTGAGAACAACAGCACAATACGACCAGGCGTCAACCAAGGTACTTGACTTTTCGTGAATTACTGGAGAAATCTTCATCTTTTCATACAATTATTTAGAAAGAGTATTTTATACATAAGTTTATGAAATGTCAGTAATGTTCTTTGTTAATATATATTAGGTACTCTTGATGCAACTGAACTAGAAAGCTGTTTTAAGTTGGGCAGATCCGGGATCAAGCCTGGTGCCGTACTTTCCCAGCTGAGTGACGTTGGGCAAGTCACTGATCTCTTTTATGTTGCAGGGGGTAATAGAGAATAAAGAAAATGTATATATAGCATCTAGCATGATGTGTGCCACATTAAAATAGGCACTTAATGGCACTTTAAAGGAGTTTTAGGACATTTGATAGGATTTAATTAATCTGCTCTTGGGATCGTATATATAGTTGGTCCATTGTACCCATGAGTTCTGCATTCATGGATTCAACCAACTATGGATCGTAAGTATTTAGGGGGAAAAAAGATCGTATATATAGTTGGTCCATTGTACCCATGAGTTCTGCATTCATGGATTCAACCAACTATGGATCGTAAGTATTTAGGGGGAAAAAAGATCGTATATATAGTTGGTCCATTGTACCCATGAGTTCTGCATTCATGGATTCAACCAACTATGGATCGTAAGTATTTAGGGGGAAAAAGAAAAAGGCCGGGCACCTGTGGTTTACACCCGAATCCCCACACTTTGGGAGGTTGAGACACGC
Organism: Homo sapiens; assembly: GCF_000001405.40. Classification (NCBI taxonomy): domain Eukaryota; kingdom Metazoa; phylum Chordata; class Mammalia; order Primates; family Hominidae; genus Homo; species Homo sapiens. The sequence goes on from NC_000001.11 coordinate 214,622,987, forward strand.
GGATCACTTGAGGCTAGGAGATCAAGACCAGCTAGCCCACATGACAAAACCTTGTCTCTACTACAGGTACAAAAATTAGCCAGGTGTGGTGGTGCACACCTGTAATCCCAGCTACTCGGGAGTCTGAGGCACAAGAATTGTTTAAACCTGGAAGGCAAAGGTTGCAGTGAGCAGAGATTGTGCCACTGCACTCCAGCTTGGGTGACAGGGTGAGATTCTGTCTCAAAGAATGGCTTTGTCTGTACTGATCATATACAGACCTTTTTTTCCTTGTCATTATTTCCTAAACAAATACATTATTACAAATATTTTACATAGCATATACATAGTATTAGGTATTATAAGTAATCTAGAGATGATTTAAAGTGTGTGGGAGGATGTGCATAGGTTATGTGCAAACACTATACCATTTTATATCAGGGACTTGATCATCCTCAGATTTTGGTATCTGCAAGGAGTCCTGGAACCAGTCCTTCATGGATACTGAGGGATGACTGTACACCCACCACTGAATCTTCTTAAGACTCCAACGGAGGCCAAGCTTCTTAGCCTGTTATTTTGTTGTTGTTGTTGTTGTTCTTGTTGTTGCTTTGGTCCCAGCCTACCTCTCTAGCCAGGCTTTTCTTCTCTTTTTTCTATTACTCATTCATTTACTGACTCATTTCACAAGCATGTATTGATATTTGTGCCTGCTATATATTAGGCACTGTTCCAGACCTGGGGCTGGAACAGTGATAAATAGACAAAAATCTCCAGACCTGGGGCTGGAACAGTGATAAACCAACAAAAATCATTGCTTTGTGGAGCTTCATCTTAATAGAGGGAGGCAGAAAATAACAAAAATAAAGTAACATAGATAGTATGGTATATGGTAATAAGTATTGTAGAGAAAAATGAATTATTTGACTTTTAATAAACTCTTTAGATATTTCTGAGGCTTTAGGTAAAAACCATTGTAGTAGACATACTTCTATTATTTGCTTTCTTGGGGCAGGTTCTTTCATTTGTTTACTTAAAACTTTTATTTTAAGATAATCGTAGATTCATATGCAGTTGTACAAAATAATAGCTTGTTAATGTGGTGGGTTGCACTGATTGATTTTCACACATTTGAATGAGCCTTGCATATTTGGAATAAACCCTAATTTCTTACAGTGTATAATTTAAAAAATATATTTCTGAATTTTTTTTTGCTAATGACTTATTAAGGATTTTTTGTGTCTGTATTCATAAAGGATATTGGTTGGCTTTCTTTTTTTCCCCTGCCATCTTTGTTTGATATTTGTATCAGGGTATCCTAGTTTCACAAATTAGAGAGTATTCCTTCCTCTTCAGTTGTCTGAAAGAGACTGTGTAGAATTTTTTTTTCTTTCTTTATATATTAAGTAGAATTCTCTAGTGAAATCATTTGAATCTGGAGATTTCTTTTCTGGGAGTTTTAAAATTACAAATTCAATTTTTAAAATAGTTATAGAACTATTAAAATTATCCATTTCATATTGGGGGAATTAGGATAGTTTGTATTTTCATCTAAGTTGTCAACTTTATGTATATAGAGTTATTCACTGCATTCTCTTATTCTTTTGATATTTGTAGTGATATTCCTTGTTCATTTCTGATGTTGGTAATTTGTGTCTTCTCTCTATCTCTGTGTCAGTCTTGCTAGAGATTTGTCAGTTTTGTTGATCTTTACTAATCTTTCTAAATAATCAGCCCATTGGTTCATTGATTTTTTTTTTTCTCTGTTTTCAATTTCATTGATTGCTGCTTGCTTTAGGTTTATATTGCTCAAAAAAATGTCATTAGGACCTGTTGGTTGATGATGTTGTTGAGTTTGTTAATATACTTGCTGATTTTCTGTTTAGTTGTTCAATTCATTGTTGAGAGAGAATGTTGGAGTCCCCACCTATAACTGTGATTTGTCTGTTTCTCCTTTGATTTCTTCCAGTTTTTGCTTCACATATTTTGCAGCTCTGTTGGTGAAGGCATATACATTTGGGATTGCTGTGTCTTGGTGGATTGACCCTTTTATCACTATTTAGTGTCCATGGTAATTTTCTTTATTCTGAAGTCTACTTTGTCTGTTATTAATATAGCCACTCCAGCTTTCCTTTGATTGTTAGCATGATGTATTTCTTCCTCTTTACTTTCAACCTATTTTGTTATATTGAGGCGACTTTCGTGTAGACAACATATAATTGGGCCATGTTTTTCAATATACTCTTTCACTATCTGTCTTTTTTTTTGAGACGGAGTCTGGCTCTGTCACCCAGGCTGGAGTGCAGAGGCGTGATCTCAGCTCACTGCAATCTCTGCCTCCCAGGTTCAAGTGATTCTCCTGCCTCATCCTCCTGAATAGGAGTAGCTGGGACTACAGGCACCCACGACCATGCCCGGCTAATTTTTGTATTTTTAGTAGAGACGGGGTTTCACCATGTTGGCCAGGCTGGTCTTGAACTCCTGACCTCAGGTAATCCACCCGCCTCAGCCTTCCAAAGTGTTGGGATTACAGACGTGAGCCACTGCACCTGTCCTCCACTGTCTATCTTTTAATGGGTATATTTAGGCTATTTATACTTAATGTGATTATTGATATATTGTGACCTAAGTCTGCCATTTTATTTTTTGTTTTCCATTTCTTTCTGCTTTTTCATTTGTTTTCTTTTTTTTTCCTGCCTTTGCGGGTTGTTTGAACATTTTTTAAAAATCCATTTTGATTTGTCTATATATTTTTCAGTGAATCTCTTTGTAGAGCTTCTAGTGATTGTTCTAGATATTACATTATTTATACACATTTTATCACAGTCTGTTGGTGTCTTCATTTCACTAGTTCTAGTGAATTTTACAGACTGTTTTCTCCCTTTTCGTCTTTTTACCCTCCCTCATTTATAATAGAATTGTCTTAAATGTTTTCTGTACATACATTTAGAACTACATTTTGCTTCAACTCTTAAACATATTTTAAAAAGCTGAGGAAGAGAAGGAAAGCCTATTATATTTGTGTGTGTATGTTTATATATACGTGTGTGTGTATATATATATAAAATCATTGCTAAGCCTGTTCTTCCTTCCCTCCTAGATTTCCTTCCAGTTTCCTTTATTTCCTTTCTGTTTAGAGAACTTCCTTTAGCCCTTCTTTTAGGGTAAGTCTGTTGGCCACAGATCCTTAGTTTTCCTTTATTTGAGAATGTCTTGATTTTCTTTTCATTCCTGAAGGATATTCTGTTGGGTATAGGATTCTGTGTTGACAGTCCTTTTTTCCCAGTGCCATAGTGTTTTTCTTCAGGTCCTCAGCTCCTTAGTCAGTCTGCCTTCTTCTCTCCACCTTTCAAACTTGTTTGTTTTACTATAATGTCCAGGGTTTTTATTTGTTCTAGTTAGGAGGAATAGGGAAAAGTGTGATTATTCCATCTTCCTGGAAGTAAAAATCAGGTTCATTTTTATATATTCTCCTAGTGCAGTGCCTTATACAGAGAAATTCTGGAAAAAGATTGATTAGATATATAAAGGAACAATGGTGCTTCAGTGGAACTATGACCTCCTTTGATCCATGCATTTAATATCCTCATGCAGTCTCACTACGTAATAGTAATTTGGTCTTTTAAGTTAGAAGGACTTGGATTTGAACCTGGCTCTGCCACATCTCAGTTTTATTGCTTTTTGAGTTATTTAATGAACTTCTGAGCCCCAGTTGTCTAATCAGTAAAATTGTGTTAATAATGCCTGTGTCATAGGGTTGTTGTAAAGATTGAGATAATTTTTGTAAAGGCTTTAGCATAGTTCCTGGCACATGGTGAACTTATAATAATATTAGCTGTTATTATCATGGCTTATTTTCAAGTTCCTAGTTAATTAAGCTAATTTTCAGTTGCATTTCTGCCAAGCTAGGCCTTCCTGTATGTAAGAATTACATTTCTCCTTTTACACTTTACTTATTTGGTTTTGGAGTGACAAGTTCACCAAATCCTTGTTCTGTCTGACACATATAATGAAGTTTCTTCACATAAAATCGTGAATTAATATTTTTGACTAGGATACTGCTGAGAATACAGCTCTGGTTTTCTATTAGAGTCTTCCCTCCAGGTTCTTGTTTTTGTTTTGAGACAGGGTCTCACTCTGTCATCCAGGCTGGAGTGCAGTGAAGTGATCCTGGCTCACTGCAACCTCCACTTCTGGGCTCCTTCCACCTCAGCCTCCCTAGTAGCTGAGGCTATAGGCGCCCACCACCACACCTGGCTAATTTTTGTATTTTTAGCAGAGACGAGGTTCACCATGTTGCCCAAGTTGGTATTGAACTCCTAGGCTCGAGCAGTTTGCCCCCCTCAGTCTCCCAAAGTGCTGGGATTACAGGTGTGAGACATCGCACCCAACCCCCTCAGGCTCTTTTTTTTTTTTTTTTTTTTTGAGATGGAGTTTCACTCTTGCTGCCCAGGCTTGAGTGCAATGGTGCAATCTTGGCTCACTGCAACCTCCGCCTCCTGGGTTCAAGTGATTCTCCTGTCTCAGCCTCCTGGGTAGCTGGGATTACAGGCGCATGCCACCATGCCCAGCTAATTTTTTTGTATTTTTAGTAGAGACAGGGTTTCACCATGTTGGCCAGGCTGGTCTCAAACTCCTGACCTCAGGTGATCCGCCCAACTTGGCCTCCCAAAGTGCTGGGATTACAGGCGTGAGCCACTGCACCCGGCCCCTCCAGGTTCTTAATACTTGTTTGTTCTGTGCTTTTTGGGTTCTTTTTTTCCTTTGAGCTAGAAATCCATTTAACTGAAAATTCAGTCTACTCTTTTCTGTCTTGTCCCTAAGGATAGTATGTCCTTGTCAAATGTGTAACTGAAATAAAATTATGCTATGTTTATGCTGGTTCCAGATCTAACATTAGACTTATCTATTAAATGAAATGGAATTACTGTAACAAAAATCAATACCGTGTTCTTAAGTGAACATATGCTGTTTGTAGAGTGTCTTTTCCAAGTATTTACAAGTTGTGAGATACAAGGCTTGAATTCATGGAGAAACAGAGTGTTGAGCTGGCAGCAGACCTGGAGTTCAGCACCCACAGTTCACAGATAAAAAGGTCCGGAGTGAGTGCCCAGGGTCATGTTGTGCTACATATTTTCAAGGACTTGAGCTCTGGGCACTGTTTTAGAGTATTATGGAGCATTCATGACACCTAGTGGTCATATACTCTTATATGAATTAGGTATCACTGATAATAGAATGTTGTTTAAAATTTTTTAAATAAAATGTAAGTACCTTCTAAAGACTCTTGTAACCTTCTGTGTTTAGTAGAAAAGGATTCTTGATTCCAGGACCCTTTTAGTGGACTGTATTGCAGTTTGAAGGAGTGCCAGTAGAGGGCGCCACGGGTTCATTTCATTTACTCTGTGGTGCAAGGTTTTTTTTTTTTCCTGAGATTTGTTAAACTTTGAACCATCATTTGAGCAGTGACTTTTTGTTTTGTTTTGTTTTGTTTTGAGACAGAATCTCGCTCTAATTGCCCAGGCTGGAGTGCAGTGGCACGATCTTGGCTCACTGCAACCCCTGCCTCCTGGATTTAAGCAATTCTCCTGCCTCAGTCTCCCCAGTAACTGGGATTTACAGGCAAGCGCCACCACACCCGGCTAATTTTTGTATTTTAGTAGAGACGGCGTTTCACCATGTTGCCTCAGCATTTGGAACATTGTGGAAAGAAGCATTTTAATATTTAAAATTTCCCACAAAATCCATTATGCTTGAAACAGACTATCATATGAGGGTAATGGGCACCCTCTGATGATTTTACAGCTTTTAAATTACATAGGCTAACACCATTGCATTTTAACCTCTCATTTCCATGCAACAAAATGTTAGATGAATCGTTAGACATGCCGATCTTTTTTTTCATGGCACAAATTAGGAAGTATTTATTTAAGTGGGCTAATGCTTTACATCCTTGCTAATAGTTCCTAAACATAAATTGTGTGCTAAAACAATTATAGCAGTTTTTCTAAAACACAAAATATTTGTTCATTTATGTGAGTAATATTTATTTTGTCTTGAACATTTTTATTCATTATTAGTATACTGCATTGGAACAAAAACTGAAAAAATTGACGGAAGATTTGAGTTGTCAGCGACAAAATGCAGAAAGTGCCAGATGTTCTCTGGAACAGAAAATTAAGGAAAAAGAAAAGGAGTTTCAAGAGGTAAGGTAAATGGATTCATGAGGTGTTTGTCTGAAAGGCTTTTTATGGGCTTTTCATAGTTTGATCACTTGGAAAGGGGAGTTGTTATCACAATTTGGGAAATTCTCTTAGAGGAGAAATGCTTTGTGAGCTAAAGGTCATCTTATTTTCTTTCACATCTTCACTTTTGCGCTTTTTTTAAATCTTTCAGTTTTTGATTAGAGAAGGGAATTAGTATTCAGAATTCATCCATGTTTTCTGATTTGTTTGAGATTTGATATTCAGTAGGAAAGGATCACTTTTCTTCTTTTGGACATTTTCTCTGCTGTGGAGGAAATTGTATTACATTTTCCAGTAGGCTTTTAAAATTTTTTTTTCTTTCACTCTATTTCCTTTATAACTCCAGTATTTTTTTTTTTGAGACAGAGTCTCGCAGTGTTACCCAGGCTGGAGTGCAATGGCACAATCTTGGCTCCCTGCAACCTCCACCTCCCAGGTTCCAGCAATTCTCCTGCCTCAGCCTCCCGAGGAGCTGGGATTACAGGCATGCACCACCACACCTGGCTAATTTTTGTATTTTTAGTAGAGATGGGGTTTTGCCATGTTGGCTAGGCTGGTCTCGAACTCCTGACCTCAGGTGATTCACCCACCTTGGCCTCCCAAAGTGCTGGGATTACAGGCATGAGCCACCATGCCTGGCCAACTCCAGTTGTTTTTAAACCTGTGGGTTGGTAAATAAATTAGGAGGGTAGTTGATGTGGTGGGGAAAGTGGTTGGCAGAAGAGTGAGGGTGGAAGGTGCCCTTCCATAAGTATCTGCCAATTTGGTTCTTTCAGGTGATTTAGCCTGAAAAAGTACCATACGGATTAAGAGTCTATAGATTTTAAATAAGAATGCCTGGAAATGTTAGCTGATATCTTTCTGTGGTTATTAAAGTTAATGGGTAGCATATATTTCCTGTCCTTCTACATTTAAGCCCATTTAAAGTGGTATACAGTTTTTTGTGTTTTAAACACCGTTTTTGAGTATGTTTGGTTTCTTAGTTGAGCTTTGACTGTTGTAGCTCAGTTCTTCTCTCTTGCCCCTGATCCTTCAAAGTAGAGGTAATTAATTTAAGACTGAAGATGAGGTGGAAACAGGCTACTTTCCATGTGGTCAACTGATAAGAGTCCTTCCCCTTTCCCTCAGAGACCTGGATTTGATGCCTGAGGGCAGCATGGAGCACCAAGGCTGACTATGTTCATCGTTAAGTGGACAGTTGGCTCAGCTCCCTGCTGTCTCCTGTGCTCTCTGTGCAGTCGCCTGTTAGGATGCTCATGCCTCACCCTGGAGTCTCCCTAGCGAACCATCATCAGGCTGATGCACCTGCCCTTTGTTTTTCAGGAGCTCTCCCGTCAACAGCGTTCTTTCCAAACACTGGACCAGGAGTGCATCCAGATGAAGGCCAGACTCACCCAGGAGTTACAGCAAGCCAAGAATATGCACAACGTCCTGCAGGCTGAACTGGATAAAGTAGGGGCCGTGTCTCTCTCTCTCTCCTTAATCATCCCCTCTTGTTCCTTGTACTTGTTACTTCTCTACCATAACTGACATATGATACTTTCAAAGAAAAAGCGCTCCACCTTCACTTTCCCTATCAAAGTGGAGAATGTACAGAACCATTCTGGCTCTAGGTTTCCTCATCTAGAGAAACAGTGGGGGTGAGTTAGGATTTCAGATCCGAAAGTCTGTGGAGCTCTCTCATAATCTGTTGGTTCTTGGTTCCATGACCAGGTGGGAGCTGTCCCAAGTAATTTATGCCCCCAAGTAGTTAAAGCACTGAAAATTATAATCACTTTACTTATTTAAGACTCACTCCCAAAGTGGTCTCATCCAGTTTTGTGGCTTTACATATCATCTATGTGATGATGACTCTACCCAGCCTGGATGTCTATTCTAGACTTCAGGTGTGTGGATGTGTGCTTGACAGTCCACTCACATGTCTAAAGGCACTTCATAGTAACATGCTAAGAATTGAACTCTAGGTATTTTTCTTTTTCAAAACTGTTCCTCCCTTAGTCTTCCTTACCCTGCTAACTTGCACTTCCATTCCCCGCATTGCTGGGACCAAAACCTCCATGTCACTTCTATTCTTCTTTTTCTCTTACACTTGAATCTGCTGCCTCTACTGATGGATACTTAGGTTATCAACATTTTCTTGTTCCCTGTGGCACTGTTTGTAATATCACGGGGCAGGTATCTTTGTGTATGTGTGCTGATGTTTCTATAGGTCAGATTTCTGCATGTGAAATTTATAGCCTAAAGAACATATGCATCCCAATATTTGTGTGTTTTGTTTGTTTGTTTGTTTGTTTTGTTTTGTTTTTTGAGACGGAGTCTCCCTCTGTCACCCAGGCTGGAGTGCAGTGGCACGATCTCGGCTCACTGCAACCTCATCCTCCCGGGTTTGAGTGATTCTCCTGCCTCAGCCTCCCGAGTGGCTGGGATTACAGGCGCCTGCCACCACGCCTGGCTGATTTTTGTATTTTTAGTAGAGACGAGGTTTCACCAGGTTGGCCAGGCTGGCCTCAAACTCCTAACCTCAGGTGATCTGCCCACCTTGACCTCCCAAAGTGCTGGGATTACAGGCATGAGCCGCCCTGCCTGGGCAGCATCCTAACATTTGACAGTTACTGCCAAATTGCCCTCCATAAAAGCTGTAGCAGTTACTCTCCTACCAGGTACAAGAGAGGGCCTGTTTCCTCTCATCCTTGCTAATTGGAGGTAGTCTCGGTTTTTAAAATTGTTGCTAATCAAGGAGTGAAAAATACTGTCATATCATTGTTTTAATTCACACTTCCTTGATTACCATTGAAGCTATCTCTTTCAATAGCCATTTGTATTTTTTGTATAAAGTTTTCTGTTTCTAGCCATTGCCCTTTTGTTCAATCATAGAGCGCTGTATATGTTGTATTACAGATATACTGTCTTTTATTCTGTTATATATATTGAAAATGTGTTCTCTTAGCCTGTTTCTTATCTCAACTTATTTTCCTTTTGGTTATTTATTAATACCTAGCTGTTTTATTTTTTGTGGTTAAATCTTTTTCCTGTGTGGTCTCCTTGCCACACCCAGCCTCTTTCATCTCCTATATGCAGCCGCTGAGTGACGTCGCAAGGTCACATTATGGTATTTTAAGACATATTTAGCTGTGACGTATACTGTATCTCAGCCAAAATAGATGGCATCCATTTTGATATTCCATGACCATTTTATTGTTTAAGAATACATGATTAATGAAAAAGTAAAGAACATGAAAATGAAACTTGGTCTCTTTTTCTTTTTGTAGCTCACATCAGTAAAGCAACAGCTAGAAAACAATTTGGAAGAGTTTAAGCAAAAGTTGTGCAGAGCTGAACAGGCGTTCCAGGCGAGTCAGATCAAGGAGAATGAGCTGAGGAGAAGCATGGAGGTAAGGGAGGAGGATGCCGAATTTTCTCCACTTATGTAAGAACCAAGTGCAAGGGGAAAAGAATATTCCTATTCCATTTGTCAGTTGCTTGTCATGACTGTGTGCCTTTTTCTTTTCTATTCACCAGAAGTAAGTATTACAGAATTTTCTGTATATAACCCATGACAGAATATGATTGCTTATTTTTCTACTCTCTATTCTGTATATAATTACTAATATGCATCTAGCAATTATAGCATATCTAGCAATATGTGTCTACAACATGACTTGTATTAAGAATATGTAGTCCTTCCTTAAAGATTGTTTTAGACCCCCAGGGAGGTGGAAAGATGGGAAAGGAAGGAAGGGATTTTTTAAATGGAAAGAAACAAAATTGGAAGTATCATCTAAATCCCTTTTCTAACTGTTGGCATTTGTGTCTTTCAATATTAAAAACACGTGGAAAGTCATAGATTTAAATAAACAAAAGTAGTGACAGATAAAGAGTTTCTAGATTAAAAATTCTTATAAAAACATCAAGCAATTGTCAATTATATGACTCTGGCTTCAAAAGTGGACACTGACCTTAATGTTCAGCCTGTGCATGCCCTGGTTGACGGTGTCTTTGGAGACTTTGTTTTGTCCACAAAGTGGTGGATGAGGGTTCCTGAATGGCATGGATGCCCTGATGGGATTTTATGCATACATACTTCAATTTGGCTTCTCTCTGAATTTATTTAGTGGCCTGGATTTTATTTTAAAGGGCTTAATTAAGAACCATTCAGTGACAGTTAATAGACTGAAACAATTTGAAGAGAGCCATAAATCAACATTGTAATTTTAAGAAGAGGAACAACACAAGAATGGTAGAAATTTCTTCTCCATCAAACCCCACAGGAAAGAATGTTTTTCTGTTTATTCTTTAAATGTTCTATGATCACTTTTTAGGCTGTAAAGATTAAGAAAACTTTGTCCATAAAGAACAGTTATTTGTTCAGGTGAGGAAAGTCTAAATGTATTTATCCCCACCGCTTTGCAGAGTGTATCATGATGGTAAAATCAGAACATCTGTCAGTAGCAGACAGGTGATTGTTAAATCAGCTAACCCCAAAGGGGCAATACTGCTGGAGATAGGGGGCTGCAGCTCCAGCCACAAAGTGGAAGAAAACTTCAAATCAGATGATAGTTTCATCAGCAAACGTTTTCAAATGGAAGTGTTTGTTTCAGCAAAACAAATGTTTGCCTTTTGGCCAGTGGGGACCAACCAACAGATGCTTCTGCTAACATTTCCACAGGCAGACTGGCATCGAACTCTTCCCTCTGTGAGCTTCCCTTTCAGCCAGGAACTCTCCCGCGACTCCACTGGCTGCCTGGTGGAAACATTTTGTAAAAGCAATCATCTGGTTAAGAGAGTCCAAACACTTTAAAAACTGCTTGCTTGGCCAAGTCGCAGTAGTGGGCTGGACATTGTCTTGCAGGTGTTTCTGAAGACTTGTTCATCCCCACGAGGTCTGGTCCGTGAGCTGTAGCGCTGTCCTCAGTTAATCCCAGCCTGTACTGAGGTGCATGCATCACATTTCACTGGTATATCATTGATGTCTGTGTCAAATGAGGGCATCTGTGTGAAAGTGTCTAGCACCGGGCCTGGGGATGAAGTTAATATTTGTCTTAATTTATGGTTATGTTTATGTATGTGTCATCTTTTGAGGGTGATAGCAAGATTTCAAAGAGTTTGGCTGGCTCTTGTGTTTTGCATTGGGATTGGGACCAGATAACTGATGAACCCAGTTAGAGTGGTGGTGTAACTTAGTGGGAAAATGGTAGTGGCTTTAGAGTGAGTGAGATCTGAGATTGTGTTGCTTTTCTGCCACCTACCACAATGTGACCTTTAGACAGTGGCTTACCCTTTCTCAGTCTGACTTTCCTCATCTGCATATAGGGACAAATCATTCTCCTGCCTTTTCAAGGCTGTATTCTTGGTTAAGTTAAATATTGTATGTAAAGTGCTTAGCCCAGTGCCCAGCACATAAGTGCTCAGTCAGTTATTGCAGTCCAACACCTGCCCATTGCCTTGGTCTTCATCACTGCCATGACCTTTTGATGTTAGCATTGTTTGCTGTCACCTACAGGCACAGAAAGTGTGATCAGGGGACAGTGCACTTGAGATTTCTCATATTTATAATTTTGCCTGTTCTATTACTGTGTCACTCTGGGTATCTTTCTGTGTCTAATTATATGTAAGCACTAACAAATTTAGGACGCTTATAGGTTTTGGATGCCGAAATAATGTGACAGTTGTACTGAAATTTTCCTTGTCTGTGTTTAGTAAACATGCTGCTCACAATGAGAAATTATCAGTACTGGAAATGTGATTTAATGGCCCAATCAAGGGTAAAGTTAACATTTAGTATCAAAGTGAATGGAGGGTTTAGATAAGCTGCTCGTCCACTATCCAGTGCCAGCCCCATAGCATTGGGGTTAGGCAATAAAATACCATCGTTTGACAGTCAAGATGAGGGAACACTTGCCTGGGGACCTTTCCAAGCATAGGGATCTGTATTACACTAGGTCCTCTAAGGAGCTGGCTCTGGCAAGCAAGAGAGATGAGGAGGAAAGGGAAAAACACATTCTTTGCATCCATCCCTTATCCAAGTATATAGGCTTCGCCCAGCAGGGGACGTATTAAGCTATATTCATGGATGGGATCATGAAATGCCACACAGTAGCTGAAATTTGTTTTGTCTGGCCCTAGGAAATGATGCCTCCCTTGCTGCTCCTAAAGCGAAGTTGATCTGGGTGGAATTGCTTGCTAAGCTCTAATGCTGGCTTGTGGTTATAGGGATTTTTGTTGTGCTTTTCCAGCATAGTACCCAATTTTGCAAATCATGTGAGGATGCAGGAGATGCCTAGGAAAATGTATCTTTGTATGCTTAACTCATTGTTGATAATGAGATACCCAATCAAGTCTTAAGTGGCTGTAGCCTCGTGGAAAACTAATTGCTGATGGATGGCAGCTTGCACATCCATTTTCAGATGTTCATTTTCTAAATTCTGGCCTTTTAAAATTCTTGGGTTGGTCATAGCCATAGCATTATAAGCCTGCTGGGTCCCAGGATTGGCTGAACATTTCTTCGTTAGACACAAATATTTACGGAGCTAATGCCAGAATAGAGAAAGTCATGTTAATCTTTCCATTGAGCTTACTATTCATTTAAATGTCTCCAGTTATGGACAGACATGGATCGAGACCAACAAACACATAAACATAAAATTCCCCATCTTTCCCTGGTGCCCTCTCTCTCTTCTTTTTTCCTTCCTTCCTATTGGGACGCACCTAGTTTTGCACAGTGTCTTTCCAGCTTTCTTGTCAAGCCTCCAGATGCAGGTGTCATTTGATTTGATTAAAAAATTTTTTTTTTAGAGTAAGAAAATATTTTTTCATTTGCAAAATAAAAATGCTAAGTCGACCCAGGTAATTACATTCTAGTTCCTCTTCTATGTTGACCTCATTCAGCTGATCTTAGCATTGATTACAGAGATCTGGCTACTGTTAAATTTTGGGAGGAAATACTACTAATAATGCTACATTGCCCCTGTCAAAGTGCTTTAAGATGTTTGTCCTTTCACATCTGTGATCTCATTTGAGGGGTGATTATTCTGAGTCTGAAGAACAAACCAGTCATTATACGTTCCATAATTTAATGATGCTAATTTAAATCAATAACATTGTTGCACCTTAATGATCGTGCTTTGCAAAGTTTAACACTGACTAGTGTGAATGTTAGCCTATCAATCTTGAGATCGGTTGGAGCTGCCCTTTAGTTCTGATTGATATCTTAATTCGATAGAGTGTCAGTTTAGCAGCAGGGAAGCAGGATCAGGACACGGTAGATGGGAGTATAATAACTACAACAGGTTCTGTCTTATTTTAATGATGAAATGAACGCATATACATGAACGGAGCAGCTGCCAGCAAGTTTTCAAGTACTTTCTACTAGCCAGATTCTCCCTCTTCTTGAATTTGGCTTTGCTACATCGGTACCCATCTGCTGGTAGTAACCAGACTGATAATTGAAGGCAGCCTTCCAACACAGTATTGCCACGGCCATCTGTTTTCTAACAGTGCAGTAGGGTTTTGGAGGATGGGTCTTAATTGTTTCTTTAAGATTCAGAATTTTTCCTCTACTTCACAAAGGGGTAATTTTGGTAGGTTTGAAATGCAGTTTAGAAAAAAGTTAGCTTTATATGATTTTTCCCCGCTTGAGGATGTGAGGTGCTTGGTTCTCTTAGCTTGTAATGATTTATGCCAATTCCCTGTGGTCCAAAGGGTGGCATACAGTATAGGTTGAGATACTTGTTTGTTATGTGAGTCTTATGTGGTTAATAAGCAAAAAAGTTTTTCTTTGGCATGTAAATATTGCTTGCTTTTAAGATTCAGAACATATAGGCCTCCCTAGTAGTAGAATGGAACTACACATGTACCTGTGTTACTTTATTGCATGCTGTTGCGTGGATGTCTCTTCAATCAGATGCCCAAAGAACCTGTTTTCACTGTGAAAGCTCAGAAGCTAGAATTAATTCTTCCTCTGTGTTCCAGCCCTCTGATTTCCCATAGCACACTCAATGTCTCTTTAGTATTTAGCATATCCTATTGTGTATTAAATGATTAGTATCACATCTTCCCCCACTGGAGGATGTCTGCCCCAAGGGCAGAGACTCTGTCTTATTTATATTTGCATTTTTTGTAATGCACATTCCAGCATCTTGAATATTGTTGGTTTTCTTGATAAGCATTTATTGAAGGTAATTTTTCCCACAGAATCATTCCTGTAACAGCAAACCTTAAGATGGTTTTGCAATGAAAAGTAAACATATGTGCTGAGATTTTTTTTTTTTTTTGGTTTATTAACAAATCAAATGTTTGCAAAGGTATATTTGGCCATTCAGGTGTGATAGGAACTTGGAGGTTTTGTCTTGAGGATCTTGTAGATAGGATTTTCCTTTTGAGCTTACTCTTTAATAGGCGTATGAACAATGAGAAAGTTCAATGAAACTTCTTGAAAGAAAAAATTATCTTCAGATTTGGGTTTGATGCTGTTGTCTTCTGTTCATAACATTATTTAAGTAAGAATGTCTGACTTCATTAGGTACTCAAACGGGGAAATTGTGATTCTTTCCCTAGTGAGATACACAAACAGTTCTGCTAGGGACCTTTATTAAGGCAGAAGTCATAACTTACTTGAGCATTCGTTTTGGCTATAACCAATTAAAATGTGTGTTTTAGGAAATGAAGAAGGAAAACAACCTCCTTAAGAGTCACTCTGAGCAAAAGGCCAGAGAAGTCTGCCACCTGGAGGCAGAACTCAAGAACATCAAACAGTGTTTAAATCAGAGCCAGAATTTTGCAGAAGAAATGAAAGGTAAGTAAACTTAGTATTTTAGAGTTACCTTTCTAAGCTGCTATTCCCGTGAGAGGGGATGGATGGCATTAACATATTAGAGAAACTCTTTGGATTTTTTTTCATATATTCCCTCAAAAAGATGTGCGCAGTTGATGTGGAAGAGTTTTCCCTCTTCTAGTTTTTAGTTTCCAGAGTGAGAGTGGGACTTTTTTTAATTGGAACATATTGAGTCCCAAACGCCTGATGCTCAGCACTTTGAAATCAGAAGGGTAAATATTTTCCACACAAAGCTAAATTGTCAGTGCTGTCTCTCACCCCCGAGTGCTATTCTCTGTGTCTCTAGTGTGCTTGTTAGTTACATCCAGACAGCTCATCTCCTGACTCATTACCATTTCCCTTATAATGGAAAAACCCTATATTAAATGCATGTTTTCCAAGCTCCTAATGACCATTGTTTTTTGATGACTTACTTGACTGAATGATTTTATTTTCTTATTTTAAAGCCAAAGAATTCTGCTCTACACATCAAATGAATCCACTCTTGGTTTCATATTTGTATGTTTGTGCCGGATGTCTTCTACATACCCTTTATTTTCTCACCTGGGGTGTTTGCATATCTAGAATTTCTTTGAACTCTGTCCTGTGGAATGTGTGTCACACTTCTCTGTGACTATTTTTTTAAAACCCCAATCTTGGTGTGGTGGCGGGTGCCTGTAGTCCCAGCTACTCTGGAGGCTGAGGCAGGAGAATGGCATGAACCCAGGAGGCGGAGATTGCGCCACTGCACTCCAGCCAGGGCGACAGAGCGAGACTCCATCTCAAAAAAATAAAACAAAACAAAAACCCAATCTTCCCAAGACAGCTTTTAGTTTTTCCACAGCAGCAGATAGAAATGTCAGTTTTCAGCTTTCTTGAAGGGAAACTGTAAGAAAAGGAACAGTTGGGGCATTTTTCAGTGTTGATCACCCAGGTGATTGTTTGAGTTGCTCACAGCAAAGTGGGATGAAGCCCTTGTGGTGCTGTCTACATAAGCCCTTAACTATAAGTAGGTAGATTGAGATTGACAGCTTAGAAGTTCGTACTGCTTTCCACTTGATATGATGTCTGAGATTGTAATACATGTTACCTTTATCATCTACTGTGGAGGTTCTCAACTTTCAATCTCCCCCAACATACTTGAGCAACATGAAGCCTTCTTATCACTGTTTAATGAAAACATCGTGGTTATTCCCAACCAGGAGGGGCCAGTATGTATAGATGAGTCATTAGGCAGAAGACAGGGGGTAACGGAGTTTGAAGAAGCTTCCAAATGACTGTGACATTCATAGACACTGCCACCCTTACTATGAGGGGCTGGGATGGGGGTGATAATGTTCCTCAGGAATATTCACATATAGGCCTTGAGAATTACTGATATATGGCATCATTTACTCTTTTCTACTTAAGTCTAATCCTGTGGATGTTTTAGCTAAAATGGTGGAGTACTTATTTACTTTTCTGAGACATCAGAATTACTCTACAATAAAGTGGGATGTTCCCATTTCAGTGCTGTTCTTGTCCCAGTTTTCTCTCTTGGAATAAATATTTGAAAAGATGGTAAAAATATACACATATGTAAACACATACAAAGAAAAGAAACAGTGCTTAGGAAAATCATCCCTTGGTATTTTATTCAATAACATGTTCTTAAGCTGCTAGAAAGAAGATGAACAAATGTGTTACTCTCCTTAAGATAACCATTTTTCTCATTTTTATATAAGATAATTACCAAGTGATCCACTTTCTAGGAGGTACCCAGGCAATAATGCCAGTTTTTCCAGGGCTTGAGTAGTTGTTAGTTTGTTTGGATTTTGCCAGGGGGCGGGGGGAGGGGTTAGCGTTTCTGTAGAATAAACATTTATTACAAACATTGACGACTTTTATTTATTTTTAAATAGCGAAGAATACCTCTCAGGAAACCATGTTAAGAGATCTTCAAGAAAAAATAAATCAGCAAGAAAACTCCTTGACTTTAGAAAAACTGAAGCTTGCTGTGGCTGATCTGGAAAAGCAGCGAGATTGTTCTCAAGACCTTTTGAAGAAAAGAGAACATCACATTGAACAACTTAATGATAAGTTAAGCAAGACAGAGAAAGAGTCCAAAGCCTTGCTGAGTGCTTTAGAGTTAAAAAAGAAAGAATATGAAGAATTGAAAGAAGAGAAAACTCTGTTTTCTTGTTGGAAAAGTGAAAACGAAAAACTTTTAACTCAGATGGAATCAGAAAAGGAAAACTTGCAGAGTAAAATTAATCACTTGGAAACTTGTCTGAAGACACAGCAAATAAAAAGTCATGAATACAACGAGAGAGTAAGAACGCTGGAGATGGACAGAGAAAACCTAAGTGTCGAGATCAGAAACCTTCACAACGTGTTAGACAGTAAGTCAGTGGAGGTAGAGACCCAGAAACTAGCTTATATGGAGCTACAGCAGAAAGCTGAGTTCTCAGATCAGAAACATCAGAAGGAAATAGAAAATATGTGTTTGAAGACTTCTCAGCTTACTGGGCAAGTTGAAGATCTAGAACACAAGCTTCAGTTACTGTCAAATGAAATAATGGACAAAGACCGGTGTTACCAAGACTTGCATGCCGAATATGAGAGCCTCAGGGATCTGCTAAAATCCAAAGATGCTTCTCTGGTGACAAATGAAGATCATCAGAGAAGTCTTTTGGCTTTTGATCAGCAGCCTGCCATGCATCATTCCTTTGCAAATATAATTGGAGAACAAGGAAGCATGCCTTCAGAGAGGAGTGAATGTCGTTTAGAAGCAGACCAAAGTCCGAAAAATTCTGCCATCCTACAAAATAGAGTTGATTCACTTGAATTTTCATTAGAGTCTCAAAAACAGATGAACTCAGACCTGCAAAAGCAGTGTGAAGAGTTGGTGCAAATCAAAGGAGAAATAGAAGAAAATCTCATGAAAGCAGAACAGATGCATCAAAGTTTTGTGGCTGAAACAAGTCAGCGCATTAGTAAGTTACAGGAAGACACTTCTGCTCACCAGAATGTTGTTGCTGAAACCTTAAGTGCCCTTGAGAACAAGGAAAAAGAGCTGCAACTTTTAAATGATAAGGTAGAAACTGAGCAGGCAGAGATTCAAGAATTAAAAAAGAGCAACCATCTACTTGAAGACTCTCTAAAGGAGCTACAACTTTTATCCGAAACCCTAAGCTTGGAGAAGAAAGAAATGAGTTCCATCATTTCTCTAAATAAAAGGGAAATTGAAGAGCTGACCCAAGAGAATGGGACTCTTAAGGAAATTAATGCATCCTTAAATCAAGAGAAGATGAACTTAATCCAGAAAAGTGAGAGTTTTGCAAACTATATAGATGAAAGGGAGAAAAGCATTTCAGAGTTATCTGATCAGTACAAGCAAGAAAAACTTATTTTACTACAAAGATGTGAAGAAACCGGAAATGCATATGAGGATCTTAGTCAAAAATACAAAGCAGCACAGGAAAAGAATTCTAAATTAGAATGCTTGCTAAATGAATGCACTAGTCTTTGTGAAAATAGGAAAAATGAGTTGGAACAGCTAAAGGAAGCATTTGCAAAGGAACACCAAGAATTCTTAACAAAATTAGCATTTGCTGAAGAAAGAAATCAGAATCTGATGCTAGAGTTGGAGACAGTGCAGCAAGCTCTGAGATCTGAGATGACAGATAACCAAAACAATTCTAAGAGCGAGGCTGGTGGTTTAAAGCAAGAAATCATGACTTTAAAGGAAGAACAAAACAAAATGCAAAAGGAAGTTAATGACTTATTACAAGAGAATGAACAGCTGATGAAGGTAATGAAGACTAAACATGAATGTCAAAATCTAGAATCAGAACCAATTAGGAACTCTGTGAAAGAAAGAGAGAGTGAGAGAAATCAATGTAATTTTAAACCTCAGATGGATCTTGAAGTTAAAGAAATTTCTCTAGATAGTTATAATGCGCAGTTGGTGCAATTAGAAGCTATGCTAAGAAATAAGGAATTAAAACTTCAGGAAAGTGAGAAGGAGAAGGAGTGCCTGCAGCATGAATTACAGACAATTAGAGGAGATCTTGAAACCAGCAATTTGCAAGACATGCAGTCACAAGAAATTAGTGGCCTTAAAGACTGTGAAATAGATGCGGAAGAAAAGTATATTTCAGGGCCTCATGAGTTGTCAACAAGTCAAAACGACAATGCACACCTTCAGTGCTCTCTGCAAACAACAATGAACAAGCTGAATGAGCTAGAGAAAATATGTGAAATACTGCAGGCTGAAAAGTATGAACTCGTAACTGAGCTGAATGATTCAAGGTCAGAATGTATCACAGCAACTAGGAAAATGGCAGAAGAGGTAGGGAAACTACTAAATGAAGTTAAAATATTAAATGATGACAGTGGTCTTCTCCATGGTGAGTTAGTGGAAGACATACCAGGAGGTGAATTTGGTGAACAACCAAATGAACAGCACCCTGTGTCTTTGGCTCCATTGGACGAGAGTAATTCCTACGAGCACTTGACATTGTCAGACAAAGAAGTTCAAATGCACTTTGCCGAATTGCAAGAGAAATTCTTATCTTTACAAAGTGAACACAAAATTTTACATGATCAGCACTGTCAGATGAGCTCTAAAATGTCAGAGCTGCAGACCTATGTTGACTCATTAAAGGCCGAAAATTTGGTCTTGTCAACGAATCTGAGAAACTTTCAAGGTGACTTGGTGAAGGAGATGCAGCTGGGCTTGGAGGAGGGGCTCGTTCCATCCCTGTCATCCTCTTGTGTGCCTGACAGCTCTAGTCTTAGCAGTTTGGGAGACTCCTCCTTTTACAGAGCTCTTTTAGAACAGACAGGAGATATGTCTCTTTTGAGTAATTTAGAAGGGGCTGTTTCAGCAAACCAGTGCAGTGTAGATGAAGTATTTTGCAGCAGTCTGCAGGAGGAGAATCTGACCAGGAAAGAAACCCCTTCGGCCCCAGCGAAGGGTGTTGAAGAGCTTGAGTCCCTCTGTGAGGTGTACCGGCAGTCCCTCGAGAAGCTAGAAGAGAAAATGGAAAGTCAAGGGATTATGAAAAATAAGGAAATTCAAGAGCTCGAGCAGTTATTAAGTTCTGAAAGGCAAGAGCTTGACTGCCTTAGGAAGCAGTATTTGTCAGAAAATGAACAGTGGCAACAGAAGCTGACAAGCGTGACTCTGGAGATGGAGTCCAAGTTGGCGGCAGAAAAGAAACAGACGGAACAACTGTCACTTGAGCTGGAAGTAGCACGACTCCAGCTACAAGGTCTGGACTTAAGTTCTCGGTCTTTGCTTGGCATCGACACAGAAGATGTAAGTACCTGGGATTTAAATGCCATTTCTCGGTTTACATGACTAGTGGACACTCAGTAAATGTTTGTCTAATTGAAATGTACATTAAACCTAAGTTAAAATATTTTTAGGGTTCAAGGAAATAAAATACACCAAAATATTTTCAAAACAAACCAGAACTTGAGGAAAATGAGTAAACGTTATTTGAGGAATAAATTTCTATAGGGATTAGATTTACATAGCATTATATAGAATATTACTAAAGATGTTTTTAAAGTCTGGAGAAAATTATATTATGGAGTCAGAAAGTCTTTAGAATGTGTGTTTCCACCCTTTGTGCATTAATAAAGTATACTGAAATAATTAAGAACTTACAAATGGTAATATGTAAATTTTTAATCTCTCCCACTTTTCAGACTATTTTTGATGTTATGGCATTATCGTCATGAAACTAAATACAGCAGATTCTTTATGTATTACTAAACAGTTTTCTCTCTAACAATTTACTGTGGTACAAAAATATGATTTGGTATAAGTCATTTAAAAGGGCTTTTAAAAAATTGAATACATATTTGTTTAATTGCTTGTAACTTTGTCCTTTCTAGCCTGCTAGCTTAATTAATAATGCTATATAGTGTATGCATGTCACTTGATTTCCTCTGTCTATCTCTGTGAGGTAGAGAAGGCAGGTCATGGTGAGGTGATGGCAGGTGTAGGTGCAACAGCAGATCCCCAGTTTACAGATGAGAGGAAAGTGAGGCTCAAATATGTAATTTATCCAATAATGTACAGTAAGTGCTGGATTGGGGATTAAGTCCTTGGACTGGGAATCTGGTTATGAAACTTTACTGCCTTATTAAAGAGTATCATAAATGCTGAAGGTGGAAGCTGAGCATTTTGTTAGCCTCTTATTTAATAATTACAAAGAGATTTCATATTTAGGCTACCTGAATATTCTTAGCAAGGGAAAAATATGAAATTTAAATACATTACAAATTGTAATTGAGCCGAAGGGTTTGTCTTCAAGATAAATGCCTAACCCCAGTGTCTTGCCCATAGGGGCCACTTACTGAACGTATAAGTATGTTGAACATTTGAATGAAGAGAGAAAGATGTAGTGGGAAATTCACCACTTTAAGAGATGTGTTTAGCAGAGGCCACGCATCAGTTTCTAAAAAGTAATAACTAAATCTATTCTATTTTGATTCTTTTTGAAAAATAAAATGCATGCTTGTTATGTATTATAATTACAGGCTATTCAAGGCCGAAATGAGAGCTGTGACATATCAAAAGAACATACTTCAGAAACTACAGAAAGAACACCAAAGCATGATGTTCATCAGATTTGTGATAAAGATGCTCAGCAGGACCTCAATCTAGACATTGAGAAAATAACTGAGACTGGTGCAGTGAAACCCACAGGAGAGTGCTCTGGGGAACAGTCCCCAGATACCAATTATGAGCCTCCAGGGGAAGATAAAACCCAGGGCTCTTCAGAATGCATTTCTGAATTGTCATTTTCTGGTCCTAATGCTTTGGTACCTATGGATTTCCTGGGGAATCAGGAAGATATCCATAATCTTCAACTGCGGGTAAAAGAGACATCAAATGAGAATTTGAGATTACTTCATGTGATAGAGGACCGTGACAGAAAAGTTGAAAGTTTGCTAAATGAAATGAAAGAATTAGACTCAAAACTCCATTTACAGGAGGTACAACTAATGACCAAAATTGAAGCATGCATAGAATTGGAAAAAATAGTTGGGGAACTTAAGAAAGAAAACTCAGATTTAAGTGAAAAATTGGAATATTTTTCTTGTGATCACCAGGAGTTACTCCAGAGAGTAGAAACTTCTGAAGGCCTCAATTCTGATTTAGAAATGCATGCAGATAAATCATCACGTGAAGATATTGGAGATAATGTGGCCAAGGTGAATGACAGCTGGAAGGAGAGATTTCTTGATGTGGAAAATGAGCTGAGTAGGATCAGATCGGAGAAAGCTAGCATTGAGCATGAAGCCCTCTACCTGGAGGCTGACTTAGAGGTAGTTCAAACAGAGAAGCTATGTTTAGAAAAAGACAATGAAAATAAGCAGAAGGTTATTGTCTGCCTTGAAGAAGAACTCTCAGTGGTCACAAGTGAGAGAAACCAGCTTCGTGGAGAATTAGATACTATGTCAAAAAAAACCACGGCACTGGATCAGTTGTCTGAAAAAATGAAGGAGAAAACACAAGAGCTTGAGTCTCATCAAAGTGAGTGTCTCCATTGCATTCAGGTGGCAGAGGCAGAGGTGAAGGAAAAGACGGAACTCCTTCAGACTTTGTCCTCTGATGTGAGTGAGCTGTTAAAAGACAAAACTCATCTCCAGGAAAAGCTGCAGAGTTTGGAAAAGGACTCACAGGCACTGTCTTTGACAAAATGTGAGCTGGAAAACCAAATTGCACAACTGAATAAAGAGAAAGAATTGCTTGTCAAGGAATCTGAAAGCCTGCAGGCCAGACTGAGTGAATCAGATTATGAAAAGCTGAATGTCTCCAAGGCCTTGGAGGCCGCACTGGTGGAGAAAGGTGAGTTCGCATTGAGGCTGAGCTCAACACAGGAGGAAGTGCATCAGCTGAGAAGAGGCATCGAGAAACTGAGAGTTCGCATTGAGGCCGATGAAAAGAAGCAGCTGCACATCGCAGAGAAACTGAAAGAACGCGAGCGGGAGAATGATTCACTTAAGGATAAAGTTGAGAACCTTGAAAGGGAATTGCAGATGTCAGAAGAAAACCAGGAGCTAGTGATTCTTGATGCCGAGAATTCCAAAGCAGAAGTAGAGACTCTAAAAACACAAATAGAAGAGATGGCCAGAAGCCTGAAAGTTTTTGAATTAGACCTTGTCACGTTAAGGTCTGAAAAAGAAAATCTGACAAAACAAATACAAGAAAAACAAGGTCAGTTGTCAGAACTAGACAAGTTACTCTCTTCATTTAAAAGTCTGTTAGAAGAAAAGGAGCAAGCAGAGATACAGATCAAAGAAGAATCTAAAACTGCAGTGGAGATGCTTCAGAATCAGTTAAAGGAGCTAAATGAGGCAGTAGCAGCCTTGTGTGGTGACCAAGAAATTATGAAGGCCACAGAACAGAGTCTAGACCCACCAATAGAGGAAGAGCATCAGCTGAGAAATAGCATTGAAAAGCTGAGAGCCCGCCTAGAAGCTGATGAAAAGAAGCAGCTCTGTGTCTTACAACAACTGAAGGAAAGTGAGCATCATGCAGATTTACTTAAGGGTAGAGTGGAGAACCTTGAAAGAGAGCTAGAGATAGCCAGGACAAACCAAGAGCATGCAGCTCTTGAGGCAGAGAATTCCAAAGGAGAGGTAGAGACCCTAAAAGCAAAAATAGAAGGGATGACCCAAAGTCTGAGAGGTCTGGAATTAGATGTTGTTACTATAAGGTCAGAAAAAGAAAATCTGACAAATGAATTACAAAAAGAGCAAGAGCGAATATCTGAATTAGAAATAATAAATTCATCATTTGAAAATATTTTGCAAGAAAAAGAGCAAGAGAAAGTACAGATGAAAGAAAAATCAAGCACTGCCATGGAGATGCTTCAAACACAATTAAAAGAGCTCAATGAGAGAGTGGCAGCCCTGCATAATGACCAAGAAGCCTGTAAGGCCAAAGAGCAGAATCTTAGTAGTCAAGTAGAGTGTCTTGAACTTGAGAAGGCTCAGTTGCTACAAGGCCTTGATGAGGCCAAAAATAATTATATTGTTTTGCAATCTTCAGTGAATGGCCTCATTCAAGAAGTAGAAGATGGCAAGCAGAAACTGGAGAAGAAGGATGAAGAAATCAGTAGACTGAAAAATCAAATTCAAGACCAAGAGCAGCTTGTCTCTAAACTGTCCCAGGTGGAAGGAGAGCACCAACTTTGGAAGGAGCAAAACTTAGAACTGAGAAATCTGACAGTGGAATTGGAGCAGAAGATCCAAGTGCTACAATCCAAAAATGCCTCTTTGCAGGACACATTAGAAGTGCTGCAGAGTTCTTACAAGAATCTAGAGAATGAGCTTGAATTGACAAAAATGGACAAAATGTCCTTTGTTGAAAAAGTAAGTGGCTATATCTGTTTATGTTTAAATATGTAGTCATGAGGCAGGAAACCATATTTTCTTCTAGACACTGTGAATTGTATTTACTTCTAGACCGTGTCTGCTATATTGGACCAAACTTTGTAAAGGCTTTATGTTTACTGGGTCTTGAATTGCAGAAACACTGAGTTGGCTCTGGCAGTAGTCACTATTCTGGCTGATTCTTTGGGACATGTTCATGGATTGGACCAGGTTTTTAATGTGGCACCTACATAAGGGCAAAGCTTTGGTTTATGCACAGTTCCTTGTTCTAGTTATATTTCCTTTTCTTAGAGTACATCAGAATAGTGGCCTCCCCATATCCAGTTGAGACTCACTGCTATAGAGAGTATAACAGACATTATCTAGGATCGGAAAGGATCTGCCTGCCTTACTGTGTCTTTTTTGCCTTCAGGACAAAGCACTTTTAAAGATACTGATAGATTTGTAACCAACAGAGCACTCATGGCTTCTAGGGTGTGTTTTGGGGATTTCGTGCTTTCAGTCCCTCTTATACCTTCTCTTTGTGCAGTCTTCTATTGTATTAGTTGATGATTAAAGGGAAGATCTGCCATCAAGAGGCTCAATTATTAAAGAAAAATTAAGTTTTGGCCCAGTGAGCTTACTTAGTGATCTAGGAAAGTGATTTTGTCACACTTAATTCTTGCTGAACAAATATTAAAGAATAAAAGGACTATCCACAAAATTCATCTCCACCCTGTATTTTCTAAGAATTTTGGGGTTTTGGATACCTTGCAAGAGATGGCAGTCAGTATAGAGATGATGAGACAAACCATAGCAAGCTGTTTCACTTCAAGGGACAAATGCAAACAATAGCTTTTTAACTGTTTTTCAGTAATCATAAGCATGTTTATTGCAGATTAGTATGGCACTGGGGGATTAGTAGAGATCCAAGAAGTGATAAGATACTGCCTGATAATGATAATCTTTGATGTTTAAGTTTAATTCAAATTAATACCTTTGTGAAAGATTTTAAGACTTAGGGATATTATCTTTCCTTGTCATTCCTTCCCTTATTACTATTCTTCTATTAAATCTTTTCTGGGAAGAAAAGGTAAGCTTACTAGTAGGTTTTGAGAATGTTGAGTTGAGTGGATTAGTAAAGGCGGGATTAGCCAGCTTCCATTTTATGATTGAAGGCTAAAATAAATGGCATGAATATGTTGTATCAGAGTGGTCGATCTGATCAAAACAGACCACCAAAAAGCAGATTCTAATGAAAGATGAAATTTCAGGTAAACAAAATGACTGCAAAGGAAACTGAGCTGCAGAGGGAAATGCATGAGATGGCACAGAAAACAGCAGAGCTGCAAGAAGAACTCAGTGGAGAGAAAAATAGGCTAGCTGGAGAGTTGCAGTTACTGTTGGAAGAAATAAAGAGCAGCAAAGTAAGTTTCTTTGTGACAAGTGTTATTATGATCTGTTAATTCATTGTGCACACTCTCCTTATTGGTTCCTGTAAGACCTTCTGTTGTTTACCTAACTTATTTTTAGCTCTTGAAAAAAATAACCCTGTGCTTATGTCATAATCTGATTTATAGTAATCTCTACCATCCAGCACTATCAGGAGCCCACAAGGAGTCGTGAGAAGCCTCTGAACACATGAAAGTATCTGTCTCAGAGCCCAAATACATTTTCATGGAAGAGGACCCTTGGACCACATTAACGCACAACAGAAGTAGATCTCATGCCGCTTTCAACAAGTTTATCTGCCTCCCTAGCTTGCCACAGATTACAGGGTGGAATGTTGCTAGAAACACATTCATTGATCTGCTAAGAACTAACAAAGTAACAGAACTAAAGTCATAGTTTTAGGCAGGGTTAATGTGGCACACCTATAGCACTTGGGCTGCCACTGCCCACTGCCATTTCCATAGTAGATATTACTAATTCATACCCTCCCTTTTTCCTGAGTCTCCTAACACTGTGTACTGGGTAGCTGCTACCATGCAGAGAGAGCTGGCAGATGAAATGAAACCTGTTTGTCATACCTGATTAAATTATAAACATCCCTATAGCTGTTTAGTCCTCATGCAACTTCATCCCTGAGTAGTATTTAAAGAACAGCAAAATAAGATAGTCATGATTGCGACCCTGAATAATCACAGAAATTTGAAATGATACATGTAATATTCTGTATAAAGAGTTGGAGAGATTTGTTCTTTTCTTTAAATATAGTATTTAATCTATGAAAATGGAAAGGTTTTGGCATCAAATCTCAGGAATGGACTTAGACCATATTCTGGCCATACTGCATGGAAGGAGTTCCTCTGAATGATATTTGTGTATTGCGTCTGCTGAAATCTCTTTTGGTGTTGAGTAGCTTGGGAGTGTCCCAAGTGCGTCATTATTGTATTTTATGTATGGGCACTACTGAGAGGAGTAGTTTGGCCTCAGCCCCATACATATGAGTGTGTTAGTTTGCATTGGCTTTATTCATTCATTTATTCATTCTCTAAATAATAAGTGCTAGTAAGGTCAGGGGATAGACTATTGAACCATACCTATCCTGTGTTTCCTGCACTCATGCAGCTTACAGTCTAGACACATAATAAATCATGAAATAGGCAACATGTAACAAATAAGCGGATAAATACTATAAAGGAAACAAATAAGATTCTTTGCTGTGGAATAATTGGGATGTGGGGATATCAGGGTAGGAAACAACCTAATTTAGATAGGGTGGTCAGCAGATTTAGATAGGGTGGTCAGCAGATGTCACTTGCAAGATGACGAGTCAGCTATGCAACGACCAGGCAGTGGTGGGGAGCCTTCTAGGTCTAGAGAGCAGTGTGGTCAAAGCTCTGGGACTAGAAAGATCTTTGTATTTTTTTTAGAAATTGAAAGGAAGCCATTGTGGCTGGAGCCAGATGGAAAATGACATGCACAAAGATTGGAGGGGTAGGAAGGGTATGGAGGGGGTGGGAAAGGTTTGGGGTGGGAATATTCACTTGGCTAGTTCAACATATAGGGAGTATTTAGAAATTATGGGAATGGTAGAAAATGATGGAGAAGAGAAGGCGGCTCAGGGCCTAGCCTGGAGGAACTCTAGCACACAAGGTGAGATGGAGGAAGAAGAGCCAGCAAAGAAGACAGAGAGAAGGCTTGATAAGGCAAACACCCAGGGGGGTCTCATGTTCTGGAAATCAAGAGGAAGGAATGTCTCAAGAAGGAGGGAGTGGCTGGATATAGTGGCTCATGCCTGTAATCCCAGCATTTTGGGAGGCCGAGGTGAGCTGATAACTTGAGTCCAGAAGTTCAAGACCAGCCTGGGCAACATGGCAAAACTCTGTTTCTACAAAAAAACAGTAAAATTAGCCAGACGTGGTGGCACATACTTGGGAGGCTGAGGTGGGGGATCACCTGAGCCCTGGAGATTGAGGCTGCAGTGAGCCATGATTGTGCCACCGCACTCCAGCCTGGGCAACATAGTGAGACCCTGTCTCAAGAAAACTAAGCCAAACCAACCAACCAACCAAACAACAACAGCAACAACAATAATAACAAAAAACAAAAGAAGGAAGGAGTGGTCAGCAGCCCCAGATACTACTTAGATGTCGATTGAGATGAGCTTAGAAGAATGTGCCTTTAGTTTGCAGCATGGAGGTTGCTGATGCCATGAAAAGCTTTTTTAGGAAGAGCTGGGACGAATTGATTGGAGCAGGTTAAAGAATTGGAGATGAGGAAGTAGACACCACACATACAGAAACACATACAGAGACAGCTACTCAGGGTCAGGCACGGAGAAGACAAATGCTTCCAGGGTTGGAGTTTGGCCAGTTCTTCACAGTGAAGGGATGGGGCAAAAGATTGGAGGGCATTTGGAAGGAAATTCTTATAGTGACAGAACTGGAGTCTAAGCTGGTCAAGGAAGAAAATGCAAGTCCGGAGGGGATTTGGTGTGAAGATGGTAGTGGTTCTGTTGATGAGGTCAGGAATTATTGCAATGGAAGTACTTTAATAAACAAGGTTGGAAGCATAGGAAGGTGTGGTCCCAGAGTGGTTTAATTGAATTCAAGGTTTCAGAGTTTCTGTGGTCTCTGGATATGACCTTGCGAGGTGGTTGGGCTGGAGCAGAGGAAAGTGTTATTGGAGGTGAAGTCACAATTAAAAGTGAATACATTGCTAAGGATTATAGCACTATTCTGTACAGATTTTATCTTGCCCATAAATATTTTTTTTCTACACAGTACACATTATTTCCTAAAAATATTTCCAGGTTCTTAATTATGAGGAGGTGCTATTATGATTTTATTATTTTTCTGTTTAGGATCAATTGAAGGAGCTCACACTAGAAAATAGTGAATTGAAGAAGAGCCTAGATTGCATGCACAAAGACCAGGTGGAAAAGGAAGGGAAAGTGAGAGAGGAAATAGCTGAATATCAGCTACGGCTTCATGAAGCTGAAAAGAAACACCAGGCTTTGCTTTTGGACACAAACAAACAGGTGAAATGTGGGGTTTGGTTACTGGGGGAGCTGGAGAGTGTATTTTGATCATGGTAAGGCTTTTTTTTTTTTCCAAAAAAAATCAATATTCTGGGTTATTACTATGCTATATAATCTTTTAAAAGGTCTCACATTAACTTCACGATCTTTTCCCCAGGTCCCTCTCTTATTTTATCAGTTGATTTTTTTTTTTTTTTTTTGAGATGGGGTCTCTCTCTGT
Source organism: Homo sapiens (assembly GCF_000001405.40). Taxonomy (NCBI): domain Eukaryota; kingdom Metazoa; phylum Chordata; class Mammalia; order Primates; family Hominidae; genus Homo; species Homo sapiens. The sequence continues at coordinate 214,652,107 of NC_000001.11, forward strand.
CGCACTGCAAGCTCCGTCTCCCAGGTTTGCACCATTCTCCTACCTCAGCCTCCCGAGTAGCTGGGACTACAGGTGCCCGCCACCACGCCCGGCTAATTTTTTGTATTTTTAGTAGTGATGGGGTTTCACTGTGTTAGCCAGGATGGTCTCGATCTCCTGATCTTGTGATCTGCCCACCTTGGCCTCCCAAAGTGCTGGGATTACAGGCGTGAGCCACTGCGCCTGGCCCGGTTGATTTTTTAAAAAGGTATATTTCCATTTTGGAGTAGAATAATAGGAGAGCTGCAAAGTCGAAATAGTCCTTGGAAAGGCAGGGTTTTGTTTTTGTTTTTCTTTTCTTTTTTTTTTTTTTTTTGAGACTGAGCCTCACTCTGTCACCCAGGCTAGAGTGCAGTGGCACAATCTTGGCTCACTGCAGCCTCTGCCTCCTGGGTTCAAGCAATTCTCCTGTCTCAGCCTCCCGAGTAGCTGGGATTATAGGCGCCTGCCACCACGCCCAGCTAATTTTTGTATTTTTAGTAGAGACAGGGGTTTCACCATGTTGGCCAGGATGGCCTTGAACTCCTGACCTCGTGATCTGCCCACCTTGGCCTCCCAAAGTGCTGGGATTACAGGTGTGAAACACTGCGCCCAGCTGTTTTTTGTTTTTCTGACTATTTTTTTTTAGCTGTGCCTCCTGGCTAAAGTAACATTTTGGTTTTTTTTGTTTGTTTTGCTCTAGTATGAAGTAGAAATCCAGACATACCGAGAGAAATTGACTTCTAAAGAAGAATGTCTCAGTTCACAGAAGCTGGAGATAGACCTTTTAAAGTCTAGTAAAGAAGAGCTCAATAATTCATTGAAAGCTACTACTCAGATTTTGGAAGAATTGAAGAAAACCAAGGTATGTTCACTTTAATTTGCTTCATGATTTCGAATGGTTTATACAGGTGGTAGTGATTTTAATGGTATAGCATTAAACGTTTTCATTTTCATTTTATGAAAATTTTTGGTAGTCAAAAATGATGTCATTCATCAGTTCTCTGCTGAGTTATCTTTAAAAAAAATCAGTGGGTCATCTACAGTCTCATAGCTTGAATAAGCTATCCATTGCCTCATGCATCCTCTCAAACTAGAGGATGTTAAAGACTTCTTGAGATAGATTTGAAGATCCAGCCACACAGCAGATGAGGGCAGGCCTCTTAAGCTATAGAAAACAGTCTGACGGGCAATTCCAAAATCTTGAATGAGCTGTCTCCAACTTCACTGTCACCATACTCACTTTTCTGTGGCTTACGGGGAGATCAAAGTGTGGCAGAGCACCTTGGTCAGGCAGACGTGTGGATATTCTCCTCTTCCTCTTCACGCAAGGATCATAGAACTTTTTTTTTTTTTTTAGGAACAATGAAGGTGAACCCTAGTCTCAGGATTGCTAGTCTCAAGATGGTACCACTGTAATTCTACCTGGAAAAGGAGGTGTTTTCATTCCTACAGATATTTTTCATAAGATAAATACCCACAGTGTATAGTAATGAACCTGGATAATAAATATCTTCCAGAAAATATTTTACTTAGAAGACGATTATATTTTTTAAATTTTGAGATTAATTGAATATATACAAACAGAAAATTAGGTACAAATTTATTATGTTTATGGCTCTTATACAACTATCAAGGTAAAGGAAATTTACCAATTAAATACAAAGTAGTAAAATTCAAAATCACAATAATTAATAATGTTCTGCTGCTACAAAATGAGATGTTGGGTTTAATAATAGAAGGAAGTAGCACTGTTGAAATAGAATTAAATGGGTCTTGAATTCATTTGTGATTGGAATCAGAAGTCGCAAGTTCTGAAAGGGTAAGGTTTACTGCAACATTGCTAATAAATAATTTCAAGATGAAATATACAAAGATGAGATCCAAGCTCTAACATTTACTTGCAACATGAATATGGTACTGTGTTCTTCTCCGTCCCCCATCCTCATTCCCCCTCCTCCTCCTGCTGCTGTTTGGTCTTCCTTTGGAAATTCATGATGCCATATCAGATGGTTTTAGAATTCTGCACTTTAATAATGTAATGCATATGCCATATATAATATCCCAGAGGGATCTGCTATAATATTGCATAATCGAATTCATATTTCTGCAGCAAAATGTGTGGATACTCTCACAAGGCAGGATAAATAGAGACTATATATACTGGGCCAGGTGTGGTGACTCATGCCTAGAATCCCAGCACTTTGGGAGGCCAGGGCAGGAGGATCACTTGAGGCCAGGAATTTGAGACCAGCCTGGGCAACATAGTGAGACCTCATCTCTTAAAAAAAAAAAAAATAGTTGGTTGTGATGGCACGTACCTATAGTCCCAGCTATGCAGGAGGCTGAAGTGGGAGGATTGCTTGAGCCCAGGAGGTCACACAGTGAGCCATGATGGTGCCACTGCATTCCAGCCTGGGTGACAGAGGGAGATCCTGTCTTAAAAATAAGTAAATTAATTAATTAATAAAGACATGAACACCTTTATATCTCTTCAGGTTGGGTTTTGCCTCTAAATCATTTTCATAGCTCTTTTTTTTTGATTTGGGAATTGTGAATAAGAATGTGAACTTGTACCACTGAGAAGCGTATGAGGACACAATTCTCCCATCATTCTGTTGTCTTTCTACTCGAGCCACAATGAAATTTAAATTTGTATAGTGAGCTAGAATATCATTTGGCCTTCACTTGGTATGGCTAAAACAAATACCAAGGCAGGTATTGAAACTGTAACAGTGTGATTACAAATGGGAACACAATTCTGTCATTGAGAATTTTGGACTCACCAAGAATATGTTCGTTGTCTCCCTGTCCAGTAATCCAATGCGATTCCCATTGGATAAATACAGACATAGTGGGCACTTAATAGACATCTCAGGAACTGTAGTTTATACTTGTGATACTAAGAAAGAGAATGACAAAACCACATTGTCAGTTGGGGGGACTTAGGAAACTGAGTAGAGAACGTGAATGGTTTTGTGCATCTTTAGATGTTTTGTATTGAATCTAATAATTCTTAAATTTACAATATATGAATCTTATATCTTATAATTATTTTTCCATATGCTTATAAAAAGAAATTCAAGGTTTTAAATGGAATTACTTTTATTTTGTAGATGGACAATCTAAAATATGTAAATCAGTTGAAGAAGGAAAATGAACGTGCCCAGGGGAAAATGAAGTTGTTGATCAAATCCTGTAAACAGCTGGAAGAGGAAAAGGAGATACTGCAGAAAGAACTCTCTCAACTTCAAGCTGCACAGGAGAAGCAGAAAACAGGTGGGTGTTAACTGGGGCACATCAACTAGCCAGAACTCTTTTCCAGTAGTGAAATAACATATGGTATGCGTGCATAGGAACTATTTTTAGTGCTGTGTTCTATTACTGAGTGCTGATTTTTTACCATTAATCCATTTTCCAATTTCTGAATTTTGTGCTTATCTTGGGATCATTATAGGACTCAGAATGAAGCCTTTTTTTGTTTCGTTTTTGAGACAGGATCTTGCTGTGTCACCCAGGTGGGAGTGCAGTGGTGCCATTATGGCTCATTGCAGCCTCGACCTCAAAGCGATCCTCCCACCTCAGCCTCCCGAGTAGCTGGAACAATAGACAGGTGCCACCACACCCGACTAATTTTTGTATTTTTTGTAGAGACAAGGTTTTGCCATGTTGCCCAGGCTGGTCTTGAATTTGTGGGCTCAAGCAATCTGCCCACCTTGGCCTCCCAAAGTGCTGGGATTATAGGCAGGAGCCACCATGCCTGGCCTGAATGAAGCCATTTTGAAATAGAATTATCGCATCTTCCATTCTATAAAACATGGAAAAAACTGGTGGAACTTTTTGCTAATGAGCCATTCTAAGAAGAGTTTTTTATGTCGATGTCCAGTTACGTGGTTTCTTTGTCAATAGATTGGCATCAGAATTGGCTTTGGTAATTTATAAATAGCTGATTCTGGTTATCCTCAGTCCATTCGTATGGGTCAACTAAAGGGAACGGGTGAGGGTGGGAGGCATATTTTTAGTTGTGCAGGCAAAATAGAAAAGGAAAGAAATGATAACTCTCCTTGTCACTTTTATCCACTTATACCCCTGGAGTGGCATGTGCTTACCGTGTGGATAGATGATGACAAGCATAATCTGACTGGCTTCTCTGGTCTGTAGTGTAGCAGGATGTGGGTCAACAGTCTTCCCTGTTGGAAACAGTGCTCAGGGTAGATTGGGGCTTCAGGGGATTTTTCTAATGGATTTAATACACCCATGGCAGCTACAAGTTGACCAAGATTCCCACCTTTATAGTGTTCCCCCAAACCCTTTTTCATCAGATCCTCCATTGCCTTCAGATGCTTTCAGAGTGTTTTTTTGGATTTGCCTGGTCATCTGTTAGAATCTTGTCTCCCAAAGCCATACAACAGAAGCTTCATAATCTTTGCTGACTTCTGTTCATCCACTTATGGTAGACAGAATGGACTGGGGAAAATAAGGATGTAAAAAAATGAATTTATTTGATTGGATATAACTGACGCTGCAAGAACGTTTAATGAGTTGGCTGAAATATGAGTTTGAGACTTTGGTGGATTTTATTTAAGCTGTCCCAATGAGTGTCACAGGACTAGAATATCTGCCTTGATATGATATACCTCCCGAACAAGAGTTGTTTGAACTATAAGAACATATACAGATATATCTCCCCAACCTCTTAAAAAAAAAAATCAAAGAAAGAACACGTCTAAGATTATCTGCTTCACGATGCCCATTGTTAACTAGAGAAGCATCAAGTTGCACATGATGTGTTGCTTTACTTTGGACAGGTACTGTTATGGATACCAAGGTCGATGAATTAACAACTGAGATCAAAGAACTGAAAGAAACTCTTGAAGAAAAAACCAAGGAGGCAGATGAATACTTGGATAAGTACTGTTCCTTGCTTATAAGCCATGAAAAGTTAGAGAAAGCTAAAGAGATGTTAGAGACACAAGTGGCCCATCTGTGTTCACAGCAATCTAAACAAGATTCCCGAGGGTCTCCTTTGCTAGGTCCAGTTGTTCCAGGACCATCTCCAATCCCTTCTGTTACTGAAAAGAGGTTATCATCTGGCCAAAATAAAGCTTCAGGCAAGAGGCAAAGATCCAGTGGAATATGGGAGAATGGTAGAGGACCAACACCTGCTACCCCAGAGAGCTTTTCTAAAAAAAGCAAGAAAGCAGTCATGAGTGGTATTCACCCTGCAGAAGACACGGAAGGTACTGAGTTTGAGCCAGAGGGACTTCCAGAAGTTGTAAAGAAAGGTATGCCTAATTTAAAGACAAAATTATTTGTGTTCTTTTGAAATTCCATATAATGGTTCACATATAAAAAGACAAAAGTATTTGCTTTTTTACATTATTGTGCAATAATCTCATTGACGTTCATAAGCAATAGTCTGCTTTTAAATGGATGAGGCATATGTTTTCCTCTAGGATCTAATTACTTGTGTCACATTAACAAAAGAGCTGGTAGATTGGAAAAATGGCTGTCTAAAATCTGTTTGGAATTTGTTATTTGAATGCTGAAAAAAATTATTAAATTAAGGACTCCCGTCAGCGTTTCCTACCCGTTGGTCATGTCTGACCTAGCTAGCAGGTGAGCTGGAGGGTGCACCCTGTGATGCTGGCCCCCTGACTGGAGCCACTGACTACACTTTGTTTTGTTTTTGTTTTGTTGTTTTAATCTTGGTTTTCCCCCAAGTCTGGCCCAAGGACTGGTGCCATTCTAGGAACTGTTTGTTATTGGTTCCCAACTGAAACAATGTATTGTAATTAAGTAGGAATTTAGAAATTTTCATAGCAACTTGATATTTTTGTAACATCCAAGCACATATCATGTTTTCTATTGATTTGTTCTCATTATATTATACAAAAATATTATTCCACAGCACATTGGAAATTCTTCGAACCCCCTCTGCCCCCAAATATCAAAACTGATGCTTTGCCATTGATGGTTTGAAAAGCATTGTTCTGAGTAACTCTAGCCCAAAAATAGTTATCTATCTCTCACTGGTAATTTTTATATGTAGTTAAAGTGTGAAAAAAACAAAAACAAATGCTGCTTTAGTTAGCCCTGAATGCAGTTCTGGAGTGTGTGTTGATACACTAACTCTTAGTATCCCTGGGATTGACTTTCTTTCCTGGGTCATCCAAAGTCATGTCACTTCCTTCTGTGGAAAGAGACAACGTGAGTGAGTGTGAAATCACCTTTAGAAAGGTCAGTTTCTCTCCTCCCACCTACATGAGAGTGCTGGCCTGAAGTAGCTGTTACCATTTTACATTTCCCCCCTTTCCCTTTCTTTTTTTTTTTATCTTTTATTTTTCCATTATACCCTCCTTTTTTCCCCAACCCAATTTTACAATAAGGCCTGCTGGCATTCTTTAGATCTTAGAAAAATGCAAAATAAAACATCTACATAGAAGATAGAAGCAGAAAAAATTTTTTCTGTGTAGTGTTATTTTCCCCTTCTTCTCCCATTGTTGTTTTCTATGTTTCTAATAAGAGAAAAACCTGTTAAGTTATTTGATTCAATTTGGTGACTCCCAGGGCAACTGTGAAGTGTAATCCATTGACCACAGTGGCTAGGACAAAGTATTTTTTGGAGTTTGCATTATCCTTGTTAAAACCACCTAATGAATATCTTTTCCACTGTAGATAGAATTGGACCTAGCAGTGCTGACAGTTATTTTTTTTGCCCTTAGGGTTTGCTGACATCCCGACAGGAAAGACTAGCCCATATATCCTGCGAAGAACAACCATGGCAACTCGGACCAGCCCCCGCCTGGCTGCACAGAAGTTAGCGCTATCCCCACTGAGTCTCGGCAAAGAAAATCTTGCAGAGTCCTCCAAACCAACAGCTGGTGGCAGCAGATCACAAAAGGTAAACTACTGTCAACATCCGTCTACTGTTTGAGATCCAGAAAATTGCAGTAGTACCTGGGTGAGGATTGGACACTGCACCCCCGATTCAGGAGCGCTTTCAAAAAGTCTGACCTTCTTGGTGTGGTGTAAGTCAGTCAGTAGTGAGCAAGTGACCGGGTGAGCATTACAGTATCAGGGTACATGATCTCATCCTTCAGTCAACAGGCCGCTTATATGTAGTTTGATGGAAAATGGCATTGTTACATCAAAACTCAGTGGATTTCTAAGAAAGTTTCAGGCGTTACTGATGAAGGATTTGAAGAGGTAATTTTCCCTTTCGCCACTGGTATTAGTCATTGTTTGTTTCAAACTTTACTCTCACTTATCTGCCCCCAGCTGCTAATTCTTTATTGTTTTTATTAATCCTTTACTTTCTTAAAAAAAAAAAAAGCACATATTTCAATAGATATCTAAGGAAAGGAACTCTGTTTATAGATCTCTCTATTTTGATTGTTGAGGATACAACAGGATCTTAGTGACTTCTGTGTACCCTACAACATCCCAGAAAATGTTATGTAGAGCATAGAGAATATTTGCTTAACAGATCTTTATTCCTGTTACTATGATCCATACCAGCAGCTGCCATTTAAGTATGCAAAGTATATGCATTTTATTTATCTTTCTCATTTTATTGAACTCTCACAGTAAGTGGTATTATAAAAGAGTGAAGAACGTGAGACTCATAAAGATGTAACCTCCCAGTGTGAACCCCTACTTCCTCTCAACTCCACAGTCTTGATCTTTCTACGATACCAGTGTTTCTCAGACTGGGGACTAGGGGGATATTTTTGGAAGTTGCTGGAATAGCTTCAAAGAGTTTGAACAGTCTGTGATTTTACCTTGATTGCTCACTTGTCAGAGTTTGATCAAGTATGCGAGCTGATAACCTTGAACCAGAAAACAAAGCTTTGAAAGTGTAATAACCCCTATTTGTGTAATGTGATAATTCATAAGTGAGCAAGCACGTTCTTAGGATTTGGGATACCAAATATGAACACATTGGTGGTTACACGTGGGCGATCTAAAGAGTACAATATATTTAGATTTCTTGATCTAAACATCACAACAACAGATTTGCAAATTTCTTTTTGTTGATGTATAAGAGCTATAAGCATTAAGGAATTATACTTAGTAATAAATTTGTTCATCATATACATTATATTAAAATTTTTCTTCAAGTATGAAGAAGAATGCTCTGAGATTTTCTTTCACTAAAGTGGACCCATTTGTTACTCTTATTAGAAATAGTCTACCATTTTGTGCAAATTTTTCTCCCCTCCCCTACCAAATTCTCTCTGTTACTCACATTCGGATTTAACTTTGGCATGCTGCCAACAACAAAATACTGAAGTATATACTGGAGAATATATATTTAATATACTGAATATACTGACTTTCCAATGAACATGAGAACAGCTTCTCTTTTAAGCAACTAGTGCCCCTAAACCGTGGAGCTACCAAGCTTGTCCAAAGCTGTCAACTACAAGATATCCACTGGATACTGAATACAGGAGAAGTCAGGTTTAGGGTCCCGATATGGGCCATACCATTTTCTCAGAAGGGTGACTGGGAGCCACCCTTTCCCAAACCTCAGTAAAAAGTAACATCCATTCCTGTTTGTCTCACACTTCTGGAGATCAAACGAAGTATTTGACTCTCTTAGAAAACCATGACATATAGCTGGTACTCTATGCCTCCACTGTCTTTAGGCAGCTCACTTTATTGTAATCTCTTGTTTAAATATCTGTCTTCTGATTTGCAATCTGAGTTCTGTGAGGTTACTGATTACATCTATAGTTTATGTCTATGCAGTGTCTGACATTCAACAAATATTCACTGAATGAATGGAACTGTGAATGTCCTGAAGTGATTGCATTAATAGATGTTTATAAAGGCATGCTAGGAAATGGTCTTATGAAATCATCACAAGTCATTTTTTTTCTGTTGCGAAGAACTGATGGTAAAAGCAGTTTGCATGCGGCGTTCAGACTTACTATCTAGGAAAAAGAGCTTTGCACGCTAGGGGGCCTGCTCTCCTCACTGCTGTTGAATCTGCTGAGTAGGGAGTAGTAACCATGGTTTCTGCAGATTTTGTTCAGTGCATTAGCTACATGCTGTTCAGTAGGCACCAGCAGTTATGAATTGCTAAGCAATTTTGTGCACTTGCAAATGAGGAGAGGGACCTTTTGAGAGCAGTTATAGGAGAATTCATGATTAGATTCAAACTCTTCAAAACCTAGCCCAGTAATTTTTAATTTAATTCAGCATTTTCTGAGTTGCCCTGTAAAATGCTTGCTGCCTCATCTGTTAAGCGTATTACATCACTTAGTTTTAAAAATCTAGAATGAGGTATTATTTCCCAAAGCAGTTGCTTAGAAACTCAGGGTTGTGAGTTCTCCTTTGAGGTGACTGGCTGGGTTATGAGAGACAGTTTCCTAGGTCATTTAGCAAGACCTTTAGTAACATCTGACAAGTTCAAAGGGGAAAAAACTGGCAAAATGCACATTAGGTAAGGATCATTCTCTATTATGTCACTGGGATGGATTAGCTCAGGAACCCCTCGTTTGTTGGGAACAAGGGAGACAGCGCTTGTAGACCTGATCTCCTGAACCTGGGCTTTGTGATCAGTTCCAGAGGACTGGCCAGTAAGCTGTAGAGCCCATCGTGGATGGTGGTGTTAGTTTTGTGGGGATCTTGCATTTTTTCCTACTTGTGAGGGTCATTTTCACTGAACTACATGCATATTTGCCCTCTCTCTGTTGCTACTGCAGAATCATTTATGAGACAATTAGGGTATGCTTGCACTTTTTTTTTTTCCCTCCCCTGTGTTATTCTAGGAGGATGTACTATCTTAATAGATTAAATACTTGGTGAATTTGACTTTGTCTGGTTATAGACCATTCTGAAGCTAACTAACCAACAGGAGGGTCAAATCCACAGTTTAAATTCTGATCACAACTAAAGTGTCCTCAATTCAGTATCAGAAATTGAGTCTAGAGGGGAGAAGCCAGAAAGAGTGGACGTTAGCCATTTGATTGGGATAAAGAGGCTTATAGGCTCAAACTTTCTGTTTCCTATGGGCTATCTGTCTCTCTCTTTTTAAATGGCAAACCTAAAGATTTGTTTCTTGTACATCTGGTGGGTTCCAGGGAAACCTTGTCTTTGGAATCACTATTTCTCTTTAAAAAAAAAAAAAAGTACCAGCAAAACTTTGTTTTATTTTTTTCCTTCAACTTTCCATGGATGGTAATTTTCCATTAAGTCCTGACCTTCCAAGGCTGCGTCTTTTCAGTGTCCTGGACACACTCTGAGGGAGAAGTGAGCTTTCCTGGGATTTGATCTGTTGGCCAGATTTACTATGTTTCATGTAATGAAAAGTATTTAACTGCCTTTTTCAAATCACATGCTTCCTATGGAAAGAATATAAATGGGAAAATAATTTCCATTCCCTTTTCTTCTTGCATCAGAAGGAGATCCCTGGAAGTCAGTTGCTCAGGGAGTGTCTGTCACGTAGTTACTTCCCAGCAACTGTGCTGGACACAGATCCTTGTGTCCATTATGCAAGAGGCCCTTCTCCTTTCTCTTTGAAAGATCTTCCTACTTGAATCTTCCACTCTTGCCTTTAACTTTGCTTAGGTGAAGCTTTCCTATACTTCATTTTTCTTGCACTTTTTTCTCTTTTTTGACCGTGTATCTTTTTTCACTACTATATAAATTTCAATTTTTTTTTTTTTAAATCTTGCTCTGTCCCCCAGGCTGGAGTGCAGTGGCACTATCACGGCTCACTGCAGCTTCAAACTCCTGGGCTCAAGCGATCCTCTTGCCTCAGCCTCCTGAGTAGCTGGAACTATAGATGTGAGCCACTAAGCCTGACCCAATTTCAAAAAATCTTCACTCACCAGTTACCTTACTCTCTCATCTACTTAAAGTCTCAAATTTTCTGAGATATCTCTTTCCTTTAAAAGGCAGGATGTTTGAGAGGGGATTTATTCTTTCCGGACTTTATTGTTAGATAGCTGCCCTTCTGCTCTAGTCCAAATTCAATATGGAAACAGTCAGCCATAAAGGGAGAATGATTAAAATACCCTGAACTGGTCCTTGGTCATTTTAAAATTTTCCACCCTGTGGAGGTAGTATTACTCATTTGGGTTACACTTGTTTTAAACAACAGGAATGGCTAGTTAGGACAACAGAGGCAGGTTTTTCACTTAGGAATTCACTGGATGTGTACCATGTGGTCAAGCATGTTGTGGGCTCTAGGGATACATAGGTAAATAGGGCATAGTCTTTGCCATCAGAGGTGCCAAGGGACGTCTGATGACTGGTTAGAGGTTGTACCTGGTATCCTCCTAAGTTCTCTGTTAGATGGGGCCTGTTCTCAAGGAAGAGGAAATACTTCAATTATATATAACTCCTAGAGAAGAAGAACTTAATTTAAAACTTAGTGACATAGTGCTTTATTTTTCATGTTGTGGAAATGTGAATGTGATTGAACCTCTAACAGAGATGTTTGTGTTGCAGGTCAAAGTTGCTCAGCGGAGCCCAGTAGATTCAGGCACCATCCTCCGAGAACCCACCACGAAATCCGTCCCAGTCAATAATCTTCCTGAGAGAAGTCCGACTGACAGCCCCAGAGAGGGCCTGAGGGTCAAGCGAGGCCGACTTGTCCCCAGCCCCAAAGCTGGACTGGAGTCCAACGGCAGTGAGAACTGTAAGGTCCAGTGAAGGCACTTTGTGTGTCAGTACCCCTGGGAGGTGCCAGTCATTGAATAGATAAGGCTGTGCCTACAGGACTTCTCTTTAGTCAGGGCATGCTTTATTAGTGAGGAGAAAACAATTCCTTAGAAGTCTTAAATATATTGTACTCTTTAGATCTCCCATGTGTAGGTATTGAAAAAGTTTGGAAGCACTGATCACCTGTTAGCATTGCCATTCCTCTACTGCAATGTAAATAGTATAAAGCTATGTATATAAAGCTTTTTGGTAATATGTTACAATTAAAATGACAAGCACTATATCACAATCTCTGTTTGTATGTGGGTTTTACACTAAAAAAATGCAAAACACATTTTATTCTTCTAATTAACAGCTCCTAGGAAAATGTAGACTTTTGCTTTATGATATTCTATCTGTAGTATGAGGCATGGAATAGTTTTGTATCGGGAATTTCTCAGAGCTGAGTAAAATGAAGGAAAAGCATGTTATGTGTTTTTAAGGAAAATGTGCACACATATACATGTAGGAGTGTTTATCTTTCTCTTACAATCTGTTTTAGACATCTTTGCTTATGAAACCTGTACATATGTGTGTGTGGGTATGTGTTTATTTCCAGTGAGGGCTGCAGGCTTCCTAGAGGTGTGCTATACCATGCGTCTGTCGTTGTGCTTTTTTCTGTTTTTAGACCAATTTTTTACAGTTCTTTGGTAAGCATTGTCGTATCTGGTGATGGATTAACATATAGCCTTTGTTTTCTAATAAAATAGTCGCCTTCGTTTTCTGTAAGAATGATTCCTAAGTGTAAAGGCATTCGAATATTGGTACTATTTCTTGCTAATTACAACAGCCTCTTATACACGTGAAAATGTTTGAACAAATGATACAGATCTTTAAACAAATGATCTTAGCATCTTTAGTTGTATTAAAAGACACAATTTGGAATACGGGTCATAAGGAGTATATGGGAATATAAGACGTCCAGCCCAGTGCCTCCTACATTCTGTGTCCCCATTAAACCACATCATCAAGGATACAAGTATGTGGTATTTCCCAGCTCACTTGATGATGATATAGTTTTGAAAGCATGCAGGCATTATAAGCCATGTCAGATCCAAAAACATTTGAACAAGTTCTTACATCCTTGAATCAGGGTAAAAAAGTTTCCCAGGGCATGCGCTAGTAAAAGATCATTTGTTCTTGGCTTTCAGTCCAAATTGATGCACAAATTCCGATAAGCACCATCATTTATATTTAAAAGTTGTCCTTCGCAAGGTGGCCTCTGTTGTTGGATAATGCTTCAATAATATTAAGCTACTTAATATTCATCAGCTGAAAGTGATATCCTGACTTTCCTCTTGTTTCTTCAGTTGCTTGGGGTTGAGGTCTGGTGCAATATCCTTACCGTAAATCATCCCAGGGCCCCCATGTGCTCAAGGGCATGACCCCGAGCAGACATTGTTGGGATCAGGCCATCAGCTTTATTGGCTGTCTCCAGTGATTGGAAGATTCCACTCTGTAGGCTTTGCTGGGTAGCATCGTGGGTCCTTGAAAGCATCTCTTTGTATTTTCCTAGGTATGCCATAGCTGCTGCTCTTATTACTTGGATACTTGTTTTTTTGTTCTTTGTTTTTTTTTATTTGAGAGGGAGTCTTGCTCTGTCGTCCAGGCTGGAGTGAAGTGGCATGATCTCGGCTCGCTGCAACCTCTGCTTCCTAGCTTCAAGCCATTCTCCTGCCTCAGCCTCCCAGGTGGCTGGGACTACAGGCATGTGCCACCATGCCTGGCAGTTTTTTTTGTATTTTTAGTAGAGATGGGGTTTCACCATGCTGGCCAGGCTGGTCTCGATCATCTTTATAATTGTAGAGAGTTGTTCAAAATCTTGTAAGTGGACAGCCAGGACATTATTCTTTTCCTCAAGCTGACAGTACTTGTTCTGCTATGAGCTGAGCTGCATACGGGATGAAAGTAAACATGCTACCATTCCAACTTTCAAGTACCTTATAAGCCAGTTGAGTCATGAGTAAGATCCCCCGCTGACAAATCATATGGGAAAATGAATCAAGTTCAGAGATCTGGGAATCAGATTCTCATCTGTACAATGAGGAGCTTGGTTGAGATGATTCTTTTACCGTAAATATTGGATAAGAGCTGAAATGGACCTTTGTGTTATTGGGAGTTGCTGGCAGTCTAAGGGGACTGCATCTTCAGTAAGAAAGAAATAAGAACCAAAATTTAAATGTAGCCTGATTTCTATTTCTTGAGACACTCCTCCCCTCACCCTCTCACTTGCCTTCTTTGAGATTTATTTGTGATTTTTCTCATTTGATTCCAGTTTATTTATTTTGTTGGAACTACTAAATTTTCACAGATTTGTTTGCACCTGGGAAGAAGTCAGGGCACTTCTTCCTGGGGGCCCGTAACTCAAGGAGGGGAGACCTCTTCCACTTTCCAACTGGTTTGAGTCTGCAGAAGTTTCTAACTTCTCTTAGCATGGCTCAACACCAATTGTTATTTTAGAATTTCCAAGTTCTTCCAAAATCCTTCAGGCTATGGGCAGTATGTCGTGAAAGAAATTTAAATAGTAAATAAACTGATGAGTTCTTGTAAGCCATAGGTTTATTGCACCACAGTCGGAAGTTGCACTGATCATTAGCATGTTTTTCATATTTCTCTTCTGTAGTTAAGGAGGGGGATACAATTATTTTTGAAGAGAACAGTAAGTACCTAAAATTAACTACCACTTGGTAGTTGAGAGTTATGTGCTCTCCCGCTTCGGTTCATGTGAGCTGACTTCTCTTTGAAGGGAAAGGGGTTGTATGCTAACTCACTGACCGAGGAGAGAATAGAGCCTTGAGTGCTTCAGAAGAGCCTGGCTATTCTCATTTGAAAAGTCTGAGGACCTGAAGCTGCCATCCTACCTGCAAGCCCAGCTATGTATCTAATGCTACTACTCACTTTAGCTTTGGCTCAACTACTTAAAATACTGGATGGAAAGTCTTACATTTTACAAGGTATTTTCATGTGTGCTGAAACTTCCACCTTTGTGAGGTAAGAGACAGAGGTCAAACTTCTCACTCATAGGCCTGGGGAGATCTTGCTTAATGATAATTGTGTGTCTCCCCACAACCTTGCAAAATGAAGATTATCCTTATCAAACAGAAGATAAAATAGGCTCAGCGTATTTGGCCCAGGAAGTAGCAGAGTTGAGTTTCGACCTCAGCTTTGCAAATACAAAACCCATTCTCTTGTTTGTCCTGTAGCTTCTCTGGAAGCAGTCTTTTCCAGAATAATTCTGATAGTATAGATTTTCAGATGATATTAAGTAGCTTTTCCACTTTCTATGTGCAATGGCAATGAAGATATCTAGGCTGTCTGCATCTGATTTGGGTTACCTTATATTTAATTTCAAAAATGTAAAATGGGACTAGCTATACATTTTAACTCCTAAAAGTTGTCTACCAACTAAAAGTTGTCTACTAACTGAATGCATACGCATTATTTATGTAGAGGTAAATCCTTTCAAAGAGTCTTTTTTGCAATTCAACAAAGAAACCTTATTAAAAAGTGGGCATGAACAGACACTTCTCAAAAGAAGACATACAAGTGACCAACAAACATGAAAAATTGCTCGACATCACTAATCATCAGAGAAATACAAATCAAAACCACAATAAGACACCATCTCACACCAGTCAGAATGGGTATTATGAAAACATCAGAAATTAACATGCTGGCAAGGTTGTGGTGAAAAGGGAATGCCTATACAGTGATGGTGGGAATACAAATTAATTCAGCCACTCAGGAAAGCAATTTGGAGATTTCTCAAAGAACTTATACAATAGAACTACCATTCTACCCAGCAATCCCATTACTGGGTATATACCCAAAGGCAAATAAATCATTCTGCCAAAAAGACACATGCACTCCTATGTTCATCACAGCACTATTCACAATAGGAAAGATACGGAATCAACCTAGGTGCCCATCAATAGTGGACTGGATAAAGAAAATGTGCTACATATACGCCATGGAACACTATGATGCCATAAATAAAAATTCAATCATGTACTTTGCAGCAACATGGATACAACTGGAGGCCATTATCCTAAGCAAATTAACTCAGGAAACCAAATACCACAGGTTCTCACTTATAAGTTGGAGCTAAATATTGGGTACATGTGGACATAAAGATGGGAACAATAGACACTGAGGACTACTAGATGGGGGAAGGAGGAAGGGGGGACCAAGAGTTGAAAAACTATTGGGTACTATGCTCACTACTTTGATGATGGGATAGATCATATCCCAAACCTCAGCATTATGAGATATACCCATGTAACAAACCTGCACATGTACTGCCTGTATCTAAAAAGTGGAAGTTATGTATTAAAAAAAGTTTGGTTTGGAAAACCAAATACAAAATATTTCAAATACAAATGT
Organism: Homo sapiens; assembly: GCF_000001405.40. Lineage (NCBI taxonomy): Eukaryota > Metazoa > Chordata > Mammalia > Primates > Hominidae > Homo > Homo sapiens. Next base: position 214,668,226 of record NC_000001.11, read on the forward strand.
TTAGTATAATGTGGATATTAAAAGTGAAAGGTGTCAGAATGCCTTGGGGTCCCATTTGACCTTGGACAAATTACTTAATTCTCTGTGCCTCAGTTTCTTTTCTTTTCTTTTTTTTTTTTTGAGACAGAGTCTTGCTCTGTCGCCCAGGCTGGAGTGCAGTAGTGTAATCTTGGCTCACTGCAACCTCCACCTCCTGTGTTCAAGCGATTCTCCTGCCTCAGCCTCCGGAGTAACTGGGATTTACAGGCACCTGCCACCACGCCAGGCTAATTTTTGTATTTTTAGAAGAGACGGGTTTCACCATGTTGGCCAGGCTGGTCTTGAACTGCTGGCCTCTGCTAATCCCCCTGCCTTGGCCTACCAAACTGCTGGGATTACAGGCATGAGCCACCATGCCCGGCCTCAGTTTCTTTATTGTTAAAATTGGATATAAATAATAATACCTCTTGAAGTTGTCATGATGATTAGTTAATTTGTTAATACTTTACACTTATGATTTTACACTCAATAGAATGTTGGTTATTCTGTATAATTACACATAATTTCTTTCAGGTCAAGTTCTGATCTGAAATCTTCACTAATGTCAATACCATAATGCTTATCTTGCAAATGAGTTTAATCACTACAGATTTGCACATATCATTCGATTATTGATCTTGCAAATGAATCATTTACAGGTTTTTAGTTTTTGTTTGCTTGGGTCATTAAAAATATCTAAAGAAAACAATCACTACAATTTTATTTACGAATGGGTTGTGCTCCTGAAGTACAAATATAAATTAGTTGTTTGGAACTCAGAATACATTTCCTTGTAGAAACAACATTGTAAGTTGTGCATAAGTGTAAGCCCAGGAAGCCAAGTTAGCTCTTACTATGTTAAAATGACAATTAAGTTTATTTCAACCATATGGAACCTACATTGATAATATTGTTTCTTTGGAAAAGTGTATTTTAAGGATGAAGTTGCCATAAACTCAATTTTTTACTCCTCAACTGTCTTCCCAGTGTATCCCACTCTTCCCTTTCCATTTTGTGATATTGGACAGCAATGATTTAGCAGTCTCAGGATGGAGAAATCGAGATGTAGAGTCCTGTCCACCACATTTCTAGAACAGCAGCTGCTCCCAGGCTGAAAGGGAAAGTGATAGTTTTTATGCTGCAGGCAATGCCAGTTTTATGTAATGTTGGTGTATTTGTGTGTGTAAATTTAAGTGGTTTGTTAAACTACTTAACATTTTTGATGTTTTAGAAAATTACAAGGAAATACATATCCCCAAGCTTCGTACACTTTTGTTGACTTGCAAGTCGACTTCCAGCCCCCAAAATTTCCACCAGCCTCCATCCCCTCAATTCAAAGATGGTGGCAGATGAATAAGATTACTATACTTTGTTATTCCTCCCTTTCTAGGATGCCTTGAGGATGACCTGAGAATAATGTATAAAAATACCCCATTTGCCAAACCAAATGCTTAAAGTTTCAAATGCTTTATCTCATTTGATATTTAATAATGCTGTCAAGTGGGTCCTGATTTAAGAAGGGAACCAATGGAGTTGTTAAGTTTGTGTCAAAACAAAACTGAGGGTTCTAGTCTTGGACCGCAGCACAAAGTTCTTCATATATGACCGTACAACTTCCCAGTAGAGAGTAAGGGGATTTGGTCTAGGAAGAAAACTACCAGCCTGGTAGGTTCTTTTCAGAACCCAATTCTGAGCTCAATAGGGGAAGTTTCCTTCTATTAGGGCTTAGGTCAACTCCATGCCAAAGGAAAATTTGCTTCATTTAACCTTTTGATTTGGCATCCCGGTTCCTAGCAAAAATTACACTGTTGTAATAATAAGAAATTTCACTTCTCCTACTTTTGTTTTCTCCAACACTGCTTTTGCAAGAGTGTGGAAAAATGAGCAGCTTTCTATAGTTACAGACTTTCTAGAGAAACATTGGGATATTTCTGAGTTTTAAATGTGAACAGATCCTCTTGGTGTTGAAATCACAGCTGTGTTATCTAACAGAGCATTTGCTGGCCGGGTGCCCACTCCCTCCTGCTAGACCCTGACTCCTTGGGCAGTTCACATGAGGGTGTTATTTGTCCTGGATACCAGCTGTTTGTTGTTTTAACGGTCATCTTCTTGGATTTAGACCAGCAGAGGGTCATGAGGGTGCCCTGTGTTCACCCACAATGCTTTGTTCCCTTTGTGCTATTTATGCACAGCCTACATTGTATGCCTACACAGAGGCATGGTCACTTTCCTTGGAAGCATAAACAGGTGGGGAAGGAAAGAAGTGCCAATGCTCTGGTTTGTAAACAGGTGTACTGAGTGTGGAGATGATTTTCCTTCCAAAAAAGCCAAGACTTGACCATATCCATGAGCTACATCTTGGCTCTGCCCAGCTAGCTTTTTCAGAGGTTGGACATTCAACCTATGAGACCATCAGAGACTCGATCCATGTAGAAACAGCAGATGTTCATGGACTTGCATATAGCCTATTTAAATGGCAGGACAAATAAATGGAGGATACCCATCATTCCTAGAATTTAAAACAAGTTCTTATTGAACAAGTTCTTATTGAAATTTACTGCAAATTCTGCCTACCAATCTGTTCATATGAAAACCAGAAGCCCAAGTTACATCCTAAATCTTGTTCCAACATGTGTAGCAAAATTAAATTATTTCCCCCTTGAGATTGTCATAAACTCGTTTAAGAAAAGAATATGTTGGTTAGGAAGCATCTCATACTGATTTCCCAAATCTGGTGTAGATTGCAGTCAATGAAGAGATGTTTTTTAAACCAAGTTCAACTATTTTTTAATTGTCCCCAGACAGAAATTTTTTTGTTGCTGTGGCAGAGATGGTGATTGCCTATCCAACGGTCACTTCTGCCTTCTTTCTTGTCAATAGAACCCCACTATTGGGTTGGGCAGCAGTTTGCTCAGAGAATATGGACCCATTCCCAGTAAAGGATAATTAGCACAAGCCAATTATGGTGATCCCATTGTCTTTTGCCAGTGATTGGTTATGATAACCACCCTACAATGACTAATTTTGAGACTAGAAATGAGGCATTTCCAAGACACTGAGGATGCTAGGTCAGAAAGATCGGAAGAGACTGGGTCCTCGATTACTTTGCTAAGCTTCTGAACCAACCTTGGACTTGTCATGTCAGAAAATGAAAAATTATTTTCTAAAGCAACTTCCAGTAGAAAATCCTGTTACATCACCCACGAACTTCCTGATCGAATTGCAAATCCTGTTTTCAGATTTTTTGTTAGTCAACATCTACTCTCTTTACCTTTGCTTTGGGTTTGGCCTGCTACTGAACAAGAGAGCACTTGAAAACCCAGTTGCTTAATGATCTTAATTTCTCCAAGTCTGTCCTGAAAAGCAATTCTACTTAGATTGGTACAAGACACCTGTCTGAAACCTAATTTTACCCTCTGAAATGGACTGAGTTACACAGGGCAATAGATGAAGGAAGTATACAACTTTCCAATGCCTCTTGATTCAAACTTGATTCAAACTAGGCGATTCATTATTCTGCCTATTGTGATTTTACTAAACATCACATAATTTAAATTATAATCACTAAAAATCCAAAATCAAATGACTTTGGAGAGTTCATACTTCTATTATAACAATATGGTTTAATTATCTAGGTTTTTCTTATCACTTTGAAGATGAAGAAATTGAGATCCTAAGTGGGAAATAGTTTTTTTCTACACCCCATACCACGTCCTAAAACCTATATGCCAGCTGCCCAGAATGGTGCTTTTTAAGAAATAGAACATATGGCCAGTCAATGTGAATACTTATTTGCACATTTTCTTTTCTAGAAATGATCATTTGTGGCAATGGAAGGAGTAATAAGTTTTGATGACATTAAGAAAATTGGATCTTGAGTTCCCTGCAGGTGGAATAGCTCTCTACTCTGCCCTGCCTTTAAGACCAGGGGATATATTAGTCCCTACTAGCAGGGAAACCACTATCAGATTGCCAGCTTGGAGAGATATATGTGTGCACATATTAATGGGATAGTCATGAAGACTGACACATAAAGTATTGTGTCCGGAATTGGTGGGTTCTTGGTTTCACTGACTTCAAGAATGAAGCCGCGGACCCTGGCGGTGAGTGTTACAGTTCTTAAAGGCGGCGTGTCCGGAGTTTGTTCCTTCTGATGTTCAGATGTGTTCGGAGTTTCTTCCTTCTGGTGGGTTCGTGGTCTCGCTGGCTCAGGAGTGAAGCTGCAGACCTTCGCGGTGAGTGTTACAGTTCTTAAGGCTGCGCGTCTGGAGTTGATGGTTCCTCCTGGTGGGCTCCTGGTCTCGCTGGCTCAGGAGTGAAGCTGCAGATCTTCACGGTGAGTGTTACAGCTCATAAAGGCCGTGTGGACCTAAAGAGTGAGCGGTAGCAAGATTTATTGCAAAGAGGGAAGGAACAAACCTTCCACAGTGTGGAAGGGGACCTGATCGGGTTGCCACTGCTGGCTTGGGCAGCCTGCTTTTATTCTCTTATCTGGCCCCACCCACATCCTGCTGATTGGTAGAGCTGAGTGGTCTGTTTTGACAGGGCGCTGATTGGTGCGTTTACAATCCCTGAGCTAGACACAAAGATTCTCCACTTCCCCACCAGATTAGCTAGATACAGAGTGTGGACACAAAGGTTCTCCAAGCCCCCACCAGAGTAGCTAGATACAGAGTGTCGATTGGTGCATTCACAAACCCTCAGCTAGACACAGGGTGCTGATTGGTGTGTTTACAAACCTTGAGCTAGATACAGAGTGTCGATTGGTGTATTTACAATCCCTGAGCTAGACATAAAGGTTCTCCACGTCCCCACCAGACTCAGGAGCCCAGCTGGCTTCACCCAGTGGATCCCGCACCCGGGCTGCAGGTGGAGCTGCCTGCCAGTCCCGCGCTGTGCGCCGGCACTCCTCAGCCCTTGGGTGGTCGATGGGACTGGGCGCCGTGGAGCAGGGGGTGGCGCTGGTCGGGGAGGCTCGGCCGCACAGGAGCCCATGGAGGGGGTGGGAAGCTCAGGCATGGCGGGCTGCAGGTCCCGAGCCCTGCCCCGCGGGAAGGCAGCTAAGGCCCGGCGAGAAATCGAGCGCAGCGCGGGTGGGCTGGCACTGCTGGGGGACCCAGTACACCCTCCGCAGCCGCTGGCCTGGGTGCTAAGCCCCTCATTGCCCGGGGCCGGCAGGGCCGGCCGGCTGCTCCGAGTGCGGGGCCCGCCAAGCCCACGCCCACCCGGAACTCCAGCTGGCCCGCAAGCGCAGCGCGCAGCCCCGGTTCCCGCTCGCCCCTCTCCCTCCACACCTCCCTGCAAGCTGAGGGAGCCGGCTCTGGCCTTGGCCAGCTCAGAAAGGGGCTCCCACAGTGCAGCGGTGGGCTGAAGGGCTCCTCAAGTGCCGCCAAAGTGGGAGTCCAGGCAGAGGAGGCGCCGAGAGCGAGCGAGGGCTGTGGGGACTGCCAGCAGTCTGTCACCTCTCAGTATGAATGCCCAGTGTTTATAGTGGCAGCATCACAGAACCTTTCTTTCCCTCGCCAGGCTTTTCCCCAAGCCAAAGCCCATGCTAAAAGCCAGCCTGTTTATGCATCCCAGGGCTTCTTTTTAGTAGTTTTCAAACACGGCAGTGTGTGCCTTTTACACAATTTGGGCTTTACATTTTTAAAAAATATCTTTGGATAAAGCCTGTCAGAATTTTAAGATCTCCTCTTTTCTTTCTTTCTTTCTTTTTTTTTTTTTTAACTTTTGTTTTAGTTCAAGGGTTTGTGTGCGGGTTTGTTATGCAGGTACATTGCATGGTGCGGGGATGGGATTTGGCGTACAGATTATTTTGTCACCCAGGTAATAAGCATAGTGCCTAATAGGCAGTTTTGCGATCCTCATCCACTTCCCACCCTCCATCCTCAAGTAAGCCCTGATGTCTGTTGTTCTCTTCTTTGTGTCCATGTGTACTCAATGTTTAGCTCCCACTTATAAGTCAGAACATGTGCTATTTGGTTTTCTGTTTCTGTATTAGTTGGCTTAAAAGAATGGCTTCCAGCTCTATCCATGTTGCTGCAAAGAACATGATTTAGTTTGTTTTTATGACTGTGTAGTATTCCATGGTGTATATGTACCACGTTTTCTTTATCCAGTCCACCATTCATGGGCATGTAAGTTGACTCCATAAGACCTTCTCTTTTCTTCTCCCAGACTCCTTCCCTTTATGCATAGAACTTACTTGAATTAGATTAAATTTATGAAAACCAGAGGAAAATCAGAGGATGAATATTGACCTTTCCATTTGATTGCTTAGTATGGCATTTAAATAACAGTGGATGGGCCCTACCATATTATTTTTGAAATAGCTAACCACTTGACAGAAAGATTGGGCTTTGGAGAGAAATTTAACAGTAAGGTATTAAAGGGTTGTACCCCACTGAAGATCAAGTTGAAATACAAATGAAGAGTCTCTGCAGTGTTCATTGGAAAAGCAAAGTATCTTTTTGGTCAATATTATAGCAACAGAAAACTCAGAAAATAGAAAAAAATATTGTTTATCAACCCACTCCAACTCAAAAAATTATGATTTTTATCTGTAATATCAATAGTGAGAACAGGGTCTTCTCGTGTAACTGTTCATGACACATCCATAGAGAAAGGTCTTTATCGTATGTTTTTTTTTCTTTCTTTTTTTTTTTCTGACCAAATTGGATTTATCCCAGAAATGCAAGCTTGGCTTATCACAAACAAAACAAAAAACCTACTGAGACAATTCACCTAATAAATTATGAAAGAAACCCCATATGATCGTCTTAGCAGGTACCAAAAAAGCATTTGATAAGTGTCAATGCTTACTTGTGGTAAAAGCTTCTAGCAAACTAGAAATAGAAAGGAAATTTATTTACCTCATAAAGCAATCAAAACTCTATAATAATGACAAAAATACATCAAAAGCATTTTTTTAAAAAAATCAGATATAGGGGTTAAAAAAAAACCTTTCCATCAAAAAGTGGGCAAAGGATATGAACAGACATTTCTCAAAAGAAGACATTTATGCAGCCAACAGACATATGAAAAAATGCTCATCATCACTGGCTATCAGAGAAAAGCAAATCAAAACAACAATGAGATACCATCTTAACACCAGTTAGAATGGCGATCATTAAAAGGTCAGGAAAAAACAGGTGCTGGAGAGGATGTGGAGAAATAGGAACACTTTTACATTGTTGGTGGGACTGTAAACTAGTTCAACCATTGTAGAAGACAGTGTGGCAATTCCTCAAGGATCTAGTACTAGAAATACCATTTGACCCAGCCATCCCATTACTGGGCATATACCCAAAGGATTATAAATCATGCTGCTATAAAGACACATGGACACATATGTTTATAGCGGCACTATTCACAATAGCAAAGACTTGGAACCAATCCAAATGTCCATCAATGATAGACTGGATTAAGAAAATGTGGCACATATACACCATGGAATACTATGCAGCCATAAAAAAGGATGAGTTCATGTCCTTTGTAGGGACATGGATGAAGCTAGAAACCATCATTCTGAGCAAACTATTGCAAGGACAGAAAACCAAACACTGCATGTTCTCACTCATAGGTGGGAATTGAACAATGAGAACACTTGGACACAGGGTGGGAAACATCACCCACCAGGGCCTTTCCTGGGGTGGGTGGAGGAGGGATAGCATTAGGAGATATACCTAATGTAAATGACGAGTTAATGGGTGCAGCACACCAACATGGCACATGTATACATATGTAACAAACCTGCACGTTGTGCACATGTACCCTAGAACTTATAACAATAACTTAGAAGTATAACAATAATAATTAAAAAAAGAAAAAAAAGCCTTTATAAATCACAGTTGATACAATTCTTTACATAGAAAATCCAAAAGAATTTACATTCAAATTACTAGAACAAGTAAGGGCTTGGCAATGTTGGTGGATATAAGATCAATATATAAAAACTAACTTCAAGGCTGGGTGTGGTGGCTCACGCCTGTAATAATCCCAGCACTTTGGGGAGCCGAGGCGGGCAGATCACTTGAGGTCAGGCGTTCAAGACCAGCCTGACCAACATGATGAAACCCCATCTATACTAAAAATACAAAAATTAGCTGGGCATGGTGGTGCGTACCTGTAATCCCAGCTACTTGGGAGGCTGAGGCAGGAGAATCTCTTGAACCCGGGAGGCGGAGGTTGCAGTGAGCTGAGATCGCGCCACTGCACTCCAGCCTGGGAGACAGAGTGAGACTCCATCTCAAAACAAAAACAAAAACAAAAAAACCACTACAAGATCTTTACCACATGGTCTATTGAGATAGCTGTTTACCAGGGTTTCCTCTGACCTTTGTTTATTGTTACTTTTTTAATGTCTGAAAAAGATGAACATTTTAAAGAAGTCTTTGCTTTCTGGTTTTCTGCATTAAATTCCCACTTTAACTGGTTTCTCGTGTCCAAAATAAAATAAAACTGATTAAGGTAAATAAGCCAGGGATTTTTTTTTTTTTAAAGATTGGTCTGCTTTGATACCATATCCATTTCACAAGTAATTGATAATCAATGAATGGTGGTCATAATCTTCGAATGGTGGTAATCTATGAATGATGATCTATGAATGGTGATGGGTCAGGAAGAGCTGAGAGATGATCAGTGAGGAAAGAAACAAAACAAAAAACAAGGCGGGAAAGAGGAGCACTGAGCAGATGGGAAGAGGAGACACGATGTGGGTAAGAAAGGAATGCAAGGTTGGGGTGAGATATGCCTATCCCAAATAAAGGAGCATTTGCTCTGTTCCAGTTTCAGCTCAAGAACTGGAAGTTTGATTGTCTTGTGGAGAACTGCTAATTGCAGACTGGGAAGGGAAGACGTTGGACCTCAATCTAATAGCTATTTCCTGTTAAGGCCCTTATTTTACCACTACAGACACATGGAGGCCACTACATCACTCTCCTTGGATTTCTTTCTACTCTCATCTATTTTCCGGGCACAGAAAAAAAACCCTCAGCTTATTTAAAGAGGTTAGCTTTGAACTGAAAATCAGATTAATTCAACCCAAACTCTAACCTAATAGTTTTAGCTTCTGCCACCACATTTTTGACCAGTGATGTTTTCCAGTATTGACTTGGACTAGTTTAGATTCTTCCACCCTAGTACTACTTAATTTTCTAAAAGAAGTTTCTCTATTACCCTCTTCATTCAGTCTTTATTCTATTCAATTTTCCATAGTCTAGGAAACAACTAGGAGGAAAGTCAGAAGATGCAGATAATCCCTAAAGGACTGAGTAAAATGACCTGTAATCACCTTAAAATAGAATGTATTATTTCTGTCTTTAACCTTCAAAGGCTTCCTCATCTAATTTTCCTATTTCCATATCCCTTCTCTGCTACTTTTCTGGGCAGAATTCTTCTGAATTACCTTTGATTTCTCTCTTCTATCTCCACAACCTGCTTTACAATTACATTATTCCTTATTTAAATGTTGAGAGATATATTTTGTATCAAAGCTTATGTAAGTGACTGCTAGTTGTTCCCAATAGTTACTCTTCCTCCTCCTCCCTTCTCCTCCCCCTTCTCCCTCCTCCCTCCTCCCTCCTTCCTCCTCCTCCTCCTTCTTCTTCTTCTTCCCCCTTCATCAGCAGAACTCCACTTTCTGTCTGAGCATATTACTGCCTTTATTAAAAATTTTTATCGGCCTCATTTGCCGATACGTAGGCTCACGTGATTAAGTTCTGACCAATAATATATAAGCAAAATTGTCTTTTGAGACTCCTGGGAAATCTTAAAGAGAGGGGACATGGCTTTCTTCTGTTTGTCATCCTTTGTGCTTCTAATATATGGATATGGTGACTAGAACTCCGACTTAGGCCAGGAGAAAGAGAGCTACACTCTATATGTGGGAGAGCAGAGAAATAGGAGGGTGGATCCCAGGTGGCTTTGTGGAGCCCTGGACCTTCTAACTGTGGACTAAATTGCTTTCTTGTTTGAAGACTATTTTGTTTTCTTTTCAGAAGCCAAAACTAATCCTCACTAATACAAAGATTCATAATTCCTTAAGTGATGCTGAAAACTAACATCTTCATGTGATTGCAGCAGTTACCTATGAGATCCATTCCATGGAAATTGAACATTCATTAGAAAATAAAGCTAGAGGCAGGGAAGGCAAATTTCATATAAAAGTTGGACTCTAGACTTGATAACTTTCTGTGTACCCACTTTTCCCTTCTCTGAGAAACTCCTCTCAGTTTATTCTCTGCAGCCTGGAGGGCTACAGTCATTCAGGAACCGGCTCTTGTGTCAACAGGGTGGTGGCTCAGCTATGAAGGCCATCTGAATGTAACATTTGGACCCTGGTTCTCTGCTGCTGTCTGTTCTGCTCCCTTTTATCTTTCCCTTGGCCTGGACCCTGTGACTCATCTGTTCCTGACCAGGCTGACTTATTTGTTGTTGAACCCAAGTATGGCTTTGACTTTCTACCAAAGAAAGCAGACTAACTAAAAACAAAACTTCTCTGCGTACATATTCATTGTAGGCAAATTAAAATTTTTTTTAAAATGTGGGAATAAAAGAATTCACATATTATTCCAACATTTAGTCATGACTCAAACACCTGTTTAATCTCTTTATTCTATATATTGATATTTTAAATATGAATTCTCCTTTTAATTTTTATTGTGCAAGTAATGAGTGTTCAACAGGGAAAATTTGGGAAATATAGAAAAATAAACACAAAAAGTGGTCTCATCATTTATCATTAAGAGATGGCCTCATTTTCCCTCCACTCTTCACCCCCCTCCTCCAATTGACTAAATGGCCATTCTGTCCACTCTGTGTCTTAAGCTAGGAATCTAGAAGACATCATTGGTTGCTTTTCTGCCTTATATCCCATATACAAGCAATCACTAAAGATTGTTGATTCTATTCTCTAAAAATCTCTTTATTCCATTTTCATGACCATTGACACCACCCTAGTACAAGCCACCTGAATTGCTCACCACATCAGCTTTTTAACGGGTCTGCCTGTATCCCTTGGCTTGCTGTCGTCTTGCATGCCCTCTCTCCCCCATCTAACCAGCTCCATCCATTCTTTTTTTTTTTTTTTTTTTGAGACATAGTCTCGCTTTGTAACCCAGTCTGGAGTGATGTGACACAATCTCAGCTCCTTGCAATCTCTGCCTCCTGAGTTCAAGCAATTCTCCTGCCTCAGCCTTCCGAGTAGCTGGGATTACAGGCATGTACCACCACACCCGGCTAATTTTTGTATTTTTAGTAGAGACTGGGTTTCACTATGTTGCCCAGGCTTGTCTCAAACTCCCGATCTCAGGTGATCCGCCTGTCTTGGCCTCCCAAAGTGCTGAGATTACAGGCACGAACCACCATGCCCAGCCTCCATTCTTCTTCTTCTTCTCCTTCTCCTTCTCCTTCTCCTTCTCCTTCTCCTTCTCCTTCTCCTTCTCCTTCTTCTTCTTCTTCTTCTTCTTCTTCTTCTTCTTCTTCTTCTTCTTCTTCCTCTTCTTCTTCTTCTTCCTCTTCTTCTTCTTCTTCCTCCTCTTCCTCTTCCTCTTCCTCTTCTTCTTCTTCTTCTTCTTCTTCCTCCTCCTCCTCCACCTCCTCCACCTCCTCCTCCTCCTCCCCCCTTCTCCTCCTCCTCCTCCTCTCCTCCTTCTCCTTCTCCTTCTTCTTCTTCTTTTTCTCTTCGTCCTCCTCTCTGGCACAATACTGGCTTATACTTAGTCCAAGACCAATGTACACCTGGTGGCAGTTACTTAAGTTTCAGACATGCTATAAAACACAGCAAGCATCACTACTTGCATTATTCATTCTCTATTTACCATGCATTGGCTTAAATTTGTATTGCTTATCCTGTCACATCCATTGTCGCTAAATAGAACATACCCTAAAATTTTTTGTAGATTTGGTCATCCCTAGCACACTACCCTGCATGGAGAAAGCTTTAATAAATAGTTATTGATCACTCTATAGCTGAACAATTAATTTTGAAGAACTGAACCATAATTGCTCAAAGTCTAGATATAGATTTTTTTTTCCAATTGGAAAATCAAGAATGTAATTGTGGTCTTAGATTTTTATAAAAAGAAGAAAACTCCAGAGTTACGTGAGTTTTATTTTTAAAGCAGCAGTAAACATGATCACCTCTCAAAACACTATATTTTACTTAAACCTTAGAACAAACACTTACTGTAACCTAATTAGATGGTTTATGCTTCCCTAATCTACTCATTTCTATTCCTGCATTTAAACTATTTCTAACATTCCTTGGACTCTTCCTGATTCCAAGTCCTACCTAATCCCGTAACACCCAATGTAAGTCTTGCTTTTTTGGTATAGCCTTCTGCAACCACCTCCTTGGTTATCACTTCCTCCTGGGATGATACAGTGGCCTCCCATTTGGTTTTCAGTTTAAGCACAACAGTGTAACAGATGCTGTATTTCTCTGTATATTTCTACCTCCTCATCATTTCTTTGGGGAGAGTGTCCTACATGTTTTTATACTCCCAGTTCAAGTGTGGGGACCAGTCTATAAATATTTACTGATGATTATTACCTGGATGACAGTTGCTTCTCTCTTTTACCTGGACACAAGAAGCATGAGAAATTGACAAAGATGTACTGACTTCCCAGTCTTAGCCCTGGCTGGTAGCAAGAGCTACCTTACAGGATTTGTTTTTGTTAAAGCCAGACTAAATACATCTTAAACAACCACGTCTTTTTCCATAGCTGCCTCAATTGATGGATTGGGCGAACATCTCACAGAAAATTCTCATGTGATTAATCTTGTCCCAGAATCCACAGAGTTATTCTCATTATCTCTTGGATAGAGAGAAAGGTACACAGACAAGCACTTTCCTTCCACTTGTTAGCCATTGTTTACTTGCCATTTACTTATTTGCAAATAAGTAAACCACTTGTTTACTTGCCATTCAAAACAACTAATTCTCACCTTTTCTTTCAGATAAGTTCAAACAGTATATAGTTCAAGGATCGAATCACAGAAAGGTCAATAAATTGATGCCCGGGGAGTTGCATGTATTTCATCTTTTCTCTTTTAATAAGACTACCTTATATGACTTTGCAAGTACAATAGGACCTAATGTATCCATTCCTTATAAATATTGGATTTGTGAAAATGTGTGATACACTGTAGACAGATTACCATCTGTCTTTGCATTATCTGGGAAGAACATGTTTTCCAAATGAATTAAAAATGATAAATAAGATCAAGAGGAATTCTTATCACATTAACTTTTAAAGTTTATTTTTATTTTTTAAGATTCCATCTTTGCTTTAAATTTTTTTCCTAAGCTAGGCATGGTGGCTCGTGCCTGTAATCCAGGACTCTGGGAGGCCAAGATGGGAGAATTGCTTGAGGCCAGAACCTCGAGACCATCCTGGGAACATAGTGAGACCCCTACCTCTAAAAAAAATTTAACTGGGCCTGGTGGTACACACCTGTAGTCTCAGCTACTCAGAAGGCTGAGGTGGGAGGGTTGCTTGAGCCCAGGAGTTCGAGGCTGCACTGAGCTCTGAGAATGTGCCATTTGCACTCCAGTTAGGAGACAGAATGAGACCCTGTCTAAAAGAAAAAAAAAAAGGTTTCCTCTTTCATCTATAGTAGTTTATAAAACCTATTTTCTCTGCTTCAGACCTCCCCTTCTATCCTTGTTTTGTGAAAGAAATCATGTTTCTGTTTTGTGATTTGGCTCTTGGCTTTCTCAGTAATAAGCACTTGAGGGATACTGGAAAGTTAGAAGAAGGAACTAGCTCCTTCTTGTTTGCTGCTGGTCAGCATCACCCTCAGCCTCTCTTTTTCACTCTGGCAGTGGCAGTCTATTTCAGTAGCAGCATCTCGATTTAGTTTACAATTTTCCCAACAATCACCAGCCTCATTGTACTCCCTTACAGAACCAGCAACAGTGAGGTCCTTCTTCCAAGTTTTTGCTTTTTTAATTTTTTTACCCTGAGATGGAGTCTAGCTTTGTCACCCAGGCTGTAATGCAGTGGCATGATCTCAGCTCACTGCAACCTCTGCCTCCCGGGTTCAAGCAATTCTCCCGCCTCAGCCTCCTAGGTAGCTGGGATTACAGGCATGTGCCATTATGCCCAGCTAATTTTTGTATTTTTAGTAGAGATGGGGTTTCACCATGTTGGCCAGGCTGGTCTCGAGCTCCTGACCTCAAGTAATCCGCCCACCTCTGCCTCCCAAAGTGTTGGGATTACAGGTGCGAGGCACAGCACCCGGCCTAGTTTTTGCTTTTTAATAATTTTTACACCTTCCATTTGTTCCTTTGGACTTAAGAGTGTAGTAGTTGCTTACTGTGGTTGCAAGTTTGGGAATCCTCTGTGGGTTTTTTTTTTTTGCATTTTCCATTCTTCAATATTCAGTTAACAATTCTTTATATTAAATTCACCTTGTTTAAATAACTAGTAGCATTTCTGTCTCTTGACTGGACTGTGACTGATACAGATCATATAGGTTGTCTTATGTATTTGAAGGTTTATATATATATTAATATATATTTTTCTGTCTCTCATATATATGAGTATGTGAGACAGACTCCTATTCTGTCACTCAGGCTGGAGTGCAGTGGTATAATCACAGCTCACTGCAGCCTCAACCTCCCAGGCTCAAGTGATCCTCCCACCTCAGCTTCCCAAGTAGCTAGGACTATAGGCACGTACCACTGTGCCCAACTATTTTTATTTTATTTTATTTTTTGTAGAGACAGAGTCTCTACAAAATGTTGCTCAGGCTGGCCTTGAACCCCTGGGCTCAAGGGATCCTCCTGCCTTGGCCTCCCAAAGTGCTGAGATTACAGGTGTTAGCCATTGTGCCTGGCTTAAAATTATTTTAAATAAATCCTTTAATCCATATATTTCACCTTTCCAAATTTCCACTAAATATATCTGAATTAGTGCCATATTGTAGAAGTCATTATTTCCCTCTCTATAATCACCTATATTTCACCTTTCCAAATTTCCACTAAATATATCTGAATTAGTGCCATATTGTAGAAGTCATTATTTCCCTCTCTATAATCACCTATATTTCACCTTTCCAAATTTCCACTAAATATATCTGAATTAGTGCCATATTGTAGAAGTCATTATTTCCCTCTCTATAATCACCTATATTTCACCTTTCCAAATTTCCACTAAATATATCTGAATTAGTGCCATATTGTAGAAGTCATTATTTCCCTCTCTATAATCACCTATATTTCACCTTTCCAAATTTCCACTAAATATATCTGAATTAGTGCCATATTGTAGAAGTCATTATTTCCCTCTCTATAATCACCCACTTACCAGCTTGATGCTAATACTGTACCTCAAGACTTAAAAATAATCCAAAAATTACCATTTCCAGCAAGTAAAAATTGCTATTGTTCTGTGTTGCCCTGTCCCGACACCCTAGAGAGAGAGGATGACTTGGAACAGTAATATCCAAGTCAGCCCCACTCTTGTGACATTTCCAAATCACAGGAGGGAGCAGCACAGGCCACTGAAATTCATCACCCCCAGGAAGCGGATGACCCTGGGCCTTTCTTAGCCCTGCCAGGGGGAGGAGTAGCCCCAGGGAGAGCCATAGAATTGACTTAAATATTCCTTTCAATGTGGCTCAGCATGAACGTGAATGGATTTCAAGGATAGAAACTTTGGCTTGAACTTGGCTATTCTGAGGTCAGAAGAAAATTTCTCCCTTGAGAAATCTGTGCTCTGTGCTCAGAGGTGGTATTTGTGGCTCTTAAACATTTGATAGCTACTTTTGCTCCTCCATCAGATTCCCCCCCCCATTGTGGGCTGGTAAGCATGAATTCATTCACAGTAAGTTTAATAGAATTTACTAAGTGAAGGCACAGCTGAGTTACAGAAAGGAGAAAATGCAACGTTTATTAAGTGTCTTCTATGTGATACAAGAGCTGGGGGCTTTCTTGACAGTAATTCTGTGAAGTAATGGTTTGATCTCTATTTTGCAGATGATGGAACTGAAGCTCTTTGAGTTAATTAACTGAAAGCCATCCCTCTAGTCAAGGACAGACATGTTCCTTAATTCGGGCCTGTGCTTCTTTAAATCCCGCATTCTGCCCACTATATCATACTTGTGCATGTTGACAGGGAAAATAATTGGCTTTAACAATTTTTGAACGTTCTTCGAGTCAGAAAATTATTTGGAATACTGAAGAAAAGAAAAAACATGGGCATTGTGTTAGAGATCCACAATCTAATGGCCCACCCATTTTTCTAAATAAATTTCACTTTTTTGGAACAGTTTTAGACTTACAGAAAAATTGAGAAACTGGAACAAAGAATTCCCACATACCCTACGGCACAGCCAGTTTCGCCTATTGTTAACATCTTATATTAGCATGACACATTTGTTAAAGTTAATGAGCTACTCTTGATACATTTTTATTAACTAAAATCCATAGTTTTCCCAGATTTCCTTGGATTTTTACCTAACATCCCTTTTCTGCTCCGGCATCCCATCCAGGACACCATGTTACATTTAGTCATGATCGCTTCTTAGGCTCCTCTTGGCAGTGACAGTTTCTCAGACTTTCCTTGTTTTTGATGACTTTGACAGTTTGACAGTTTTGAGGATTGTTGGTCAGGCATTTTGTAGGACATCTCTTTACTGAAATTTACCTGATTTTTTTTTTCATGATTTGAATGGGTTAATAGATTTCTGGGAAGAAGATCACAGAGGTAAAGTGACATTTTCATCCCATGATACCAAGGGCACATACTATCAACATGACTCATGACTGTTGATATTGACATTGATCACCTGGCTAAGGTAGTGCTTGTTAGGTTTCTCCATTGTAAAGCTGCTTCCCCGGCCCCTTTCCGTAGCTTGCTCTTTGGAAGGAAGTCAGTATGTGCAGCCCACACTTAAGGAGTGGAGAATTTTGTTCTTGCTCCTCCAGGGTGAGGTATCTAAATAAATTATTTGGAATTCTTCCGCATGGGAGACTTTTCTCTCTCATTTATTAATGCGTTCAATTATTTATTTATATTATTGTGGAACGATGGGTATTTCTTTCATCCTTTAGATTTTAATCCAGTACCATTTTATTTTTTGCTTACATGATTCCAGCTTTGGACACTGGGAGCTCTTTCAGTTGGTCCCCGTGTCTCTTTAACAAACCCTTTATCCATGCCTTTTTTTTTCTTTGAGCACTTCCTTATTTTCTGGAACTTGTTTCTTGTTCCAGGCTCATCTTGTATATTTTCTGTACCTCTTATTGTAATTCTATAGTTTCATATATATATATATATACACACATACATATATATATACACATACACACACATATATATAAATAACAACAGAAAAAAAGAATTTGTGCTTTAGGAAAAGCATCATGATGTGGAATCTCCTCACCCGCTAGTTCTACTTTTAGAAACAGTTTAGTAAGTCAACTGCTCTTTAGGAGTTTCAGAGATGGAAAGAGTGACAGACTTTTAACTGTGCAGTGTCTGACTGACAACACTGAGTTTTTTCTTTGCCTATGGACATATTTTTTAATACTCATAAGAAGAAAAAAACATCGGCTTGCAGCTCTTTTGATTTCCTCTGAGGGTTCCCCCTCTCTTCCTCCTTCATTGGCTGAAGAAGCACAGATGAATGTGAATGCTTATTAAATAATCACTTGTTACAAATAGCTGATTAGGATTTGGGCTATGTCAACAATTGTTGCTTGCCAGGCTTTTGGCAGAGTTCTGATCACGTTAGGTTTTAGATAATCAATTTATTCTAATACAAACCATATTGGACGGTGGAGCTTTTATGCCTTTTTATTTCCTTTAAACAGCCTTCGGAAGCAAATGCTTATTATTTTGAAATGCAGCCAAATTCTGGTCACCACAGGAGTCCACTGTTAAGATGAAGCTCCTAACACATTAGATATTTTCTTGGCTTAGGCAGAAACACTTAAAACATTGGACAGAAAACTGATGTTTTTGATTTCCCTTCCTATCTTCAGATTATTGGAGTTTCATTAGAAAACTGATAGTAACCTTTTATTTGATGAAACTCTGTCTATAATTAAACCTTCCTCTTCCTGCTTTATTTTGCCTACAGTTTAGGTAAATAAAAGATGCCCAAGAATTCAGTATTCAAGTACAGTAAAAAGTAGCAACCATGGGGTAGGGACAAGTCCAGAAAAAGGGAGGAGGTGGGGGGGTTTTCTGGGAAGATGTCAAATAAAAATTGACAACCAGAATGCAGTGAATTAGAAGGGTGATTGTGCTGAGACGCTGAGCACTGAGCGTAGAAGTTGTTTAGGGCCCTCCATGGGACGGAGGTCTATAACAAAACCATGTTCTAAAGGTCACTTAAGGATAATGTCAACAAGACAAATATTTTGAGATTTATGGGGTAGTAGAAGAACGACAGGACTTCAGATAAGCACCTGTGGATAAGGGTCAGAGGCATCTAAAGTTTAAGCAAAGATGACAAACTGAAATACCTGCAAGGAGTAGAGGTGACTTACATGCAGAGATACTATTGATAACATCTAACAGCTGATGAGGCACCAACACTTCCCAATCAGAAACCGGGCCAATGGGTTCCCTGTGCCACTAGAATTTCTTCTTTATCTGCTGAATGTTAGGAGAGTCTGGAGGGTGCTCAGAGGTTGGGTCTGGAACAGTTGGCAAAGCAGAGGTACATTTGGAGAGATACATTTAGGTAAACAAAAGATACCCAAGAATTCAGTATTCAAATACAGTAAAAAGTGGCAATCATGGGGTAGGGAAAAGTCCAGAGAAAGGGAGGAGGCGGTGTTTCATTGTAGTACAATGCTGAATTACTGTATTAGTAGGGTTCTCTAGAGGGACAGAACTAATAGGATAGATGTATAATATATATGAAGCGGAATTTATTAAGGAATATTGACTCATACGATCACAAGGAGAAGTCCCACAATAGGCCATCTGCAAGATGAGGAGCAAGAAAGCCAGTCTGAGTCCCAAAACCTCAAAAGTAAGGAGGCTGACAATGCACCCTTCAGTCTGTGGCCGAACACCGGAGAGTCCCTTGCAAACCACTGGTGTAAGCCCAAGAGTCCAAAAGTTAAAGAACTTGGAGCCTGATGTTCGAGGGCAGAAAGCATTCAGCACGGGAGAAAGATGAAGACTGGAAGACTCAGCAAGTGGGCTTCTCTCACCTTCTGTCTGCTTTATTTTAGCAGTGCTGGAATTGATTAGGTGAGTCTGCCTCTTCCAGTCCACTGACTCAAATGTTAATCTCCTTTGGCAACACCCTCACAGACATATCCAGGAACAATACTTCGCATCCTTCGATCCAATCAAGTTGACACTTAATATGAACCGTCACATTTACCAACCATCTAAATTATTTCAATGTTTTAACAGCCTGTTTGGCTAAATAGATGTGTGCTAGAGAGCTATCACTTTCCACGTGGGTAAAGTGGGCTCTATGAGGAGACTATAGAGTGTGGTGCGGACTGTAGTAAGCTTGAGCAGCCTGCGCAGCCTGCACCCCTGAGTGCATTGGAACGGAGTCCAGTGGATTTGTATGTGCATTGGAAATATCCTTTTTTAAAATGACTCTTTTACCCTGTGCAGATGAAACAAAACACATATGCAGGATGGTCATGGGCATTTATCGTTACATGAGACTTCATACCCAGATTTCTATCTTAATAGCTAATGAATTTTAACACCAATGCTTCAAGTAAGAAACCTCAGGGTTTATTTTAACCTTTTCATTCATTTCTCTATTTCTTCATTTATTTATCCAACACTACTGAAGACTACTTCTTTTTCCTTACATTTCACATCATTTATTTTCTAATACCTTTATTGTTAGGCTATGCATCTCCATCTCCCAATTAACTCTCAGAACAGTACCTAGCCTTACTTTCCTGCACTTTGACATCATACAGTGATGCTTATTATTTTGCTTATTATTCTCAAAATTCATTTTTTTGTATTTCCATTTAATAATTATTGGACAACTTCCATGCACAAGGCACCATGCTAGGTGCTGGTATAAAAAAAATTATAAGACAGCTTCTTATAGCCATCGAGGAGCTTGCTGTCTAACTTGACTCAACTATCCATCGACAAAGTCTTATTGAGGTTCTGGCTGCCATCGTCTTATTTAATCCTTAGAGATGCTGATTGAATGGTCTTCTCTCTCTCTCTCTGTTTACCCTCTTTCCTCATGCTACCATAGTGATTTCCTCAGCATCTCATATCAGGGGTGTATTAATCAGGGTTCTCCAGAGAAACAGAACCAATAGGATACAGAGAAATAGATACATAGGTAGATATATATATATAAATATATGAGAAGATTTATTATGAGAATTGGCTTGCAGGATTGTGGAGCTCAGGAAGTCCCACAATATGCCATCTGTGGGCTGGAGACCCAGGAGAGATGGTGACATAATTGAGTCTGAATCTGAGGCCTGAGAACCAGGAGAGTTGATGGTAGAATTCTCAGTCTGAGGCTGAAGGTTTGAGAGTCAGGAGCTGTGATGTTTGAAGGCAGGAGCAGA
The DNA here is from genome assembly GCF_000001405.40 of Homo sapiens. Classification (NCBI taxonomy): domain Eukaryota; kingdom Metazoa; phylum Chordata; class Mammalia; order Primates; family Hominidae; genus Homo; species Homo sapiens. The sequence continues at coordinate 214,688,784 of NC_000001.11, forward strand.
TGCATGTCCCAGCTCAAGTAGAGAGAGAGTGGGAATTCATCCTTCCTTTGCCCTTTTGTTCTATTCTATTCTAGGCCCTCAATGTACTGGATGTTGCCCAGCAAAGATCTTCTTTTACTCAGTTTACTGATTCAAATGATGATCTCCTCTGGAAACTTTCTCACAGACACACCCAGAAATAATGTTTTAACAGCAGTACAAAAAATTAACCATCCCAACGGCCTCATTCTTGTTCTGTGTCTCATAGTCCTTATGAAGTCCCTGGACCATGTCATCTCCCAGTCCCTCCACACCCTCCCCCTTTCCCTTTGTGGCGTTCAGACTTGCTTGGTCAATCCAAATTCCCTTTCCCTTGCTGAGCCCTCCTGCACCCTCAGATCTCCCACTTCACCAGGAAAATGTTTATCAACCCAGTGCACTAAGGCCTATGGCTTTCTCTGAGTCTTTATAGCTGAGATCACACCTCATCTGGGGAGATCCGTGCCCTCTGCCCTTGGCTGGGACATACTGTTAACACGTTTCCTAAAGGATTAGGTGCAATGTGAAATGCCACATCCAATAAGGGAAGGACGCTGCTTGACAAAAAGGAGCACCAGACTGACTTAGCAAAAGGAACTGGGGAAAAAGACAAAAGAGAGAAGGGTAAATGTACTTTTAATTATAATTTTTAAAAGGAAAGGCTTCCCTCTTCTAAACTTCTAAGAGGCTGTGAACAGTGGTGAGTCCTGAAGCAGCTCTGTGCAGGCCACACCATAGAGATTGGTCCGTTTCACAGGTGGAAGAGAACGATGCCTTGGATTCCATTCAAGTTGCTTTTTCCCCAGTTTACTGCCAAACCTGCGCTAAGTCAAGCAGAGAAGACATGCGGTAAGGTTAGATGAGTGAATGCCGTTCTTCAATGTGTCTCTTTCCCAGATTTCTGTGGTCAAGGCTATTTACATGGAAATGAGGGTGTGCCAGGACCTCTGATCTGGTCCTGTTGCCTTTAAGGGATTAGAGTGAGAAAGTGGCCATGTCAATTTTCAGAGATTCACTTACTGCTATATAAAGAAATTACTGCCATACCAAATATTATGTATTGAATTTTGCCCCCCATCCCCCAAAGATATGTTGAAGTCCTAACCCTGGTACCTTAGAATGTGACCTTACTTAGAAGTAGGGTCTTTACAGGAGCAACTAAGTTGAAATGAGGTCATTAGGATGGGCCTTAATCTAATAAAATGCTGTCCTTAGAGAAAGTTGGGACAGATACAGACACGCAGAGAGGGAAGATAATGTGAAGATACACAGGCAGATGATGGTTAGATGGCAGATGACTTTGCTAAGGCAGTCATAGAAAACTAATACTCCTCCTTTACTTTGTCAACAGTCCCACAGCAGGTCGGCCTACAGCCTACCACAGGCCAACTAATACAAAGTAAGCTGCTTCTGCTTAGAGAGTATATTGCCGACACATTTGGACACAAAATCAGTATTCAGCTATAGGCTGATAACACCTTCCATGTTACAATACAGGTTCTAGATACAGTATAATGCCCTCTCTGCTATTCTAGAGCTGCACTGTCCAAAACACCATTAGCCACATGTGAGTGTCTAAAATGAAATTTCAGTTCAAATGATTAAATTAAAAATTCTTAGCCACATTAGCCCGATATCAAGTGCTCAATAGTCATGATGACTTGTCACCGTATTGGACACCACAGATGTAGAACATGTTCATCATTGCAGAAAGTTCTGTTGGACAGTGCTGTTCTAGAGAATGAAATATTCTTTTCAGTTGGTTGTACTGGTTAACTGAGAAATACCACATATCCTTTGAAAAAAGAAAGGAAAGAAAACAAAAAAGAAGCTGATACAGTTACCTCTAAAATAGTGCTTTCATAAATCTGAAGGCATGTTATAGTTTTGAAATATTTTAGGGGTAGGAGTATGACTTTCAATACTCACTGTACTGACAGAGGGCCAGAATGTTGGCAAATGGAAAGCTGGGTTGATTGAATGCTAAATAAATCAGCATTTTCTGTCTCAACTATGGCCCAAATACAAAATCTAACCACTCTGGGGAATAATTTAGGAACATTTAAAGTCATTAGGATCATTAGATCTGACTCAAGTGATGCAAAATAAACAACCCTCCCAGCCCGATTTGGAATCAGTTCTACTGCCTTCAAAGTTGAGGCTAAGTCCTCTGAGCTTGAATATATGACAAATGTTTTTCTTTGTTTGGCTATGTTTATTCTCACATCTATTTTTTTTTTCAGTGTTTGTTTCACTGAAAATGATCTATAACAATCTATAACCCTAATTACTTATTGTCTCAGAGCCATAGGACTGTTAAGGACTGGGTAGTATAATTTGTCTCTTTGCCTCCAGTCTGGAATTCAACTGAGCAGGCTGTCTATATATTGCTGTGTACTGATCCCCATCCTTCATGAAAACATAATCAGCTCCAGAGGATACCTAGTATGATATTACTAGCACCATTTTTCTTGCTACCTCATTTTTCGTAATGGAATTTTTACATTTTTTCCAGATCTTTGGGTCAGAGTGACATTTAGTTTGCCCCTCTGACTTCTAGCTGCAATTTTCTTTGTCTGAACTACACAGAGGGAGACAAAATATCCCTTTTTATTGTGGTTAGAGGTCTCACCAAGGAACAGTGGCAGGAATGTAGCTCTAAATTCTTAAATAACTAAGTGATACTTTATAGACAGAGGAGACTTCAAAAATATTCTTCACTGACTTGGCTTGAAGAAATTAACACACTCTTCTATTAAAAAAATTCTGTCTGTACTTAAGAGAAATGTGGTGTTCTAAGTTTTAAATAAATTGCTGGAGAAGGACCTCACCCCAACTTCTAAGCAAGGACAGTCATCCTACTCAGTTTTATTGAGAACAGTGATTTGGATGTTTATTTCTTTTGTTCTACCAAAAAATGTTGTGTCAGTTGTGTTGCAAGAGATACAGAGCTGGCTGGGCTCTGATAAAGCTTATTACGATGGCATGATGAAGAGGAGGATATTCTCCTGGAAAAGCAGGCTGGGACTCTGTGAAGGCCTTGTTAATTCCCTAGAAAAGCAGGCCACTGGGACGCAGTGGGATTCTCACCTTTCCAAGACCAGCAAGCCACTGATATGATTGGCAGATTATTATGTCAATTAAGATTAAAGAGGAATAGATGAAACAGGAGAGAGAAATTGAATAAGAGAACATTTTCTATGTAGAGGGTAGAGATGTTTTATTACATTTTCTAGCTGCTTCTCATCCTAGCCAGTCTGTCCTTCCCTTCAGTATGGAAGATACATGGCATTTCCCATTTTAAGAAATCAAAAAACAAAAATCTAAGCCAAAAGACCCTGAGCATTTAAGAAGAATAGCTAGTATGAAAAAACTTTCTAAATTACCAAAGTATAAACATACAAGATTTCTTTGAGTAGTGAGATTTGGCCGAAATCTTTGTTCAGATTTTATGCAAATCAATTTTGTTTCTTTTCTATCTAGGTTCTGGATATCTCACTATTCACTGAAGCTGGTTTACCATGGGCTGCTCTTTCTGTTATTATGGGGTTTTTATTGCAATTTATAGATAATTCTTAATCTCTACTTCCAAATTTGTAACTGCAGCCCAGATCTCTTTCTTGGACTTTAGATCCATGTATTCGATCCTACTCCACTTGGTGTCCCAATGGACAAGATTCCAGTTGCTTCCAGCATTCCAGTTGCTTAGCCCCAAAACCTGGGAGTCAACCTTGACTCTTGTTTTTCACATCACACATCTACCCAGTCAGGAAATTCTCTTTCAAAATATCTCCAGTCTGTCCACTTCTTAACTCTCCTACAGTTACCATTTGCCACCACCATCTCTCACTTTGATTAGTATTACGCTAGCCACTCAGCAGTTCTCTGCTTCCATCTTTACTCTTTATAGTTTCTTGACCTAGCAGTCAGAGTTTTGGAGCCATTGCAGAGTTTTTAGCAGAGGAGTGACGTGATCAGACTTACTTTTTTTTTTTGAGATGGAGTCTAGCTCTTGTTGCCCAGGCTGGAGTGCAATGGCACAATCTCGGCTCACTGCAACCTCTGCTGCTCAGGTTCAAGTGATTCTCCTGCCTCAGCCTCCCAAGTAGCTGGGATTACAGGTGCCCACCACCACGCCTGGCTAATTTTTTGTATTTTTTAATAGAGACAGGGTTTCACCATGTTGGTCAGGCTGGTCTTGAACTCCTGACCTCAGGTGATCCATTCGCCTTGGCCTCCCAAAGTGCTAGGATTACAGGCATGAGCCACCACACCCGGCCCAGACTTACGTTTTAAAACAACCTCCTTTTTCAAATATCACTGCTATGGTTCAGAGATGGTGTGTTTGGTCCCACCTAGTCTCATGTTAAACTTTGATCCCCGGTGTTGGAGGTGGGGTCTGGTGGAAGATGTTTGGATTGTGGGGATGGATCGCTCATGAATGGCTTGGTGCCATTCTCATGGGAGTGAATTGTCACTCTAGGTTCCCACAAGAATTGCTTGTTGAAAAGAGCCTGGTACCTCCTCTTCTCTCTCTGGGTTTCTTTCTCATCATGTGATAACTGCCCCCTTTTGCCTTCCACCTTGAATGGAAGATTCCTGAGGCCCTCACCAGATGCAGATGCTAGTGTCATGCTTCTTGTACAGCCTGCTGTGAGCCAAATAAACTGTGAGCCAAATGAACACTTTTTCTTTATAAATTACCCAGCCTCAGGTTTTCCCTTATAGCAATACAAGTGGACTAAGGCAATCACCCACTCGGTAAAGCCCACTATAAACACCTGATTTAAATGACAGGCTATCTTTCCTTAGCATTCTCAATGACATTAGCCTGATCAATTTTTCACAGTACTAATTGCTTTTTCTCACAATATGTAATTCACCCATTTATCATGTTTATTGACTGTCTCTCATCCCCCACTCCTGCAGAATGTAAGCTATATGAAGGCAGACATTTTGTCTATTCACTGATATATTCCAAGTATTGGAATTATACGTGGCACACTGTAGGCAGTACATGAATATTTGTTGAATGATTTTAAAATATTTTCTTTGTAACCCATCCAAGAGTCTTCAAACATGTACAGTGAAGGTGACATTCTCCCCCTGCTCCTTAGAAATATTGACCAGGTGCTCTAGCTTTTCCATTTAGAGTTAGATAATAAAAATCCTTGAGACAGTTTTTGCTACAGGGACAGAATTATTTCAGGGCTTTAAATGGCCCACTTCCATGTAATAACAGTCAAATTGAAAGTATTTCCCCCGTCCTAGCTTTTGAGTCCGTAATGAGGAGGAAGCACAAATGGCTCTGGCTCCACATCCCCTGCAACCTAGTTCTACTCCTCCAACCCAGCTCACTAGCCCAGGCTTCTGACTCCTTCAGAATTGGGAAGAAGGAATTAAGGAAATGCACAGTATTCAGAGATTGGTATTTTCATGATATGTTCTTAGTGTTCATGAGGCTTGGCAAATATAAATCCAGATCTTCCCCTTAGGATCCATTTTGCGGGTTTCTAAAAAACTCCTCATTGGGAACCTCCAATGACTAGTCCTGTGATGTGGGATGCGATTGGCCACTCAACACAAACTCTCAGTCTGTGGGCATCTGGCCTCCCGCCCCGCAAGATTCTCTCTGGTAAACCTCTTGAGCAAGGTCTCTTTGAACACGGCTCCAGCCTGGCTCCCACAAGACCCACAAAAGCCGTGGTTAGTGGGAACCTCTCCTCCATCCTCGCCTGTGTGAAAATGCAACTCTCTCTCAGGGGTGTCCACTTTCCCTGAACGCTGCCCCTTAGCCTGGCTGAGCCATGGCATCTCGCCTTTAGACTTTTCAGCTCAATCAGAGACCAGCCCATTAATTAGACCCTTAAGCCTCTCACTAGATCTCAAGGTGCGGGGGGAAAACACCCCTCTTCTTCCCCTTGTGGGAGAAACAGGGCCAGAGAGGGGATGCAGAACATAATTACAGCTTCTCCAGAGAAATTCCTGCTCTTAAGTTTTTCAACTCCAACCCTGTTGGACTCCTGAGATAGGTGATGGACTAGGGATTGACAAATGGGTTGCTGAGTACCCTGTTTGCAAGTCTTGTGGAAGTGCCTGGGGCCTATTATTTTGTTGTCAGCCAATGGGAAGATCAAACAGAGATAGAATGAGTCATATTTCAGCACCCAGCTTATAAGTTTAAGATGTAAAGGTATGAGTTGAGGTTGTCAGGATATCCTCTAATTCTCCCTGTTCCCACACGCTGCCCCATTCCGGGCTCAGAGACTTCGTGTGGCTGGCTCCTCCTTCGTTTCAGGTCTCAGCTTAGGTGTAGCTGTCCTCAGAGGCCTGCTTTGCCCATCCAGCCTAAAGCAGGTCCCTGTTGTACTCTCTCAGCTCCCTCTTCTTTTCCTTCACATATTTATTACAGTTTGGAATCATATATATATATTTAGGTGATTAATTTCTGTCTCCTACACCAGACTATTAGCTATATCTGCTTGGTTCATAGTGGCTTCCCTGGAGCCCAGCACAGAGTTTATTATGGGGCTCATGCTCAGAAATGTTAGGGTATACTCCAATATAGTTTAGAGCTCTTGTCTTGGAGCTCCACTGCCTGGGTGTGGACATCCGTTGCTTACTAACCATGTGCTCTCAGGAAAACCATTTACTTTTTTGTGCCTCAATTTCCTCAGTTGTAAAACTGGGACAATAATAGTACCAAATATTAAGTGTTATATAAATTAATATAAAGTACTTAAAAGGAGTTCATGGCACATAGTAAGTGCTTTAAAAGTGTGTGCTATTATTATTAACTGCATGGGTGAAGCATTGTCTTCTATGTAGTAGAGAAAGTGTTTTTAGGGAATATTCAGTTAACAAAGAACTATCTTTTCACAACAAGCTGAAGAAAACTCGCTGGTGTAGTGCGTTTCAGGAAATAGGAAGTCATCCCCAATACCCTAGAACTGAGAGCTGCCCCTTGTATCACATCACACAGATCTGGGGAGAGAACATTCAGAATAGCAATCTAGTTCAATGGCTCAAGCACAGGCTTTGGAGGTAGACAGATCACGATCAAATCTTGCCTCTTTCACTTAGAAACTGTAATTTTGGAGAGGTACTCAATTTATCTCTGAGGCTCAGTTTATTTACACAGGCATACCTCATTTTATTGTGCTTTGCTTTAGTATGCTTTGCAGACACTACGTTTTTGTCTTTGTTTTTATAAATTGAAGGTTTTGTGTCAACCTTGCATCAAGCAAGTCTATTGGTACAATTTTTCCAACAGCATGTGTTCACTTCATGTTCCTGCGCCACATTTTGGTAATTTTTGCAATACTTCAAACTTCTTCATTACTACTATATCTGTCATGGTGACTTGTAATCAGTTATCTTTAATATTACTGTTGTCATTTTTGGGGGTGTCATAAACTATGCCTACATAAGTTGGCAAACTTAAATGATGAATGCTGTGTTTGTTCCGACTGCTCCACCAACTGGCTATTTCCCTGTCTCTCTCTCTCTCCTGGGGCCTCTCTATTCCCTGACATCCAACAATATTGAAATTGGGCCAGTTGGTAACCCTACAATGGATTCTAAGTGTTCAAGGGAAAGGAAGAGTCTTACATCTTTCACTTTAAATCAAAAGCTAGAAATGATTAAGCTTAGTGAGAAAGGCATAATCAAAGCTGAGACAGGCCAAAAGCTAAGCCTCTTGCACCAGTTAGCCAAATTGTGAATGCAAAGGAAAGGTTTTGGAAGGAAATTAAAAGTGCTACTTCAGGGAATCCACAAAAGATAAGTGAAATAGCCTTATTGCTGATAGAGGAAAAATTCGAGTGGTCTGGATGAAAGATCAAGCCAGCCACATTTCCTTAAACCAAGCCTAATCCAGAGCAGAGTCCTAACTCTCTTCAATTCTATGAAAGCTGAGAGAGGTGAGGAAACTGTGTAAGAAAAATTAGAAGCAAGCAAGGTTGGGTTCATGAAGTTTAAAGAAAGAAACCATCTCCATTGTCGTAAAAGTGCAAGATGAAGCGGCAGGTGCTGATGTAGAAGCTGCAGCAAGTTATCCAGAAGATCTAGCTAAGAACATTGATGAAGTTAGTTAAACTAAACAACAGATTTTCAGTGGAGAAGAAACAGCTTTCTATTGGGAGAAGATATTATTTTAGGAATTTCATAGCTAGAGAGAAGTTAATGCCTCAATTCAAATCTTCAAAGAAGGTGCTGACTCTCTTGTTAGAGGCCAGTGAGCTGATGACTTCAAGTTGAAGCCCATGCTTGTTGGCCATTGTGAAAATCCTAGGACCCTTAAGAATTACGCAAATCTATACTGCTTGTGCTCTAGAAATGGAAAAAAGCCTAGATGACTGCATATCTGTTCACAGCATGGTTTACTGAATATTTTAAGCTCACTGTTAAGACCTACTGCTCAGCAAATTGATACTTTTCTTTTGTCTTTTTAAAAATTTTTTTCTGAGACAGTGTCTTGCTCTGTTGCCCAGCTGGAGTGCAGTGGCATGATCTTGGCTCACTGCAACCTCTGACTTTGACACTCAAGTGATCCTCTGGCTTAGCCTCCTGAGTAGCTGAGACCACACGCATGCACCACCATGCCTGGCTAATTTTTGTATTTTATGTAGGACAGGGTTTCGTCATGTTGTCCAGGCTGGACTTGAACTTCTGAGCTTAAGTGATCTGCCTGCCTTGGCCTCCCAAAGTGCTGGAATTGCAGGTGTGAGCCACTGCACCCAACCGAAATGATTATTTTCAAAATGTTATTGTTCATTAACAATGCACCTGGTCACTCAAGAGCTCTGATGGAGATGTACAAGAAGATGAATGTTGTTTTCATTCCTGCGAACACAATTCATTCTATAGCCCATGGATCAAGGAGTAATTTCAACTTTCAAGTCTTGCTATTTAAGAAAAACTTTTCATGAGGCTACAGCTGTCATAAATAGTGTCACCTCTGATGGATCTGGGCAAAGTAGATTGAAAACATACTGAAAAGGATTCATCATTCGAAATGCAATTAAGAATATTTGTGATTCATGGGTGGAGGTCAAAATATCAACATTAACAGGAGTTTGGAGGCAATTGCTTCCAACTCTGCTGGTTGATTTTGAGGGGTTCAAGACTTCGGTGGAGGAAGGAATTGAAGGTGGTAGAAATAACAAGAGAATTAGAAGTATAGCCTGAAGAAGTGATTGAATTGCTGTAATCTTATGATAAAACTTGAATGGATGAGGAGTTGTTTTTTATGGCTGAGCAAAGACAGTGTTTATTGAGACATAATCTACTCTGAAGTGAAGATACTGTGAACATTGCTGAAAAGACAAAGAATTCACAACATTACACACACTTAGTTGATACAGGAGTGGCAGGTGTGAGAGGACTGACTCTAGTTTTGATAGAAGTTCTACTGTGGGTAAAATGCTAACAAAGAGTATCACATGCTACAGATAAATCTTTCACAAAAGAAAGAGTTAAGTGGCCAGGAACGGTGGCTCATGACTGTAATCCCAGCACTTTGGGAGGCCGAGGTGGGCAGATCACCTGAGGTTAGAAGTTCGAGACCAGTCTGGCCAACATGGCGAAACCCTGTCTCTACTAAAAACACAAAAATTAACCAGGCATAGTGGGTGCCTGTAGTCCCAGCTACTCGGAGGCTGAGGCAGGAAGATCGCTTGAACCCAGGAGGTGGAAGTTGCAGTGAGCTGAGATCGCGCCACTGCACTCCAGCCTGGGCGACAGATTGAGACTCCATCCCAGAAAAAAAAAAAAAAAAAAAAAAAAGAGTCAAGTGATGTGGCAAACTTCATTGTTGTCTTTTATTTGAGAAATTGCCACAGACACCCCAACCTTCAGCAAATACCACCCGGAGCAGTCAGCAGCCATCAGCATTCAGGCAAAACCCCCCACCAGCAAAAAGATTATGACTCACTGGAGGTTGAGGTTATTGTTAGCATTTTTAAGTAGTAAAATATTTTTAAATTATTTACATTTTTTGGACATAATCCTATGGCACATGTAAGAGATGACAGTATAGAGTAAACATAACTTTATATGCCCAGGGATAGCAAAATATTCTGTGACTTGCTTTATTGTGATATTCTCTTTATTGTAATGATCTGAAACTGAACCTAAAATATCTTCAAGGCATGCTTGTATTTAAAATGGGAACAATAGTAGTACCTATCTTACAGAGTTTTGTAAGGATTATATGATTTTGGATACATAGTAGTATTTCACACATCTTAAATTGTTGGAAACAGCTATCATTAATATTTTACTACTAACACTAGTTAAAGCCATACACAAATAGTGGATAAGGACTCTGTACTTTAGAGGTAAATTTTTAGAAATTCCATATAGAGTGTGTTTTTGTTTTTTGCAAGAAGTATAACCTCATTATAAGGAAAACCAAGAAAAAAAGGAATCTCAGTTTCAATCCCTGCTTATTTCGAGTAATATTTACTATGATTAGTTTCTAGTATGTAACATAAATCGGATTGCATATGTGAAGAATGATTAGAATCCCAATCATCCCTGAATTTACAGGCACATGAAGCACCTCCTCATGAAGGCACATAGAACTCTTAGCACTGAAGGTGCCATGTAAGTCAGAGGTACTGGTGGTATCTCAATGAAACCGACTGGAATAGCCTTCTCCGCACACAAATAAATTTCTTAGTTTTTAATCTGGAAAACTTTAATACGAAATCCTCAGTATCTGATTTACTGGGAAACATAAGTTTGAATTACTTTAGAGATGCAGATTTCTAGTTAGTTCTATGATAATTCGGATGACAAAGCTAGATTTCCATTTAGAAATAATTTAATTTACATTTACTTCTTTGAATAACTTGTGTTATTCAACAAATACCCAGTGTATTTTAAGTGGCAGTCGGGGGAAAATACAGTTTACAAAGACATTCTACCTATAAGATTACATCTCTGTTCAGAATAGGCTCAGAGCACGTGGCCTAGGTGCGGCCATTAACAACTTCTTCTTATAATCAATCTCGATGATTAAATATTTTGAGAACATTTGCTTGGTCCATTTCTTGGGCAATTCTTTTTGATTATTGATACAGCTTGGATATTTATCCCTGCTCAAATCTCATGTTGAATTGTAATTCCCAATGCTGGATGTGTGGCCTGGTGGGAGGTGTTTGGATCATGGGGGCGGATCCCTGATGGCTTGCTGCTATCTTCATGATAGTGAGTTCTGTGAGATCTGATAATTTAAAAGTGTGTGGCACCTCCCTCCCGCCCACCCATTTTCTCTCTCTTTCTCTCTCCTGCTCTGGCCATGTGATATGCCTGCTTCCCCTTCCACCATGATTGGAAGCTGGCTGAGGGCTCCCCGGAAGCAGATGCTGCCATGCTTCCTGTACAGCCTGCAGAACTGTGAGCCAATTAAATCTCTTTTCTTATGAATTATCCAGTCTCAGACTTTTTTTTTAATAGCAATGCAAGAATGGCCTAACATAATTATGTATACTTGATGTGATAGCATTTTTTTTGTTTTGTTTTCTCAAGGAAGCTAAATAATTAAGATAGATTTTAAACTTTTTTTTTGGGTCAGTGTTTATGGATGTTCAAGTAACGCATTCAGCAGGATTCCAAATCTGTGGTTACTAGTTTGCTCATGACAATCACATGTTTCTGTTGCTGACCAGAAACCCAGGGTTATTATACTTTCTTTCATCTCCCCAGGCTGCACTTCTAAATTGTCAGCTGTAGAATGTCAGAGAAACTGTTCCAAATGTCAGGGAGCCCCGTGGCCTCAGGCAGGTCAAGCCCCTGGGTTGCGTCTCCACCCTGCGACTGTTTCCTCTGTGACTTTCTTTCTGCATGTTTTCACTGAGAGTTCAGGCTATTGTTTGCTCGTCTCCTCACTCCTATTCTAGATTCAGAGAGCCAAAGCTTGGGAGATGGGGAATGTGGTAGAGAAAAGAGGCTTTTCTTTGCATTTCTCAGTACACTGAGATGCCTGGTTAGGGTGTTTGGGAGGAGACTTAGCACTCAGTCATCCTCCCGACAAGCCTTTCTTATCAACTTTCCTTATAATTAACCTTCCTCCTTTCATCCAAAAGCTTTTCTTCTTCTGTTACAGAGTCATGGTCTGATGCAGCTGGACATTATAGACAAGCAGAGAGGGAATGGATCCGAGGGTGACCTGGCTGAATTAAAAGTGCTGCATCTAAGTGTGTGCAGGTTGCAGTCCACAGTAATGGTGCCATTCGGAGCTGTGTGTACCTGCACTACTGCATCAGGTGACCTTATCCAGCATAACGGTACAACAGAAATTTAACTTGAAACAGGTTTATTGACTTGCTTTTAGTGTTGGCAACTAATGTTCTAATTAAGCCTCTAGGTTTTGCTTATGGAACACTTCCATTACATCAGAAATATAAAGTATTTTATTAGCAATTTCCTTTGAGAATGTATACCATCCATCAAAGTTGTCAAAAGCACAGTTTGTGGATTTAAGAGAGAATATAGAATATCAACATCACTCCTCGTCTCTTAGAGAATGCAGATAAGGTGCTTACTTGAATTAAAAACATTCAAATGAAGAAAAAAGTTCCATATGTTAGAAATAAAACTGGAAAATAATTATATATAGAAAAGTATTTTTGTAATCTTGAAGAGGGGAGAAGCGTTCCTAAGCAGATACAACACCAGAAATCACAAAGGAAAAACTTGCAGAATTGACTTTATAAAATTAATTTCTCATTTTTTTGCTTTTAATTGACCTTTTTATTTTTAGATAATTGTAGATTCACTTACAGTTGTAACAAACAATACAGATATCCGGTTTCCGCCAATGATAACATCTTGCAAAACTATAGTACAATATCACAATGGAAATATTAACATCGATCCAGTCAAGACACAGAACATTTCTATCACCAAAAGGAATCTTCAGTTAACTTTTTTATAATCATATCCACTTTCCTTCTGTCCGCTCTCCCTCCTTAAACCCTTGCAACTGGGCCGGGTGCGGTGGCTCACACCTGTGATCCCACCACTTTGGGAGGCTGAGACGGGTGGATCACGAGGTCAGGAGATAGAGACCATCCTGGCTAACACGGTGAAACCTCATCTCTACTAAAAAAATACAAAAAAATTAGCCAAGTGTGGTGGTGGGCGCCTGTAGTCCCAGCTACTTGGGAGGCTGAGGCAGGAGGATGGTGTGAACCCAGGAGGTGGAGCTTGCAGTGAGCTGAGATCAAGCCACTACACTCCAGCCTGGGCAACAGAGCGAGACCCCATCTCAAAACGAACAAACAAACAAACAAACAAACACCCCTTGCAACTATAAATCTCTTCTCCATTTGTATAATTTTGTAATTTCAGTGATATAGAAATGGAATAATACAGTATGTAACCTTTCAGGATTTTTTTTTTTTTTTAAAGCAGAGTATTGCTAGATTGCCCAGGCTGGACTTGAACTCCTAGGCTCAAGTGATCTTCCCGCCTCAGCCTACCTAGTAAGTGGGATTTTTTTTTTTTTAACTGAGCATAATTATCTGGACATTCATCTAGGATGTTGTGCCTATTGATAGTTTGTTCCTTTGGGTTCTGAGTAGTATTCCATGGTATAGATGTACCACAATTTGTTTAAGCATTCACTCCTTGAAGGACATCTGGGCTGTTTCCGGTTTTTGACTATTATAAATAAGGCTGTTGTAAGGATTCTTTTACAGGATTTTTGGACATAAGTTTTCATTTCTATAGGATAAATGCCCAGGAGTGCAATTTCTGAGCCATACAGTAGTTCATATTTCAGTTTTTTTTTAAATAAAGAAACTGCCAGACAATTTTCCAGAGAGGCTGTAATATTTTATATTCCCACCGGCAATGTATGAGTGATCCAGTTTCTCTGCATTCTTGCCAACATTTGGTGTTGCCACTGTATTTTTACTTCAGCCATTCTGATAGATGTGTAGTGATGTCTCACTGTGGTTTTAATTTGCATTTCTCTAGTGGCTAATGATGTTGTACATCTTTTCATGTACAGTCATGCATCACTTAACCAAGGGGATACATTCTGAGAAATGTGGCACTAGGTGATTTTTTTTTCTTCTTAGTTTTTGTGAATACATAGTAGGTATATACATTTATGGGATACATGAGATGTTTTGATACAGGAGTGTGATGTGAAATAATCACATCCTGGAGATGGGATATCCATCCATCCATCCCCATAAATATAAAACATTTATTCTTTCAGTTGCAAACAATGCAATTATAGTCTTTAAATTATTTTAAAATGTAGAGTTATTATTGACTATAATCACCGTGTTTGTACTATCAAATAGTAGTCTTGTTCATTCTTTCTATTTTTTTGTACCCATTAACCATCCTCACCTCTCCTCCACACCCCCACTACTCTTCTTAGCCTCTGGTAACCATTATTCTACTTTCTATGTCCATGAGTTCAATTGTTTTGATTTTTAGATCCCACAAATAAGTGAGAACATACAATATTTGTCCTTCTGTCCCTGGCTTATTTCTCTTAACATAATGAACTCCAGTTCCATCCACGTTGATGTGGTTTGGTCCCCATCCAAATCTCATCTTGAATTGTAGTTCCATAATCTCCATGTGTTGTGGGAGGGATCAGGTGGTGGTTTCCCCCATCCTTGTGAGAGTTAGATCTCACGAGATCTGATGGTTTTATAAGGGGCTTCCCCGACCTCTTCACTCTGCACTTCTCCTTGGTGCTGCCATGTGACGAAGGATGTGTTTGCTTCTCCTTCCGCCATGATTGTAAGTTTCCTGAGGCTTTCCCAGCCCTGCAGAACTGTGAGCCAATTAAACTTCTTTCCTTTATAAATTACCCAGTCTTGGAAATGTCTTTATTAGCAGCATGAGAATGGACTAATACACACGTTATTGCAAATGACTGGATTCCATTCTTTTTTATGGCAGCATAGTGCTCCATCTTGTGTACGTACATTTTCTTTATCCATTCATCTGCTGATGGACATTTAAGTTGGTTCCAAATCTCAGCTATTGTAAATAGTGCTGCAACAAACAGGAGTGCAGATATCTCTCCGATATACTGATTTCCTCTTTTTTGAATATATACCCAGCAGTGGGATTACTGGATAATATGGTAATTCAATTTTTAGTTTTTTGAGGAACCTCCAACAATTAGTGGTTGTACTAATTTGCATTCCCATCAACAAGGTATAAGTGTTCCCTTTTCTCCACATCCTTGCCACCATTTATTATTGCCTGACTTTTGGATATAAAACATTTTAACTGGGGTGAGATGGTATCTCATTGTAGTTTGATTTGCATTTCTATGATGATCAATGATGTTGAGCACCTTTTCATATTCTTGTTTGCCATTTGTATGTCTTCTTTTCATAAATGTCTATTCAAATCTTTTCCCCATTTTTTGATTGGGAAAAAGATTATTTTCTTATAGAGTTGTTTGAGTTCCTTATGTATTCTGGTTATTAATCCCTTGTCAGAAGAATAGTTTGCAAATATTCCCTCCCATTCTGTGGGTTGTATCTTCACTGTGTTGATCATATCCTTTGCTGTGCAGAAGCTTTGTAACTTGATGTGATCCCATTTTACCATTTTTGCTTTGGTTGCCTGTGCTTGTGGGTTATTGCTCAAGAAATTTTAGCCCATATTAATGTCCTGGAGATTTTTCCCAATGTTTTCTTGTAGTAGTTTCATAGCTTGAGGTCTTAGATTTAAGTCTTTAATCCATTTTGGTTTGATTTTTGCATATGTGAGAGCTAGGGGTCTATCTTCATTTTTCTGCATATATATATCCAGTTTTCCCAGCATTGTTTATTGAAGATACTGTCTTTCCCCAGTGCATGTTCTTGGCACCTTCATTGAAAATAAGTTCCCTGTAGGTGTGTGGATTTGTTTCTGGGTCCTCTAATTCTGTTCCATTGGTTTATGTGTCTGTTTTTATGCCCATACCGTGCTGTTTTGGTTACTATAGCTCAGTAGTATAATTTGAAGTCAGGTAATGTGATTCCTCCAGTTTTCTTCTTTTTGCTTAGAAAAGCTTTGGCCATCTGGGTCTTCTGTGGTTCTGTATAAATTTTAGGATTGTTTTTTCTATGAAGAATGTCATTGGTATTTTGATAGGGATTGCACTGAATCTGTACATTGCTTTGGGTTGTACAGACATTTTAACAATATTGATTCTTCCAAACCATGAACATGAAATATTTTTTAACTTTTTAATGTTCTCTTCAGTTTCTTTCATTGGTGTTTTATAGTTTTCATTATAGAGATCTTTCACTTCTTTGTCATGTTCTAGATCTTAGAGGAAAGGCTTTCAGTTTCTCCTTACTCAATATATACTTGCTCTGGGTATGTCTTTTATGGCTTTTATTATGTTGAGATATGTTTCTTCTATACCCAGTTTTTTGAGGGGTTTTTTATCATGAAGGGATGTTGAATGTTATCAAATTCTTTTTCAGCATCAGTCGAAATGATCATATGGTTTTTATCATTCATTATTTTGATATGATGTATCACATTGATTGATTTGCATATGTTGAACCATCCTTGCATCCCAGGGATAAATCACACTTGGTCATAATGTATTGCTGAATTCAGTTTGCTAGTATTTTGTTGAGGATTTTGGCATCAGTATTCATCAGAGATATTGGCCTGTAGTTTTTTTTTAGTTTTCTTTCTTTCTTTCTTTCTTTCTTTCTTTCTTTCTTTCTTTCTTTCTTTCTTTCTTTCTTTCTTTCTTTTTCTTTCTTTCTTTCTTTCTTTCTTTCTTTTTCTTTCTTTCTTTCTCTTTCTTTCTTTCTCTTTCTCTTTCTTTCCTTGTTTCTTTCTTTCTTTCTCTCTTTCTTTCTTTATTTCTTCTTTTTTTTGATGTATCTTTTTCTGGTTTTGGTATCAGGGCAATACTGGTCTTGTGGAATGAGTTTGGAAGTATTCCCTTCACCTCTGTTTTTCAGAATAGTTTGAGTAGGACTTGTATTAGTTCTTTAAATTTTTGGTAAAATTCAGCAGTGAAGCCATCAGGTCCTGGGCTTTTCTTTACCGGGAGACTTTTTATTATGACTTAAACCTTGCTACTTGCTATTGGTCTGTTCAGTTTTGAATTTCTTCCTGGTTCAATTGTAATAGGTTGTATGTGTCCAGGAATTTGTCCATTTTGTCTACATTTTCCATACTCAGTACTAATGATCCTTTGAATTTCTGCAGTACCAGTTGTAATTTCTCCCGTTTCATTTCTGATTTTATTTGTTGGCATCTTCTCTCTTTTTTTCTTAGTCTGGCTAAAGGTTTGTCAATTTTGTTAATTTTCAAA
This sequence comes from Homo sapiens, assembly GCF_000001405.40. Taxonomy (NCBI): domain Eukaryota; kingdom Metazoa; phylum Chordata; class Mammalia; order Primates; family Hominidae; genus Homo; species Homo sapiens. Next base: position 214,706,119 of record NC_000001.11, read on the forward strand.
AAAGTAACTTTTTGTTTCTTTGATCTTTTCTGTTTTTTATTTCAATTTCATTTATTTCTGCTCTGATCTTTATTATTTCTTTTCTTCTACTAATTTTGGGTTTGGTTTGCTCCTGCTTTTCTAGTTCTTTAAGATTCATTGTTAGATTGTTTATACAAAGTTTTCCCTCATTTTGATATAGGCACTTGTAGCTATAAAATTCCCTCTTACTAATACTTTTGCTGTATTCCATAGGTTTTGGGATGTTGTATTTTCATTATCATTTGCTTCAAGAAATTTTTCAATTTGGTTTTTAATTTATTCACTGACCCACTCATCATTCAGGAGCATATTGTTTAATTTCTTTGTATTTGTGTAGCTTCTAAAATTCCTCCCATTTTTAATTTCTGGTTTAATTCTACTGTGGTCAGAGAAGATTCTTGGTATTATTTCAGTTTTCTTGAGTGTTTTGAGACTTGTTTTGTGACCTAACATGTGGTCTATCCTTGAGAATGATCCACGTGCTGAAGAAAAGAATGTACATTTTGCAGCTCTTGGATGAAATATTCTGCAAATATCTATTAAATCCATTTCTTTTATAGTGCAGATTAAGTCTGATGTTTCTTTGCTGCTTTTCTGTCTGGCAGATCTGAAAGCAGGGTGTTGAAGTCTCCATCTATGATTGTATTGAGGCCTATCTCTCTCTTTAGCTCTAATGATATCTCCTTTATATATCTAGGTTCTCCAGTGTTGGGTGCACATATATTTAAAATTGTTATATCCTTTTGCTGAATTGACTCCTTTATCATTATATTGTGACCTTCTTGGTCTCATCTTACAGTTTTTGTCTTGAAATCTATTTTGTATGATATAATATAGTGACTCCTGCTCTTTTTTTGGTTTCCATTGGCACAAAATATCTTTTTGCACCCCTTTGTTTTCAGTCTATATGTGTCTTTATAGATGAAGTGGATTTTTGGTAGGCAACAGATTATGAGGTCTTTTAAAAAAATCCATTTAGCCACTCTATGTCTTTTGATTAGAGAGTTTAGTCCATCATATGGTTTGGCTGTGTCCCCACCCAAATCTCATATTGAATTGTAGTTTCCATAATCCCCACATATCATGGGAGGGACCCAGTGGAAGGTAATTGAATAATGGGGGTGGTTACCACCATGCTGCTGTTCTCGTTATAGTAAGTGAGTTCTCACGAGATCTGATGATGAGGATCTTTTCCCTCTTCACTCAGTACTTCTCCGTCCTGCTGCCATGTGAAGAAGGATGTATTTGCTTTTGATTCCCCTTCCTCCATGTGGAACCGTGAGTCAATTAAACCTCTTTCCTTTATAAATTACGCAGTCTTGGGTATTTCTTCATCACAGGTTCCCAGGCCAATGGAGCTATGTTCCCAGGGGAATTATGGCTACCTCTGCCGAGTCATATAGGTCACCAGGGAAGTGGGGTAAAGCTGGCAGTCACAGGCCTCACCCCACTCCCACACAGCCTGTAGTCCTAAAGGCTGGTCTCACTCCCACTGTGGCCCCACAATAGTACCAAGTCTATTTTCAAGCAGCTGGTGACCAGGGCTGAACACTTGCCTTAGACCACCAGCATACCCACTGAGAAAGCAAGCCAACTCAGTTTTTTGGCATCTGAGGGAGTTTGCAACAGCGATCCAGTTCCTTCAACGGGTTTGTGGATTGTCTCAGTTTTCTGGTATGTTCCTGCCAGCAGTTCTTGGAGCAAAAGTTCACGATGTGAGCCTCCACACGTTGCTCTGTTTGTCTGAGCACGAGCTACAAGCTAGTCCTGCCTCCTATCCACCATCTTAATCCTGTGTCTAGACTGCCTTTCAAGTTTACTTAGAGACACAGAGCTCTTTGACCCTGGGTGGCAACGTTTGCAGACACTCAACTTCAGACTGCTGGGATCTGCCATTCTCCTCTGGCTAGGGCTGGTTTAAATGCTCCCTCTGTGTGTGGCTTTAATTGAGTTTTGTCCGGGTTTTCTTCCTGCTCTAACCAGACAGCACTGAGTTCAATGCCTCACAATCACTGTGTTCTCCCTCCCTCAGCACACAGAGTTGCTGCCACCAGGGGTGGGAATGGGGTGGCATCCATGATTCAGGACTGTTTTTTCTATCCTTTCATTGCCTTTTTCAGTGCTATGAAGTTAAAACCAGGTACAATGAGTGCTTACTTGATTTTTGGTTCTTATGAGGGTGTTTTTTTTTCTGTGTAGATAGTTGTTAACTTGATGTCCTTGCAGGGGGTCTGAGGGTGGGGGGCAATCAATGGATCCTTCTATTCTGCCATCTTTCTCTGCCTCTTGCTTCCCATTGGGTGATTGTGTCGTTGTGTGAACACCACAGAGTGTACTTAAACAAATCTAGATGCTATAGCCTACTCTACCCCTAGGCTATGTGGCATAGCCTACTGCTTCTATACTACAAACCTGTACAGCATATTACTGCACTGAATATAGTAGGTAGCTATAATACTTGGTGTTTGTATATCTAAACATATTGAAATATAAACATGATACAATAAAATATAGTATAAAAGATAAAAAATGTTAGATCTATATGGGGCACTTACCATGAATACAGCTTGCAGGACTGGAAGTTGCTCTGGGTGAGTCAGTGAGTGAGTGGTGAGTGAATGTGGAGGCCTAGGACATTACTACACACTACTGTGGACTTTGTAAACACTGTACATTTAGACTACTAAATTTATAAAAAGTCTTTCTTCAATAATAAATTAACCATAGCTTGCTGTAGGTTTTTACTTCATAAAGTTTTAATTTTTTAAACTTTTTGACTCTTTTGTAATAATACTTAGCTTAAAACACAAACATATCATACAGCTGTGCAAAAATATTTTTCTTTATGTCTTTATTCTATGAGCTTTTTTCTATGTAATTTTTTTTAAATCTTTTGCTTTTTAAGAATTTTTTTTTGTTGAAAACTAAGACAGAAGGACAGACATCAGCCTAGGCCTACACAGGATCAGAATCTTCCATGTCACTGTCTTCCACCTTCACATTTTCCCACTGGAAGGTCTTCAGGGGCAGCAACACACATGGAGTTGTCCTCTCCTGTGGTAACAATGCCTTCTTCTAGAATACCTCCCAAAGGACTTGCCTGAGGCTATTTTACATTAACTTTTTGTTTTGTAAGTAGGAAGAGTACACTCCAAAATAAAAATAAAAGGTATAGTAAATACATAAACCAGTAACACAGTCATCCGTTATCATGATCAAGTTTACATACTATAAAAATTGCATGTGCTATACTTTTATACAACTGGCAGGACAGCAGGTTTGTTTACACCAGCATCACCACAAACATGTGAGTAATGCATTGCAGTATGAAGCTGTGATGGCTACGACTTACTAGGCCATAGGAATTTTTCAACTCCACTATAATCTTTTGAGACCGTGGTCATATATGCAGTCTGTCGTTGACTGAAACATTGTTATATGGTGCATAACTGTGCTTATTTGCCATCTGTATAGCTTTTTTGGTGAAATGTCACTTCACGTCTTTTGCTCATATTCTAATTGTATTGTTTGCTTTTTTTTAACTGATGAGTTTTGAGAGTTATATACATATTTTTTACATAGAAGTTATTTGTTGGATATGTGATTTGCAAATGTTTTCTCTCACTTTGCAGCTTGTCTTTTTTTATTTTTATTTTTATTTTTAAAGAGGTGGGATCTCTTTTTGTTGCCCAGGCTGGAATGCAGTGGTGTGATCCTTCCATCTTAGCCTCCAAAGTAGCTGGGACTGTGGGCACATGCCACTGCACCAAGTTAATTTTTAATTTTTTTTTGCAGAGACAGGGTTTCACTTTGTTGCCCAGGCTGGTCTTGAACTCCTGGTTTCAAGCCAACCCCAGCCTCCCATAGTGTTAGGATTACAGGTGTGCGCCACTGCACCTGGCCAGTTCGCTTGTCTTTTCATGCTTTTAACAAAAACTTTTGTAGAGGAAACATTTTTAGTGTTGATGAAATCCAATGATCAATTTTTAAATTTAATAGATTAAGCTTTTTGGGTCAGGTTTAAGAACTCTTTGGTTAGCTCTAGATTCTGAAGCTTTTTGTCCCATGATTTTTTTCTTAAAAGTTTACAGTTTTACCTTCCGCATATAAGTCTGTTACAACAATTTTGAGTAACTTTTTGTATAAGGTGTGAGACTTAGTTTGAGGTTGTTTTTTCTTTATGGTGTGTGTATGAACGTTCAATTACTCCAGCACCATTTGTTGAAATGGCACTTTCCTTCATTAAATTGATATTGCACATTTGTCAAAAATCAGTTGGACATATTTGTATAGGTCTATTTTGGGGTTCTTTATTATGTTCCATTAATCTATGTGTCTATCCCTCCACCAATACCACCACACAGTTTTGACAACTTTTATAAGTGTTGAAATCATCATGCAGACTGATTCCTCCTATTTTATCAATTCTTTACAAAATTGTTTTAGCTATTCTACTTCCTTTTTCTTTCCATCTAAATTTTAGAATAGTATCTTTTATGTCTACAAAAATCTTGCTGGAATTTTGGTGGGAATTGCTTTAAGCCAGTATATCAGTTGGGGTCTTTACTATGTTGGATCATCTAGTCTGTGAATATAGTATATCTTCTATTCATTTGTTTAGATATTCTTTGATTTTACTCATCAGCATTTTATAGTTTTCAGCATACATGTCCTGTACCTGTTTTGTTAGATTTACAGCTATATAGTTATTTTTGTCTTTAGGTTACTCTAAATGTTATTGCTTTCTAATGTTATTGTGCCTGGACTCTTTGCTAGTACATAGAAGTGATAATTTCTTATTTTTCTGCTTTCTTCAGATTTATTTTGATCTTCTTAGAGTTTCTAAGTTGTTGAAGTGAGGGCTTGGATGATTTTTTAATTTTTTATTATGTATTTTATTTTTTATTATACTTTAAGTTCTGGGATACATGTGCAGGACGTGCAGGTTTGTTACATAGGTATACACGAGCCATGGTGGTTTGCTGCACCCATCAACCTGTTATCTACATTATGTATTTCTCCTAATGCTATCCCTCCCCTAGCCCCCCACCCCCCGACAGGACCTGGTGTATGATGTTCCCCTCCCTGTGTCCATGTGTTCTCATTGTTCAACTCCCACTTATGAGTGAGAACATGCGGTGTTTGGTTTTTTGTTCCTGTGTTAGTTTGCTGAGAAGGATGGTTTCCAGCTTCATCCATGTCCCTGCAAAGGACATGAACTCATGCTTTGATGTCCTATGGCTGCATAGTATTCCATGGTGTATGTGTGCCACATTTTCTTTATCCAGTCTATCACTGATGGGCATTTGGGTTGGTTCCAAGTCTTTGCTATTGTGAACAGGGCTTGGATGATTGATTTGAGACTTTTCTTCTTTTCTAATATATGCATTTAGTGCTATAAATTTCTCTCTAAGCACTGCTTTAGCTGAGATGGACATATATATATATATATATATATAGAGAGAGAGAGAGAGAGAGAGAGGGAGAGGGAGAGGGAGAGAGAGAGAGAGAGAGAGAGAGAGAGAGAGAGAGAGAGAGAGACAGGGTCTCATTCTATCACCCAGGTTGGAGTGCAGTGGTGTGCTATCTTGGCTTACTACAACCTCCACTTCTCAGGCTCAAGTGATCCTCCCATCTCAGCCTCCTGATTAGCTGGGACCACAGGCACAAGCCACCGTGCCTAGGAAATTTTTTGTATTTTTGGTAGAGACAGGATTTCTCCATGTTACTGGCTAGTCTTGAATTCCTGGGCTCAAGTGATCCACCCACTCTGGCCTCCCAAAGTGCTGGGATTACAGATGTGAGCCACCGTGCCCAGCGATATATTGTGTTTTAATTCAGTTCAATGTACTTTTAAATTTCCCTTATGATTTCTTTTTTGACCCATGTATTATTTAGTATGTTTAGTTTCAAGATGTCTGGAGATTTTTCTGTTCCTTTTCTGTCATTGATTTCTAGTTTGATTACATTGTGTTCAAAGAACACACTTGGTATGATTTCAATTCTTTTAAAATTGCTAAGGTTTGTTTTATGGCTTACTATATGGTCTATCTTGGTATATGTTTCACGAGAACTTGAAAAATATTCTGTTGTTGGGTATAGCGTTCTAAAAATGTCATTAGACGCTGTTGGTTGATGGTGTTGTTGAGTTTTATATTCTGTCTGATTTTCTGTCTATTTAATTTATCAACCATTGAGAGAACATGGAGGTTTCCAACTATAATTATTCCATAAGTATTTGCTTCACATAATTTACTGTTTTGCTTTTTTTTGGTGGGTACACATTTAGAATCGCTGTCTTTTAATTGGTATATTTAGAGCATTTGCATTTAGTATAATTATTGATGTTTTAGGGTTTAAGTCTGTCACTTTTACTTTTTGTCTTTGTTTATTCTCTACATTTTCCATTTAGTTTTTTTTCCTACCTTCCTGTGATTTACTTGAACATTTCCTAGAATTTTAGAACTCCATTTTGATTTATTTATAATTTTTTTGAGTGTATCTCTTTGTATGTTAGTGATTGCTCTAGGTATTACATTATATATAACCTTGACTGGTGTCTCAGTTGATTGCTGTCATTTTACCAGTTTGAGTAAAATATAGAGAACTTACCTTTATTTATATCTTCTTGTCTTCCTCATTTATAGTATAACTGTCTTAAATATTTCCTCTTTATACTTGTATATGTAGAACCATATCAGACAGTTTAATTTTTGCTTCAGTCACTAACCATAATTTAGAAACCTGTAGGGGAGAAGGAAAGCCTACTGTAAGTGCCTATATTTTTGCTTACTGTGCTCTTTCTTTCTGATGTTCCAAAGTTCCTTTTTAAATGATTCCCTTTCGTTTACAGGACTATCATTAGTCATTCTCTTTTTTCTTTTTTTTTTTTTTTTTGAGATGAAGTCTTGCTGTGTTGCCCAAGCTGGAGTGCAATGGCGTGATCTTGGCTCACTGCAGCCTCCACCTTCCAGATTCAAGCAATTCTCCTGTTTCAGCCTCCTGTGTAACTGGGATTACAGGCGTGCACTACCACACCTGGCTAATTTTTGTATTTTTAGTAGGGAAGGGGTTTCACCACGTTGACCATGCTGGTCTCAAACTACTGACCTCACGTGGTCCACCCTCCTTAGCCTCCCAAAGTGCTGGGATTACAGGCGTGAGCCACTGCGCCCAACCTCATTAGCCAATCTTTTAAGGTAGGTCTGCTGGTGACAAATTCTTTTAGTTTCTCTTTATCTGAGAATATCTTGCTTTCCCCTTTATCATTTATTTGTTTATCTTTATATTTTAGAGACCGAGTCTTGCTCTGTTGCCCAGGCTGGAGTGCAGTGGTTTGATGACAGCTCCCTGCAGCCTCAAACTCCTGGGCTCAAGTGATCCCTCTGCCTTGGCCTCCTGGGTAGCTACCATGTCTGGCTGATTTTTTTTTTTTAATTTTTAGTAGACACAGGGTCTCACTGTGTTGCCCAGGCTGGCCTCAAACTCCTAAACTCAAGTGATGCTCCCCTTACCTTGGCCTCCCAAAGTGTTGAGATTACAGGTGTGAGCCACCATGCCCAGCCTCCACTTTCTTTTTTTAAATTATTATTATTATTTTTTTGAGACAGAGTCTTGCTCTGTCACCTAGGCTAGAGTTCTGTGGCACAATCTCAGCTGATTGCACCCTTTGCCTCCCAGGTTCACACAGTTCTCTGGCCTCAGCTTCCCAAGTAGTTGGGATTACAGGCACGTGCCATCACACTTGGATAATTTTTGTGGTTTCAGTTGAGATGAGATTTCACCATGTTGGCCAGGCTGGTCTTGAATTCCTGACCTCAAGTGATCCACCTGCCTCAGCCTCCCAAAGTGCTGGGTTTACAGGCGTGAGATACTACATCTAGCCCATTTTATTTCTGAAGGATATTTTCACTGGATATTTCTGAAGGATACAGGATTCTGGGTTGAAAGTGCTTGTCTTTCAGTACCTGAAAATATTGTGTCACTTCCTTCTTGCTTTTATGGTTTCTGACGAGAAGTCTGCTCTCATTCTAATTATTTTTCTCCTATAAGTAAGGTGCTGTTTTCTCTGGCTGCTTTAAAGATCTCTTCTTTCTCAGAATTTTAATTATGATGCATTTTGGTGTGAATTTCTTTGAGTTTATCTTGTTTGGGATTTGCTCACATTCTTAATTCTGTAGGTTTATGTCTTCTGCCAAATTTGAAAAGTTTTCAATCATTATTTCTTCAAGAACTTTCAGCCTCAATGTCTTTCTCCCCTCCTTCCAGGACTACAATGACATGAACATAAGATCTTTTATTACAGTCTCACAGGTCCCTGAAACACTGTACACTTTTTCAGTCTATTTTTTTTCTTTGTTGCTCAGATTGGGTGATTTTGATTGTTCTATCTTCCAATTCACTGAGTCTTTCCTCTCTTCCATTCTGCTGTTCATTCCCCCTACTGAGCTATTTATTTTTGTTATTGTATTTTTTAGTTCTAAAATTTACACCTGATTCTTCTTTATGTCTTCTTCATATTCCTCTACTGAGGCTTTCTACTGTTTCATTTGTTTTGAGCATTTTCATAATTGTTTATTGCAGCATCTTTATCATGGCTGCTTTAAGGTCTTTGTCAGATATTTTAAACATCTCTAACATCTTAGTGTTGATTTGTGTTGACTGTCTTCTCATTCAGTTTGAGATATTCCCTATTTATGGTATGATGAATGATTTTCATTCCCACTTTTGTATTGTGTTACGAGACTATAGATCTTATTTAAATTTGAACTGGCTTTTTCTGACAGTGCTGTGGCAAGGAAATGGAGAGATCTGCCTTGTTACTGCCAAGCAGAGATACAAATCCAGGTTCCCCTTGGCCTCCATGGACATGTGAAGGAGGTTCCTCCTTTTTACTGCTGGGCAATGGGGAAAGTTCCTGTTCCCCACGTGTCTCCACTGTCACCATTGTGGAGTGGTCTTACTACTGCTGGGTGATAGTGAAAATTGAGTTTCCACTAGGCCACCTCTGATGCCATCCCAATGGGGCAGTGTTTGGGTTCCTGGCTACAGCTTTGCAAAAATGGAAATGTGGGCTCTTTACTTCTCTTTGCTGGCATGAGTAGGGGTGGGTGAGAGGCAGTGTTTTTTGTGGTGTTTGGTGGTGTAGAATGGTTATTGTCTAAGATTTTTCTGTTTTGCTAGGCTGCCCCTCTCATGGTCTTTTGTCTAGAGACAGTGACTTTTGTTGGGGTTTATTTTGTCTGTGCCTATTGGCATTTCTCGGTTGTCAGCTTCTTCAGCTTGAAGTCTGGGCTAAATGAGGCAGAAAGAAGATCCAGGGAACTCGCCACTGTGTTGTACCTCACGTTCCCGGGTCTCCAGCCAGTCTGCTTTGTTCTCTCCATCTTTCAGGTTTCTTATGTTTGTTTTATGTGTAATGTCCAGGGCTTTTAGTTGTTTCTGGTGAGACGAATAGGGTAAAGTACATTTATTCTATCTTTCCAGATGTGGAAGTATTTCTATCATTGGTTTTTAGGAATTCTTCTAATATGTTGGTATTAATACTTTTCCTGTTACGTATGTTGAAAATATTTTCTCCCAATTACTACTTGTCTTTTAATTTTCTTTGGAAGTCTTTTATCATGTAGGAATTATTAAGAAGACAAAAATTATTAAAACTGGGGAAAGGAAAGATAGATGATTAAAATAGAAGGAAATATGACTGGCTAAAAATCAGTATACAATATCTGATATTAATTAATTCAGTTTGAAGCAAAATAATGAAATTATAGAAGTGCTACAAATTTTAAGATTCAAAATGTAAAGATTTGATGACAATATTTAGTTAAATATCAGTCAATCCAAGGTTTCTTGTATCTATAAGGCACTTTGAAAGGTATACACAATTTTGGAAAACTTTTCATTTTACTGTGATATCTCTAGTTGTACAAAAAGGAAAATATAAACCAAGTGAAGATGAACAATTGATAAGAAATATCATGAAAATGCTAGAAATTATTTTAAAGCCAGAGATGTAGAGTATCTGGTTTACTTTAGTTTTTGCTATTCTTGTGTAATCTACAAAAGAGCTATGAAATTAAAGCACTGGAAGTACATAGATAATAATTCTTTTCAAAGGTGTAGAATTCCTGGTAATCTAGGTAAGATAAATACTCTGTGAGAATTAAATGATTTTTTAAGTTTACAACGGAAACATAATTTACTAAATGCATCTAATTACTAGGCCCCACATAAAGAAAAAAATATTTCATAAATATGAGTTTCCTTTTAGAGTGATGTCTTACTTTCCTGTTTCCCAAGTTGCCTTCTACCTTTTACATGCTTTTTGTATGTAGTATTAATTTTGTGATACAATGCTCTTGAGAATTCACAGCTTATCTAGTTTCCCCAGAAAAGTGTTTTAGAGGATTCCATTGTTTGGTTTTGTGTTATTGGCTCCACATAATCACATAATGCTGTATTCGACTGGATGAAAATTACTTTGGAAGTTCTGGGAGATTTTATGGATGATAACATAGGTGTCTATTTTCCTATTATATCTGCAATTGGCATTCAATTTTCTACAAGGAAAGAGAACATAGACATTTGCTTAATCTTGAAACCTCATTTCAATCTTATTCTTAATAAAAAGTCACCAGAACTGTAAACCATCAGGAAAATCAGTTTGATTTACACTTGCCTCTACCTGCTTATTTTCTGAGACAGTTGTTAATGCAATATGAAAGATGTGTAGGGAGAATAACAAAGAGAAACCGATGAGTGAATTAGCCACAGTTGGCTGAAAAATTTTCTTCCCAAATTATAGAATCTGAAATTCTATTTAAATGTCTTCATGACATGATGTACGTATTTAATACAAAAATGTGATTGATTATTGCATTGTGAAAAAAGTGGCAGTATGCAATACTTAACAGCCTGAAAATCAACATTTATTGGACTAGCAGTATATTTTACTCTACTGGAAAGCAGTATTTGAACAGAGCTTTTAGGTTGGAATCATATGGAATTGCCATTTTTGGAGGTCAAATATGGACAACTTCATATGGATTGATCTATACAAATTCCTTAAACAGTCCCCACATAATGGGCAAGATATTTTTAAATAGCAAACTCATAGACAGCTTTCATTGCAGTGGGTGAGTAGAAAAGAGGTTGGGAAGAGAAAGTATAGCATGTTAGACCACATGGGACTGGAAATAAGAAAGTCACTTGTTTTGTACAGTGGGTGGGAGAACAGGTTAATTATCAAATCTTCACTCCACCCGCAACTTCATGAGCACTTGTGTGCACAGATGGACTCACAGGTGGATTGAAGCGTGAAAGTCTGAATCAGTCCAGAGTAATAGGAACCAGCCACTCCCAGCATGACAGGGAGCTGCAGCTAGTGTTGCACCATGAAAAGACACAGTAAGCTCCGTAAACTCTGTGCAAACCAAACAGGACTAATGTGAGCTATGTAAATCATGGCTGATGGTGCTTCTCAAATCTAAACTTAGCGTAACTGCGGTCAGAAAGACAGATGCTTCTCTACAGCGAACATAAAATGCAGGCTGGCTTGGTGCTAAAACAGCATGATCTGCAGAAAAAACAATTACGGATGTATACAGATCTATATTAAAAGGAACAATGCCTTAGATCTATTGCTATCCTGGTGTGGGATCCCTAATATTTATTTGGTGCTTTGCAGAATAATTCTAGGAAAGCTCTGATGTTTTTTTCTTACAGACAGATTTCTGTGCTTACCTATTGTATCACTTGAGAACTAGTTTGAATTTATGAACTAACATACTTCAGTGAGGAACAAAGCCAAAGTTCTCTACCTGAAATGTAGCTGGCTTTCTAGAACTAGTTGTTTTAGTCGTTGGCACAAGTAGCCAATGTAAGTTTTAAAAAATCATACAACCTTCAGAATCTAAATTTCTGAGAGTTGTTTTTGGCCAAATGTGATATCTGTGGTATATTAAGAAGAAGTACATCACAGATGCCATTTTGCTCTTGAGTGTGGAGCACTGACTGTGCACAACAGGGAGATAAAAGAAAAAGTAGCTCAAAAGGCAGTCATCATTTCCTTTGCTATGTGCAGTTACTGTCTCTGTGTTTGTTCACTCTAGTCGAAGAGGCGAAATGTAAAAGATACAAAGCTGCAGAGAGTTTTCGAATTATTCTCAAGGGGCTTTCCTTGTTCACTAGGAAAAATACATGGAAGGCAACTACTGCACCTAGTAAATAAAATAAAAATTTAACTTACATTGATAAAGCCCAAGGAAATACATCACAATGTCCTGTGGAAAAGGGTTGATTGAGTTTATGCCTTTGGCTGACTCTGAGTCTTAAGAGAACACCCACATAGCAATAACTAGTTGAAAATCAACCCAATATGGGTATACTCATGTGGAAGAGAAGCTATTCAAGAGGAGAACAATTCAGAAGAAAGTCTGGGAGGAAAGAAAGCTTAGATCCTTATAGGCACACATTTCTTCCTACAAGGTTCCTTTTTGTCAAAAAGATTAACTGATTTTAAAAGACTTCAGTTTATTTTTCCTTAAGAATAAAAATAAAATAAATGGAATCTTTTAAATTTATTTGCTGTGCACTGTCAGTCAAATTAAAATTTTAGCAACCCTGAAAACATCAATTCTATACAAATGGAGACTTCATGAAGAATCTAAGATTCTTTTTGCACTTAGTATACTTTTGATGTGTAGTTTATGACTCACTTTTTATACATTGTGCACATTTCACTCCCACATATCTATCATGTAAAAAAACAATGTAAAACCAAACATCAGGTTGCTGACATCCTGATGTCAGCATCTGTGTGTAAGAAGATAATGCCAGAAAAAAGTTCTGGCAAAACTTCAAAAAAGTAGAGTCAACTTGATTCTTCCACAATTTGAATCACTTTAAAACTGTGTAAGTTCATTTCAGAGACATCCTCTGCTTCTGATTTAGTTACCAGAAATTAGTTAAACTCATATCACATGAATATTATTAGAACTATTATTAGAAAAATTTGAGGAAGCTATCACTACTAAGATTCAGGTATATTATTATAATTATTTTAAATGAAATCAAATTGGTTGCAAACATACTTCCTTCAGGGCAGATATCTGGTTTTATTTCGTAGTGTTCTTATCCATACGGTCAAAATAACTGCAAATAATAATCATCCTACTGAATGTATTTTACTAATCATTCTTCTCCCTAGGCAATGCAAACTAGTGAAATAAAGCCAACTTCTTCCACATGGCCTAACACTGGCAGATAGCCCTACTGGCCAGATAGCAGATATGCAGATTGCATTACCTATGCCTGTTGAGTGAACGAAGTGGTTGTTTGCAATTTCATTGTAGCATATTAATCAAATAGTGGGATTCCGGCCTCTCATTTAATATTTTTCTATGTATGATATTCATTTTCAAATATCTAAGATAGGGCTGATGAAAGATTATAGACAATAATATTTCAAAACTTTTTTGCTTTTTTTTTTTGAGATGGAGTCTCGCTCTGTTGCACAGGCTGGAGCGCAGTGGCACTATCTCCGCTCACTCCAACCTCCAATTCCTCGGCTCAAGTGATTCTCCTGCCTCAGCCTCCTGAGTAGCTGGGATTACAGGCGCCCACAACCCATGCCTGGCTAATTTTTGTATTTTTAGTAGAGATGGGGTTTTCACCATGTTGGCCAAGCTGGTCTCGAACTCCTGACCTCGGATGATCCACCCACCTTGGCCTCTCAAAGTGCTGGGATTACAGGCTTGAGCCACAGTGCCCAGCCCTTGCTTTTTAAATATTTCAAACTTATATCTGTCATGTTGCTCTTGACAAATAACCTTGGCCTCAATTTTATTGACAAGATTGAGCTCTCTATGTTTCCAACTTATCTCTGTCATGTTGCTCTTGACAAATAACCTTGGCTTCAATTTTATTGACAAGATTGAGCTCTCTATGTTTCCAACTTATCTCTGTCATGTTGCTCTTGACAAATAACCTTGGCTTCAATTTTATTGACAAGATTGAGCTCTCTATCACATGTATGTCTTAATTTTCCTCCTCGCCACCTCCAAAATGCCTATGGACCTGTGTTCCATCTTTTCTAGGTAAAAACTGTCGCTTGTCTTTGCTGAGTCTAAAGCTGATATCTGAGCTGGTAGTTCTGTTTTCCCTGTCCTCTTACTTGATCACACTTTATGTGTAACCCCCAGACTCTTTCACATCTTCAGTTTTGCCTCCTCCACTTGCCCTGCTTCCTCCGCCTCTAAACATAGCGATTTTCTGCTACAACATACTTTCCCTGGATCCTGTCACCATCTCAAGTTCTAAACATCTAGACTTGATAGCTAGACTGCCTGGTTTCAATTTTAGTTCTGCCTCTTATTAGCTGTGTGATGTGAAAGAGCTCCCTCAGCTATAAAATGGGCATAAACATAACTGTGGTGTGTTATTAGAAACAGTTCTAGGGGCAGGTGAGAGAGGAAGCCCTGATTTGTGAGTATGCCAATTTCCATTGTGAAAATACTCCCACACTGGCTGACTTCATGCTACTAATATGACTTCACTGATCTCTGAGTTGGGATGAGATGCCCACGTTTAGCTCTGTAGAGCAAATGCCAGATGGCTCAAGCACACCACTGAGTCCCCCTAGGGTTATTGTGATGATTAAGATGAAATAAGCAAAGCTCTGAGAACAGGACCTATTGCATGTAAGCATTCAGTAAGTGCTAGCTACTATTTCCTTATAGGGAGACTTAAAAAAATCCTTCCCATTTCATTTACTTCTTAAACCTTTGGGAGCACTGTGGGGATAAAGCATGAACTTTATAGTTAAATAAACCTGATTTGAATTCTTACTTCTTCCCTCTGTGTTTCTGACAGTTTTTTAAAAAAATATCTAAGACAGAAACAATAATGTCTACTCTTATGTTTAAGGTTGGGAAATTAACTTAGATGGCATATGTAAAGTGCTCAGAACATAGAAAATGTTCATTAAGTGTGCATTTGCTTAATTTTCACACTCTACTAAAATTGTCTTTAATAATCAAAACAATGCAAAACAAAAATGTATGAATCCAATGGTGATTTCTCAGTCCTTCATCTCCTTGGCCCTTTTGCATTATTTCATGTATTTTATTACTCTCGATCTGAACTTCCATAATACTGAATCCTTTTAAGTTTTCTACCGCTTTGCTTTTATTGTCTCCTTCACTGATTTCTCTTCCTCTTTCTGCCCTCTGAAGGCAGATATTCTCTAGAGGTCTCTTTTCTTTGTTTCTTCATCAATCTTTTTCACTGCTCCTGCTCTGGTGTTTGCCTCTAAGCCACACTTGGTCTCTAATGTTGACCTTCCTTTTGGATTCCATCACACATTTTTAGAGAACAGTCAAATTCAGCAGGGTTTCGCCAGAGATAATCCCTTCACTTTGGGAATATCACTTTCCAAGATCCAACAATCCTCATGACCATTTTCAGTGACTTTTTTTCATAACACACTTTTATTTCCCATCATAATTTATTTTCACCTCCAAATACACACCTGTCACTCTCTTTAGAAGACTTTTTTTTTTTATTATTATACTTTAAGTTCTGGGGTACATATGCAGGACATGCAAGCTTGTTACATAGGTATACATGTGCCATGGTGGTTTGCTGCACTGATCAACCCGTCATCTACATTAGGTATTTCTCCTAGTGCTATCCCTCCCCAAGCCCCCCACCTCCCAACAAGCCCCAGTGTGCGATGTTCCCCTCCCTGTGTCCATGTGTTCTCATTGTTCAACTCCCACTTAAAAGTGAGAACATGCGATGTTTGATTTTCTGTTCTTGTGTTAGTTTGCTGAGAATGATGGTTTCCAGCATCATCCATGTCCCTGCAAAGGACATGAACTCATCCTTTTTTATGGCTGCATAGTATTCCATGGTGTATATGTGCCACATTTTCTTTATCCAGTCTATCATTGATGGGCATCTGGGCTGGTTCCAAGTCTTTGCTATTGTGAGCAGTGCTGCAATAAACATACATGTGCATGTGTTTTTATAGTACAATGATTTATAACCCTTTGGATATATACCCAGTAATGGGATTGCTGGGTCAAATGGTATTTCTAGTTCTAGATCCTTGAGGAATTGCCATACTGTCTTCCATAATGGTTGAACTAATTTACACTCCCACCAACAGCATAAAAGTGTTCCCATTTTTCCACATCCTCTCCAGCATCTGTTGTTTCCTGACTTTTTAATGATGCCATTCTAACTGGTGTGAGATGGTATCTCATTGTGGTTTTGATTTGCATTTCTCTAATGACCAGTGATGATGAGCTTTTTTCATATGTTTGTTGGCTGCATAAATGTCATCTTTTGAGAAGTGTCTGTTCATATCCTTTGCCCACTTTTTGATGGGGTTGTTTTTTTTTCTTGTAAATTCGTTTAAGTTCTTTGTAGATTTTGGATATTAGCCCTTTTTCAGATGGTTAGATTGCAAAAATTTTCTCCCATTCTGTAGGTTGCCTTTTCACTCTGCTGATAGTTTCCTTTGCTGTGCAGAAGCTCTTTAGTTTAATTAGATCCCATTCATCTATTTTGGCTTTTGTTGCCATTTCTTTTTGTGTTTTAGTCATGAAGTCCTTGCCCATGCCTATGTCCTGAATGGTATTCCTTAGGTTTTCTTCTAGGGTTTTTATGGTTTTAGGTCTTACGTTTAAGTCTTTAATTCATCTTGAGTTAATTTTTGTATAAGGTGTAAGAAAGGGATCCAGTTGTAGCTTTCTACATATGGCTAGCCAGTTTTCCCAACACCATTTATAAAATAGGGAATCCTTTCCCCCTTGCTTGTTTTTGTCAGGTTTGTAGAGATCAGATGGTTGTAGATGTGTGGCATTACTTCTGAGGCCTCTGTTCTGTTCCACTGGTCTGTGTATCTGTTTTGGTACCAGTACCATGCTGTTTTTGTTACTGTAGCCTTGTAGTATAGTTTAAAGTCAGGTAGCGTGATGCCTCCAGCTTTGTTCTTTTTGCTTAGGATTGTCTTGGCTATTCGGGCTCTTTTTTTGGTTCTATATAAAATTTAAAGTAGTTTTTTCCAATTCTGTGAAGAAAGTCAATGGTAGCTTGATGGGGATGGCATTGAATCTATAAATTACTTTGGGCAGTATGGCCATTTTGACAATATTGATTCTTCCTGTCCATGAGCATGGAATGTTTTTCCATTTGTTAGTGTCCTTTCTTATTTCCTTGAGCAGTGGTTTGTAGTTCTCCTTGAAGAGGTCCTTCACATCCCTTGTAAGTTGTATTCCTAGGTATTTTATTCTCTTTGTAGCAATTGTGAATGGGAGTTCACTCATGATTTGGCTCTGTGTTTGTCTGTTATTGATGTATAGGAATGCTTGTGATTTTTGGACGTTGATTTTGTATCCCAAGACTTTGCTGAAGTTGCTTATCAGCTTAAGGAGATTTCGGGCTGAGACGATGTGCTTTTCTAAATATACAATCATGTCACCTGCAAACAGAGGCAATTTGACTTCCTCTTTTCCTAATTGAGTACCCTTTATTTCTTTCTCTTGTCTGATTGCCCTGGCCAGAACTTCCAATACCATGTTGAATAGGAGTGATGAGAGAGGGCATCCTTGTCTTGTGCCCATTTTCAAAGGGAATGCTTTCAGTTTTTGCCCGTTCAGTGTAATACTGGCTGTTGGTTTGCCGTAAATAGATTTTATTATTTTGAGATACGTTCCATCAATGCCTAGTTTATTGGGAGTTTTTAGCATGAAGGGCTGTTGAATTTTGTCGAAGGCCTTTTCTGTATCTATTGAGATAATCATGTGGTTTTTTTCATTGTTTCTGTTTATGTGATGGATTATGTTTATTGATTTGTGCATGTTGAACCAGCCTTGCATCCCAGGGATGAAGCCGACTTGATCATGGTGGATAAGCTTTTTGATGGGCTGCTGGATTCGGTTTGCCAATATTTTATAGAGGATTTTTGCTTCGATGTTCATCAGGGATATTGGCCTGAATTTTTCTTTTTTTTGTTGTGTCTCTGCCAGGTTTTGGTATCAGGACAATGCTGGCCTCATAAAATGAGTTAGGCAGGATTCCCTCTTTTTCTGTTGTTTGGAATAGTTTCAGAAGGAATAGTAACAACTCCTCTTTGTACCTCTGGTAGAATTCAGCTGTGAATTTGTCTGGTCCTGAACTTTTTTTGGTTGGTAGGCTATTAATTGCTGCCTCAATTTCAGAACTTGTTATTGTTCTATTCAGGGATTCTACTTCTTCCTGGTTTAGTCTTGGGAGAGTGTATGCATCCAGGAATTTATCCATTTTGTCTAGATTTTCTAGTTTATTTGCATAGAGATATTTATAGTATGCTCTGATGATAGTTTGTATTGCTGTGGGATTGGTGGTGATATCCCCTTTATCATTTTTTACTGTGTCTATTTGATTCTTCTCTCTTTTCTTATTTATTAGTCTGGCTAGTGGTCTATTTTGTTGATCTTTTCGAAAAACCAGCTCCTGGATTCACTGATTTTTTGAAGGGTTTTTTGTGTGTCTATCTCCTTCAGTTATGCTCTGATCTTAGTTATTTCTTGCCTTCTGCTAGCTTTTGAATTTGTTTGCTCTTGGTTCTCTAGTTCTTTTAATTGTGATGTTAGGGTGTCAATTTTAGATCTTTCCTGCTTTCTCTTGTGGGTTATAAATTTCCTTCTACACACTGCTTTAAATATGTCCCAGAAATTCTGGTACATTGTGTCTTTTTCTCATCGGGTTCAAAGAACATCTTTATTTCTGCCTTCATTTCATTATTTACCCAGTAGTCATTCAGAGCAGGTTGTTCAGTTTCCATGTAGTTGTGTGGTTTTGAGTGGGTTTTTTAATCCTGTGTTCTAATTTGATTACACTGTGGTCTGAGAGACAGTTTGTTTTGATTTCTGTTCTTTTACATTTGCTGAGGAGTGTTTTACTTCCAATTATGTGGTCAATTTTAGAATAAGTGTGATGTGGTGCTGAGAAGAATGTATATTCTGTTGATTTGGGGTGGAGGGTTCTGTAGATGTCTATTAGGTTCGCTTGGTCCAGAGCTGAGTTGAAGTCCTGGATATCCTTGTTAATTTTCTCTCGCGTTGATTTGCCTAATATTGACAGTGGGGTGTTAAAGTCTCCCACTATTTTTTTGTGGGAGTCTAAATCTCTTTGTAGGTCTCTAAGAACTTGCTTTATGATTCTGGGTGCTCCTGTATTGGGTGCGTATATATTTAGGATAGTTAGCTTTTCTCGTTGAATTGATCCCTTTACCATTATGTAATGGCCTTCTTTGTCTCTTTTGATCTTTGTTGGTTTAAAGTCTGTTTTATCAGAGACTAGGATTGCAACCCCTGCTTTTTTTTGCTTTCTATTTGCTTGGTAGATCTTCCTCCATCCCTTTATTTTGAGCCTATGTGTGTCTTTGCACGTGAGATGGGTCTCCTGAATACAGCACACCGATGGGTCTTAACTCTATGCAATTTGTCAGTCTGTGTCTTTTAATTGGGGCATTTAGCCCATCTGCATTTAAGGTTAATATTGTTATGTGTGAATTTGATCCTGCCATTATGATGCTAGTTGGTTATTTTGTCAGTTAGTTGATGCAGTTTCTTCATAGCATCAATGGTCTTTACAATTTGGTATGCTTTTGCAGTGACTGGTACCAGTTGTTCCTTTCCATGTTTAGTGCTTCCTTCAGGAGCTCTTGTAGGGCAGGCCTGGTGATGACAAAATCTCTCATCATTTGCTTGTCTGTAAAGGATTTTATTTCTCCTTCACTTATGAAACTTAGTTTGGCTGGATATTAAATTCTGAGTTGAAAATTCTTTTCTTTAAGAATGTTGAATATTGGCCCCCACTCTCTTCTGGCTTGTAGGTTTTCTGCCACGACATCTGCTGTTAGTCTGATGGGCTTCTCTCTGTGGGTAACCTGACCTTTCTCTCTAGCTGCCCTTAACATTTTTTCCTTCATTTCAATTTTGATGAATCTGACAATTATCTGTCTTGGAGTTGCTCTTTTCATGGAGTAATTTTGTGGTGTTCTCTGTATTTCCTGAATTTGAATGTTGGCCAGTCTTGCTAGGTTGGGGAAGTTCTCCTGGATAATATCCTGCAGAGTGTTTTCCAACTTGGTTCCATTCTCCCTGTCATTTTCAGTACACCAAACAAATGTAGATTTGGTCTTTTCACATAGTCCCATACTTCTTGGAGGCTTTGTTCATTTCTTTTCACTCTTTTTTCTCTAATCTTGTTTTCTCACTTTATTTCATTGAATTGATCTTCAATGTCTGATATCCTTTATTCCGCTTGATCGATTTGGCTATTGATACTTGTGTATGCTTCACGAAGTTCTCATGCTGTGTTTTTCAGCTCCATCAGGTCACTTATGTTCTTCTCTAAACTGGTTATTCTAGTCAGCAAGTCATCCAACCTTTTTTCAAGGTTCTTAGCTTCCTTGCATTGGGTTAGAACATGCTCCTTTAGCTCTGAGGAGTTTGTTATTACCTACCTTTTGAAGCCTACTTCTGTCAATTTGTCAAACTCATTCTCTGTCCAGTTTTGTTCCCTTGTTGGTGAGGAGTTGTGATCCTTTGGAGGAGAAGAGGTGTTCTGGTTTTTGGAATTTTCAGACTTTTTGTGCTGGTTTCTCCCCATCTTCATGGATTTATCTACTTTTGGTCTTTGAAGTTGGTGACCTTTGGATGGGGTCTCTGAGTGAATGTCCTTTTTGTTGATATTGATACTATTCTTTTCTGTTTGTTAGTTTTCCTTCTCACAGTCAGGCCCCTCTGCTGCAGGTCTGCTGGGGTTTGCTGGAGGTCCGCTCCAGACCCTGTTTGCCTGGGTATCACTGGCAGAAGATGCAGACCAGCAAAGATTGCTGCCTGTTCCTTCTTCTGGAAGCTTCATCCCAGAGGGGCACCCACCAGATGCCAGCCAGAGCTTTCCTATATGAGGTGTCTGTTGGCTCCTACTGGGAAGTGTCTCCTAGTCAGGATACATGGGGGTCAGGGACCCACTTAAGGAGGCAGTCTGTCCCTTATCAGAGCTCGAACGCTGTGCTGGTAGATCTGCTGCTCTCTGTTTAAGTCTTCTGAAGCTGTGTCCACAATCACCCCTTCCCCCAGGTGTTCTGTCCCAGGGAGGTGGGGCTTTTATCTATAATTCCCTGACTGGGGCTGCTGCCTTTTTTTCAGAGATGCCCTGTCTAGAGAGGAGGCAGTCTGGCCGCAGGGTTTTGCTGAGCTGGGGTGGGCTCCACCTAGTTTGAACTTCCCTGTGGCTTTGTTTACACTGTGAGGGTGAAACGCCTACTCACGCCTCAGCAATGGTGTATGCCCCTCCCCCACCAAGCTCAAGCATCCCAGGTCGAGCTCAGACTGCTGTGCTGGCCGCGAGACTTTCAAGTCAGTGGATCTGAGCTTGCTGGGCTCCGTGGGGGTGGGACCCACCAAGCTAGACCACTTGGCTCCCTGGCTTCAGCCCCCCTTCCAGGGGAGTGAATGGTTCTGTCTCTCTGGCGTTCCAGTCACCACTGGGGTATGAAAGAAAGCTCCTGCGCCTAGCTCAGTGTCTGCCCAAATGGCTGCCCGGTTTTGTGCTGGAAACCCAGGGCCCTGGTGGCGTGCGCACTGGAAGGAATCTCCTGGTCTGTGGGTTGCAAAAACTGTAGGAAAAGTGCAGTATCTTGCCCAGAGTGCACGGTACAGTCCCTAATGGCTTCCCTTGGCTGGGAGATGGAGTTCCCCGACCCCTTGCACTTCCCAGGTGAGGCAATGCCCCACCCTGCTTTGGCTCGCCCTCCTTGGGCTGCACCCACTGTCCAACCAGTCCCAATGAGATGAACTGGGTACCTACCTCAGTTGGAAATGCAGAAATCACTCACCTTCTGAGTTGATCTCTCTGGGAGCTGCAGACCGGAGCTGTTCCTATTCGGCCATCTTGCCAGCAACCTAGATGGCCTTTTATGATCAGTGATCCCTCTATCTAAAATAGCTCCTATAACCCACATGACTATTAACCCCTACTTCTGCTTTTTCTTTCTTCACTGAGTTACACTCGACATTATAATGGATGCGTACTTGCTTACTTGTTTATTGTTTGTCATTGACACTAGAAGGTAAACTTAATGAGGGCAAGGGTTTCGTCTTTTGCAGCCTGGGAGCACCAGTGCCTAGAATAGTGTTGGGCAAATAGGAGGTATGCAATAAATGCACTAACAAAAATTGGCTTTTGAATATCGTTCTTTTTTTCTCAACCCCAAGCTCAGAGTTAACCCTACCCAAATCATGATATAACATTGTGATTAGTTAACAAAAAGCCTCCTTTTTATTACTTTAAAAAAATCTTACTCCATATCCATACTCGTTTCCTCTTACTCCTCTTTTCTCTCAAGGCATCTATGCTAATGATTCTGAAATTTCTCTTTGGTTATATATTTCTTTGGATATAAATTTAAAACACTAAAAATAGTGTTTTAAATTTCTGTGTTATAGTGCTCCAGATCCCATCCTGCTTCTTGTGTTCTTTCAGCGTTGTTTTTAAGAGAACTCTGTTAACTACAGGGTGGTATTATTACATATTTTTTAAACCTTTCCACTTCTTCATTGATGGACATCTAGGCTGACCTCAACTCTGTTGCCAAAACTAATATTGGAATGAATAACCATAATACATGCTCCCTTATATATCCATATGAAAGTGTTCTGGGATATATACTCAAGAGGAGGATTGCTAGATTATAGACTATAGGCATAATTAATTTCTTCAAAGACTACCTGATTGTTTTCAAGAATAACCATACCAATTTGTACTTCCATCAGCACTGCATGAGAATCCAATTTTCATACTGTACTATACTATCTTACATCAAATTTTTGCAACCTGAGGAGTGTATATACTTGTTTTAGTTTGTATTTCTTTTATAACTAATAAGGTACTTGTAATTCATTTAAGATTTGCCATCTATAAATTGTCTATTCATATTTTTTATTCATTTTTTATTGGGTTTTGACTTTTTCTTGTTGACTAGAAGGAGTTCTTTTTATATTTTAGATATTAATCTCTTAACAGTTTTGGAAATTGCAAGTATTTTCTCTTCATCTCTTCCCTGTGAATGTGTTGTCCATGATGATTTTTGTTGAATAGAAATTATTGAAATTCCTCAATATTTAAACTTGTGGCTTTTGGTTTCGAAGTCTTACATATGAGAAAATTCTTCAGTACAAAGTCACGAGGATATTTTTACTATGCTTAGTTCCTTTGGCTCTTTTACATTTAGGAACTCACCTTTATATATGGTGTGAGGTATGTATCTAACTTATTTTTTCTTCATATTATTAGTCATTTTCTTCATTACCCCCATTAAACAGTTCATCATTTTTATAGGAAAGTTGCCAAGATGGTACAGAGAGCACTTGCGTACACCTCACCCAATTTCAGTTTCTTTTAATGTCATCATTTTATATCACTGTGGCACATTTTCCAAAACTAAGAGAACAATATTGGTACAATAACTGTTAACTAAGCTGCAGACTTTTATTCAGATTTTACCAATTTTCCACTAAAAAGCCTTTGCCTTTTCTGTTCCAGGATCCAGTCCAGATTATTATATTGCATTTAGTTTTCATGTCTCCTTAGTCTCCTCTGGTTTAGGACAGTTTCTCAGTCTTCCTTGTTCTTTCTGAACTTGACAGTTTCAAGGAGTATAGTGAGGTATTTTGCACAATGTTTTTCATTTGCATTTGTCTGATGTTTTCCTCATAATAAGATTTTGCTTTATAGATGTTTGAGAAGAATACCACAGAAGTAAACTGCCCTTCTCATTGCATAATATTAGAGGATACATGATGTCCGCATTGACATCACTGTAGGTTGAATAGTATCTCCCCAAAATTTATGTCCACACAGAACCTCAGAACATGACCTTATTTGTCAGTAGGATCTTTACAAATGTAATTAGTTAAAGATCTTGAGATGAAATCATCTGGGATTTAGAGTGAGTCCTAAATCCAATCACTAGTGTCTTTATAAGAGAAAGAAGAGGGAGATTTGTACACAGACATACAGTACAGAATATCACTGAAGACACAGGCAGATATTAGAGTGATGCAGCCACAAGCCAAGGAAACTTGGAGATAGCAGAAGCTGGAAAAGGAAAGGAAGGATTCTCCTTAGAACCTTCGGGAGGAAGGTGAAACTGATTACACCTTGATTTTGGACTTGCAGTCTTCAGCATTGTTAGAGAATAAAGTTTTGTTTTATTAAGCCACTAAGTTTGTAGTAATTTTTTGTGGCAGCCCTAGGAAACTAATACAATTTGGCCAGGTTTCTTCATTATAATGTTACTGTTTTCCCCTTTCTATTATCTGTCCTTTGGAAACAAGTCATTAAGTCCAGTCCACACTCAAAGGATAGGGAAATTAAGCTCCAAGTCCTGAAAGAAATAGTGTCAACATGTATTATTTTGAATTCCCCTGTAAAGAAAGTTTGTTTCTTCTCTTCCATTTATTCATTCAGTTATTTATTTATGTCACAATGAACTCATGTATATTTATTTTATATTTTGTATTATAACCCAATACTACATTGTTTATGTTATTGCTGAACTTGTTGCATCCATGGCCAATGGAAGTTCTATCAGGTTGGCTGGCCCCTGTGTCCTTTGGACATTTTCCCATTTTTCTTCTTTTTGAGCACTGTATTTTCTGTTATATAAATATATTTCTTGTGTGTCTTAAAAATTTTATGTATTTATTTATTATTGATATATAATAGCTCATATTTTTGAAGCACATGTGATATTTTGATACATGTATAATCAATAGATTTTTGATGACATTAATCATATACCAAGCTTCTAAATACTATTTTTGTGCTCTCCACTCTGGTGTGTTGATTTTTGTATGTGTGCCAATCCTGTGCTTTTATTACTATGGTTTTGTAGTTTGTCTTAACATATGTTGAAAGGAGTTCCTTCATGTCCCCTGGTCCTGTCCTTCTTCTTTTTTTTTTTTTTTTGTTTTTTTTTTTGATGGAGTCTCACTCTGTTGCCAGGCTGGAGTGCAGTGGCGCGATCTTGGCTCACTGCAACCTCCACCTCCAGGGTTCAAGCGATTCTCCTGCCTCAGCCTCCCAAGTAGCTGGGACTACAGGCACATGCCACCATGCCCAGCTAAGTTCTGTATTTTTAGTAGAGACGGGGTTTCACCATGTTGGCCAGGATGGTCTTGATCTCTCGACTTTGTGATCCACTCGCATCTGCCTCCCAAAGTGCTGTGATTACAGGTGTGTGCCACTGTGCCCGGCCTCTTCTTCTTTTTCCAAAGTATCTTAGGTCTTTGTAAACTTTATTTATTGTTATATATTTTGAATTGTTTGTTAAGTTTCCCCTGCAAATTTTGCAGAGATTTTCATTTGAATTCCATTCATTTTATAAGTTAATTCTGGAAGAAGAATTGATGTCCTTATACTGTTAAGTCATTCCATCTGTGGACATGTTTTAATTTCCTTTATGTAGTGTTTAACATTTTTCATTAGTAGAATTGAAAAAAAAAAACTTCTCAATGAAGTTTTTGAGAGTTGTTACCATTATCTGTGTCATATATTATTGCTCGGATGACCCAAACACTATTTCCAACCCCTTCTGTGGTTACAGAGGACACCCTCATGAATAGTTCTATTTCCTAGCTAGAGGGTAGTCTGGGATAGAGTTCTGCCAATGAAATATAAGCTGGAGTCTGTGGTAAAGAGGGTTCCTGTGAAAAATTCTGATTTCCTGAAAAAAGGAACAGATGAGCCTGGCACCATCTTTTCCCTTTCATTCTGCTTTAAATGTGGACATGCCTAAAGCTGGAGTAGCTGTCTTGCAATCATAAGGGAAAAGACAAGAGTGGTACAAAGACAATATCCCTGATATTATTGTTCCTCTGAACAAATGCAAGCATGCACCCACCTTCAGATATGTGAGAAAAATCAACTTTTAATTGTTTAAATTGTCATAAGTGGGGCTTTTCTGGTATGTGTAGCTGAACAAAAGCTTAAACTGGTATGTAATGTATTTTCCATTGTATTTCCTAACTGGATATTGGTGGCATAAGGGAACACTACTGACTTTTGTAGATTGAGCTCATGTCTAATAATCTTGCTTAATTTTATTAACTTTATTGAACTACCTGTTAGATTGATTTGCTTGAGTTTTCTATGTATATAATCAAACCATTTGCAAATAATGCTAAACTGCCTCTACCCTCCCACTTTTTTCTTATAAGAACAATTTTCCTCATTGTCTCAGTGTACTGGCCAGGACTTGGCAGTACTAATGGTCATTTATTTTACAAAAACTTATTCAGCACCTGTTTTATGGAGGACACTGTTCTAGTCACTGTGGCAAACAAAGCCTCTCCATTACGCTAAGGACATTCCTGTCTTCTTTCATATCTTAAAGAGAATTCATCTAAACTTTTATCTTACAGTTACCAAAATTCTGGTTTTAAATATATATATATATACATACTAATTCTTAAAATGAAAATGAATCAAATGACTTTCAATAACATATTTCTTATTAAATTATATCATAGTAAGGTGTGATAATCTTCACAAGTTTGACTTTTGCAACTTGGTCAAAAACATTCAATGCTTTTTCAATATTTTTCTTCTTTTCTTTTTCTTTCCTAATTTGAATGTCCACTGTACAATACTGAGTTAGTCATAATCCTTGCTTGTGATATAGTCTATAGTCTAATTGTTTGTCTTTGGATTTATTTATTTATTTAGTAATATAACTGATACCCTTGCATTCATTTTCAATTCAAGAGCTATGGTGCAACTTACATCTTCATTTCTGCTTCTCTCTCTTCCTTCCATCTGCCTCTATCCTTCCTGTTATCACTATCTTGAATATTATGCTTATCATTCTCTAATCTTTATTTTCTTAGTTTTAGGCCTTACATTTCCTTTAACATTATACTTAGTTTTGTTTGTTTTTGAACTTTCAAAGATCTCATATGTAGTCTTTTAGGCTTGCTTATTTCTCTCGATAGCTGTGTATTACACAGATAATACCACGTTGCTAAATGTGCCTCTAATTAATTCATGTTCAATGCTGTGTATTATTCCATTGTGTGAATATACGACAACTTATTTATCTCCTGTTCAGTCAGTGCATCTTTTAGTTGTTTCCAGTTTTCTGCTATTATAAAGTGTTGGTATGAACATTCTTGTTGATGTCTTCTTGCTCGTACTTGTGAGATTGTCTTTAGCTGAGAGCATATGTCTAAGAATGAAATTGCTAGGTTGAAGCATATGCACACCTTCAATTTTAGAAGATAATGCTAAAATTTGTCCAAAGTAATTTTACCAATTTATACTTCACTAGTAATGCATAAGAGATTCTATTGATCGACACCTGCTACTACACTTAATGTTGCAGTCTTTTTCATTTTTATCAATCATATAGGTATAATATGGAATCTCATTTGGTCTTGGTTTGCATTTCCCTGATTTCTGCTGATCCTGAGCTCTTTGTAGGTTTATTGCTCATGTGTGATTCTTGTGACGTGACTGTTAATGTTTTATTTTTGGTTCTCTGAGCCTCAGTTATTTTTTCATCTGTGAAATTCGGTTATTAATGCATACTGTATGGGATTTAATCAGATATTGTATGCAAAAATCTGGCTCAGTGTCTGTCACATAGTAGATCTTTAATATTTAATATTTAATCATTTTTCTTTGTTCCTAAGGTCATCTTGTGGCCTTTTGTGCTTTTCTAGATCCTTCCCTCTCTCTCCCTTCTCCCTTGCTCCTTCCTTCCTCCTTCCTTCCTTCCTTCCTTTTTTATGCCAACTTCAGAGCCCTTCTCTTATACTCAGTTCAGTGTCTGAAGCTCTGTAACCTTTATGGACCATCCAAGGAAGCAAAAGGTGCTTACTACCTTTTTGGACTCTAAGAAACTCAGCTGAATGCACCACCGCTGTTGTTTTCTCCACCTATTGAGAAATACTTCTATTTTGTCTGCAACCATGTTTTGTTGACAATTTGTCCAGCCTCTGACCAGAGACTTCTGTTTTCTTTTGAACCCTGTGCCTATTCCTCAGATCTACTCTTCTTTATCAATATCAGCTGAGAGATCATTTTCTCCAAGGCCTCTCTTATTTCTTTCTTTCTCTTTTTTTTTTTGAGACGGAGTCTCGCTCTGCCGCCCAGGCTGGAGTGCAGTGGCGCGATCTCGGCTTACTGCAAGCTCCGCCTCCCGGGTTCACGCCATTCTCCTGCCTCAGCCTCCCGAGTAGATGGGACTACAGGCGCCAGACACCATGCCTGGCTAATTTTTTCTATTTTTAGTAGAGACGGGGTTTCACCGTGTTAGCCAGGATGGTCTCCATCTCCTGACGTCGTAATCCACCCGCCTCGTCGTCCCAAAGTACTGGGATTACGGGCGTGAGCCACCACGCCCGGCCAGGCCTCTCTTATTTCTATCCCATCCTGCAGTAAATTATCAGACACTCACTGAGTCCCAAGATACGACTCTACTGTGAGTACCAGAATCCTCTCACTCTGGGCTTTGCAAGCTTCACTGTGCGTGTGAATCACCTCGGGATCTTGTTAAAATGCAGATTCTGATTCACTACATCTGAGTAGCCTCTGAGAACCTGCGTGTCTAACAAACTCTCAGGCGACGCAGCTGCTGCTAGTCTGTGGACCACACTTAGAGGAGCAAAGGTCTAGGCAACTTCTGAAGGCTTCTTCCAGCACTGGTTTTTTCTGATCTGTGAGTAGTAAACTGTAACATTCTATTCGCTTTGCTATCTTTTCTCTGTTTCCTCTCTGGTTTATTAGCGATTCATTAATTGAGTTAGCAAATGCTTTTTGAGTACCTGTAATGTAGTTGGCACCAATCTAGTGAAAGACATGTGAAAGTGAACAAAACAAACACCCCTGTCTTTAAGGAACTACCACAAATGCAACTTATAAATAAAAAACAAATACCGTGTACTCTTTTATGCTACCTTTTTTTTTCTGTTCCTGATTTCATGAAATAACACTACACCTTATTTTTGGGTAACCAAGACAAATAATAGTACCCCTTTTTAGCCTTGGCTTCATGTGGTATCTTTCTTTTTTAATACTATTTTAAATTTTATTACAGTTTTCAAAAATAAGCCATTTACAATATTATCTTGTTTAGAATGAACAACTTGTATTATTTTGATGAAAGTTAGTAATGGAATAAGCCACACACACACACACACACACAAAGCATCCTAAGACTCTTGCAAAGTAAACATTTAGTGGCTTTTTTTTTTATAAGAGAAAATTTGATTTCTATATCTAAGTTCTCTGTCAGACTGACTTTCCCTGTTCATTGTATGGCTTTTATTTTTCACGGCAGGAAGTAATTCTCAATAAATCTTAAAATGCAGGATGCCTTCATGTGTGCATGCGTGTCTCTCTCTCTCTCTCTCTCTGTGTGTGTGTGTGTGTGTGTGTGTTTGTCTCTATAATACACTTCAAGACAAAGCTTTTGAAGTGGAAGAAACTTCAAAGTTGGGCACCAAGCTTTTGAAGTGGATCTCACCTGAAACTAATTTTCAAAACAAGATAATTATATAGCATTCTTTCTTGTGCTTCATACATGACAGAGAAGAAATTTGTGGTGGCACATAGCACCTCTACCAAAGCCTAATGAATTTAAGCCAATAAACACAGTAGTTAAGGCATTTAACTTAAGAATTTGAAGACAGTAGTAAAAATGTTTTATAAAAGGAAAATTGGACTGGGCGTGGTGGCTCATGCCTGTAATCGCAGCACTTTGGGAGGCCGAGGCGGGTGGATCACCTGAGGTCGGGAGTTCGAGACCAGCCTGACCAACCTGGTGAAACCCCGTCTCTACTAAAAATACAAAAATTAGCTGGGCGTGGTGGCGCATGCCTGTAATCCCAGCTACTCAGGAGGCTGAGGCAGGGGAATCACCTGAACCTGGGAAGCAGAGGTTGCAGTGAGCCGAGACTGTGCCATTGGACTCTAGCCTAGGCAACAAGAGTGAAACTCTGTTCAAAAAAAAAAAAAAAAAGGAAAATCGGAGGTTCCTTTTACTGTCTGTGAGCACCATGGATTAAAACAACTGGTTAATTTGCAAGCTTGCTTTGGCATATGTGAAAATGATTGCGAGGTGATTGCAAAAATGCAAATTTAGGATACTTTAACACATCTCGTCAATCTCAGATTTAATCTATTCTTAATATATATTTAAAATGCAGCCAAATGACCTTTGAAATAGAATAAAAGAATAAAAAGAGATTCTCTGAAAAAGAAAATAAAAACACAATATCTAGTTTCCTTTTTTAAAAAAAGCAAAACTATTGATGGGCTAATTGATTGTGATACAATAGACAGACAT
Organism: Homo sapiens; assembly: GCF_000001405.40. Taxonomy (NCBI): domain Eukaryota; kingdom Metazoa; phylum Chordata; class Mammalia; order Primates; family Hominidae; genus Homo; species Homo sapiens. The sequence continues at coordinate 214,736,552 of NC_000001.11, forward strand.
TGTAACTATACTGCAAGTTCTCTTGTTTTCTAAAAAAAGTAATTTTTTTTTTTTGAGACAGTTTCACTCTTCTTGCCCAGGTTGGAGTACGATGGCGTGATCTCAGCTCACTGCAACCTCTGCCTGGGGTTCAAGCAATTCTCCTGCCTCGGCCTCCTGAATAGCTGGGATTACAGGCATGCGCCACCACGCCTGGCTAATTTTGTATTTTTAATAGAGACAGGGTTTCTCCATGTTGGTCAGGCTGGTCTTGAACTCCCAAGCTCAGATGATCCGCCCGCCTCAGCCTTCCAAAGTGCTGGGATTATAGGCATGAGCCGCTGCACCTGGCCATATTTTTTCTTATATTTAAATATAATTTCAGATATTTACATTAATCAATGACATGTCAGACTGGAAAAAGTCTAAAACGTTAGAGTTTTAAACTTTCTAATTTATTGTCTCCAAGTAGGGCTGAAAGAGTTGAATAAAAAGAATTTAAAAGCATAAATATTACAATACTAAAGTACAATAGAGGATACATTAAGCTATGGTAGAGGATACATTTATAATACAGTAGGTTATTTTCATCGGGAGATTATCTTAGGACGGAATTTTTATATTGTTACTTCTGATCATATTTTTTTGTTTCAATACTCTCTAGTTTCTAAAACCACAGTGAAGAACATATACATTATCAAAAGAATTTTGAATTCCTCTACCTTGCTCATGTTGGCTTCAGAGTATCAGTTTTTTTTGTTTGCATTCTATCGATCAAGCAAGTCTCCCATCCAGCCCAGTTTCAAGAGGAGGGAGGGAATTGACTTCATTTTTTGATAGGGGGATGGCATGTTTGTATAGGGAGGAAAAAAAGCTGGTGGCAGCTTTCTGGAAATAAGCTATCACAAGGATCATTCTTTGCATGGCGTGTAAATTAACTATTACAAGACTTTGAAGGCCATAATCTATGACTCTGGATTAAACTGTTTCCTGCAATTGTTTACATGATTTCTGAATGGGTGATCTCCTTAGGAAGGGGATGGCTTCTGAGGCTCAAATCCTCTGTATTTTGGAAAACATAGACATTAACTTTGCAGCTGAGGGTGAATGGAAGCAAAAATATTTTGAAAAAACTTAAATCACTTTAGCAACTTCAACATTACAATTATTGTATAATTATAATAATAAGGTAGAAACCTTATTATTAATGTTTTGTTAATGGTAAATGGACTAAAGTACATCTACACAAGAGAAATGATGTTTGAAAAAATGTACCCTCTACCATAGCTTAATATATTCGCTATTGTACTTTAGCATTGTAATATTTATGCTTTTTCTTTAAAATATGTGCTTGAAAAGATAGTGTCTGCTGGTAATAATTTCATTAATGAAGCATAACTACAATTCTGAAGTTGACTCTTTAAACTTCTTATGAGACTATTAAAGTTTGAACACAAATTTTCATTATTAAAACCTGTCAAATGTCTTTGAGCTTAAATACTAGGAGTCTCCTAAAATTCTACTGCTTGATACCTATGTCATGAAAAGTAAAAGTTATTGTATTCTTGGGAAACTAGTAGAGGGAGGAAACAAAAACAAAATTAAATATGAATATTTTTTCCAGCTTTTGTAACATCAAGAGTTCTTGAGATATAATTTATTCTATATCTACACAATTTTTAACAAGTTTAAACAATTATAATTCCAGAGAAAATGAGTATTTAATGGCTGGAAAAGATCAGCACTGAAGAAGAGATGGAGGCTGGAAACTATGGAAGAAGATCGTAGAGTTCTGGTTGCCTTGGGCTCCAATACTTCTTGACTTGGGCTATATGTCCCATGATAAGCATAAGTGACAGTTCCCAAATCAGTTTCTGTCATGAAGGAGAATGGTAAAGAGGGTTCTCCTACTGATAAAAAGCCAGGCTTCTTTTTAGCATGGCATATACATATCATGACATTTAAAACCCATAGTATTGTAAATCAATGTTATCCCCATTTCACTGGTGAGAAAACAAGCTTATTGAGTTCGAGTAACTTGACCAGGGGGATGTGGTTGAAAATGAGGAACTCGAATGTGGTCCAAAGTCCACTGGTCTCCAAAATCCATTCACCCTGCTATTTACCACAGCAGTCCTCAAACTTTTTGGCATCAGGGACCAGTTTTGTGGGAGACAATTTTTCCATGGACCAGGGGGTCAAGGGGGAATGGTTTTGGGCTAATTCAGCCTATTACATTTATCGTGCATGTTATTTCTAGTATTATTACATTGTAATATATAATGAAATAATTATACAACTCACCATAATGTAGAATCAGTGGGAGCCCTGAGCATGTTTTTCTGCAACTAGACGGTCCCATCTGGGGGTAATGGGAGACAGTGACAGATCATCAGGCATTAGAGTCTCATAAGGAGTGTGTAACCTAGATCTCTTGCACACGCAGTTCACAATAGGGTTTGTGCTCCTATGAGAATCTAATGCTGCCGCTGATCTGATAGGAGGTGGAGCTCAGGTGGTAATGCAAGTGATGAGGAGTGGCTGTGAATACAGATGAAGCTTTGCTCACTCACCCACTGCTCACCTCTTGCTGTGAAGCCCAGTTTCTAACAGGCCACGGACTGGTACCTGGAGACCCTGGTTTACAACATATATGAAGAAACATTATAATCTCAACTATCACCCCCATAACCCTGTGAAGACTATTATAATGTAATTTTATAGGTGGAGAAACTGAGGCTTAAAGATTATTTTTTTCCATGCAGGAAAAAAAAATGTAGAGTGACTTGCACAAAAACAAAACTAGTAAACAGAGGGGTCAGGGCACATAGGCATTTCTAATTGCCGTCTCTTTCCCCAGTGCCAAAGCTTGCGAGTCAACTCTTGCTCTCTGGTTTCTGGTTTCTCCACATCACTAAATGTTGAGATTTATTCCTTACTTCATTTATTCACGTATCAATAAACATTTAGTTAGTGCAAAGTATTTTATTAGGAAGGAAAAATATTTAAGGGGGTTGAAATAGTTAAGATGCTTTTCCCTAAATCTTGTCTCCTGAGATTTTTAAAAAATGTGCATTTCATCTTTTCTTGTTTGAAACAAAAAGCAACAGCTCAAGATGGCATCTGACTGAGATTTTATTTTTATTTTTAATTTTTATGTCTGGTCTGGGGTAGGTTGGATCAAATTTTAAAGAAAACCATTTACTTGCAGTTAGCTGAGAATGAATGACCTAGTTTATTTTGTTGGCAAATTGCCTCCTTGACTAAGAAAAAGTCAAGGCCTATGTATGTCCGTGGCTAGAATGATCTCTTTGTGTCATAGAGGCTATGGCCTTGCCTACTCTAAAGCAAGTCACAAACTCAAGTCAAAAAAGGACTTAAGAGAGAAGAAGCACTTTTCTAAGAGAAAATCAAGAGAATTAGAAATAATGCCTTCCTTTCCCAAGTATTTTTTTACTTTTCTTATTATACTTGTCATTTCTATGTCAGTTTCTATATACATGCCATTTCTATGACATGTGTGCTTGTGGTAGCATGGAAACTGACAGAAATGACAGGTATAATATGAAAAGTAAAAAGTACTTGGGAAAGGAAGGCAACATTTCTAATTCTCTTCCAACTTCTTTAATTTTCTAGATTATACCCTTAATTTTTATTTGTAAAACTAAGAGACATATTGCAATAATTATATACTTAAACCTTAAGGTAGATGTTACCTTTTGCATCAACCATGTGTTTTACAACTATGGTATGATTATGAGAAGTGTTTGGAGTGGGGCTAGGTTTGGGGTAGAAACCTTATTATTAGTATTTTATTAATGGTAAATGGACTAAGGTACATCTTCACAAGAGAAATGATGTTTTGAAAAAATACTTAATGACATGGAAAATGCTCATGATATAATAAAAACTAAAAAATCAGGAGACAATATACTATAGCCTGAGACCATAAGACTAGAAAAATAAAAGACTGAAAGGAAAAAAAAAACTTTGTTATCTCTGGGTGGGAATGTTTACTGTGATATTATTTTTCTCATTGTACCTTCTTGTGTTTCTAAACTCTCTGTGGTGATCATGTACAAACATACCTCAGAGATAATGCAGGTTCGGTTCCAGACCACCTCAATAAAGTGAATATTGCAATAAAGTGAGTCACATATAAAAGTTTCTCAGTGCATATAAAAGTTATGTTTACACTATGCTGTAGTCTATTAAGTGTGCAATAACATTATGTAAAAAAGTACATATTTTAAAAAATACTTTATTTCTAAAAATTGCTAACTGAACCTTCAGCACGTTGTTTTCTCTTTGCAAGTAGAGGATTTTGCCTTGATGTTGATAGCTGTTGACTGATGAGGATGGTGATTGCTGAAGGATGGAGCAGTTGTGGCCATTTCTTAAAATAATATAACAATGAAGTTTGTTGCATCAGTTTTCTTCCTTTCAGGAAAGTTTCTCTGTAGCATGTGATACTGTTGATAGCATTTTACACACAGTAGAACGTCTTCCGAAATTGGAGTCAATCTCTCAAACACTGCCATTGTTTTATCAAATACATTTATGTGACATCCTAAGTCCTTTGTGGTCATTTCAACAATGTTCACAGCATCTTCACCAGGAGTAGATTTCATCTCAAGAAACCACTTTCTTTGCTCATCTATAAAAACCAACTCCTCATCTGTTGACTTTTTTTTTTTTTTTAGACGGGGTCCTACTCTGTCACCCAGGCTGGAGTGTAGTGGCCTGAACTCAGCTCACTGCAACCTCTGCCTCCCACGCTCAAGTGATTCTTATGCCTCAGCCTCTCAAGTAGCTGGGATTACAGGTATGAGCCACCACACCAGATAATTTTTGTATTTTTAGTAGAGATAGGGTTTCGCCATGTTGGCCAGGCTGGTCTCAAACTCCTGGTCTCAAGTGATCTGCCTGCCTTGACCTCCCAAAGTGCTGAGATTACAGGCATGAACCACTGTGCCTGGTCCCAGCTAATTTTTTTGTATTTTTGTAGAGATGAGATTTCACCATGTTGCCCAGGCTGGTCTCAAACTTCAGTTTTTTTGCCAAAAACTCCTCAAGTGATCCTCCCGCCTTGGTCTCCCAAAGTGTTGCTATTACAGGTGTGAACCACCATGTTCAATCTGTTAACATTTTATCATGAGATTGCAGCAACTCATTCATATCTTCAGGCTCCACTTCTAATTCTAGTTCTCATTCTATTTCCACCACATCTACAGTTACTCTTGAATTCCTTGAAGTCATGCATGAAGGTTGGAATCAGCTTCTTCCCAACTCCTGTTAATGTTAATATGTTGACCTTCTCCCATGAATCACATTCTTAATGGCGTGTAGAATGGTGACTTCTTTCCAGCAAGTTTTCACTTTGCCCAGATCCATCAGAGGAATCACTATCTATGGCAGACATAGCCTTATGAAATGCATTTCTTAAATAACAAGACTTGACGGTCGAAATAATAACTTGATCCATGGGTTGCAGAATGTATGCTGTGTTATGATGCATGAAAATAACATTCATCTTCTTTGCACATCTCCACCAGAGCTCTTGGGTGACCAGATGCATTGTTAGTAAGCAACAATATTTTGAAAGGAATCTTTTTTTCCTAAGCAGTACACATCAACAATGTGCTTAAAATATTCAGTAAATCATGCTGTAAACAGATACACTGTCATCCAGGCTTTCTTGTTCCATTCCTAGAGCAAAGGCAGAGTGGTTTAGCATAATTCTTAAAGACCTCAGGATTTTTCAGAATGGTCTTTGAGCATTAGCGTCAACTGAGAGTCATCAGCTGAATTAGCCCCTAAAGAGAATCAGCTTGTCTTTTGACTCTTTGAAGCCAGGCATTGACTTCTCCTCTCTAGTTATGAAAGTTCTCGGTGACATCTTCCAATAGAAGACTGTTTCATCTCCTTTGTGGTTTAGTGTAGCCACCTTCATCAATGATATTAGATCTTCTGGATAACTTATGCAGCTTCTACATCAGCACTTGCTGCTTAGTCTTGCACTTTTATGTTATGGAGATGGCTTTTTAAACCTCATGAACCAATCTCTGCTAGTTTCCAACTCTTCTTCTGCAGCTTCTTCACCTCTCTCAGGCTTCATAGAATTGAAGAGAATTAGAGTCTTGCTCTGAATAAGAGTTTGGCTTAAGGAAATGTCATGTCTAGTTTGATCTTCTATCCTGACCACTCAAACTTTTCAGCAACAAAGCTATTTCACTTTCTTGTCATTTTTGTGTTCCCTGGAGTAGTTCTTAATTTCCTTCAGGAATTTTTCTTTTGCATGCATAATTTGGCCAACCGTTCTGGCTCAAGAAACCTAGCTTTTGGCCTATGTTTGTTTTTGACATGCCTTCCTCATTAAGCTTAGTCATTTCTAGCTTTTGATTTAAAGTGAGAGACATGTGAATCTTCATTTTACTTGAACACCTAGATGCCATTTTAGGGTTACTAACTGGCCTAACTCAGTGTTGTTGTGTCTCAGGTAATAGGAAGGACTGAGGAGAAGGAGAGAGATGGGGGAGTGGCCAGTCAGTGGAGCAGTCAGAGCACACACAATTTATTGCTTACGTTTGCTGTCTTGGATGGGCACAGTCCATGGCAGCTCCCCAAACAATGACAATAGTAACATCAAAAATCACCCAACACGGATCACCTTAGCAATGAAAAAGTTTGAGACATTTCCAGAACTGCCAAAATGTGATAGAGAAACACAAAGTGAGCACATGTAGTTGGAAAATTGGGACCAATAGACTTGCTAGATGCAGGGTTGCCACAAACCTTCAATTTGTTAAAAAAAAAAAAAAGTGACATTTGTGGCTGGGTGTAGTGGCTCACACCTCACCTGTAATCCCAGCACTTTTGGAGAGACAGCTTGGCCAAGATGGTGAAACCCCATCTCTACTAAAAATATAAAAATTAGCTGGGCATGGTGGCGGATGCCTGTAATCCCATCTACTTGGGAAGCTGAGGCAGGAGAATTGCTTGAACCCAGGAGGTGGAGGTTGCAGTGAGCCAAGGTTGTGTCACTGCACCCCACTCCAGCCTGGGCAACAGAGTGAGACTCCATCACACACATACAAAAAAAAAGCAGCATTCATGAAGTGCAATAAAGTGAGCACAATAAAACAAGGTGTGCCTGTTTATTACTTTTAATAGTTATAGAAAAGTTGCATCAGGAAAAATAAAGTTCTGTCCTGACCTTTTGCCTTAAACAACTGGGTTTCCTTTATGTTCAGATCTAGTTAAAATTTGACCCCATAGACCTTGTTTACCTTGTTGGTTTTCCATCCCTTTACCCCATTAATGAATTCTGTATATTCATATTGCATTACCCAAGTGGAGATGGAAACTTATGAGACACTTAGAATAACATCTTCAAAGAGTGAAAAGAGCAGAGACAGTGAGGAAGATAATAGTAAAAGCAGAATTTGAGAGGAGATTCAGGATGCTTGCATTTCATGCAGCATGTACACTAGATAACTCACTAGATTCTCTCAAGGTTTTTCCTTACTCTTTCCTTGCCCATTTCTGATCCCTGTTTTTCCCATTTTCCTTCCTTCCTCATGTTCTTCCCTTCTCTTATCTTTCAAACCTCTGTTCCTTTGGGATAATGGCAATAATTACAGGTACCATGTATTGAGCTTCTACTACGTGTACTGAAATGCAAGTAAGTTTATAAGGTGCAGGACCGGGATTAAAATGTAAGTCCTGACTCTCAAACCCCACTTGCTTTTCCCTGCCTTACATTGCCTCTATATTGAAATTCAAAAGGAAAAACCAAAAACCAAAAACCAAAACACTCTTGTTAATTTTTTTCTTGTTAAAAACAAAGGAAAAAGGTAGGTTGCAAAAAAAAGAACAAACAAAAAAAACCCCAAAACAAAACCCCACAAAAAAGCATGCTTATGATGTTTCTTTGTCACTTTAATCTTCCTTCAAATAAAAAGAAATCCAAACCCAAAGTCATTGTATCTTTCAGCTTTTCCTGTGTCAAATGGCATAGAAATATGAGGAACATAGATACAGATAAAATCTTTGCTATCAGAATACAAATACAAGCTGGAGAAGACAAACGCATAAGCTGTTGAAATGGAAGGAATGACCATAAACCATGGGACGTTTATATTCATGTTTCCAAATAGCTCTCATTCATTATACACTTAGATCTAATTCTCTTCTTCAGCTGAGTTTAGGAGAAATTTTCCACTTGTGGCAGCAGTGTTGAATCAAAAAGCAATTTATATTTTGCTAAACAACAAAGGTGCTTCAAAGCTTCCCTGTACAAATGTGGTAGAGATTTTAGCATCAACGACCACCCCCCACTCTCTTGGCACCGTTTACTTCTTCGGTAAATTACAAACAAATTAACAACTTTGTTATGTTAATATTTCAGCAATGGCGACCACCATGTACTGAAGATGTAATCTTTCGGAAGTCTTTCCATCAAGCTTTCTGGAGAAAATAAATCGTGTTAGTTACTACAAAGCTTAACTAGAGCTCAACTAATTGGCAATTCACATTCAAAACTTGACTACATATAGCATCTGTTGTTTTTGTCTAGTAAGTGTTTTTTTAGAAATAATTTATTGAGGTGAAATTCACAAAACATAACATGAATTGTTTTAAAGTGAACAATTCAGTGGCATTTAGTACAATCATGATGTTGTGCAACCATCAGCTCTATCTGGCTCCCAAAAAATCCATCGCTCCAAAGTAAAGTCCTTTACCCATTAACCCATTTATGCTAGAGGTCACAAATTTTTTTGTGAAAAATCAGACTTAGGCAATGACCTTGAGCAGTAGCATGTAAATAACTCCGACAAACTTAGCATTCCAATAATGGAACACTAGGCATAATTAAGGAGTTTCTGCCCACTCCTTCCTTTCCCCAGCCCCTGGCAATCATCACTGCACTTTGCCTGGATGGATTTGTCTATTCTGGCTATTTCATATAAGTGGAATCATATATTATGTGTCCAGTTTCTCTCACTCAGCATAATGCAGATTCATCTACATTTTAGCATGTATCAGGACTGTCTTCCTTTTCATAGCAGAATAATATTCTATTGTATGGCTATACCAGTTTGTTTATCCATTTATCTGTCGATGGATGTTTGGGCTGTTTCCACTTTTTGGCTGTTGTGAATAGTGCTGCTATAATATGTGTTTCTTTAAACGTTGTTTTGATTAGGGCTATGTAGGCACATAGCTTCAAGAGTCAAATAGTTCCACAAGGCCTCTTAGGAAAAGCGGCAGTTCCTTGAACATCTCTCATCCCACTTTGCTACTGTTTTCCTACTCCCAAAGGTGAGTGGGAATATGAACTATTTCTGGGTCTGTGTTTCCTGTAGGAATTGTTCTATTCCTTTCTGGAAGTGCTTTTCTGCCTTGCACACATGTTGCAATCAGCCCTCAGCCTCAGGTCTCCAGGGCTCAGGCGCACTGCCCCGCCAACAGCTCCTCCTCCCTTGTGCTTGATTCTGCAAATTCTAACTGTCCAGGCCTCCCTGCACTCCATCTCTGTCTCCTCCATTCTGTGCTCTCTTTAGATCCCTCTCCCTTCCTTGCAGCCCAGAGACTGCCTTCATCTGGGCCAACTGTGGGGCTCATCTGGCTGGTTTCCCTTCTCTCAGAGACCACAGCCCTGCCCTACCTATTGTCCACTGTCTGAAAACCATCTTTTCATATCTGGTTTTCTAGGTGTTTAAGGCAGGAAGATTGATACATTCAGTTGCTGTTACTCTATCCTGGTGAGATTCAGAAGCCCTTCTCTGTGGATTTTTAGTGATAGTTTTCTTTTTAAGTTTCCTTCTTTCAGGCCAGTCTTTTTTTTTTTTTTTTTTTTTGCAGTTTTCCCCACTTGTTTATTTTTGTCTTTGTCTTTGACAATTGAGACTTTCCCCAAACGCCTGGTGATTCTAGGCTGTTCCTACTAAAGCCTAGGATGCTAAATGGATGAGAGGCTCCATGTTTATGAGGAAGTTTGTCATCTCATGGGATTCACTGGAGAATGAACTGATTTTTAGAGCTCTTTACATTAACAACTAAGATTGACCTTTAATGAATTAATAGTATAATTTGTTTCAAATTAAGAAGTGACCTTACATCCTATGGAATGTGGAATTTTAAGGGAAAGCTGATAGTAAGAAATAGACTTTCTCATATATGTTAAATCATAAACTATTCCTTACTCTGTGTAAGCAAAAGAGTACTTTGTTTTATATAAATTCTTACTTTACTCTGAAAGGATGATTGAATGTTTTTTCTTGTGCAGAGTATAACCTCCTTTGAAGAAAGGAATCATGGCCTCTTTTTTTTTTTCTTTTGCTGTATTGAATTCTTTCTCTCCTCCAAGACCTCCACTTATCTGCTCCTTGACCCTGAAAATCATGCTCAGGGGACTGCAGAATTAATGATTTACCTGTTTAATGAGGTGCTCTGATCAGTGTTAAATACAATTTATGGGAGGCCATTGTTTTGGATGGAGCTCCTATCGTAGGCCCCAACGCACCCGACCAAACCAGAAGGGAGTCACTCATGGCTAGGCTAATTCCAGGCCTAGCCTTTTTAGTTCATAATTCCTGTAATAAGGGCCTTGCAGAGCCTCCCACACACTGACTGCCCTGTTGAATTGTTACTAGAGACTGTGAGCGATGATAAAGAGAAATGTTTGCATATATCAAAATCTTCCTGTATCTCTTGACATGTCAAATTGTCATCTGGGAATAATGAGGAGAATTATGGCATGCTGAGAATATACTGTCTATCTTCAGTGGAAGAGGTTTAAGAAGCGCCTGATAACATTATAAAATCCCCCTCTTAAATCATCTTACCTCATACATGTGTACATGCCAAAGTTATTACAAAGGAAAATAGAAAGGTAAATGCCACATCATTTTGCAAGAATGGCAAGAATTAACACTTCAGCAAATACTTTTCCTAATGAAATATTTTAAATTCTAACTACCCAACTATCAAATTAATCCATTGCAGATTGAGTAACTCTGGGACTAGTTCGCTCCTTGAAGGAGTGCTATAAACTACTAGGGGGCACCATTTTACATATCAATCTGGTCTTTGCTGACCTTGGACTAAGTTCTAGTCCCTGAATTAAACATAGAGAAACTTGTGACTCATCTGGATTTTAAATTTTGGATGCTACTAGGAGAAACTTTTAAGTAAACATTGCATTTTAATATACTTATTTTTCTGAAGTGGGTGAATTGAACATTTCAGACTTTAGAACCCATAATTTATTTCTCTATGTTTTTCAAACGGAAAAAAGAACAAAGGAAAAATCCATCTTCATTATTTTAACTCTCTGTATTATCTGCCATAGTGTTCAGTGAGATCATCTTTAAAAGGTTAAGTGACTTGGAAATTTGCAAAATGTTCCTAGTTTCATGTTCTATTCAGCTGTCCCAGGAGAGGATACTGAAGATACTGGCCATGTTAGCCATCAGCATTGCTGATCCCTGGGACTATGTGAGCAACACCGTACTGAAGAAAAGGGAAGAGAATAAAGATAATACACATCTGGAGCTATGCAGGACAGAGAAAAAAATATGAAGTGATTCTTGTATATACATATGCTGTTTTTACTAAGACACTTAATGACATAAAGATTAGAGAACAATACAAGATAGGTTATCTTGTATAGGGCTCAATCATGTGGTATAAATTGTAAATCCTAAAAAGATTCAGAGAAAGGAGATATCAGTGTGGGTTTAGAGGACTGGGGTGGACAGCAGAATGTTCTGGGAGTTCATGATCTAAGAGCAGATAGAATTCCTTCCGAAGCCATTAAGAAGAGGTGTGCTGTCTCCAGATGGAGCAGCGGCCAGCAAAGACAAAGAGGTGACAAAGGAGGAGTTTTGCCAAATGGGCACCTGCTGGAGGAGGATCTGACTGGAGAAGATCTGTAATACAGGAAAAAAGTTAAAGACATGTTTGCATGATGATCATCATTAGCCTATCAGAACAGCTAGTTTCTCTGGAAATAATTTTTTTCTACCATGCAAATTTTGTAAAATATGTTTGAGGTAGGGCTTCGTGAACAAATAATGCAACAGTTCTGTGTGGGCTGTGTCTCGGTTTGAGCCCTGTCTGGTTGTGCGATAGTAGGATCGTATTTTAACTTGCTAAGATTCCAAAGGCTCCATAGCCTGTCTTCTTTCTATTTGCTTTATTTACTTCCTGTTATTTTCCAACATGCACATTTCACAAGTGTCAATCTAATTTCTTCTACTTTCCATAAACTTCTACTTTCATATCTTTTACTCAGAATAAACATTTTTTAAAAAATCCTTCCTGTTTGTAACAATATGATGAAGGCTTGAGGCCTTTGCAGGTTATCTTGGCCTTCTTTGGTCTTCCTCTCCTTTGGACTCCTAAAACATTTTGGATCTATAGCACTCCCACCCCCATTCAATTCTTACCCATAAATTCTCTCATATTATGTATATTTTTGAGTACGTATTTGTGTGTTTCTCACTTGGTTACAATTTTTTAAATAGCAGCGGCCATGGTATAATATTGAATCCACACTATAGGTTCATTGTTCATATGTCAGTTAAGGCAATGGGCTGATTTTTTTTTGAGACAGTGTCTTGCTCTGTCGCCCAGGCTGGAGTGCGGTGGCTTTATCTTGGCTCACAGCAAGCTCTGCCTCCCGGGTTTGCGCCATTCTCCTGCCTCAGCCTCCCGAGTAGCTGGGACTACAGGCGCCTGCCACCAAGCCCGGCTACTTTTTTGTATTTTTAGTAGAGACGGGGTTTCACCGTGTTAGCCAGGATGGTCTCGATCTCCTGACCTCGTGATCCGCCTGCCTCAGCCTCCCAAAGTGGGGCTGACATTGTTGAATTTTTGGAATTTTTTGGGTTGCTTACTTTGATCTTCTTAAAGATTGTTTGGTAAAGTTTGTGTTTAGAAGTTAAGGGGGAAAATGAAGCCGCCATATCGACCAGAGTGTCATTTTAATTTTTTGAGATCTTTCACAGTAAAAACTCGTAGGAAATAAGAATGAAATCTTGGAAATAGGTCTCGGGGAGCATAAATAATAAAATCTATTTTTAGAATGTGTCTTATAACATTTTCATATATGATAGTTTCATAATTTTAGGTGAATAGCCACACAGCTGTGTTTTCCTCCCTAAAAAATTTTATATTTCCATCAGGAGATCCCTGAATATTATCTTAACAGAATTTATTATCTTTTAATGTTTATGCCCTATACAGTAAGCTTTAAAATTTATCACATATTAAAAGTAGTTATGATATTTTCTAAAATTACATTATCACAATAGATCAGTTAAAATAAAACTTTTGCCAATAAGATCATTATTATTATGTATATGATTCTAGTCAACTAAGAAAATTGTTCGGTGGGGGGAGGGGGGAGGGATAGCATTAGGAGATATACCTAATGTTAAATGACGAGTTAATGGGTGCAGCACACCAACATGGCACGTGTATACATATGTAACAAACCTGCACGTTGTGCATATGTACCCTAAAACTTAAAGTATAATTAAAAAAAATTGTTCACACCTGAATGGCTAAAACAGATTTAGAGAAATTTTTGTTTATGAATATAGATGCATCGTACTCCAATAAATGTGGAGCGTCTGAACTGAAAGTTAGGTGAAGTAATACACATTTCTTTTTTTAATGTTTTTTTTGTAAGACCTATACAATTTTTAAAGAGCAGTTACGTTAAAATAATGTTGCTATTTTACTTGATTTGCTAAATTCTTCTTAAGAAGCTTATTAGAAGAAACGATGCAGAATTATACTCAGTCAAATTACTAATGTGACTTTAACAACAGAGCAAATAGATATATTTTCCTTCTGCATTTTACTTTTCAAATTCTGCTTATGTTGGTATATTATTTCTAACTCCCATTGGCAAAGAGACATCTCTTCTTTTGTTCAAGAAGAGTATATAATATTATACGGGGGAGGATATGTGTAGGTTACATGCAAATACTACATCATTTGTATACGGGGCTGGAGCATCCATGATTTTTGTTATTTGTCGGGGATCCCAGGGCCAATGTCCTGAGGATACTCAGAGACAACTGTATGTTGTACACAGTTTAAATGGTACATAAAAAGATGCAATGAAAAGCAAATTTCTTACTTATCTATGTCTTCCAGTTGGTAGAAAATTATCTACCAGCAATGCAACTTTCTGTCTGAGTCAACTGCAATCAGTTTATTACATGTCATTTCAGATATGGTCTATACTTAACAGAGCCATAAATATATCCGTGTTCTATTTTTCACACAAATGGCATATAACATGGTTTCCCATCTTTTTGCACTAAGCAACATATATTGGGGACTGTTCAGTTTCAGAACCTATAGAGTTACACATTTCAGTGGCTGTTTATTAATCTATTATACAAATGTACCAAACTGCATTTAATCCATCCCCTACCAATGGGTTTCCTCCAGTCTTTTGCTCAATCTTTTGCTCATGCCCAGTGAGTAGCTTTGTACTTACAATGCTGAGCACATGTTGCATTTCTAAAGGACAAATTTGCAGATATAGAGTTGTTGGGACAAGAAATGTGCCTTTTAAAATTTGGTAGACATTGTTAGATTACCTGAATCATAGCACTAGTTTCACCTCCATGAAGAGGATAAGAACCTGTTTATCTTTAACCTCACCGATAATTATCAAACTTTTTGGTTTTTGGAGTTCTGATTTAATGAGGTAATAAATAAGATAAAAAATTGTATCCTTTGGTTGTATTTAGAATTTCTTTTGTTAATGAAGTTCAACATTATCGTAATAGAAACATTCAAAATGTTTAAGAGCCATTTCTATTAAGATAATAAATTGAATCTTGTAGTTTTATTAAGCATTTCTTTTAATGTGAGTGAAGGTCAACATCTTATAAATGTTATAAGCCATTTGTATTGTATTGTAAATCATCTGTTAAGATTCTTTGTCTATTTCTGTTGGTCTGTGGGCCTTAGAAATTTATTTTATATTAGTGGTTAAGAACATACTGCTGCAAATATTTTTTTCTATTTGTTTTTCACCATGATGCAATGTATCTTTTTCTTTTTCTTCTACTTCTTTTTTTTTTGAGACAAAGTCTCACTCTGTTGGCCAGGTTGGAGTGCAGTGGCGCAAGTGGTGCGATCTCAGCTCACTGCAACCTCCGACTCCTGTATTCAAGCGATTCTCCTGCCTCAGCCTCCCGAGAGCTGAGACTACAGGTGCCCACCACCATTCCCCAAAAAATAATAATAATAATTTTTGTATTTTTAGTAGATACTGGGTTTCACCATGTTGGCCAGGCTGGTCTTGAACTCCTGACCTCACGTGATCCGCCCACCTTCACCTCCCAAAGTGCTGGGATTATAGTAGGCGTGAGCCACTGTGCCCGGCCAAGAAATGCATCTTTTTCTACATGTATTTGGGTTTGTTAATCTTTGTTCTTTTGGCTTCTGGATTTATTTGTGTCACACTTATAAAGGCCTTTTCCACTCTAAGATTAAAGAAAAAAATGTTTTTCCTTAGTGTTTGCTAACATTTCATGGTTTCTTTTTCTTTTCTACTTCTTTAAATAAATGTTTTAAATCATTGTTCTATTTGATATTTGCTTGGAAATAAGGAGGAAGATAGGAATAAAGTAATATTTCTTCATATGGCTGCCTTGTTGATACAGTATTATTTATTGAATAATAAATTTATCTAGCAATCCATCTTTACTTCTGGAATGAAATGACAACTAAATCACATCTCAAAGACCTAAAAGTATTTCCACCTATTCCTGGGTTAAAAAAAAAAAACTCTTAGTGTCTTCTTACAAAGTTGTTGCTCTGTCAAACTCTTCCATTCACTGAAAGAAAACAGTCTGTGATGCATTTTAAAGACAGCATGCTTGCATTTGTCTTTTCTTCCTGGATTTCTCTACTTGACCTGTTGGGGCCTAATGGAGAAAGAAAACATGTTCTAATAATACATTCTAAAAGTTAGCTTAGAAAGATGTTTCTTTAACACTTCCATTCAACACAAAGTTAAGGTGAACATTAAAAAAAATTTAAATGAATGAAAATAGAGACACAACATACCAATGCTTCTAGGATACAGCAAAAGCAGTGCTAAGAGGAAAGTTTATAGTGTTAAAAGCCTATATAAAAATATAGAAAGATCATCAGTTAACAACCTAATGTGCCTCAAGGAACAACATTAGGAAAAACAAGGACAAACCAAACCCAAAGCTAGCAGAAGACAAGAAATAACAAATATCAGAGCAGAACTAAATGAAATTGAGATTAAAAAAAAGCTGCCTCCAACACCCCAACCCACACACGCGCATTCACCACACAGTCATACAAAGGATAAATGAAACGAAAAGTTGGTTCTTCGAAAAGATAAACAAATTGATTGTTCATTAGCTGCATTAAGCAAAAAAAAAAAAAAAAAAAAAAGACAAGCTTCAAGTAAGCACAACTAGAAATGACAAAGGTGACATTACAACTGATGCCATAGAAATGCAAAACATTATCATTGACTACTATGAGCATCTCTATGATATGGGAGGGGGTCAGGGAAGTGCTGGGTAGAGAAGGGTGGGATCCCTGGTGAGGGCTCCACCCTGAGGCCTGTGCCCATGGACCTAAGTGACAATAGGCACTTCTGTTTTCAAGCCCAAATGTTGCATTTTCTAAGACCACTCTGGCCTACCATGACCCCTCTCCTGTGCCTATGAAAACCCTGAGGCCCTAGCAGGCACAGACACAGGCGACTGAACGTCGAGAGGAACACACCAGCAGAAGAACATACCCAGAGACGCTGGCCGACCATTGACAGCAGAACGATGTGGATGACGTGGAATTTGGCCAAGGGTGGTCAGAGGAGAGCCCGGCCGCTGAGCGGCCGGACTCCAGGGAAGACCAGCTTCCTACTCCATCCCTCTTCTGGCTCCCCATCCACCTGCTGAGAGCTACTTCCACCACCCAGTAAAAAACCTCGCGCCCATCCTCCAAGCCCATGTGTGTTCCGATCGGTACACTAAGGCAAGCACCTGGGAACCCGGAATACAGAAAGCCCTCTGTCCTCGCGATAAGGCACAGGGTGTAATCGAGCTGATTAACACGAGCTGCATGCTAAGCTGAAAGAGCACGCTGTAACACACGCCCACTGAGACTTTGGGAGCCGTAAACACTCAATCCTAGAGGGTGTCGGAGCCCCACAACGTGCCCTTCTGCATGCTCCCCCAGGGGTTTGAGCAGCAGGGCACCGAGGAAGTGAGCTACACCTCCATTGCATGCCCTGGGAGGGGAACAAGGGAACTTTTCCCGTTTTATCTACAAACTAGAAAACATAGAGGAAATGAGTAAGTTCCTGAAAAATACAACCTCCCAAGACTGAACCAAAAGAAATAAAAATCCTGAACAGACCAATAATGACTAATGCGATTGAATCAATAATAAAAAATCTTCCAAAAAAAAAAAAAAAAAAAAAGCCCAGGACCAGACAGATTCATAGCTGAATTCTATCGGCCATACAAAAAATTGGTACCAATCCTACTGCAATTGTTCTAAAAAATTAAGGAGAAAGTAATCCTCCCCAACTTCTTCTACAAAGCCAGTATCATCTTAATACCAAAGCTAGGCAAAGACATAACAGAAAAAGAAAACTACAGGCCAATAACTCTGATGAACATAGATGCAAAACCCTTAACAAAATACTAGCAATTGAATCCAACAGCACATCAAAAAGATGATACATCATGATCAAGGGTTTTATTCCAGGGATGCAAGGATGATTCAACATATGCAAGGATGCAAAAGTATTCAATAATCAAATCAATAAATGTGATTCAACACATAAACAGACTTAAAAATAAAAACTATGCGATTATCTCAATAGATGCAGAAAAAGCATATAATAAAATTCACCATTGCATCATAATGAAAACTCTCAATATGCTAAACATGTACCTTAAAATAATAAAAGTCCATATACAACAAACCCACAGACAACATCCTACTGAATGGGAAAAAGTTGAAAGCATTCCTCCTAAGAACTGGAACAAGACAAGGATGCTCACTTTCACTACTCCTATTCAGCATAGTACTGGAAGTCCTAGCTATACCAATCAGGCAAGAGAAAAAATAAAAGTTATCCAAATTGGAAAAGAAGTAAAATTATCTCTGTTGATGATATGATCCTAAAAAGAAAACCCTAAAGACTCCTCCAAAAGACTCCTAGATTTGATAAACGACTTCAGTAAAGTTTCAGATTTTTTATTTTGTTTCATTGGGTGTCTCTTGAGTGTTTTAGTACCATTATACTATTTTAATTGCTCTTTTTATTTTTTAAGAATTTTCCAATTCTTTTTTTTCCATGGGAATTTTGGACTCAGCTTGCCTATTTATAAAGAAAATCTTATTTTATTTTAACTTCAGTTACAGCAAACATACTTATTTATGGAGAATTGGCATTTTTGCAACATTGACTATTCTTATCCAATAAAAGGATATGTCTTCCCAGTTATTAAGGCCTTATGTTGTGTCTCTCTCAATAGTGTTTAAAATATTTCTTCTTAGAGTTTTTACATTTAGATTAGGGTTATTTCTAGATATTTTATCTTTCTGACACTATTCTGAGTGTGCGTTTTCTTCTTTAGCATGCCTTTTTTTCTTTTTTTTTTTTTTGAGTCAGAGTCTCGCTCTCGCCCAAGCTGGAGTGCAGTGGCGCGATCTCGGCTCACTGCAAGCTCCGCCTCCCGGGTTCACGCCATTCTCCTGCCTCAGCCTCCCGAGTAGCTGGGACTACAGGCACCCGCTACCATGCCTGGCTAATTTTTTTGTATTTTTAGTAGAGACGGGGTTTCACCATGTTAGCCAGGATGGTCTCGATCTCCTGACCTCGTGATCCACCCGCCTCGGCCTCCCAAAGTGCTGGGATTACAGGCGTGAGCCACCGCGCCTGGCCTAGCATGTCTTATAACTGGTTTTTGTCTGTGTTTTGAATTGATTTTGAACTTTTTGAACTCGTTTACCTTTCTGAATTTTCATATTTTTTTTTGCAGTGTGGTCATTTTGAGTGGGTTGTTTTGGATTTTCCAGGCTTATAAACACCTAATCTTCAAAAAATGTAAATGTCACCTCCTCATTTTTACTGTTTATATCTCTTATTTTTTTCTTTTGTTTAACTGCATTGATTAGTATGTTGAGAACAGAGTTATAAAGTGGTGACAGTTAACTGTCTAGTCTTGTCTTTGACTTAACAGAAACTATCTTTTTGCTTTCTGACTCTTCTAGATAGCAGTTCATCCATGTTTTTATATTTATTTGCACATAATTGAGAGATCTGTTTTGCTTTGTAGTATTATTACCATATTTGCGCATTCTTCCTGTTTTTCTTACTAATTTACTATTTATATGCAAAGAGCCACCTATTAAAACTGAAAGTTCAAATATACTGGAAATAGATAGCCAGCTGCTGGGCTGGGCTTTCATTTCATGATTTTATTTTTGAATCTGGAGATTTGTCATACTTTCTTATAAGCTCAGCAATTCATTTAAAAGTGTTTCAACTATTTTTATCTGGCATTTCCAGGTGTTTTATGGCCAATGGCTTTCAGGATATCTAGTCTCTGTATGCTGGAAACGGAAGTCTTATTTATCTTTTTGAAGGTTAATGTTTGTTTTTCAGGAAGTGCTTTTCTTTAGCTTCTTTCACTACTTTCTATCTTCCCTCTTCCATACTTTTTCCTCTTTCTATATTTCCCTCTTCCACAGTTTTTCCTCTTTATTATTATTTTTGTCTAATAAACCCTGGTTTTTGTTGTTAAACATAATTTGCTTGCTGAGCTTATTGGATTTAAATCATAATTAGAGAAGCTCAGAAAGCACCATGTTTCATTGACTACATGATGTGAGTGAGTTGATGTTGTCTTTTGAAAGAATCCAGGAGAGAAATTTTCAGTGACAACATCAGATTCTAAGATGCACTAGAGCAAGGAGTATGGATGTCTTGTCCATTCACTTGCTACATGATCTTGGGAAAGTTGCTTAACCTCTGTGAGCCTCAGTTTCCTTACTTGAAAAACAGGGATAAAGATAAAAATTAACTCATAAAATTAATTTCATATAAAGATTATTTTATATGAAACACATAAAGCAGCCTTAGTAAGCTTTTATGATTGTTTTAATGATACTATGCTAATTGCCTGCCAGGATACTTAACACATGGTAGTCATTAAAGATATTTAGAAATTGAATTTTGAATGGGTGAGCTTAACATAACATGCATGATTATCTTTTATTTAGTGACTCGGCACTATGCTGATACTTTGATTGTCCCTCTCCATGAATGTTAAACTGTCTTTATCTTTGTATTCTGGTAACACCTACCTCTGGACTTATATTTGTTTGCAAGAAAAATGAAATGTCTAATTAATTTAAGCCACTGTTTGGTCAGATTTTCTATTACTTGCAGTCAAACCCAATCCTTAACGGATACAGAATTTGGATTAGAAGTCATTAATGCCCAACATTAACAGATCATTCTTCCCCACTTGAACTTCCAGAACAAAGCAACTCTTCCCCCTAACCTCTGCAGTCTACTGTTGCTTGACATAATTAAACTGTCCTTTTGTGTAAATAAAAGCACATTCTCATTCTCCTCAAAAGAAGATTCCCAAAGTCTCAGCTACTGTACCCATTTCCAAGTCCAGATGTCTAGATGTAGTTCTGTTGTAATTCTGCTGCAAACCTGTCTTTATATTTTGTAACCTATGCACTTGTGATATCTCAGTGGGTTCATCTTTCCCATTGCTCAGAAAAGCCAATGCACTGAGAAAAGCAGCTGTTTTTTTTTTTTATTTGTTTGTTTTTGGCAGCAAATAGAGTTTAATTAACACAGGGGTAGCCAAGTGGGAGATGGAGCTTAGTACTCAAATCAGCCTCCCTAAGAACACAGAGGCCAGGGTTTTTATGGATAATTTGGTGGGCAGGGGACTAAGGAATGGGTGCTACTGATTGGTTGGGGATAAAATCATGTGTGTGAAAAATGGTCCTTGTGCTTTGAGTGAGGCTCTGGATGGGGGCCACAGGACCAGCTGAGTCATGAGTCATGGGCCTGGGAGGAGTCAGTTGGTTGCCAGAATGCAAAAGTCTGGAAAACATCTCAGATGACCAATCTCAGATTCTACAATAGTGATATTATCCATAGGAGCAATTGGGGAAGTTACTAATCTTGTTAGCTTTGATGCAGTAAATGATTATGGAAAGTCAAGCTATACCCATAGCTTAGCAGAATTCAGGCCAGTTCCATAATCTTAATCTTGTGGGCTTTCTTCAGTCTTACAGAAGCAGTTTCAGTCTCTGAAAAAGGAGGGGGTCAGTTTTATGGAGGGACTATTATTATCCTTGATTCAAAGTTAAACCATAAACTAAATTCCTCCCATGGTTAGCTTGGCTTATGCCCAAGAATGAGCCAGGACAGCTAGCCTATAAGGCTAAAAGCAGGATGGATTCAGCGATGCTAGAGTTCTCTCACTATCACAATCTTTACAAAGGTAGTTTCACACTAAACTTTAAAGTTCACTGCCTTTATCTTATAAAAATAGGAAAAGGAAGAGAGAAATAAAGGAAAATTAGTTATCACATATGAATGTATGTTAAAATTAGTTGGCATATATTGATACAAATTTATGGATAGCTACTTCAGGTGTCTTTCTGTGACTAGTCCTAAAACTATAAATAGTATTTATAACTTTGTTGCTCAAGTTCCATTTACCCTTAGACAACATCTAAACTGGTCAGCTTTCTTTTCTTTGTGGAGTGACCCGCATCTTCATTTGTGGGACACCTGAGCCCTTGTTGGTACTACTTCTAGGAGGATGTTGTAGTTTTCTATGAGACTCTACCACTGGACATGATGGTACGAGGAAATGTTCCAGAAGTCTCAGGAATTCCATTTTTATTTTCATGTGCCCAAGTAGTATATCAGAAACCCTATTTTCTGCTGCTAACCAAGACCAGAAAACCCAGTCCACATTGTAGTCCCATTTTGTAGCCTATTTTTCTAGTGGTTTGAGTAGCCCCATATAGTCTAGTGTCAATGTCAATATTAAGTTTAATGGGATCACTGATATGTTCTATGTAGTTATTTTTTCTATGCCTACCATTATCTCTAAACTCATAGAGCTCAGAGTCATGGACATGAGAAGCAGAACTTGGCAAATAGACTAGAGGTATAGTAACAGATGCCACTCACACTACCATCCTTTTTCAGAAACAAATTACTGTATTTGTCAGTGTTCCTAGTTGCAAACAATGAAATCCACTCTAGCTAGTTAAGTAGAAAGGGATTTTAAAAACTAGGTAACTCACAGTATCTCCAGGACAACTAGGAACCAGGGCTGGGTTCTACCATCATCCAGGAATAATCCCAATTATGTTGTATGAGCATCCTGGTGAAACCTCAACAATAATCATTGCTTGTGTCATGACAATGATCACGGTAGAGACTAGATGGCAGATACCCAACACACCTGACTCAGAAGAACCAGGTGCTTACATTATCATGGTGACTAGATGACTGAGTTTTTTGCACATGACTTCTGCTTCATTTTTCTCCCTTCCACATCCAAGTCTTGAATGCATGCACATTATTGGCAGAATCTATGTTACTTGTCTGAATCTATATTGCAATGCTGTGGAAAATCATAGTTTTAAAAAATATTTTTGATTATTTGATATGGTTTGGCTTTGTGCCACCACCCAAATCTTATCTTGAATTGTAATCCCCAGGTGTTGAAGGAGGCACCTGGTGGGAGCTGATTGGATCATGGGGGCAGTTTCCCCCATGTTGTTCTTGTGACAGTGAGTGAATTATCGAAGAGATCTGTTGGTTTTATAATGGGCTCTTCCCTCTTTGCTCTCGCTGTCTTGTCTGCCACCATGTAAGACATGCCTGCTTCCTTTTCTGCCATGACTGTAATTTTCCTGAGGCCTCCCCAACCATGTGAAACTGTGAGCCAATTAAATCTCTTTTCTTTATAAATTACCCAATGTTGGGCAATTCTTTATAGCAGTGTGAAAACGGACTAATACATTATTCTTCAGATTGAGAAGAATCACAATATGAAAACTATCAAAATGTAGAGATATTCTTTAATATCTGCATGTCAGTCCCAAATAACATGGTCACTACAGGCTCATTTTGACAATGATACAGCCCTAAGGTTTTTAATTGTTTAATTTTTCATTGAGGTAAAATTCACTTAACATAAAATTAACCATTTAAAAACACAATTCAGCCACATTTAGTACATTTACATTGTCAGGCAACTGCCACATTTATCTAGTTTCTATTCTTTAATTTTTTATTTTCAGTGGATTAATCTCAACAAGCTACAGATTTATTAAAAAGAAATGCAGATAGAGGGAAGCAGGTCACTGTAATTTATACATCAGCATTTTTTGTAAAAAACTTTTATTTTAAGTTCAGGGGTACCTGTGCAGGTTTATTATATAAGTAAGCTTGTGTCATGGGGGTTTGTTGCACAGATTATTTTATCACCCAGGTATTAAGCCTAGTGTCTATTAGTTATTTTTTCTGATCCTCTCCCTTGTCCCACTCTCCATCCTCCAATAAGCCCCAGTTTCTGTTGTTCCCCTCTATGTGACCATGTGTTCTCATCATTTACCTCCCATTTATAAGTGAGAACATATGGTATTTGGTTCCCTGTTCCTGTGTTAGTTTTCTAAGGTTAATGGCCTGCAGCTCCATCCATTTCCCTGAGAAGGATATGATATTATTTTTATGGCTGCATAGTATTCCATGGTGTATATGTACCACATTTTCTTTATCCAGTCTACCATTGATGAGCATTTAGGTTGATTCCATATCTTTGTTATTGTGAACAGTGCTGCAGTGAACATAATGCATTAATGTGTCTTTATGATAGAATGATTTATATTCCCTTGTGTATATACCCAGTAATGGCATTGTTTTTAGGTCTTTGAGGTATCATCACACTGTCTTCCATGATGTTTTCCCATTTATTTATGTCATCTCTGATTTTTTTGGACAGTGTTGTATAGTTTTCCTTGTAGAGATCTTCCACTTCCCTGGTTAGCTCTATTCCTAGGTATTTTATTCTTTTTATGGCAATTGTGAATGGGATTGCATTCCTGATTTGGCACTCAGCTTGACTGTTGTTGGTGTATAAGAATGCTAGTAATTTTTGTTTTAATACATTGATTTTGTATCCTGAGGCTTTGCTGAAGTTGTTTATTAGCTAAAGTATGGGGTTTTCTAGATACAGGATTATGTTGTTTGAAAACAGAGAGTTTGACTTCCTCTCTTCCTATTTGGATGCACTTTATAATTTCTCTTGCCTGATTGCTCTGGACTTCCAATACTATGTTGAACAGGAATGGTGAGAGAGGGTGTTTTGTGTCAGTTTTCAATTATAATGCTTCCAGCTTTTGTCCATTCAGTATGATACTGACTGTGCATTTGTCATAGGTGATTCTTATTATTTTGAGGTATGTTCCTTTAAAACCTTGTTTATTGAGAGTTTTTAATACAAAGCGATGTTGAATTTTATAGAAAGCCTTTTCTGCATCAATTAAGATAATCATGTGGTTTGTGTCTTTAGTTCTGTTTATGTGATAAATCACATTTATTGATTTGCATATGTTGAACCAACCTTGCATTCCAGGGATAAATCCTACTTGATTGTAGTGGATAAGATTTTTGATGTGCTGCTGGATTCAGTTGCCAGTAGTTTATTGAGGATTTTTGCATCAATATTGATCAAGAATATTGGCCTGAAGTTTCCTTTTTTTGTTGTTGTGTCTCTGCCAGGTTTTGGTATCAGGATGATGGTGGCCTCATAGAATGAGTCCTTCCTCCTCAATTTTTGGAATAGTTTCAGTGGGAATGGTACCAGCTCTTGGTAGACTATTTATTACTAATTCAATTTTGGAGCTCATTACTGGTCTGTTCAGGGATTCAGTTTCTTCCTGGCTCAGTCTTGAAAGGGTGTAAGTGTCCAAGAATTTATCCCTTTCTTCTAGATTTTCTAGCTTATGATCATAGAGGTATTTATAATATTCTCTAATAGTTATTTGTATTTCTATGGGGTCAGTTGTGATATCCCCATTGTCATTTCTAATTTTTTTTTGCATCTTCTCTCTTTCTTTTTTATCAGTTTAGTTGGCGGTCTATATATATTATTAATTTTTTTAAAAAATCAACTAGTGTATTCATTGATCTTTTGAATTTTTTTTATGTGTGTCTCAATCTCCTTCAGTTCAGTTCGGTTCAGTTCTTTCTTTTAAGACAGGGTCTCACTCTGTTGCTCAGGCTGGATTGCAGTGGTTCAATCTCAGCTGACTGCAACCTCTGCCTCCTGGGATCAGGCAATTCTTGTGCCCCAGCCTTCTGAGTAGGTGGGACTATAGGTGTGTGCCACCACACCCAGCTAATTTTCGTATTTTCAGTAGAGATGAGGTTTTGCTGTATTGGCCAGGCCTGGTCTTGAATTCCTGGCCTCAAGTGATTCACCTGCTTTGGCCTCCCAAAGTAGTGGGACTACAGGCATGAGCCACCATGCCTAGCCAATTCAGTTCTGATTTCCTGTCTTCTGCCAGTTTCAGGGTTGGTTTTCTCTTGGTTCTCTATTTCTTTTAGTTGTGATCTGAGGTTGTTAGAGTGAGATCTTTCTAACTTTTTGATGTGGGCATTTAGTGCTATAAATTTCCCTCTTAAAACTGCCTTAGCTGTGTCCCAGAGATTTTGGTATGTTGTATTTTTGATCTCATTAGTTTAAAAAAATCTTGATTCCTGCCTTAATTCTATTGTTTACCCAAAAGTCATTTAGGAGCAGGTTATTCAATTTCCATGTGATCGTATGGTTTTGAGCAAATTTCTTAGTCAGGATTTCTAATTTGATTGTGCTGTGGTCTGAGAGTGAATGTTATGATTTCAGGTCTTTTGCATTGCTGAAGACAGTTTTGTGTCTGATTATGTTATCAATTTTTGAATATGTGTCATGTGGTGATGATATGAATGTATATTCTGTTGTTTTTGGGTGGAGAGTTCTGTAGATGTCTACCAAGTTCATTTGATCCAGTGCTGAATTCAGGTCCTGAAAATCTTTGTTAATTTTCTGCCCTGATGAATTGTTTCATACTTTTAGTGGGGTGTTGGAGTCTCCCATTATTGTTGTGCCAGCCTAAGTCTCTTTGAAGGTCTCTAATAACTTGCTTTATAAATCTGGGTGCTCCTGTTTTGGGTGCATATTTATTTAGGGTATTTAGATCTTCTTTTTGAATTGAACCCTTTACCATTATGTAATGCCCTTCTTTATCTTTTTTTTAATCTTTGTTGGTTTAAAATCTGTTTTGTCAGGTACTATGATTGCAACCCATGCTTTTTTCTGTTTTCCATTTGTTTGGTAGATTTTCCTCCATCCTTTTATTTTGAGCCTATGGGTGTCATTGCATGTGAGATGGGTCTCTTAAAGACAGCATATCAATGGGTCTTGGTTCTTTATCCAGCTTGCCACTCTGTGCCTTTTAATTGGAGCATTTTGTTCATTTACATTCATGGTTAATATTGATATGTGTGGATTTTATCCTGTCATAATGATGTTAGCTGGTTATTAATCAGTCTTGTTTGTGTGGTCACATTACAGTCACTGGTCTTTGTACTTAAGTGTGTTTTTTTGTAGTGGCTTTCCATATTTAGTGTTTCTTTCAGGAACTCTTATAAGGCAGGTCTGGTGGTAACAGATTGCCTCAGCATTTGCTTGTCTGTAGAGGGTCTTATTTCTCTTTCGCTCATAAAGCATAGTTTGGCTGGATATGAAATTCTTGGTTGGAATTTCTTTTCTTTAAGAATGAATATTGGCACCCAATCTTTTCTGGTTTGTAGGGTTTCTGCTGAGAGGTCCACTGTTAATCTCACGGGCTTCCTTTTGTAGGTGACCTGATCTTTCTCTCTAGTTACCTTTAACATGTTTTTTTTTTTTTTTCCTTTCATTTCAACCTGGGAGAATCTGATGGTTATGTGTCTTGGGGATGATTTCTTGTGAAGTATATTACTAGGGTTATCTGCATCTCCTGAATATGAATGTTGGCCACTCTAGCTGGGTTGGGAAAGTTTTCATGAATGATATCCTAAAATATGTTTTTGAAGTTGCTTCCATTGTCCCCATCTCTTTCAGGGACACCAATGAGTCATAGATTTGGTCTCTTTACATAATCCCATGTTTCCCAGAAGCTTTTCTTTCTTACTTTCTACTCTTTTCTCTCTTTGTGCTTCTGACTGCATTATTTTAAAAAGGCCAATCTTCAAGCTCTGAGATTCTTTCCTTCACTTGTTTTATTCTGCTATTAATGTTTGTGATTGCATTATGAAATTCTTGTGATGTGTTTTCAGCTCCATCAGGTTGGTTACATTCTTTTCTATACTGGCTATTTTGTCTGTCAGCTCTGGAATAATTTTATTGTGATTCTTAGCTTCCTTGGTTTGGGTTTCAATGTACTTCTGCATCTCAGTGATCTTTCTTTCTATCCATATTCTGAATTCTGTTTCTGTCATTTCAGCCATCTCAGCTGGGTTCAGAACCTTTGTTGGAGAGGTGGTGCTGTCATTTGGAGGAAAAAAGATACTCTTTTTCAGTTGTTAGGGTTATTGTGCTGGTTCTTTCTCATCTTTGAAGTTGCTGTCCTTTGGAATTTTTACATCCTATTTCATGACTTTGAGTGTTTGATTGTGGTATAAGATGGATTCAGCTATTGGGCTTTATTTCTTGAAGAGTTAGGGGGCCAAGGCTCAGCTCCCAACTCCTGGACTGTGTGCTTTAACTCTGGAGAACTTGTATCAGGCCCCAACTTTGTTATATGGCTTCTTGAGGTTACAAATCCTCTGTGTTGCAGGGGCCGATGTACTCCTGGACCACTGGTCAGTTCACTCTGATGGGTGGTGTCAGCCAAAGTATTTTTTAGTGAGGTGACTGTGGGATTTGTCTTTGTTCACATGTACCAGTGGCACCAGCAGTGGCAGTGTGGTGGGGTGCATGCTGGTCAGCTGTGGCAGGGTGCTAGTGGGTGCCAGGGTGTCTGCCTATGTGTGGGCATTCACCAAAGTGGCAGAAGCAATGTGGCTCTGGGAGCTGGGGGCCCCTGCTGGCAACTGTGTGTTTGGTGGTGCTGGTGGTGGTGTTGGCACAGGGGCGGGGCTCTGGCAGGCACAGGTTTGTGTGTGTTCTCTGTGAGCCACAGGCAGGGGTGGTTGCTCTGGGCAGGGAAGGGTCCACTCTTCTCTGTGCCTAGTTTCATTCCCATGGCTGTGTTGGTGCAAGGGTAGGGTGCTGGCAGGGGTGAGGCTGTCTAGCTGTGTGCCCACCAAGGCTCTAACTGCAATGGTAGTTGGTAGGGGGAGGAGAGGTGGATTGCACTCCCATCACAGCAGTGGTAGGACAGGGTGATGCATGCACAGACAGTACTGGAGGGGCAAGGAAGGCAAAACCCACCCATGCACATATGTGCCAACAAAGTAATGTGGGGGATTTCTGTGGGCCTGGGGGAAGCTGCAGTGTAGGGAGGGAGCAGGTGGGCTGGTGTGTGGCCATGGGGGCCGCCCCACTGGAGCTCTCCACCAGTCAGGCACAGTCTGCCAGTGCAGAAGCTATGATGTAGATCCCCACAGCACCCAAGGCTGCTCTGCAAGCAGGTACAGCCAGGTTGTGGACCTGGAAGAGGCCAGCAGGCCAAGGGGTGCTCAGGTTGGACTGACTCAGTCTGATAGGCAAGACTGCCTTGCAGAGTCCAGGTCCGACAGTTCCTCTAAGGCTAATGTTTCCTATGGGAGCAAGCTGAGCCTTGAAGGATGGCTGTGCCTGGCCATGCTCTGCTACAAATGCTCCCGCAACAAACCCTCTGGGCCCCACATCAGCTGGCTTGTTTCCCCTACTTCTCTAAGCAGCTTTCCCTGCCAACTCAAGTGTTGGTAATGGGCAAAAGTTCTCCTCCTGCTGGGTTTCCAGAGGGCTGTGGTGAGAACAGGTTACTCCTTGCCAGTTCAACTCACCTGTTCCCCTGGAGTCATTGTGTGCCAGGAATGAGTCCCAGTGTTCAGTAGCCCTGTGCAGGCTTCCTAGCTTCCACCTGCTTCAGACCAGCTTCTGCACTGTCCCTCCGTCCACTCTTGGTGCCTTTCCTCTGAAGTTGATCTAGTTTCAAAACATTTTTTTCACCCCCTCCCCAAAGAACTTCATTCTTATTAAGAAGTCACTTCCCATTTCTCCCCTTTTCACAGTTCCTGAAGAACCAATCTGCTTCTGTCTCTATGGATTTACCTATATTTCATATAAATGAAATGATACTCTATGTGGCCTTTTGCTTCTGGCTTTTTCACTTAATGTTTTTGAGGGTTTATTCATGTTGCAGCATGTATGATGACTATTCTTTTTTATGGCTGAATAATATTTCATTGTAAGTATATACTACAATTTGTTTATTCATCTGTCAACTGATAGACATTTGGAATATTTCCAGCTTTTGTGAATAACCCTGCTATGAACATTGGTGTACAAATAACTGTTTTAATACTTTTGGGTATATACCTAGGAGTAGAATTGCTGGATCATATATTAATTCTATGTTTACCTTTTTGGGGAACCACAACACTGCTATTCACAGTGTCTGGACTATTTTATGTTCCCACCAGCGATGTACAAAGATTCTAGTTTCTCCATATCTTCAACAATCCCTGTTATTTTCTGATTATATTCATCCTTGTAGGTGTGAAGTGGAATTTGCATTTCCCTAATGACTAATGATGTGGAGTAGCTTTTAATGTGTTTATTAGCCATTTATTGGTATATGTTCTTTGGAGAAATGTCTACTCATGTCTTTTGCCCATTTTTAAATTGGGTTGCTTGACTTTTGGTTGAATTGTAACAGTTCTTTACGCTCTGGATACTAGATCCTTATCATATACATATATATGAGAAGATAATAAGAGAAAATATATTTACTCTTATTCTGTAGGTTGTCTTCTCACTTTATCTATAATGTGCCTTGATGCCCGAATGCTTTTTACTTTTGATGAAGCCCAGTTTATCTTATTTTTCTTTCATTGCTAATGCTTTTGTGTCATATCTAAGATTCCATTGACAAATACAAGATAATAAATATTTGTTCTTATGTTTTCTTCTATGAGTTCAGGGTTCAGTTTTAAATTTTCCAGTAAAGATTTGCACTGGGTCTCTGTATTCAACCAAGGTTTTCCTTTGGTTAAATTCCTTAGTCCCTGGAACCCATGAATTGAGGAGCTTGGGGATTGGTGTTCAGAATGAAATTTAAGAAGATCATTTTCTGTTATTTCTAGCCATAACACTCTTTCCAATCTTCATTTTAGGATTTCAGTTATTGAGGAGAAAGTGAGGAAACTTAATGTTATAGAAAATTAAGACGAGGAAGAGGAAAAAAAAAGCAAGTAAATGATTTTACAGGGGTTTACAGTTAAAAAGCTGTAAAAAATGTGGTATAGAAGTCAAGTCATAAAAAGAAAGCCAAAGAGTTCTTTTTCCCTTTATTTCTCCTACTTGATAGAATGATATATGTTCAATTCAAGAAAAAATTTTACCCAGTTGTCCTTGTAGGCTGGTTATAGCTTTGTCTGGAACATGAGACAGGCTCAGCAGCCTGTTGGAGGTTCAAGGAATTCACACTGTTTTACACATTTTTAATAACCAATTTATTCCTTAAGAGCAAGTTTTAGTCCCTTTGTTTCAATACCTTCCCCTTCCCTCCTTCCTACTTTCTCTCTTTCTTTCTTTCTTCTCTTTCCCTTTCTTTCTTTTCTTTTCTTTCTTTCTTTCTTTTCTCTCTTTCCCTTTCTTTCTTTCTTTTTCTTTCTTTCTTTCTTCCTTTTTTCCTTTCTCCTTCCTTCCTTCCTTCCTTCCTTGCTTCTTCCCTTCCTTCTTCTCTTCCTTCTTTCCTTCCTTCCTTCCCTATGGGATGATAGTATTTAACACCAATTTAGACACAACAATGCTGTATGGTTAGAGATTTGACCTTAATTATACCCAGAACTTTGAGAAGGATGATTCCCAAAGGAGCTGAGGCCCTGTTGAGTGTGGGAGTAGGAGTGAGCTAGTTTCTTTTTCTCTTAGAGCATATTGTTACAGAAATTGCAGTCTAGGGAAATATTTAGCTTTAAAGATAATTTAGAAACCTGTAATTAGTGACAATTCCAGATAAAACCTTGACATGGTATACTGAGGGAGATTAGATATGACAAGTAGAAGATAGTAGGTGTTGGTATATTCAAACATACCCATGAACATAGGTGTTGGTATGTTCAAACAGATCCATTTCCTCTGACAGGATCATTTAGTCTGTTAAAAATAAACATGAATGTAGCTAGATGGTCACTTTCCTTCCTTTTTCCCTTTGATTTTGGAAGTTGTACATGCTCATTGTATTATATTCTGAAAACTCAGAAAAGAATAAAAAGTAAACACACTCATCAATAATCTCTCCTCATTCAGTGATAATTACTATTATCATCCATTTTTGTGTATTATTTTCTTTAATCATTTTCCAAAGTAAAAGGAATAATATAAAACATATTAATACACTGTTCTTTTTCACATATACTTAAGTGTGATTTGCCCAAGATTCAGCCAAACACATTATTTGCCAACAAGAAAATGAAGGTTCTGTCGAGGCTCAGAAAATGGTACCCTAAAGTATGTCACTTTGTCATGCTGAGCACTTAGAATTAAAGGAAATTGGAAGGACTTAGAAGCTGCCTCAGAATCAAGGTCTCTCTGATCTTACCTTGTATCTCCCCATAGAGAGAGGGGAGGAACTCTTTCTGAAATTCCTTTATCTGACTGGGGGACGTTCTTCCACAAGAAACACAATTGTCTTCAATCCCCTGTCTGAAATTTCACTAACTAGGGAAGCTTAACCACTGAAGAAGAAACTAAAGGTCACCCTGCCTGCCTAGACAGACTTTTCATCTATTCTTCTGGGAGCTATTACCTGAGAGACTTTATCTGCAAAATAAAACAACCTCTGTTCACTGTGCAGTTCTGCCCCTCACCTGCCTATAACTTGCCATCACTTCCCTTGGAGCCCTCAGGAACTTTAGCCCAGGCTATTGTCTGTTCTTCATCCTACAAGCTTGGATATTAATATATTTGTATGCCGTTTCTCCTGTTAATCTGTCTTTGGTCAGTTTATTTCCGCAGATTCAATGATTGAAACTTCAGAGAGAAAGTTTAAACTTCCCTATAGTTCTTTTAGCAGAGAGGCACAGATACTTTCAACTTTCAATACAGGATCTTGAAGTCCATGGTAAGACAGTCATAAAAGCCAGGCTTTGTCAAGGCAGAAAAGAATTTTCAAAATTCAACAACTTTCCTCTTACATGCCAAGAGGAGTTTAGCAGTTTGATCAAAGAGTTTTACTACAAACCATGCAGAGAACGAAAAATCAGAATATAAAATATGGAAAGTGCCTGCCCTGGGAGGGAACAAGGGGAGAGTTGGAGGGGGAGAAGGGAGACAGGAGAAATAGAAGGGGAGTTGGGTAAAGGCTAGAGTGAGACTACTGTGTTTGATTTCTTGTCTCCCCTACTCCATTCCCTCCTGTTTCTGGTCATCAGTCCAACAGTGTGGTCATGGAGTGAGGACTGGCAAGATAAAAATAAATCTGATAGACACCCCAGAGAGCTTGAGAGGTTTATTCTTCCTCACTGTGATCAGAATGGTGCAGGCTGAGGCGAGTAGAAAGTGGGCTTTGGTATTTCTAGTTCTAGACCCTGGAGGAATCGCCACTGTTTTCCACAATGGTTGAACTAATTTACACTCCCACCAACAGTGTAAAAGCGTTCTTATTTCTTCACATCCTCTCCAGCATCTGTTGTTTCCTGACTTTTTAATGATCGCCATTCTCACTGGCATGAGATGGTTTCTCATTGTGATTTTGATTTGCATTTCTCTAATGACAAGTGATGATAAGCATTTTTTCTTAAGTATGTTGACTGAATAAATGTCTTCTTTTGAGAAGTGTCTGTTCATATCCTTCACCCATTTTTTGATGGGGTTGTTTGTCTTTTTCTTATAAATTTGTTTAAGTTCTTTGTAGATTCTGGATATTAGCCCTTTATTAGATGGATAGATTGCAAAATTTTTCTCTCAATCTGTAGGTTGCCTGTTCACTCTGCTGATAGTTTCTTTTGCCTTGCAGACTAGATAAAAAAAATGTGGCACATATGCACCATGGAATACTATGCAGCCATAAAAAAGGATGAGTTCATGTCCTTTGCAGGGACATGGATGAAACTGCAAACCATCATTCTCAGCAAAGTAACACATGAAGAGAAAACAATTCCATTATTGCCTTATTTTGGGAAATGGCCACAGCCACCCTAGGTTTCAACAACCACCACCCTGATCAGTCAGCAGCCATCAACATAAAGGCAAGACCCTACACCAGCAAAAAAAAAAATGACTCCCTGAAGGCTCAGATGATCATTAGTATATTTTAGCAGTAAAATATTTTAATTAAAGTACATACATTTTTTAGACATAATACTACTACAAACTTCATAGACTATAATATATAGTGTAAACTTAAATTTTATATGCACTAAGAAATGAAAAAGTTGTGTGTGGCTCTTGTATGTCTAATTCAGAAATGAAAACATTATTCCAGATATGATTTGACTAAATTTGACTAAATCTATATATAACTTTTATCAAGGCTAGTTGTTTCTTAGATAAATATTTCATCCAGGAAAATGTCTTAATTTTGATCATTTTGCTTAGGTTATATCTTTAATAATAATGTGTACATTTCTGGGTTAGACACTTAAGATAAATATTGACCTACAGAGTCAGGTTCAGATGCGGGTAATCATGACGGCAAAAGGCCTGGATAACATTTTTTATTTTTAATAAATACACACGGGATTATTTAAGGATAGAGAGGCAAAGGAGCATAATGTATGCAACTTACTCTCAAATGACTCAGAAATATATATACATATATATACACATATACATATACATATATAAAATCAGAAGCCTCAAAGATAGGACCTCCCAGCAAGATTTTAAACTGAATCTAGAAAGACAAAAACCTCAGAGTAAAGGAAGCCTTTCTTTCTTTTTTTTTTTACGTTAGATATTTCTCCTAATGCTATCCCTTTCCCAGCCCCCCATCCCCAACAGGCCCCAGTGTGTGATATTTCCCTCCCTGTGTCCATATGTTCTCATTGTAGTTCTCTTGCTATTTCTGTCACATCTGTACTTCCTCCACTGAAGTCCTGAACCCCTCAAAGTCATGCATGAGGGTTGGAATCAACTTCTTCCAAACTCCTGTTAATCTTCATATGTTACCTTTTCCCATGAATCACATTCTTAATGCATGTTGAATGGTGACTCCTATTCAGATGGTTTTCAACTGCCCAGATCTATCAGAGGAATTACTATGTATGGCGGCTAAAGCCCTATGAAATTTATTTCTTAAATAATAAAACTCAAAAATCAAAATGACTCCTTGATTCATGGGCTGTAGAATGAATGCTGCATTAAGAGGCATGAAAGTGACATTCATCTCCTATACATCTTCATCAAGCTCTTGGGTGATCAGATGCATTGTCAATGAACAGTAATAATTTTAAACAAATCAGAAGTAGCTTGGAATCTTCATTGAAGACTATCCATGGCATTTTCTTTGGCATAACAACATAGAAAGTCACTGTGGTGCTTTGCAGTAATCTTCTCAAGTCACTCACTGGTTATGTCTTGTGTATTCTCAGAAAATTCCTATGACCTTTCACTTCTGTGGACTGCTAATCACTGCTATTTATTGAGCATATACTATGCCCTAATTTCCATGTTAAGCCATGGCTTAGGTATCACAAAACCCCCAATGAGGTAGATGTTCCTGCTGTTTCCATTTCAGGGATGAAAAAAGTGAAGTTTAGAGAGCCCTTTGCCCATTCTCCTGCAACTTCTACATGGCAGAACCAGGATATGAGACCTTGTCTCCTGTCCAAACTCTTGGGCTTGATTTCAAAAAGTCCTCTACAATTTATTCAAAATGCAGCATACTGCCTGGCATGTAGTAGTTGCTCAGTATATATTTATTGATGAATGAATGAATGCCTTTACATTCTTTTAGTTTATATAACTATTGGAGGCTCTATTCATATAGTCCATTTTGATTCTGACAGTCATACATCCCCCTCTTGATACTACTTGTGTTTTAATTTATATTATTATTTACACTGTGTATTGTTATTTATGGTATTAGTCCATTTGTGTTACTATAAAGGAATGCCTGACACTGGGTAATTTATAAAGAAAAGAGGTTCAATTGGCCTGCAGGATGCAGAGTGTACAGGAAGCATGGTGTCAACATCTGCTTCTGGTTAGGCCTCAGGAAGCTTATAATTGCGGTGGAAGGTGAAGGGGGAGCAGACACATCACATGGTGAAAGCAGGAGCAAGAGAGTGATGTGGGGGGAGATCCCAGACTTTTAAATAACCAGATCTTGTGTGAACTGAGTAAGAACTCACTTATCATAAAGCGGATGGTGCTAAACCTTTCAAGAGGATTTGCCCTCACGATCCAATTATCTCCCACCAGGCCCCACCTCCACTGTGAATTGCATTTTAACATGAGATTTGGAGGGGACAAACACCTAAACCACATCATTTACTGTCTCATTTAAAACATTTATTCCACCAGATGGTAATGTCTTTGAGGAATACATAGTTTCTGTAATTCCTTGAATCACAAACCCAGTGCCTTGCTCATTTCAAGATTATTTGACTCAGGTTGGTCTCACCCTGATATAGTTTGGATCTACATCTCCACACAAACCTCATGTTCAGTTGTAATCCTTAATGCTGAAGGTGGGGCCTGGCAGGAGGTGATTGGATTATAGGTGCAAAGTTCTCATATGAATGGATTACACCATCCTCTCCGTGCTGTTCTCATGATAGTGAGTGAGTTATCATGAGAACTGGTTGTTTAAAAGTGTGTAGCACCTTTCCCTGCCTCGCTCTTCCTTCTGCTCCAGCCATGTAAGATGCACCTGCTTCTCCTTCACCATCCACCATGATTGTAAGTTTCCTGAAGTCTCCTCAGAAGCAGAAACCACTATGCTCTTTGTACAGCCTGCAGAACCATGAGCCAATTAAACCTCTTTTTATTTTATTTTTTTAAAATAAACTACCCAGTCTCAAGCGTTTCTTTATAGAAATGTGAGAATGGCCTAATACATACCCTTTGACCTCTATGCTGCATGATGGTAAGAATCATGTTTATTTTTGCTGAATATTAAATTCTTAGGGCTGAACACAGGAGATAAACCCATAACAGAAGCTCAAAATATTAATATTAATGTTGTATTCTAAACTATTAGACAATGCATTAGCTTTTGACAGAACGTGGTTCTGCTCCTTAAAAGCAATATGATCCTGGACAAGATAATTAACCTCTATGAACTCAGTTTCCTCATGTGTAAAATGAAATAATAACAATACCACCTACACAGGATTGTTGTAAACACTCAGCAGTTAGGATGAGCTTGATAGATGTTTTGGTTGAAAGGTATACAGAATACAAATTCACTGTTGCTGAGGATTATTTTATGATCTAGAAAATTCGCTTAGAGTAACATAAAAGTGTGCTTCTTCTAGAGAAGTCCTAGAACACCATCAGTCAAAGCATCCTAGGCCAAACACTAGGAGGATTCTGCAAGGCCTTCCATACAGCCTTCTGCCTCCATGCTCTCTAATCTAGAATTTCCCAATAGGCCAAATACAAGCAATGTTTAGGATGTTTATGGCTGTTGCATGTAAAAAAGATTTTGTAGTAAAGAAAAAACATGGAAGAGCTCAATGAAAAAGTTGTGTTCTGTAAGTAGTACTTCTCATATCTTTTAGTATGGCATGATTATGGTATAATTGCAACATTTGGCATTCTGACCACCAAATTCTTTTTTTTCTTCTGTCCTATAGGATTGATAATGTGTTCCTCAGATCCTCAGACCATTCTTGAGAAAATCTAGAATGTCTAGTTTCTAGTCTTGTGCCAAAGTACTGTAAAAGTAACCAATTCCAGTGAACAAGATGTTCTTTAGAATATAGAAGACTGGGTTAGAATAGATTTATGTATAAGTGTAATAGAAAGAGATTTCTCAAATTAGTACTTCATGAGAATGATAGATACTGAAATAATGAATGACAAACCTACCTGATGCTTAGAGAATAAGGCAAATAAAGCCATGGTTTTTGAACTTGCCTTAATCATCCTACAAACCTCAAGGCTCAAACCACACCTCCCACTAAGTGTAAAAGTTTTAGTTTGTACACAGGAGAGAAACTGAAAGGTTGTTTTCATTCTAAACACATTCCTCTTAGAGGAGAAATTTCAGAAATTTAAATATAGCAGCAGGAAAAACCTTCAAGTGGAACTAAGTATAAATAAATCAAAATATATTGTCCTTCACTGCATACTCAAGGTATTTTATTTGTGACTCTTTGTAGGAGTCAGAAAATGGTAAGACTCCTATTCATTAGAGATCATGCTATGCTGCATCTTGAGGACTGGTTACCATTTTCTTTCTTTTTTTTTTATTATACTTTAAGTTTTAAGTTCTAGGGTACATGTGCACAACGTGCAGGTTTGTTACTTATGTATACATGTGCCATGTTGGTGTGCTGCACCCATTAACTTGTCATTTACATTAGGTACCATTTTCAAAGCTTTTAGATTCTTTCATGAATCAGAGAAACAGCTTCTATTCTCACATTGTGTCATGGCTGTGAATACCTGTTGGAAGCTTTAGATAATGCTTGGTAGATATTTCCCCAAGTAAACATACTTTATTATTGTAGTTTACTTTTTAATGATTTCCAAGAGCTGATGTTGAAAAGTTGAGCTATCCCCAAAATGTTTTGGTTGGACTGTCAATATGCTAATCTGATATAGTAGCAACTGTGATCCCAATAGTAATATCCCCTTTTCCTTTATATTTTTGTCTTTCATTTTCTTGTTTTAAGAAAAAAAAAATCCTCAACTTCGGAATAAATCTTTTCCTCCTTAGGCAGAACTCATTAAATTTTCTCTTTTAGGAAACAGGGCTTGGGAGGATCTTCTGTGACACTATCAACACACATTTTTCAATTACATATGTACCATAGAAAGGTAATGTTCTCTATCATAGAAGGTTCTACCAGCTATTTCAAAACATTTTCATATTTACTTATAAAATAGTCAAAACCAAGGGAATTTTCTTCTCAAGGCCTACTTTTTCTACCATTGGGAACATTACTTGGGGGCTTACCATATGTCTGAATTTACAATAACTATCTAACTATCTTAACCCCTTTTACAGATGAAAAAAACAGAAGAGCCAGGATGTCACCCAGGCAGTGACCCTCAGAGCCTGGGTTCCTTATTATCACCTTGTAGGTGAGCAAGCCTGTGCTAAGTGCTCCAATAGAGTCTAAGAGAATTATTAGGAACACACATGAGATCCTCCACTGTGTCCTCTCTGCCCACCTTTTTAATCCTTTCCATAACCCTCAACCCTTGTCTGTAAAGTAAAAACACCCCTTCCCCCCTTTTAGTGGTTGCAAATAAATACCAGGGTAAGGTAAGGTACAGAATTGAGGATGAGGCACATAAGTAATATCTGTCAGTATTTATCACCTTTGAACCCCAGCAAACCAGCCCAAAATGCCTGGTTAATGGTGTAATACAGATTAGCATCTGACTCTGTCTCCCAAGGGACTTTGCCAAAGCCCTAAAGGACGGAGCTGTTAACATGAAGTTTTGGCCAGGTGTGGTGGCTCAGGTCTCTAATGCCAGAACTTTGGGAGGTCAAGGTGGGAAGATTGCTTGAAGCTAGGAGTTTGAGACTAGTCTGGGCAATGTGGTGAAACCCCATCTCTACAGAAAACACAAAAATTAGCTGGGTGTAGTGGCGTGTGCCTGTAGTCCCAGCTTCTCAGGAAGCTGAGGTGGGAAGGTCACTTGAGCCCAGAAGGTGGAGGTTGCAGTGAGCCAAGATCAGGCCACTGCACTGCAGCCTGGGTGACATAGCAAGACCCTGTCTTGAAAAAGAAAAAAAAAAGTGTTACTTCTCAAAAGAAGATATTTATGCAGCCAAAAAACACATGAAAAAATGCTTATCATCACTGGCCATCAGAGAAATGCAAATCAAAACCACAATGAGATACCATCTCACACCAGTTAGAATGGTGATCATTAAAAAGTCAGGAAACAACAGGTGCTGGAGAGGATGTGGAGAAATAGGAACACTTTTACACTGTTGGTGGGACTGTAAACTAGTTCAACCATTGTGGAACTCGGTGTGGCAATTCCTCAGGGATCTAGAACTAGAAATACCATTTGACCCAGCCATCCCATTACTGGGTATATACCCAAAGGATTATAAATCATGCTGCTATAAAGACACATGTATGTTTATTGTGGCACTATTCACAATAGCAAAGACTTGGAACCAACCCAAATGTCCAACAATGATAAAGTGGATTAAGAAAATGTGGCACATATAAACCATGGAATACTATGCAGCCATAAAAAAGGATGAGTTCATGTCCTTTGTAAGGACATGGACGAAGCTGGACACCATCATTCTCAGCAATCTATCGCAAGGACAAAAAGCCAAACACCGCATGTTTTCACTCATAGGTGGGAATTGAACAGTGAGAACACATGGACACAGGAAGGGGAACATTACACACTGGGGACTGTTGTGGGGTAGGGGGAGTGGGGAGGGATAGCATTAGGAGATATACCTAATGCTAAATGACGAGTTAATAGGTGCAGCACACCAACATGGCACATGTATACGTATGTAACAAACCTGCATGTTGTGCACATGTACCCTAAAATTTAAAGTATAGTAATAATAAAAAAAAGAAAAAGAAAAAAAAGTGTTAAAGCAAAATCAGCAGGAGGCCATTAGCATACGATTGCTTCTGTACCTGGAACTTTCACCCAAGCAACCCAAAACTTCACTTAGAGGCATTCCTTACAGTTGATTAATTTTGAATCAAGCTTTAGCCAATCACAAACAACCAATTAGCAGGTTGGTTGTATAACTAGAGGCCTTTATCAAATCATACCCGTATAAGACAAACACCTAGCTGTAGCCAATCAAGTAATCCCTTTGCTTCCGTGTCCAGTTCATAAAAGCTCACTGCTCATGCCGCTGGAGCAAAGCTCTCTGAATATCTTCCTGCTTTCAGCGCTGCCCAGTTAATTTGTTATTTGCTCAAATAAGCCCTGTTAAATGTACTGCCTAAAGTTTTTCTTTTAATAGAAGTTAAAACTTAAATAAAATGAAATAATATGAAATATGCCCCATTAAGTATTTCGTTAGAAAATGAGTGACTATGTGGAGCGGGCAATAGGATGCAACATTAGGGGGTTTCCTCCAGCTTTGCCCAGTGATGGTGGGAATGGAAGAGGACTGAGGCAGGGGCCATTATCATGGTTTCCGGCAACCTCTTGAGAATGGGAGCAGCAAGGGAAGGGGTATCAGTCATGGTCATTTGAGTGTCTTTAGAGATGCCCCAAGAAACTCCCAGATCAAGAAGATCTAGATCTGGTGCTAGGTTTCCAGTAAACTTGGAGGTGGAGTTTGTCACTGTCACTGGGCCTTTTTTGTATCCTGTAGGCCAATATGTTTTGGGGAGTTTCGGGTCATGCAATCTGATGTTTATAGATCTGTTTGTAAAAAACTTAACATAAGAGGTTCTAAACTCTCAATATGCCAGTGCTGTGATTATTGAGCTGTTTGATCTAAAAAGGGGTCTGCCTTTATTTAGGAACAAAAAAAATCTAACAGGATGCTGTTGTTCATTTTCATACTCTGATTTCTATTTTCAAGACATATTTTTTTATTTTCTTATGTCTTATACTCCATTCTGGCAGACTTTATTTATTTATTTATTTATTTATTTATTTATTTATTTATTTTCAGGTAGCTGTTTAATTATCCCCATTTCACAGATGATAACCGGAGCCTAGAGGGAAAAGAAACAGAGCAACGGTTAACATATAGGGCTAGTTGCATTACCTAAAAATAATTCAGGTTTACTTGTCATTTCAGTTAAATAACAGAGAATCAAATCGGCTCATTCCACTGCTGATGTGGCAATGATGGCAATGATGGCTATGAACAATGAGGATTCCCAGTTCTGACCCACTTATTCCATAAGGGCTCAGCCAGCCTGCAGGTGACACCTGGGTAAATGTGGAGCCCACACACACAACACATTTCTAGACAGAAGAGCTGACATCTTCAATCTGAAATTCTCATCTAGTGGGCATTAAAAACCCTATATGAGTCCCATAATATTTGATATGAACAAATAGTTAAGTGGGTTAAAGTCTGTATCTACCTACATGAACCAGAAGGAAGACTCAAAACAGAAAAAAAAATCTGGTTTCTGAACCAGTAATGCCTTCTTTGTTGAAATTCTCTAGAATTATCATATTATCTCCTGCAACTCTTAACCAGAAGAGCAAATGTTCTCTCTCTACCAGGAAATGAATTAACTGTCATAATGTCTTGAAACAGATTTAATATAGTTCCTGATGGTCATGTGAATAATAATTTCCTTTCACTATCGAGAAAAACGAAAACTGACTAGAGTACATTAGGTGTCTATTAAATGGATCATTATAAACTTGATTTCTTAATATGTCTGTATTTATATAAGGACTCAGAAATTATTCTAGTTCAATGGTAGACATCTGCTAATTAATAAAAAATTTTAAAATTTAAATGTATGTCCATGTTTTCAGGTTGAATAAGAAAGAACCGTGCTTAGTTATATAAACAAATCTTGGTTAACTGAACTGAATTTGAGTGAATAATTATGAATAATATACATTTTTGTTTTTCTAATTAAATGTGTCCCCTCAATTAAAATATGTTTACGTAATTGCCTTTCCCAGTTTTGAATTCAATGGCAGAGATGAATTTTTTATCAGACATCACTACGCAGTCATCACCATCAAAAAAGTCAATATGAACCTCTACTGCTAGGCAAATGCTGTTTGGTTCAATCAGGTTGGTCTCCTTTCTGCTCCTTAGCCACACTACACTCTGCCTCCTTATGTTTACCTAATGTGGAAGGCCTTTTCCAGTTTTGCCCACATCCTCTGAGGCCTTGCTTAGGATATCTATGTGTTTTGATAATTTCCTTCTCCAAATCCTTCCAAGTTTGCCTGCAGTACCCAATCAGAATCTTAATATATGCTATCTTGTTCTCTACATGACTCTGTTATGTACTTTTATACAAGCAGTAGTGGATACACACGTACTGTTGTGTACTTCTAAAAGAAGTAATGGATATTAGTTTGTTCATGACTTATTTCCTTAATGTATAACTTATTTTTCACATAAATTATTTCCTCAATTATATTATAATCCTCTAGAGAGTAAGCTGTATAACTCAGTTTAATTATTTTGTATTTCTTCACACCTAGTGGATGGCTGGTGTCTGTCAGAGTTGCTTAATAATTTCTTGGGCATTGGTTGCAGTTTAATATTTTTCCAGAATAGCTTTTAATTAATCTGTGGGGAGTTTCATTCATAGGCTAATTTAGCTAATTTATTTATTATTTTAAAAAACAGAGACAGGGTCCCTGCTCTGTCACTCAGGCGGAAATGCAGTGGCATGACCATAGCTCACTAGCCTCAACCTCTCGGGCTCAAGATCCTCCCACCTCAGGCTCCTTAGTAGCTGGGGCTAAAGGCATGTGCCACCACGCCTGGCTTATTTATGTATATATTTGAGACAGACTCTCACTCCATCACTCAGGCTGGAGCGCAGTGGCATGATCTCGGCTCACTGGAACCTCTGCCTCCTGGGTTCAAGCGATTCTCCTGTCTCAGCCTCCTGAGTAGCTGGGATCACAGGCACGTGCAACCATGCCTGGCTAACTTTTGTAGTTTCAGTAAAGATAGGGTTTCACCATGTTGGCCAGGCTGGTCTCGAACTCCTGACCTCAGATGATTCGCCCACCTTGGCCTCCAAAAGTGCTGGGATTACAGGCATGAGCCACTGCTCCCAGCCTATTTAATTTTTTTTTTTTTTTTTGGTAGAAACAGGGTTTCGCTATTGTTGCCCAGACCCTGACTGGCCTCTAATTCTTGACCTCAAGTGATCCTTTCACCTTGGGCTCCTAAAGTGCTGGGATTATAGATGTGAGCCGCTGCCCCAGCCTAATTTAGCTGATTTAATAAATTTACAAAATTAAAAGATGTCATGCAAGACATTTCTCTCTATTAAATATAAAAGACTACATTTTAAAAGAGTCTTATTTCAGATTTTTTAACTCAGTTACTTAGTAGTTACTCTAAGTAAACACTCTTCTTTGTAGCAGGCTAGAGAGTGTATGCAGTGGTGATTCCTTCTTTCTATCTCTTTTTCATTCGGCTTAGGGGGTTTGTTAAGACCTAAAATGTATGGTTGTTAAAGAACTTTGCAATTCTCTAAACATTTTTATTATAGTTATTTTTTCCTAATTATAATGTAGAACATGCTTGATGCAGAAAACTTGAAGCATCTAGAAAAGCAGAAAGGCAAACAAAG
Organism: Homo sapiens; assembly: GCF_000001405.40. Classification (NCBI taxonomy): domain Eukaryota; kingdom Metazoa; phylum Chordata; class Mammalia; order Primates; family Hominidae; genus Homo; species Homo sapiens. Next base: position 214,780,218 of record NC_000001.11, read on the forward strand.
CAAAAGAATCACCCATAATCTTCTTGGTCTCTTCACTAATATCTTGGGTATTTTGGCCCTTACAGTACATTTTCTAGAGTGAGAATGAATCCAGAATGCTTTTGAAGCCTGAACTTTTACATTTTGGGGGACTTTCTTTAAGAAAAATAGTATAAAATTATAAATGCAAAATTGAATTTGAACATGAATATTTATATAGAATGAGAGAGAAAATCTTAAAAATTATAAATTTTATAAAGTTAAAAATACTCCAGATACCATACAATCCAGAAAAATCAATTATTGCATTAATTGTTTTTGTTTTTGTTTTTTTTTTTTTTTTTTTGAGACGGAGTCTCACTGTATCACCAGGTTGGAGTGCAGTGGCGCGATCTCGGCTCACTGCAACCTCCAACTCCCGGGTTCAAGCGAGTCTCCTGCTTCAGCTTCCCCCGTAGCTGGGACTACAGGTGCATGCCACCACGCCCAGCTAATTTTTGTATTTTTAGTGGAGATGGGGTTTCACCATGTTGGCCAGGATGGTCTTGATCTCTTGAACTCATGATCTGCCTGCCTCAGCCTCCCAAAGTCCTGGGATTACAGGCGTGAACCACCGCGCCTGGCATGTTAACTCTTTTATTGCTTGACACTCCTCTCCCACCCCTACATTTTGGATTGAATACTCATTGGTGACCTCTTTGAAAGGCAATTATTTTATAATAGCATTTTCTACGGAGACTAGAAAGAGAATGAAAAGAATAATTCAGTCTTCTCCCTCACATGGGTGATCAAAATTAATATTTGTATTATTGCTAGTTTGGAAGAGTTCTTTTTTAATAAAAAAATCACACACCTTATTGGTATTACTTCATCTGTAACTTCTTCAGTTACAGATGTGGGGAGGGGTGGGCGTTTCTGGCTAGGATGCAAGCCCTTTTCCCACAAAGGTGTCTAGTCTAGAGGGGATGAAGTGGCCATGCAGTCGGGGTTGAGTGGCCCTCTGAACCAGAAACTGGACAGTGACTCATTTCCATCTCTCTCCTTGGGGGACAAATATAGGGTCTAAGTACTGCATAACATTTTCCAGGGGTGGGTTCTTGCTGGGCCTGGTGGCTGTGGAGGTAGGTCTGGCAGATGGCAGACTCTTGAACCCAAAGAAAAACACCAAAATGGAGAAGATGATCTCTAGTCTGGGGCACCCTGAAGCTGAAATTTTTCCTATTGCAACCGTAATAGCTCAGTCGCTGAATGCTCACAACAAGTCAATATGCCGAGACACTGGGTTGCAGCAGAGAAAGAGGTTTAATCATATGGCTGCCAAAGGATGACATGGGAGAGAACCTCAAATCCAGCTTCCTGTAGAATTTGAGGCTGGAGTTTCTACGGGTTTTGGAGTGGGTCGAAGAGTAGAGATGGTTGATTGGTTGAAGAGTGCATTGCGAAGTCATGTGACTGGTTGATGAAGAAACTGATTTTTCATGCTAATTCTGTACTTCTGTGGGGGTCTTCAAACTGGTTGTGCCAGCTGTTGCACTGGAATTTGGGATCCGAAAAATATCTCCAGTGATAACCAGGACTTGAACTCAGCTCTGTACCAAGCAGACCTAATAGACATCTACAGAACTCTCCACCCCAAATCAACAGAATATACATTCTTCTCAGCACCACATCGCACTTATTCTAAAATTGACCATATAGTTGGAAGTTAAGCACTCCTCAGCAAATATAAAAGAACAGAAATCACAACAAACTGTCTCTCAGACCACAGTGGAATCAAATTAGAACACAGGATTAAGAAACTAACTCAAAATCGCACAACTACATGGAAACTGAACAACCTGCTCCTGAGTGACTACTGGGCAAATAATGAAATGAAGGCAGAAATAAAGATGGTCTTTGAAACCAATGAGAACAAAGACACAACATACCAGAATCTCTGGGACACATTTAAAGCAGTGTGTAGAGGGAAATTTATAGCACTAAATGCCCACAAGAGAAAGCAGGAAAGATCTAAAATCGACACCCTAACATCACAATTAAAAGAACTAGAGAAGCAAGAGCAAACACATTCAAAAGCTAGCAGAAGGCAAGAAATAACTAAGATCAGAGCAGAACTGAAGGAGAGATAGAGACACAAAAAACCCTTCAAAAAAATCAATGAATCCAGGAGCTGGTTTTTTGAAAAGATCAACAAAATTGATAGACTGCTAGCAAGATTAATAAAGAAGAAAAGAGAGAAGAATCAAATAGATGCAATAAAAAATGATATAGGGGATATCACCACTTATCCCACAGAAATACAAACTACCATCATAGAATACTATAAACATCTCTATGCAAATAAACTAGAAAATCTAGATGAAATGGATAAATTCATGGACGCATACACCCTCCCAAGACTAAACCAGGAAGAAGTTGAATCTCTGAATAGACCAGTAACAGGCTCTGAAATTGAAGCAATAATTAATAGCCTACCAACCAAAAAAAGTCCAGGACCAGACGGATTCACAGCCAAATTCTACCAGCGGTACAAAGAGGAGATGGTATCATTCCTTCTGAAACTATTCCAATCAAAAGAAATAGAGGGAATTCTCCCTAACTCATTTTATGAGGCCAGCATTGTCCTGATACCAAAGCCTGGCAGAGACACAACAAAAAGAGACAATTTTAGACCAATATCCCTGATGAACACTGATGCAAAAATCCTCAATAAAATACTGGCAAACTAAATCCAGCAGCACATCAAAAAGCTTATCCACCATGATCAACTCGGCTTCATCCCTGTGATGCAAGCAAGGCTGGTTCAATATACACAAATCAATAAACGTAATCCATCATATAAACAGAACCAAAGACAAAAACCACATGATTGTCTCAATAGATGCAGAAAAGGCCTTTGACAAAATTCAACAGCCCTTCATCTAAAAACTCTCAATAAACTAGGTATTGATGGAATGTATCTCAAAATAATAAGAGCTATTTATGACAAACCCACAGCCAATATCATACTGAATTGGCAAAAACTGGAAGCATTCCCTTTGAAAACTGGTACAAGACAAGGATGCCCTGTCTCACCACTCCTGTTCAACATAGTGTTGGAAGTTTTGGCCAGGGCAATCAGGCAAGAGAAAGAAATAAAGGGTATTCAATTAGGAAAAGAGGAAGTCAAATTGTCCCTGTTTGCAGATAACATGATTGTATATTTAGAAAACCCCATTGTCTGAGCCCAAAATCTCCTTAAGCTGATAACTTCAGCAAAGTGTCAGGATACAAAATCAATGTGCAAAAATCACAAGTGTTCCTATACACCAGTAACAGACAAACAGAGAGCCAAATCCTGAGTGAACTCCCATTTGCAATTGCTACAAAGAGAATAAAATACCTAGAAATACAACTTACAACAGCTGTGAAGGACCTCTTCAAGGAGAACTACAAACCACTGCTCAACGAAATAAAAGAGGATACAAACAAAGGGAAGAACATTCCATGCTCATGGATAGGAAGAATCAATATCGTGCAAGGGGCCATACTGCCCAAGGTAATTCATAGATTCAATGCCATTCCTAACAAGCTACCAATGACTTTCTTCACAGAACTGGAAAAAACTATTTTAAAGTTCATATGGAACCAAAAAAGAGCCCACATTGCCAAGACAATCCAAGCAAAATGAACAAAGCTGGAGGCATCATGCTACCTGACTTCAAACTATGCTACAAGGCTACAGTAACCAAAACAGCATGCATCTGGTACCAAAACAGATATATAGACCAATGGAACAGAACAGAGGCCTCAGAAATAACACCACACATCTGTAACTATCTGATCTTTCACAAACCTGACAAAAACAAGCAGGGGGAAAGGATTCCCTATTTTATAAATGGTGTTGGGAAAGCTGGCTAGCCATATGTAGAAAGCTGAAACTGGATCCCTTCCTTACAGTTTATACAAAAATTGATTCAAGATGGATTAAGGACTTAAATGTTAGACCTAAAACCATAGAAACCCTAGAAAAAAACCTGGGCAATACCATTCAGGACATAGGCATGGGCAAGGACTTCATGAGTAAAACACCAAAAGCAATGGCAACAAAGGCCAAAATAGACAAATGGGATCTAAACCAAAGATTAAACCAAAGAGCTTCTGCACAGCAAAAGAAACTACCATCAGAGTGAACAGGCAACCTACAGAATGGGAGAAAATTTTTGCACTCTGCCCATGCGACAAAGGACAAATATCCAGAATCTACAAAGAACTTAAACAGATTTACAAGAAAAATACAACCCTATCAAAAAGTGGGCAAAGGATATAAACAGACACTTCTCAAAAGAAGACATTTATGCAGCCAACAGACACATGAAAAAATGCTCATCATCACTGGTCATCAGAGAAATGCAAATCAAGTCCACAATGAGATACCATGTCATGCCAGTTAGAATGGCGATCACTGAAAAAGTCAGGAAACAACAGATGCTGGAGAGGATGTGGAGAAATAGGAACACTTTTACACTGTTAGTGGGAGTGTAAATTAGTTCAACCATTGTGGAAGACAGTGTGGTGATTCCACAAGGATCTGGAACCAGAAATGCCATTGGACCCAGTGATCCCATTACTGGATATATACCCAAAGGATTATGAATCATGCTACTATAAAGACACATACACACATATGTTTATTGCGGCACTATTCACAATAGCAAAGACTTGGAACCAATCCAAATGTCCATCACTGATAGACTGGAAATGTGGCACATATACACCATGGAATACTGTGCAGCCATAAAAACGGATGAGTTCATGTCCTTTGCAGGGACATGGATGAAGCTGGAAACCATCATTCTCAGCAAACTATTACAAGGACAGAAAACCAAACACCACATGTTCTCACTCATACATGGGAATTGAACAATCAGAACACTTGGACACAGGACAGGGAACATCATGCACTGGGGCCTGTTGGGGGGGTGAGGGCCTGGGGGAGGGATAGCATTAGGAGAAATACTTAATGTAAGTGATGAGTTGATGGGTGCAGCAAACCAACATGGCACATGTATACCTATGTAACAAACCTGCACGTTGTACACATGTACCCTAGAACTTAAATTAAAAAAAAATTAAACTCAAACTACAGGGCAGTAAATGTCACGTTAGCTGTTTAAGTAATTGCATTTAATGTCAAATTAAATGATTCTACTCAATTATTTGCATCAAAAAATATCTCCGGTGATCTTTAAAGAAAAGCCTTATGATTCTACTGTCAGAGATCCTATCTATAGCAACAGTTGGGATGCAAATGGTCAGGATCTAGTGCTAACTGACTTACAGTTCCAAAGAAGGGGGTCAAAGCACAGCCTGATTAATGCTTAATAACTAGATTTCTGTCCAGAATTCTAGTTAACCCTGTGAGGATGGCTTCACTATCTGCTTGAAAGAGGTCATGGCCCACCTTGGAAAAAGTGGCATAAAGAAGGGAACCAGATCCAAAGTGTGGTGACTTTTAGTCAGTCCACCCTGTTCTTATATTTTAAAAAATAGTATTTGAATGACCAGCTTTTTTTCATTTATCAGTATATTGTAATTTTTTTGTGCTAAAAATACTTTTCTACAACATAATGTTTAATGGATGTTCAGTATTCATCATGTAAAAATGTACCAGAATTTTCTTATCTTTTATTACTGAATGTTTTAGTGGTTTTCCAATTTTTTAATATTGTAAACAATACTACATCTAACATTCCCATGCACATGTCTGAAGCCATCTATCAGGCTGAGTTATTCTTTTTTTTTAAATTATACTTTAAGTTCTAGGGTGCATGTGCACAACGTGCAAGTTTGTTACATATGTATACATGTGCCGTGTTGGTTTGCTGCACCCATTAACTCGTCATTTACATTAGGCATTTCTCCTAATGTTATCCATTCTCCATCCTCCCACCCCACAACAGGCCCCAGTGGGTGATGTTCTCCTACCTGTGTCCAAGTGTTCTCGTTCAATTCCCACCTATGAGTGAGAGCATGCGGTGTTTGGTTTTCTGTCCTTGTAATAGTTTGCTAAGAATGATGGTTTCCAGCTTCATCCATGTCCCTACAAAGGACATGAAATTATCCTTTTTATGGCTGCATAGTATTCCATGGTGTATATGTGCCACATTTTCTTAATCCAGTCTATCATTGATGGACATTTGGGTTGGTTCCAAGTCTTTGCTATCATGAATAGTGCCACAATAGACATACTTGTGCATGTGTCTTTCTTAGGATAAATTTCTAGAAATGCCATTGTTGGGTGAAAATGTGTGAAGAGTTTTTTCAAGGCTTTGATAGATACATTAAGACTTGATACATTATAGAGCTATTTTGCAAAAATATTGTAACAATGCATCTATCTTACCAATGACAGTGTAAGAGAGTAAGACTTTGCATTCACATATCTCGAATGGAAAGCATTATAAGTTCAGAGTATTATTCAGCACGCCAGAGAGAGCCATTGAGGAACAGCAGACTGTTTTGAGAGAGATGTGTAGGTAGAAGGCACATCTGCCTGATAGGTTTGTCAGAATAAGGCCTTGTAGTGATAGCCTATGTAAACAACTTCCCAAAAGCTTTTTACTGATGTCAAAAGCCTGACCTGTCATTGAATTTTGCTACTTAGGCAGTGCATATGGTATATGATCAGACCTAAAAGAACAGAATGGTGAAGGTTTGGGTGTCTTTTGGGAAGCTGATAGAATATGGTGCAATATGAGTTCAAGCCTGATTCAAATTCTGTATCTGGAATGCAGTTTTAATGTCCTTTGTTTTAGAAGGATGGTCACAGACAGTATTTTCTAGTCAGGCATGAATACATTATTATCATTTTATGTCAGTAAATTTGATGGCATGATTATTTTCTATCCTATTGTATTCTTTATGAAAGGTTAAGAAGCAAGGTCATATAGTATAATAAAAACCAAGGAATACTGTTAGTGAAGGCCAGGAAAGATAAAGAACAAAAGAGCTGGTATATTTTGTTAGGTAATTAAACTAATTAGTTTTTAATAATGACTAGAATTTGTACATATTGCTTAGAAAGAATTTAATTCATAAAAATTTAATTGCTTTGAATATTTTAAATCTCTTATGAAGCCCATGATTTAAAATTCATTGAAATCTTACTGTCTAGGGAAGATACTACAATGTGACATGTTATAAATAAGTCAAAAATTTAAACAAAATGTTCATTTCAGATTCTTTGAAAACAAGTAATGATTCCCTTTAGTAACTGGCTCATGTCTTTTCTAGGAAATACAAAGTGAAAAACTACAAACATGATGTACCAACTGAAGGTAGATATAAAATTGAACTGGCAGAAAGAAAAGGAATTTTTTAAAGGCACAGAGCACGTCCTACATTTTGTGTCTAACAGCACTGGGAATATATGGTACATTGCTATTATAACTAGGCCATATCTCTGTCTAGTTTCCCGGGATGAGGCTACCATCTCCTTTGATAATGTCTACTTCCCTGTAGTGTGGTTGTGTTTGCTTTGTTGATATTCAAGTCATGTGAGGAGCCCTAGTTGTAATTGAATCTGGGAAGTCCAAAATCTCTGGCTGATTTTTTCTCCCCAGTTACCAATTTTTAGCCTAATAGAAAGCACCTTTGCCAGACTGGGGCACTGGTGATTTAACTTCTTTTCTTCACACAGAACATGTATCATCTCATGGGCTAGATGAGATGCCTAAAGTACTGTATTCATTCAACAATCTGATTTAATAGTATCTTAGGGGTACCTACTGAGTGCTTGAGGATCTATAAAGAAAAGCATTCAAGCTACTTTTATTATAAAAGGAGAAGAAAAGTCCACAGATAACTATAATGCAGAATGCTATGGCTGATGTAAGAGAAGAAACATGAAATACTGTAACAAAATTTAAAGGAAAGAGAGATCATATATGTATATTTTTTGGAAGACCTCAAAGACATCATGGAGGAGGTGGCATTTGAGGTGTGCGTTAACAGATAAATAGTATTTTGACAGGTGCAGATGTAGCCTTATAGCTAAGAGAACAGGTTGAGTAAAGGTACAGCACCATAAAGACATGACAGACTTGGAGAACAGAAAATCCTAAAATTCTATAGAAATATGGAGAGGTAGTGAGTATAATGTCAGAAAACGCATCTGCGATGAGAGGATATCACTTAATTGAGTAGGGAATGCAGTGGTGGTAGAGGTGAGGACTGACAGGAGATGTTAGTAAGATCTTGAGCCATGGAATGATATGATCAGAGTCTAAACATAACCAGAAGACTCTGGTTTGAATGTCTTGGATTGCTTAGAGGAGAGAGAGGCTGAATGGGTTGGGGGGACAAGAACGGAGGCTACAGTCACAACTCAGTAGACTGACCAGAAGGCATGAGCATGGGGGTGGTGGTGTGTATCCATTTGGAGTCCTAGTTGTGAGCAGTAGAGCATCTCTGGTTAGTCTTCACTGAAAGATAAGTATTGGAAGGATTGGTGGGATAGCTGGAGAAACATTTATGGCAAAAAGAGTGCAGAGGAGGGGAGTGAGCTAGAACCACAGTCAAGGAGAACCTACATGAATAGTCTGGTTAGAGTCTTGCTGCTGGCTCTCGTCAGTGGACATGACTTTGACATACTGATTTTACTGTTGTGTATACTTTCTAAACTCTTCCTACATGTTTATATCCTTTCCTTAAGTTTCCAAGACCCAGGTAGAAGAACCCTACTGATTGAGTTTTGTTCCCAGGTACCAGAGGGCTGGAAGAGAGAGGCTCCCTGACTTTGGGTTCCAGAATGGGAGGTGTTGCACTGTACCTCCTCATTGAGCACTCTATGAAAAGGAGGGCTTGGGTGCTGGGAGTTCGAAAAGAACAAAGGCCAGTGTTCCCTGGACTCTATGTCTCTGACTACTTAAGAGACACATCCCTTCTCTACACTTATACTGAAAAAGAAAATATATGGAATATTGCTCAAACAGCAAAGAAGGTATTCACTCCCTCTTCAGTGGGAATTAACCCAAAGCTTTGTCAGATTTTGCATCTGAGTCAGTATCCGTGAGAAATGCTCATTTTTCTTCTGGGTGTGTCTTCGTCCCATCTCAATATTCTGTCATCTCTGAACTAATTTTTAAAGCTGACCATCACCAATAAAACTTATGTACAATAATGGGAAAGAGGAGAGAAAGAGAAGAGAAAGTTTGTGCAGCTGATCGAGAGGCCGTTTAGAATTTATGATTCGCTTCCTCCACAGTCTTTTTGATAAACCTTTGCTTCAGGTGTTTGGGGATCAGAATGATTCCAATCCTATTTGTTTTTTCACTGTTATATTCTAAATGCCTATTATAGGGCCTGACACAGAGTAGGTGAATTAATTTTTTCGCAGGACATATCTATAAAAGGAGAGTTCTAAAAGTGATAATCTGGCTTCCACTCACTCTCTTTCTCAGGAAGTAGCTGCCAGCCTATTCTTTTTGCTGGTTAGAAATACTTACTAGCTCCCTAACACCATTTCCTTCATTTTTACTCACTGGCCTGAGATACCTGAAATAGTCTGATTCCAATTCAGTGTAAACACTGTTATATTCCATAAATTTGTTTCTATGTCAGAGCATTTGCAGAATCTTGCATAGTAGCTGTCCAACCTTGCAAATGTTGTGTCCTTTTGGGTACTGTCACCAAGTCTCTAAAAGGCAAATCCATCATTATATAATATCTGCTGCATCTGGATGTTGTGGAATGTGATGACACCAGTAAATCCCTTGGCTACCAACTTATTGCCTTACTCCTTCTACTATAAAATGGGATTATGATTCAGGTGAAATAGTTGGTATATTTAGAAAACAGCTGGCAGGGCAGCAGAAGTAGGTAGACTGGGAGGTACGAGTAACTTGATCAAGCAGCTTCCTTGTGTCTTCAGAACTTGCTCGGACCCAGCTGACTGTACATCATTTGCATCTGAAGATAAATATGCCAGAATTTATGGCTGGGTGGATCAGAGACCACCAGGCCATATACACAGCTCAGGGCCCGTGGTCACTTGTGTCCTATCATAAGTCATTTACTCTGAACCTGGGCTCAATAGCAAGACATAAGTTTCCTTTTTTTAATTTTTAATTTTATTGTTAGCTCTGGGGTACGTGTACAGGATGTGCAGGTTTGTTACATAGGTAAATGTGTGCCATGGTAGCTTGCTGCCCCTATCCACCCATCACCTCGGTATTAAGCCCAGCATGCATTAGCTATTTTTCATAATACTCTCCCTCTCCCTACCCCACCCCCTACAGGGCCTAGGGTGTGTTTTTCCCCTCCCTGTGTCCATGTGTGCTCATTGTTTAGCTCCCACTTATAAGTGAGAACATGTGGTGTTCGGTTTTCTGTTCCTGCGTTAGTTTGCTGAGGATAATGGCTTCCAGCTTCATCCATGGCAAGACATAAGTTTCTAAACAGGGCTTTCCTCTAGAACCCAATGGGCCTCATCTAGAGGGGTTTGTTATGGTCTTGGTGCAATATGCTGATCTGCTTGAGACTCTTTGACTTCTCTGCACCTTTGGGTCATAAAGTTGATGGCAGAACTCCTGGCTCTACTGGTGGGCTCTGCTGTCTACCCAGTCAGAGAAGGTTTTCTTGCTGTTGGGCTTACTAAAGGTTAGGGGCTGTCAGGCCACTTGGTAAATGTGCCAGAGCATCCCTCAAACCTGACTTATTTTGCTTTCCACATTCAAAGAAATCGAGAATGTATTGTGTCTATTTTATTGGTGGAGGGAAAAACTTGTTCTTTACTTCAGAGGAATATCCAATACACCTGAAGCCACTGGAACTGTGACTTTTCTTCTTCACTGAGTTACCAGGCCTCTTTATTCTCATGGGATCTATCCCAAATTCTCTGGCATGCATTTCTCTTTTTCTAAGGCATCTAGAGTATGGCTACTTCCTGCTTTCCAGGTCCTGCCAGCATGAGATGATATCATTGAGGTAGTGAACCAGTATGAATGTAAGGTGGTCAATGTCAATGAATGTAAGGTGGTCAATAGTTGTGACATAGAGCAGAGAATTGATCTATGTAATTCTGGGGCAAGATTGTTAAGGTTTGCTGCTGTCTTGCCAAATGCCAGAAATTTACTTGCATTGTCTATATATCGGGATGCCAAAGAAGAACCTCCCAGATTAAGAACTGAATCCCAGGTGCCAGACCTAAATTGCTTTGCTCCTATAATGAAGACAACCTATAAAACAGGTGCCCTTGTTTGTAACCACTCAACTTTCTGTTTCTAAGACCTATCTATCTTCTGCACTGGCCAAAATGAAAGAGTTAAGTAGGTGATATGTCTGTTTACCATCGTTTATCTTTTAAATTTTTGATGATGATGTTAATCTCTGCAATTTCCCCCAGAGGAGTGTTTGGTTTTTAGTTTTTAAAGTCTTGAATTTACTGTTTTGGTAAGAAGGAGGAAGAACAGACTTCTACTTGGCCTTTTCTTCCATCTTCTCTTGTATCGCCTTGGGCTAGTGAGCCAATGCAGAGAGCCAGCCTTCTAATTCCTCAGGATACCCAATTCAACTATCGGTTCATGGTTGGGAGAAACAACTTCAGACTGTGTTAGGAAATTTACTGGAGTTACCATGTGTGAGCTCCATTTATTGTTTGCCCCATCAGATGTCTGTCTACCTGGTTTGAAACATTTTTCATTAAAAAATCAAATAGAGTCTCAGTAACCTGCGCGTATATTCTGTCCTAAAGACTTCCTGGTCCCTGCCAAAAAACTGAACCATTTTGATTTCTTGCCTTGGCTGTTATAAAAGCAACCCTACTTTGCTGCTGGAGATTAAGGCCTTTGCCAGAATCCTTCAGATCCAATTGAAATCAGAAAGCCCGTTTCAATACAGTATTGTGCAATAGAATACCTTGCTTATGCAGATCAGCCACTAAAGAACTTTTTGTACATATTGGCACTGCCCTGAAAGGATGTAGTGCAGAGAGTATCCTCTGGAGCACTTTGGGGCACATGGTCTGGGAGTGAGTGGGGATGGTCACATCATAAACATACTTCAGTCTTCTTATCTACTAAAGTCTCCAGAATCCATTCACTACATTACACTGAAGAATTTCTGGTATTTCATCTTTGCTTAGTGTAATCCAACACAGAGCCAAGATTTCTGTGAACCAGCAAGGACACTCTTAAAATCACTCTCAGCTATTTGAGAGGGACATCAAATCCAGAATTTATGCGAAGAGTTTCCTTAATGATCAATTTAGGCCTGATCTAAAGCAATATTTTAATACTTTAAAATACATTCTTGTATATATTCTATAGAGTTTTCTCAACATAGTAAGCGGTAACATTCTACAATGTTTTCAGTATGTAATCATTTGCTCTTGGGTTTGGCTTTTTTGTTGGCCCCTTGGGGCATGTTTGAATCTGACTGTAGTATTGGACTGGTGACAATGAGAGGTGTGTGTGTTTGTGCGTGTGCACTTCCATGCATATGTGCCTGACTGTACCCACATGTGTGCTAGGGATGGAACGTAATGAAAATTAGCTTCATCTTTATAGGTAACTCTCCAAGGCAAGGAAGCTATTTAAAAAATATATCCCCCATATGACTATCCACTTTGGGTTTGCAGATTGATATGTAAACTGCAGAGATAAAAAATAATGACCATTCAGAAAATGTTGCCAAATGGTTGAGGGCTGATTTCCCAAGGGATTCATTACCATAAAATCACTTTTCCAGACTAAGGGAGATTTCCCTGGATCAAAGGGGTTAGATTTGACTGGGTTAGAATCAGTCTTTTACCTTCTAAATCAAAATCAAGACCCACGTAATTCCACTGAGACCTTGCTTTGAATCTGATAGTCCTTATGATCAAAGATTTCCTTCTGCTTTGTATAGCCTTGGGTTTTTTTCCTTCGTTAAAGCATCTGATCTTCCCAAAGATCCGATGTATTTGTTTATCACAGATAATAGCGTATTAGACTTAAACAAGAACTTGATTTTCTATATGCTCTTGAGCGTACAGCCATATAACTGCAAATTTGAATTGACATGGAATTTAGTGAGCTTGTTTAAAAGTAGAATCAGAAGCTCTTGTATGTCATTTATTACGGTGCTTATTTTACATAAAAAATCAATTTGAACTGTATGAGTATAATAAATCTGACATATTTCTGTAGTAAAAAATATAACAGATGATTAAAAAATTCAGACACGAACACATCCTATAAATGTTTGACGAAATATAATTTATTTTGCCCAAATACCCATTTGTATGGAAATCTGTGGACATTTGCAAAAGAACCCACTTCTTTTGGCTCCTGCTGAGCTTCTGATGATGCCAAGTCATTTCTCTTACCCATGACCTTGGGCTGATACTACTTGGAAGAATGTTATTTACTTAAGAAAGAAAGAACAATATTAGCCACTTGAATTCAAAATTCTTCTATATTAAATTTTTCTTGTTTTTATGAAGACATCGTTAAAACAACTATAAAACACTGTGAAAAGAATGTTTCACCTCCAATTTTAACTCCTTGACAGAGTAGCTATTTTTATTTTCTCTTGTGTTTCTTTCATTTTTCAAACAATCAGGATATGCTTATGGCTTCTTGGGGAGCCCAAATTTCTTAGGCATTTACTAGGCTTTTCATCTGTTTGATTTCTTTTTAAAAATAGATTCATGGGGTACACAAGCAGGTTTGTTACATGAGTATATTGCGTAATGCTGAGGTTTGGGTTTCTAGTGAATGCATCACCAACTAGTGAAAGTAGTACCCCATTGATAGTTTTTTAGCCCTTGCTCCTCCCTGCCTTCCTCTCCTCTTTTGGAGTCTCCAGTGTGTATTATTTCCGTCTTTATGCCCATGTGTACTCATTGTTTAGCTCCCACTTATAAGTGAGAACATGTGGTATTTGATTACCTGTTTCTGAGTTACTTGATTTAGGATAATGACATCCAATTGTATCCACATTGTAGTGAAGGACATGATTTCATTCTTTTTATGTCTGTGTAGTATTCCATGGTGTCTATATACCCCATTTTCTTTATTCAGTCCACCATTATCAACACTTAAGTTGATTCTTTGACTTTGCCATTGTGAATAGCACTGTGATAAACATACAATTGCAGGGGTGTTTTTGATAAAGTGATTACTTTTCCTTCGGATAGATACCTAGTCATGAGATTGCTGGGTCAAATGATACTTCTGTTTTTAGTTATTTGAGAAATCTCCATGTCATTTTCCACAGGGGTTGAACTAATTTACATAGTCACTAACAGTGTATAAGCATTCCCTGTTCTCCAAATCCTCACCAATATCTGTTATTTTTTGATTTTTTAAAATAATAATCATTCTGGATGGTATGAGATGGTAACTCATTGTGGTTTAAATTTGCATTTCTCTGACCGTTAGTGACATTTAGCATGTTTTTCATGCATTTGTTGACCACTTGTGTGTCTTTTCTTTTTATCTCCACTGCTTGAATTAGCAGTGTGTGTCTTCTTTTGAGAAGTGTCTGTTCATATCCTTTGCCCACTTTTTAATGGAGTTACTTGTTTTTATCTTGTTGATTTATTCTAGTTCCTTATAGATTCTGGATATTAGACCTCTGCCAGATGCATAACTTGCAAATATTTTCTCCCATACTGTAGGTTGTCCATTTACTCTGTTGATTGTTTCTTCGCTGTGCAGGAGCACTTTCATTTAATTAAGTCCCATTTGTCTATTTTCGGTTTTGTTGCATTTGCTTTTGAGGTCTCAGTCAAAAATTATTTGCCTAGGCCAATGTCCAGAAGAGTTTTCCCTAAGTTTTCTTCTAAGATTTCTGTAGTTTCAGATGTTACATTTAGGTCTTTAATCTATCTAGAGTTAACTTTTGATATGGTGAGAGATATGGCTAGCCAGTTTTCCCTGCCCAATTTATTGGATAGGGAGTCCTTTCCTCATTGTCTATTTTTATTGACTTTGTTAAAGATCAGTTGGTTGTAGGTATGTAGCTTTATTTGTGTATTCTCTATTTAGTTCCACTGATCTATGTGTCTATTTTTGTACCAGTACCATGATGTTTTGGTTACTATAGACTTATAGTATAGTTTGAAGTTGGGTAATGGGATGCTTCTAGCTTTGTACTTTGTGCTTAGGATTGCTTGGGCTATTTGGGCTCTTTTTTGGTTTCATATGACTTTTAGAATTGTTTTTGTGAGTTCTGTGAAAAAAGACATTGGCAATTTTATAGAAATTGCATTGAATCTGTAGATTGTTTTGGGCACTATGGTAATTTTAACAATATTGATTCTTCCAACATGTGAGCATGGAATGTTTTTCCATTTATTCATGCCATCTGTGATTTCTTTCATCAGTGTTTTGTAGTTCTCCTTGTAGAGATCTTTCACCTTGTTGGTTAGATATATTCCCAGATATTTTGTTTTATTTTTCGGTATTGTAAGTGGGATTAAGTTCTTTATTTTGTTCTTAGCTTCAATGTTATTGGCATATAGAAATGCTACTGATTTTCATATGCTGATTTTGTATCCCTAAACTTCATAATGAAGTCTTTTGATTAGGTCTAGAAGTCTTTTGGAGGAATCATTAGGGTTGTATAGGTATAGGATCATGTCATCAGGAGACAGAGATAATCTGACTTATCCTTTTTCTATTTGGATGCCTTTTATTTCTTTCTCTTGCCTGATTGCTCTAGCTATGTCTTTCAGCACTGTGTTAAATAGGAATGGTGAGAGTGGACATCCTTGTCTTGTTTTAGTTCTTAGGTGGAATGCTCTCAACTTTTGCCCATTCTGTATGATGTTGGCTGTGGATTTGTCAGACACTCTTATTACTTTGAAGTATTTTCCTTCAATGCCTAGTTTGTTGAGGGCTTTTATTATGAAGGGATATTGGATTGTATCGAATGCTTTTCCCTTGTCTATTGAGATCATCACTTCATTTTTGTTTTTAATTCTGTTATGTGTTAAATTGCATTTATTGGTTTGCATATGTTGAACAATCCTTGCATCCCAGTAATAAAGCTCACTTGATTGTGATGAATTATCTTTTTGATATGCTGCTGTATTTGGTTTACAAATATTTTGTTGAGGATTTTTGTGTCTATATTCTTCAGGCATATTGACCTATTTCCTTCCTTCCTTCCTTCCTCCCTCCCTCCCTCCCTCCCTCCCTCCCTCCCTTCTTCCTTTCTTTCTTTCTTTCTTTCTTTCTTTTCCTTTCTTTCTTTCTTTCTTTCTTTCTTTCTTTCTTTCTTTCTTTCTTTGTTTCCTTTCTTTCTTTCCTTTCTTTCCTTTCCTCCTTTCCTCCTTTCTTCCTTTCTTCCTTTCTCTTTCTCTCCTCTCTCTCTCTCTTTTTTTCTCTCTTTCTTTCATCTTTCATGTCCTTGGCAGATTTTGGTATCAGGATGTTAATAGTTTTGTAGAATGAGTTAGGGAGGAATCCTACCTCTTCAATTGTTTGGAATAGTTTCAGTAAGATTGGTACCAGCTCTTCCTTGTATATCTGGTAGAATTTGGCTATAAATTTGTCTGGTCCTGGGCTATTATTATTTTGTTGCTGGATTTTTTATTATGGATTCAATTTTGTGACTTGTTATTTTATGACTTTTTTTTGTGAACAGAGCCTTCAAGGAATATGGGATTATGTAAAGCAATCAAATCTATGACTTATTGGCATTCCTGAGAGGGAAGGAAAAGTAAGCAATAAATAAACGGAATTTATCAATTTTCTCTAGTTTTTTTAGTTTTTGCTCATAAAGATGTTCACAATAGTCTCTGAGGATCTTTTGTATTTCTGTGGTACCAGTAGTTATGTTACATGTGAGATGGGGCTCTTGAAGGAAGAATGTTGGGTCTTGTTTTTTTAAATCCAGTTTTCCACTTTATGTCATTTAAGTGGAACATTTAGGCCATTCATGCTCAGTTAATATTGATATGTGAGGTTTTGTTCCTGTCATAGTGTTGTTACCTAGTTGCTTTGTAGTCTCAATTGTGTAATTGCTTTATAGGATCTGTGAACTTTGTACTTACATGTGCTTTTATGGTAGCAAGTATCCATGTTTAGAACTCTGTTGACCATTTCTTGTAGGTCTGGTCTGGTGATGATGAATTCTTTTAGCATTTGCTTCTCTGGGAAAGACTTTATTTCTCCTTTGTTTATGAAACTTAGTTTGGCAGGGTATGATATTCTTATTTATTTATTTATTTTAATAGAGATGAGGTCTTGCTTTGTTACCTAGGCTGGTCTCAAACTCCTGGGCTCAAGTGATCCTCCCATCTTGACCTCCCAAAGCGCTGGGATTACAGGCATGAGCCACTGTGCCTGGCCTAAGGTATGATATTCTTGGCTGGCATTTTGTTTTTCTTTAATAAGGCTAAAATAGACCCCCGTTCTCATCTGACTTTTAAGGCTTGTGCTGAAAAGTCTGCTGTTAGACTGATGAAATTTCCTTCCTAGGTAATTTGGCCCTTTTCTCTAGCTGCCTTTAAGTTTTAGTTTTGACTTTGGATAGTCTGATAAGTATATCCCTTGGAGATAATTGTCTTGTATGGTACCTCAAAGGTGTTCTCTGAATTTCTTATATCTGGATGTTAACTTCTTTAGCAAACTTAGGGAAATTTTCCTGAATTAGTCCCTCAAATGAATTTTCCAAGTTGCTTACTTTTCCTTCTTTTCTCTCAGAAATGCCAATAAGTCATAGATTTCACTACATAATCCCATATTTCTTAAAGGCTCTGTTCATTTTTAAAAATTCTTTTTTCTTTTTTTATTTTTGTCTGAGTTAATTTGAAAGATTGGTCTTCAAGTTCTGAAATTCTTTCTTTTGCTTGGTCCAGTCTACTGTTAAAACTTCCACCTGTGTTTTGATATTCTTTTAGTGAAATTTCAGTTCTAGAAGTTCTATTTTTCTTAACACATCTATTCATATTCTGAATCTTTTTTTTGTTTCTTTATGTTTGATTTCAGTTTTCTCTTGGGTCTCATTGAGTTTCTTTGCAATTCATATTTTTTTTCTTTTTTTTCTTTTCTTTTTTTTTTGATGGAGCCTTGCTCTGTTGCCTAGGCTGAAGTGCAGTGGTGTGATTTCTGCTTACTGTAAACTTCAACTCCCAGGTTCAAGTGATTCTCCTGCCTCAGCCTCCCGAGTAGCTGGGATTACAGGCACCTGTCACCACACTCAGCTAATTTTTTATTTTTATTTTTGTATTTTTAGTACAGACAGAGTTTTGCCATTTTGGCCAGGCTGATCTTGAACTCCTGACCTCAGGTGATCCTCCCGCCTTGGCCTCCCAACCTGCTGGGATTACAGGTGTGAGCCACCGGGCCAGGCCGTATATTTTAAATTCTTTATCTTTATCTCTTATTTTAGACTCTTCAATTTGGTTAGATCCAAATTGCTAGAGATTCAAAGGATCCATTGCTAGAGAGCTAATGTGATCCTTTGCAGGTGTCAAGACACTCTGCCTTTTTGTACTGCTGGAGTTCTTGCACTGATTCCCTCTCACCTGTTGCTTCCTATTTTTGAATTTGCTACTATTTGGAAGTGACTTCTTTTTTAAATTATATTTGCCATTGAGGGTAGGGTTGTGGCATATGTTGTGTGTGACTGCTTGGCTTTGTTTCTGGGTGCTTTCTCAGGACCAGGGCTCTGTATTGGTCACTTAGTTGTGGACAGCTTCTGTGCAGTGGCTTTTTAAGATGCAGCTTGTTGTAGTGATGTATCAGACACATGAGCTGACACACTATCTCCTCTGGGGCCAAGGGTAAAGGGGTCTCAGGAAGCTGATCTTGTGGACTAGCACTAAGCCCTTCTGGTAACAGGTTTTTTTCCTTGTGGTGGAGTTCAGGCTGCAGTACAGTAGGCGGTGCTTGAGAGTTATAGCCAACTGGCCTTCAGGTAGGTTAGTGATGATGAGTGGAGTGGAAGCAATGACCCTGACAAGGGGAGTGGTGGGAAGAGATCATATTGGGGTACACTGGGGTCCTGGGGTAAGGGGTAGGGTGGTGCACCAGCTCCTTGTCCTGAGCCAGCAGGAACAAAATCTGCTTCCCTATCACGCCCCTGTTGCAGGGCTCATGACCTTCAGTTCCCATAGACTTTGTCCTTTGTTTCCTGGCTGCAGTGTGGGTGCAGACAGCAGATATGCCCCTCTGATGGCTGCCACCAAAATGGGCTTGGGGCAAAGCCTCTACTCCCAGACCACAGCAGACAACTCTATGGCTTGTCTATCCTTCATTTCCAGGATGCTGTCACTCTGTGTAAGGATGGGGAGTTGGGCCTTACCCTTTGTGCAAGCCCAAATGACACAGTCTCACTTTCAGTGGGAGCGAAGATGCCACAAAAATATGACAATTGTTTTCTCCAAGTACACATGTTCTGGTCCCCAGTGGGAAGAACCAGTGCTGCATCTGCAGCAGTAGAAGGGAGTAGGGGGAAGAAGATGACACCCTCTCCACATCTGTGCCTGGCATCAGTGCTGCTCCCGTCAGTGATTAGTGATGGATTCATATTTCCTTTGTCTGAGCAGGGCTTTGTGGGGCTGTGCTCCTCCCTCCTTTAGGGGTTGTCTGTGCTGAGAGTTAGATCTCCAGGGTTCTGCCGCTCTCCGAGGACCTGCCTATTCTCTGTGCTTGCCAAAATCAGAGCAGGTTGTGGGGTATGTTTATGAGGCATCTGGTGGTGTGTGATAACTCAAAGGCAGAGAATCTCTGGGCAGACCAGTGGCCCACATGGAGTGCACAACCAGTATGGCACCTGCTATCTCAGTTTGGACCTGATGGGAATGCAAAAATGCCTAAGTGAGCTGGCCACCCAGTTCCCCATCCCAGGAAGTTCTCAAATCACCACGTATAGCATTGCTGTGGGTCATGAGGGCAGAAGGGCTTCCCAACAGATTGGCAATCAGCAGATTGTCAGAAGGGTGAAGGGAGTGGAAACATTGTGCTCCCACTTAACCCTTTCTATGGGACCTCAAGTTCCTCAGAGATCAGCTTCTGCAAGACTCTTGCTGCTTTCTCTTTCTGCAGCCCAGCTTCTTCCTGTGGGAATTCTAGCATGTCCTGGTTCTCTTCCCCCAGTTTTCCCTCTGGAATATGTTCATTCACCAGTAACTTTGATCTTCTTTCTCAGGAGAACTGGCATCCCTTGTCCCTAATCAGCTATCTTGAAAAAAACCCCATCTGTTTGATTTCAATCAATTTCATGTATCAATAATCATACCCACATTTCCATACTAAGACTTTTACACTGCTATACTTCATGTTTTTATTGCTTTCTGCTTCCTTTGGTTCTTTCTCTTGAGTAAATTGCTAATTCGCAAGCATCTCTTTCTCTCCTACATGAAAGTGGCTCAATAGTGGGCTTTGCCTAAACTTTCACCTCTCTCTGTTGCTCTGCTGTCTCTTTTAGAGTCCTTTTTGTCCCATTGAAAGGCTTTATGAGACACCACACTCTTAGCTGACCATTACTCATGAATCTTATAATCCACTTAGAGGTTTGAAAAAAGAGTGTGATCCTTTTGATTTGATCATTGCATCAAGGCTGGGTTTTAATCAGCCTTGTTCCTCTAAGCATTTCTAAATTTTATGTTTTCTGTTTGGACCTGAGAAGCAGTTATCACTTTCCACTCTACAACTCTGTTAATAATGCAATTATGATGGACTGTGTTACCTCTCTTTCTTGCTTTCAAACAGGACCAATTTGTTTCTGAGCTCATCTCCTTCTTGTAAACCTTGCCAAATGCCACAATAGCAACAAGTACACAATATTAAGAGTTTGTTTCCCCACAGCTTGCCTTAGAGGTACAAGTTCAGTCACTGCATAATCTACTTCCCAATTTGTCACAGGTGACAAATTTTTCCAAGTGCTTTGTCACTGTATAACATGATTACCACCTTTCCAAGCCCTGTTAACAGTTTTCTTGCTGTCTGCCAATTGACCACTAAGCCCATGCAACATAGTTTAAGTTTTTATTATGGTATCACTCTATTTTTGGGTACTAATTCTTATATCTGTCTGAACATTCTTGGTTATGGTGCAGTAAAAAACAACCTTAAAATCTCAATGGCTTAAGATAGGGAAAATTTAGTTCTTGTTCATGATGTCCAAAGAAGCTTAGTTCATCATAATGACTCAGGGCCTCAGGCTAATGGAAGCTCCATCTGAGCACATGTTTTGATGGTTGACCAGGCAGGAAAAAGATGTGCAGGATCATGCACTGAAATGACACACTTTATTCTGTCCACATTTTATTGGTCATAGCCACTCATATAATTGGGCCTAATTTCAAAGTGGGCAGGAAAAGTGCAGTTCTACTATTATGGGTTGAATTGTGTACTCCCAAAAGATGTTGAAGTCCTAATCCCCAGCACCTGTGAATGTGACCTTATTCGGAAATAGTCATTACAGAGGCAATCAAGTTAAAATGAGGACATTAGGATAGTCTCTAATCAAATATGACTGGTGTCCTTATGAAACAGGAATGTCAGAACACAGGGACAGGCATGCACAGAAGGGAGATTATGATGTAAAAATACAGGGAGAATGCCATTCATGAATTTGGGATATTACTGAATGCTTTTTCTGTGTCTATTGAGAGGATCATATGGGTTTTGGAGTGGGGTTTGGAACAAGGAATGCCCGAGGCTATCAGCAGCGAGAAGAAAAACCTGGAACATGTTTTCCCTCACGGCCCTGAGAAAGAACTAACCCTCCAACACCTTGATTTTGGACTTGTAGCCTCCACAATTGTGAGACAATACGTTTCTGTTGTGTTAAGTCACTTGGTTTGTGTTACTTTATTACTGACAGCCTCAAGAAGCTAATATATCTACCAGGTGTCCAAAAGGAAAAAGTTGGGCTATTTTTGAATAACATTAATAACAATTACGTCTTTATTTATATAACATATACATAATTTTTTACTAGTTTTAATCCAAGTTTGTAGAAAAATTTGTTTTATTTTCTTCATTTTAACATTATTTAATTAACATGTCTTTGTGTTTTTATACTGCCATCATATCTATATTATTAAATTGTTACCTTATATATTTTCATATAATCTAAAGGTTTTAATGTAAAATGTTCATGCTGTTAAGATGTATGTACTATAAATTGCAGAATCGAGATTTTTAAAGAGCTGTAAAATCCTCAGATAACATTAATTTCCAATAAAGCAATAAATATGAGGAGCTAAGAGTGAAAATATGTTATATAGTGTTGCAATAAATGTACCTAATGCTAATTCTTAGAGATTATTGCCAGAATATGATTTAGTTTATTATTATGTAGATAACATTTACCAACCTGTTTTGTTTGGCTTTCTCAGAACTGAAAAAATTTATGTGCCATATTAAATATTTATCTCTTAATATTCCAAGGACAATTTCAGTGTTATCTCTTAATTCAGAGCAAGCCCTGCTTTTCTAAGGAATAGTCAGTGAAAATATCCAAATTAAATTTTTTTCTTATTCTCAATATCTGGTGCTGCTTAAGAGGAAACTTCTTTGATCTTTGACTCCTACTCAGCTATATCTCCTTGTAAGGGATGTTGTACTACACAAAGAAAAGAAACATTTTCTTTCTTCTTTCCAGTTCCCGCATTAAATTATGTATGACTCCTTGGTGTATATAAATATTTCCTTCTAGTTGGAAACTTAGTTGCAGATGGTAGAATGTCATAAATATAACTCAAAAAACCAGTAACAGACTCAGGATACTCAAGGTATATTAATTTCACACATGTATGAAAAATGCATGAGATTCTTTCTTGGGGGAATGATGCCATTTTTATTTTTTATCTATGTTTAAAACTGAGGAAAGTGAACACTATGACAGAACACAATGAAATATCTTCTTTAGGCTGCATTTTATGGTTTCAAGATTGAATTAAGGAAATTCTCATTTAGTGCTCTCTAATTTGTGTCACATGCTGAGACCATTTAATTTAAATGCCAAGCCTGATTTAATAAATTTTAGCAAATTTTCAGCACAGTGTGTAGGAAATAAGGTTCTCAACTTTTGTTCATGCAATGCGTGTGTGATTCTTACTATACTTTTTCTTTTCTTTCTTTTTTTTTTTTTTTTGAGACAGTGTCTTGCTCTGTCACCCAAGCTTGAGTGCAATGGCATGATCTTGGCTTACTGCAACCTCTGCCTCCCGGATTCAAGCAATTCTCCTGCCTCAACCTCCCAAGTAGCTGGGATTACAGGAGCCTGGCACTATGCCTGGCTAAGTTTTTCTATTTTTTAGTAGAGACGGGGTTTCGCCATTTTGGCCAGGCTGGTCTCGAACTCTGACCTTAGGTGATCTATCTGCTTTGGACTCCCAAAGTGCTGGGATACAGGCGTGAGCCACCGCGCCTGGCCGATTCTTACTATGCTTTCATAAGTCTCCAGATATGGGTTAGTCATAGCTTTGGTTATCTGAAGAAACCTAAAAAACTGACATGTAAAATCAATTTTGTAATGTGAAATTTTGCATTAGCATCAACCATTTGCATCACCACTACTGTCACGACACAGGTGTTATTCCCCAAGCAATTACAACATGCTGGGCACTGTGCCAAATGCTTTACAGACATCGCCTCATAAGAGCTGGACAAGGCGATCCTCATTTCATAAATTAAAAAAAAAATTTCAGAAAGATTTCATTTAACATCAGTGAGTAGTGAAATATGGATTTGAATTGGTTTGCTGTCTCTGTCTTGACCATCATTCCAGTACTTTCCAATAATTTTTCATGTAATTGTACACAAAGAAAGTGAAGCTATTTGTAGTCAGACTGGGAAAACTGGAGGGGATTTGAAATAATCTATATTGGGTTTGGTAAAAAACAAATTATTATATTTTCTCTATGTTACGTAATTACTTTAAGAATAAAGTATGAGGGAAAATAGTAAACTTTTACTTTTTATAGAACTTATAAATAAAATCTTGTCTCACTTTAAATAAGAGACATGAACTCACTTCTATGACCATACATTTTATTTTTGTATCATTTTAGGCCTCAAACAACCAAAGACAATTCTGACCAGACTTTTTAATGACAATTGCTTCAAATTCTTGATAATATCATCAATTAGAAACGTTCTACAATCCAGCAGGTGAAAAAATTTGAATTCATTTCAATAACCATTTACAACAGCTCAATTTTATTTAATAAATTGAAGAATTCCCTTTATTTTGTCGAAAGAGTTAGTAGTAAAGTTTCATGTGAAGATGGATAGATTTTGAATCCAATCTTTTTCACAGCTGTCATTTTAGAGTAATGAAGATCTGCTGTCACCTCGAGTCACATTTATAGGAGTGCCCACCCAGCCTTCCCGTCTCATCACCCTCATTCCCATGGGGGAATGCAGTTGAACATTGCAATTGAAGGCCTTGGAGAATAACATCTTAAATTTCTAAGGGATCACTGAATATGGTCTTGACAATATACTGCAAAGAGACAAAGGTAGATGGAATGAGACTGGATGTAGTTGGCCAAAAAGATACAAAAAAGTGGGATCAAAGACAATAGATTTGGTTTTGATAAATGAAATCACTTGTGTAAGTCTAGAGAAAACAAATTTTGATTTGAACTCAAGACTTTGACTCCAAAGCCTTTACCTACCACAAAATGCTATACATCCTGATGCTATTAGGGTTCTTCGTTGTTGACTGATATTTAACATTTTAAAATGGGCAATTTCTAAATGCTGTTCAAAGTCTTGGTTAACCTTTTAAATCATGAGATGTACTTCTCTGTCATGTTTCTTTGTTCATACTTTCCTAGCTATAACTAGGTAAAAGAGGTCATCCTGCCTTTTATCTATTAACAGTGAGTTCCCAGATGCAGTTGTTGCTCAGGACAGCACTGAGTCAGTGTGAATTCATGATTGTAGATCATCTAAATTTGTCAAGCACTGTGCTAAATGGTGGGATAGGGTACTGACGATTTAGGTGTGTGGTGGGGAGGAAACCCTGAAAGTGAAAAAAAGGGCTGCTGTGCATCATATGACTAAAGAGGATGATGCTATGAACTCTACTTGAGGGCACCATGAAAGACTTTCCAAAGAAGTGACATTTCAGCTGGGTTTTGAGGGGCGAATAGGAGTTTGTGTGTATCAGAATAACCTGAGCTCTGGTCATGCAGTGAGGTAATATCACAATCTAGTGGAAAGAACATTGGTCAGGAAACCCTTGCTTCTGTGTTGACTTATACAAGCGTACCTCATTTTATGCATTTCACTTTATTGTGCTTTGCAGATATTGCATTTTCTGCACATTGGTTTGTGACAAATGAACAAGTCCCTCAGTACAATTTTTCCAACAATAGATGCCTAATTCAGGTCTCTGTGTCATATTTTGATAATTCTTGCAATATATCAAAGTTTTTCATTATTATTGTATCTGTGATCTTTGATATTACTATTGTAAGTTTTGTGAGCTGCCACAAGACAGTGAACTTAATTGATAAATGTTGTGTGTGTTCTGACTGCTCCACTGACTGACTGAACACTTGTCTCTCTCTCTCTCTTTGGGCCTCCCTATTTTCTCAGACACAACAATATTGACATTAGGCCAATTAATAACTCTCCAATGGCCTCTAAGTGTCAAGTGAGAGAAATAGTCACATATCGTTCTTTAAATCAAAAGCTAGAAATGCTTAAGCTTGGTGAGGAAGGCCTGTCAAAAGCTGAGATAGGCCAATAGCAAGGCCTCTTGTGCCATA
The DNA here is from genome assembly GCF_000001405.40 of Homo sapiens. Lineage (NCBI taxonomy): Eukaryota > Metazoa > Chordata > Mammalia > Primates > Hominidae > Homo > Homo sapiens. Next base: position 214,805,908 of record NC_000001.11, read on the forward strand.
CAGTCAGCTATGCTGTGAATGCAAAGGAAGAGTTCTTGAAAAAAATTAAAAGAGCTACTTCAGTGGAGACAAATTATAAGAAAGCAAAACAGTCTTATTGCTGATCTGAAGAAAGTTTTAGTGGTCTGGATAGAAGATCAAACCAGCCACAACATTCCCTTAAGCAAAAGTCCAGTCCAGTCTTGACTCTAACTTTCTTCAATTCTATGAAGCGTGAAAAAGGTGAGAGAGCTGCAGAAGAAAAGTTGGAAGCTAACAGAGTTTTTGTTCTTGAGATTTAAAGAAAGAAGTCACCTCCATAACACAAAAGTGCAACGTGAAGCAACAAGGGCTGATGCACAAGCTGCAGCATTATTTAGAAGATCTAGCTAAGATCATTGATGAAGGTAGCTATATTAAACAACAAATTTTCAATGTAAATAAAACAGCCTTCTATTGGAAGGGGGTCTAGGACTTTCATAGCTAGAGAGGAGAAGTCAATGCCTGGCTTCAAAGCTTAAAAGAACAGGCTGACCCTTGTTAAGGGCTAATGAAGCTGGTGACTTTAAGGTGGAGCCAGTACTTACTAGCCATTCTGAAAATTCCAGGGCCCTTTAGAATTATGGTAAATCTACTCTGCCTATGCTCTGGAAATGGAACAACAAAGCTTGGATGACAGCACATCTTTTTATAGATTTGTTTAGTGAATATTTTAAGCCCACTGTTGAGACCTACTGCTGAGAAAAAAATATTTCTTCTAAAAGATTACTGCTCATTGACAATGCAACTGTTCACCAAAGAGCTCTGCTGGAGATGCACAAGAGGATGAATGTTGCATTCATGCCTACTAACACAACATCCATTCTGCAGCTCATGGATCATGGAAAAATTTTGACTTTCAAGTCTTATTATTTAAGATATTCATTTCGTAAGCTGCCATAGATAATGATTCCTCTGATGGATCTGGGCAGAAGAAATTGAAAACCTTCTGGAAAGGATTCACCATTCCAGATGCCATTAAGAACATTCATAATTCATGGGAGGAGGTCTAAATGTCAACATTAACAGGAGTTTGGAAGAAGTTGATTCCAACCCTCAAGAATGACTTTGAGGAGTTCAAGACTTCAGTGGAGAAAGTAACTACAGATGTGGTGAAAACAGCGAGAGAAATATAATTAAAATGGAGCCTGCAGATGGGACTGAATTGCCACAATCTCATGAGAAAACATGAATGGATGAGGAGTTGCTTATTATGGATGAACAAAGAAAGCAGTTTCTTGAGATGGACTCAACTGCTGGTGAAGATACTGTGAACAATGACAACAAAGTATCTAGAATATTAAGCTGAGTTGATAAAGCAGTGGCTGAGTTTGAGAATATTGACACCAATTTTGAAAGAAATTTTTCTGTGGGTAAAATGCTATAAAACATTGTCACATGCTATAGAGAAATCTTTTGTGACAAGAAAAGTCAATTGACATTGCCAACCTAGTTGTTGTCTTATTTTAAGAAATTGACACAGCCATCCGAAAATTCAGCAGCCACCGCCCAGGTCAACCATCGACATTGAGGTAAAACCCTCCACCAGCAAACAGGTTATGACTTGCCGAAGGCTTAGATGATTTCAGCATTTTTTTTTTTAGCAATAAAGCATATTTAATTAAGATATGTACACTTTTTAGACATAATGCAGTTGCACACCTAATAGACTACACTATAATGTAAACGTAACTTTTTTTTTTTTTTTTTTTGGAGATGGAGTTTCGCTCTTGTTGACCAGGCTGGAGTGCAATCGCATGATCTCAGCTCACTGCAACCTCCGCCTCCTGGGTTCAAGCGATTCTCCTGCTTCAGCCTCCCGAGTAGCTAGGATTGCAGGCATGCACCACCACGCCCAGCTAATTTTGTATTTTTAGTAGAGATGGGGTTTCTCCATGTTGGTCAGGCTGGTCTCAAACTCCCGACCTCAGGTGATCCACCCATCTTGGCCTCCCAAAGTGCTGAGATTATAGGCATGAGCCACCGCGCCTGGCCAATGTAGACATAACTTTCATGTGCACTGGAAAACAAAAAAATTCATGTGACTTACTTTATTGCAATATTTGCTTTATTGCAGTGGTCTGGGATTGAACCTACAATATCTCTGAGGCATGCCTGTACACTGTAACTTTTGGATAAGTGATTTAGCCAAAATGCCTCTATAATTATAGTATTTGTGCAGAAAATTTTAAAAAATAAAAAATTATGGACAAATGTAAGGGGATCATTTGTTCAGCATTTCCATCCTCAGTTCTTTCGCAAAAGAGTTTATGACCATGTATATTTGAAACTCACATTACCTCCCTTACTCCTCTGGATCTCCAATACTACCTGCCGTTAAAAGTCATCCCTTTTCTCTCAATAAATCATTTCAAAGTTGATTCTCACTAGAAGTGAAACTGAACTACTATCTCACTATTGTTTCCACATGCTCATTGAGGAAACAATATTTGAAAAAATTAAACATCTCTTTGAGACCCCAGTATATGTGCAACCTTGTAGTATGTACTATGAGTACATAAAGATGCTATGTTCTGCCCATTTTCTTGGGAATTCACAATCTAAAAGAGATCATGAACTCTGACATAGGCAGACAAGAATACATTTAGGAAATCTGTGATTTAGTAGTGACGGGGCAGATGTGCATATGAGCAGCACTCTCACAGAAATCAAACTTTAAATGAAAAGTAGTGATAGGTGGCAATGAAAGGCGGCGATAACATGAGGTCAATAAAGTGCTATCTTATTTATGCTGCACTTTCTCATATGTTGTCTCATATGATCCTCACAATAAACTCGGTATGAAGGAAGGCAGGTATCATCTTATTTTGTGGGTGAGAAACTCAGACTCAAGGAAACCAACTCACCTCCCCAGAGTTTATAGTAGTTAATTGGAGAACTGGAATTGATTTCTAAATTCAGTCATTTTTACATGGCGGCAACTGGCTGAACACAGATTTTGGAGACTGAAGGTGGGAAAGAATGGAACTGAGAGAAAAGTTTTTGACATGACTTCTATTTTTAAAGAATTCGTGCATGACCTCTAGGTTGGTTGATTTTGGGGGTAGGGAGTAGAGGTGAAACTGAACTACTATCTCACTGGTCTCATGGATTAACCAATAGGTGGCACCAGGTCCTAATGCAAACCTTTTCTCCTTAAAGCTATAGCACAGACTACTGACCTTCCTTGAGCACTTGATAATTAAATTAGACAGATTAAAGTAGGAATCATAACCCTGCTTCCTGCTTCCTGAGATAGTTAGGGTCTGCTTTCTTGCGCACTTCAAATCAGTAAACAAAGAATATAAGGTAGGCATGAGAAAGTGGAAGGCATGAGGACTTGGAACATACTGACTTAGAATCAGCCATTTAGAGCTGAATACTTTTGGCCAAGCAATTTAATCCCTCTGAAGTCCAGCTCCTCACCTCTAAAGTAGTGACCAGTGCCTTCCTTTCACAACAGTTCTTGTTAAGATTAGTTATAATGTATACACCATGACTGGCACATAATAGTTGTTCAGCAAATGGTAGCTATATTTATCTGTATCTGGAAGATAGGTAAGGAAGCCATGTGTATACCTAATGTAACTCTAGATCCTTTTTTTTTTTTTTTTTTTTTTTTTTAAGGAAAGACATTTCCAAGTAGTAGATCTGATGTCTGCTATTGCTGGGGTATTATTCTTGTAACTGAAACATTTAGAAGAAGATTCCTTCATGAAGAGGGGTCAAGGGGGATAGCATTTCATGGTAGAAAGGAAATAGAGATGGTCTTGGATTATGCTATGAGAATTTTGATCCTCTTTCTCAGAAACAAGATTATTTTGTCAAAACTTCCAATAGGCAATGGGTCAATACATACATATTAGGTATATAGTTAATTATTCTGCATTTTTGAGATACAAAATATAGATCCTCTCACTTCAACAATTTATAGTTTAATAGAGGAAAGAGGAATAATACCCTGAAACAACTGAAAATGATAGTAGACTATGACTATGTATATATTTAATTGCTAAATGATATAGTTGTGTAGAATTAAAGTTAGTTTTTGATTTCCTGTTTATCTAATCTAACTGCTCATTTCTGTGATGTTTGAAATGGCTGGTTATCAGAGTAATTTTTGGGGAATCATAGCCAGCTTCTCAATAAATAACCCAACAGACAATAATAAATGAAATCCACAGAGGTCAAAAGTCAAGAGGGTCCCTTGCAATAATTGTCTTTTCATTCAGCAGAGCAGGTCACCCTCAGCAAGTAGAGTCTTGTGAATCTGCGTGTTAGTTCAGTTCTTTCAGGTTGCAAAATAAGAGAGATGTCAGTTCACCCAAGGAGAAAAAGCCTTGATATAAGTTTACAAAGAAAGGAAATAAACAATGGGAAACTTTCTCAGAAGGCTTCATGGAGCCTGGAAGCTTATTCCAGTACAATATGGTTCATGCAGTCCTGTTCTCTCATGCCCCCTCTGTAAGAGGAGTTTTTTGATTCCTTCTCCTGTTGGACAATTGTGGACACTCTGCTTCTTTTGCTCCTACCATCATCAAATAACTTCCTGTGGTTTCCTCATTTTGTCCTTCTTTCAATATCAACATTTCTGCTAACTTGTTGGTTGTACTCATGCCTTCTGTAAGCTTCTGAATGCCTTCTTTTTATCATTTTTCTCTGTCTCTTCTTTCCAACAACCCTCTGTCTGATGACTCTTTTAGTGTCAAATAGAGGATTTGATTGTGTCAAAATATAGCGTTCTCCTGGGTCACTTATCACCAGATAAGCTTCAGGTGAACTACTTTGATCACCTTACATCAGGTTTTCTTTCCTACTTTATTTACTTCCAAGGCGTTAGGGCTGCATAGTTCAGTGCATGGAGATGTAGATGTCAGGAAACTTTCAGAAGTGAGTTACGGCCATGGTAGCCATTTGAGGATCCTCAGGAAGGGTCAGTATATTTACAGCCATATTTCATGGTGTTCCCAAGGGGCTGCATAGACTAAGTACTGTACAAGAAATAAGAACTTAATGTTTTTGCCTGAGGTTCTCTATGTAAGCTGTGGGAACTGTGTCCATGTGTATAGATTTTTATTTCTGCTGTAACAAATGACTATGAACTTGGTGGATTAAAGCACCAAAACTTTGTTATTTTACAGTTCTGCAGGTCAGAATCCTCCCATGAGTATCAATGGATAGAAATCTAATTGTCAGCAGGGCTGAATTCTTTTATGGAGGCTCTAGAGGAGGTTCTGTTTCCAGGATCATTGACAGAGTTCAAGTCCTTGTCATTGGAGGATTGAGGACTTGTTTCCTTGCTGTTTGTCAGCTGAGGGTTATTCCCAGTGTCTAGAGGCTGCCTGTATTCCTTGGCTTGTGGCCTCTTTCTCCATCTTCAAAGGCAGCAACAGTGGGTCAAGTTGCTGTCAAGCTCCAGATCTCTCCTGCTTCTTCTTCGCTCTTCCCATCTCCCTGACTGACCCTTTTGCCTTTTTCTTCGCTCTTAAAGGCCCATGTAATTAGAGCGGGCCTATGAGGATATTCTAGGTTAATCTCCCATTCTTCAAGCAGTAATCACATATGCAAAGTCCCTCTTGTCATGAAAGGTAATGTAAGTCACAGGTTCTGGGGACTGAGATATGGACATCTTTGAGGGAGGAAGTGACATTATTTTGCCTACTACACCATTTTTTGATGTGTGCTTGTCTTGACCATGGCAAATATAAATTCTTCAGAATCTATCTCAATTTTCACATTCTTGCGGAGCATTCCCCAAATATTCTTGGCAATGCAGATCATTTCTTCCATTAACTTCCTATGGCACTTATTGGTTCTGCCACATTTTGTCACATGATCTTGAGTACTCTTTATGATTTTTGCTAATCTAAGTATATATTTTGTCATTCTGTCATTTCCTCCATGAGATTGTGAGTTCCTGAGGCAATTCATGCATCTTTTGTATTCCTCACAGCATTTACCAACTGCTGTATACATCCAAGCTGTTCAATACTATTTTAAATATTATATAAGAGGCAGTCTTTGGGGGAAGTAAGTATAGTGGAGGTTCTGTCCTAGGATGACAATCACTTCATTGATCTACTTATCTCTAAAACAGAGCTGCCAAAGGATTCTTTTAATATACTTTCAAATTCCCCTTTTCTACTCTGGCAGTCAAAATTGATTAGAATTTAAACTATTCCAGCAAGATCTTTCAGACATAGTAAAATCCCTGCCCTTGGATTTTATTGTTCTTTTGTATGAAGAAATCTTAAATAGACAATTCAGGTAAGGTTAGGATTCAGAAACCCTCTTGGACAAAGATCATATATCATAATTTCACTAAATTCAAGTCTTCTGAGTCAAGCTTGATGCCTAGATTTTATTACTCCTCTTCTTTTCTAAAGTTCAAAGAGAATGTCTATAAAGACAAGACCAGAGGTAAAAATATATGTGTTATCAAAGGGTTGGACAGTAGTCTATTAATCTGTTTCTAGGATTGCCCATTGAGAAAGGATCTTGGGACCCGTGCAATCCTGGCGTACCCACTCACTTGTGGATGGAAAGCTGGAGGAGGATGAGCATGGCAAAGCAGGCCTCTCTTCACTTATATTCTGGACGAGGAAGCCAGGGTTCCTCCCAGACGTCGAAGGCAGACAGCCTGTGGTGAGCGAGTGGCCAAGGAGTCTGTCTTGATGTTGAGCAGCTCCCTGGTTAAATGACCCAGTCTCTTTAGTCACTATGTGACTTTGAAACTCAGAGAAGATATTCCTCCTCCCAAAGAAGAATGGAAAACGAGGAGAGAGACTGAATGTTTTATTCCCATGGCTATACTGGAAATGTAACAAAACTCCCCTCTCCTCTGAGAACACATGAGGGTGAGCTTAAACACTAACTCATATCCTTCCCTTCAGAAAGTAAACTTTATTGAGAGCCGCTTATGTAACAGTCACCAAATTGGGCTTTTCTCACATATTTCCTCCTCTTCACAAAAATCTTGTGGGCAGACATCACCAGTACATGCTTTGATCTCTAGAGGTCATTTCCTGTCTACTCCCTCTCATCATCCCTCAGAAGAGGTCCTCTGACATGGCTTAAGGATACAAGGCGGCCATTGGGCTAAGTGTGGGGGTTTCGTTAGTTAAATCATGTCTTCCATGTGCAGTTCCTTTTTCGTGTTTGTAGTTCCTTTTACTTTGTTTTTTGGAAGCTCTTTCACCACAGAATTCTTCTCCTTTAAAACCTGTTTCCAACGTAGCAGGATATTGTAAGAGACAATTTCCAATGTCTTTTTAAAAACTATTTAATTTTAGGTTTACAGAAAAGTTGCGAAAATAGTATCTAGTTTACATGTGCCTTTCACCAAGCTTCTCCTGATGTTAACAACTTATCAAACCAAAGGACAGCGATCAAAACCAATGGTCAAAGCTAATAAAATAAGACATAATAACATGTTGGTTGAACCATCAAAAAAAAAAAAAAGGAATTAACATTGGTACAATTCTATTAACTCAGCTACAGGCCTTGCTCAAATTTCACTCATTTTCTTTTTTCCTTTTCCCCTAACAGCCTTTTTCTGTTCCAAGATTCTATCTAGGACTTCCCTTGAACTTAGTCTTATCTCGTTAGTCTTCCCCTACTGTGATAGTTCCACATTATTCCTGTGTCTCATGATCTTGATACTTTTGATGAGTACCACTTAGTTATTTTTATAGACTATCTCAAAATTTGGGCTTGTCTGGCGTTTTCCCATGATTAGATTGAGGTTGTGCATTTTTTATGGGAATGCTGGTGAGAATACCATAGGTGATGCTGTGTCCTCTTCAGTGCATCATATCAGGGAGTGAGATGTCCTATTATTGGTGATGTTAATTTAGATTACTTGGTTTAGATGTTACCTGCTGCATTTCAACTGTAAAGTTATTTTTACATATGAAATGAATAGAGGGGAAGATGCTTTAAAAGTACATGAGTATCTTATTTTCCCTTGAGCTTGTGCCCACTAATTTTAGCATCCATTCATAGATTTTTCTGTAACAGCTATTACTGTAGTGCTTACTTAACAGCAAGTTTTATTTCCCCCTCTTCTTTTACATTTATGAATTGGAATTCTTTTGTAAAGAAGAGATCTCCCATATCTCCAATTTATGTATTTATTCAAATGTTTATTTGTATCCGTAGGGACTCATTTATTTTGTGACTTGTAATCCAATATTATCATTATTATTATTTGCTCAAATTGTTCCAGCGTTGGCCATTGGTGTTCCTTCCAGTTGGCTCTCTCTGGCTTGCCTCATAGCATCTCACACACATAGCAGGGGCAGGAAGGAAGATAGCTTGTTGTTATGGGCTGAATGGACACTCTCCCTCAAAAAAATTCATATGTTGAAGTCTTAACTCCTATTACCTCAGAATGTGACTCTTTTTTTGAAATACAGTCTTTATAGAGGTGATTAAAGTGAGGTCGTTAGGATGGGCCCTAATATGATGTAACTTTTATTTTTGTAGGAAGAGGAAATTTAGACACAGACCTGAACAAAGGGAAGATGATGTGAAGACAGAGGGAGAAGATAGCCATCTAGAAGCCAAGGAGAGAGACCTGGAAAAACAGATCCACCCCCCATGGCCCTTAGAAGGAACCAATCCAACTGATGCCTTGATTTTGGTCTTTTAGCCTCCAGAACTGTGAGAAAATAAATGTCTGTTGTTTAATCTAGTCTGTGGTACTTTGTTAGGGCAGTCCTAGCAAAGTAATGCACTTGTCTAGAGAAAATATTACTTTCATTAAGACACCAGCCTTACCGATTAATTAGTGGTCGGAATTTCTTTGCAAATGCCACTCCTGAGAGAGATATTTTAGACCAATTTGAACATATTCCGAGCCTCAATATTGTTGCCACTGTCAGCCAATACACGAGTAGCAAAACTGATATCTTCAAACCACATCCTCAGGGATGCTAGAAATGTGACTTTATTTTTCCATAATTCAACTTTATCTCTCTCGAGCCTCATTTCTGCTCAGTGGCAGAAAATTTACCCATTTTATTCTAGTTTTGATTAAGTCTTTCAGATTAAGTCCATTTTGGGGCTTTTTTCTTCTCCTTCTTCTTCCCAGGGAAAGAAGTTTTGTGGGGCCTAACAGCATGGCCTGGGGACAGCTGTGGGGCAGCACACCTGCTGAGGAGTGCAATCCACAGTTGCGTTCTCTGCTGAGGTGGCATGTCACCACTGGAGTCTGGTGGCATGGCCCAACCCTTTCCACTTAGATGTCCACCTGTCACAACTGCAAGACTTGTTCAGGATCTACTGGGTATCTCTTTCTCTCCTGAGCCCTCTTCCATGGCCCTTTGCAGATGCCCTCCAACTTCGTTATCCTATGATGCTACGTTGCTGCTGGAGAACCAGGAAGGCTTCCTTAGAACTTATCTGCCCCAGATACCCCATACAACCACTTCTACTACACTCCCACAGGTCCAGAGACCATATCAGACTTCCTCACGCATTGCTTCTGCTTCTCTCAGCCTCGCCTGTCTTTTGTTCCCTCCTTTGCTCTAATGACAAGCTTTGCAGGGCTCTGACTGAGTTCCCAAAGGTGATTCGCCTAATACCCTATGCCTGGCCAGGGCCTATCTGTTGACATGAAAATGTGGAATTCTGTGGAATTCTACTTGGCCCCATAAATTTACAACTTGGAAGAACTGGGTAGTTAGTGCTGCCTGCAGTAAGGCTTTTACTAATATGATACAGGAACTGATGGGTAATGGATATGTTTGTTTTCCATCCTCCTCCCTCAACTCTTTCTAACAGGCAGTCTTGAGATCCATTTTATCTGACTTCTCAGAGACTGATTCAGAAAGATGCAGCAATTTGTCATGTTTTACTGTGGCCAGCTTGACAATGCATCACCATTTCCTTCCCTGCCTTACTCCCCTAGTCCCTCACTCTTGCTTCTTTTCACTCCCTAGAAAGTAGTAGCAAGTAGACCTTTTTAAGACTCTGCTTCCCCCCTGCCACTTTTTTTTTCAAGCTAAGAAAAGGATTTTGCCTCTCTTTATAGGGTCCAATTGGAAATGAACCTAGTACTCCTTTGCTCTCTGAATGCCAGAATTATCTGAAGAGAAGAATTTTTACATCTTTCCCCATGCTCTAAGACCTGATCCTGGGTAGGAGATCAAGGGTTCAGAGCCTTTAAAGGCTGAAGTTTCCCCCCAAGGTCATTACATATGAAACTTCCTTATCATTTCCAGTATCATGTTCCACTCTATGTATGTTTCCATAATCTAACCATTGATGGGTACCTTTTTCTATTGCAAATAATATGGCAGCAAATATCCTTGAACAATTGTACATTTGATAGACATTTTCCAGCTGATCTTCATGTTGTCTGTACTATCTCCCTTTGTCTCTATACTCCCATCAGCAACATATGAGGTGGTTTGTTTCCTTCAGTTTCACCAGTGTGGAGGACTATAAAACTTTTTGATACTTGCCAATTTGATAAAGAATGGCATTTAATTTTCATTTAAATATTACTTCTCCTTTTTTCTGCCTCAGATTGGGCATCTTTTCCTGTATTTAAGAGTTATTTATAGTTTTTGTAGCTTATATGTTCCTGTTCTTTGTACATTCTTCCTTGGTTTGTCTGTGTTATTGATTCTTCTGAGGTCATTAAAAAGGAAATTATTCCTTTGTCTACAATAGGAGTTTCAAATACCTTTTCCTGTGATTTTCCATTTGTATTTTGACTTTGATTACGGTGGATTTTACTGTATAGAATTTTTTGTTATTATTAGTTTATCGATGGTTTCATTTGCCATATTAAAATATCAGTGAATATTTAAAACTGTAAATAATAGCAAAATAGGTTTTTTTCTTTTCTGCCCTACCAGCACTGGAAGCAGGAGGCAGTATCACTTTTTCTTGCAGACTTTACCTTACATAATTTTTTGCAGAAGTTTGTCAGAGTGGATTTGAAGTGATGTCTATTCAGTTTTAATAAAAGAAAAACTCTCTATTGTCCCAACTTACAGACCTACTGGTATCTTGTATATTCCTTCAAAACTTTGGACAGGTTTTCTAAAAAAGAAAGAAGCAAAATGAACACTGTGGAACAGTCCCTTGATCAATGTTTTGGTAAAACCATTTCACTGTTAGTAACTGCTATCTTCTTCTTCATTGCCCAAGTAAAAACACAAGAGTAATATAGAAGAAAAAGATGATATAGATATTTTTGCTTTTATTTCTTGACAAACATCAATGAAATAGAAAAGAATATTATCTAGAACATATTTTAACATTTGTAACATGTTTTCAAAGTCTTGCTTGTAACACATTTTCAAAACTTCTAGTATATAATGCCACTGGCATTAGAATTATCTTACAAAGCGAATTTCATTTCTAAATGTTGCAAAGTTGCTTCCTTTCCTACTAGCATAAATTTAAATAATCTGACAAGGCCATTTAATTATTGGATGCATGCTCTCTTGCATACCTCAAGTAACCTCTTCTATGTTGATGACATTGTTTATTGTTAGGGAACAAGAATAGTCTTAAGATATCTGAGCCTGTGGGTTCATTATTGTCAATAAGATTGGCTTAACTTCAGCTATACTAAAGCTAAATTTATAATCTTGGTTGGAAGTTTCTCCAAATTTAAATGAATGCACCCCTACAGCCATCCTTTAACAGAATTTAGCAAAATAACAAAAGAAAAAAAATCCATTTGGCAGCGCAACACATTCATTGGGAAACTAACACATCCTCTCTGAAAACATTTAAATCAAGCTGGTCCAACCTGCGGCCCATGGGCCACATGCAGCCCAGGATAGCTTTGAATGCGGCCCAATACAAATTCATAAACTTCCTTAAAACATTATGAGATTACTTTTTGCAATTTTTTTAAAGCTTATCAGCTATTGTTAGTGTTAGTGTATTTTATGTGTGGCCCAAGACAATTCTTCTTCTTCCAATGTGACCCAGGGAAGTCAAAAGATTGGACTTCCTGAATTTTAAACCCATACATTGTTTATTATTTGCTGTTCGTTAGAGATCCTTGAACTCTTCTGAAGATCAACTGGATTTCCTAATGAAGCTGCAGGAGCTATCTGCCTTAGGAGACCAGGAGGGGGTCAATCAAAACTGCTTGTTTATTTTCCTTTACAAATATTGGTCCTCACACAATTTTGTTTTCTGCCCCTTAATAGCATTTTGTGTGTGTATGTGTGTTTGTGTGTGAGATATTCTTTAATCCAGATACTTTTCTTTCTCATAAGACTTATGCAAAATAAACATCCGTCAAGGTCATGAAAGACAAGGCAAGACTGAGAAAATTTGAAAGGACTGGAGGCAACTGAAGAGAAATCACTCCTGAATGCAATATGGACCCTGGAGCAGATAAAGGACATTAGTGAAAAACAGGTGAATTTTTCATGAAGTCTGCAGCTTACTTAGCAATGCAATCCCAAAGTTACTCTCCTGTTCATTTTCCCCCAGTTTTAATGAGGTATAATTGGTATACTGAAAACTGTGCATACTTAATATATACAATTTAGACATGTGCATACACTCATGTTACCATTACGATAATCCAGGTAATAAATTTATCACCTCCAAAAGTTTCATTGTAATCCTCCCTCCTTTTTTCTTTTTGGTGAGAATACTTAATATGAGATTTATCATCTTGATGAATTTTTAGGTACTATATATATATATATATATACATGTATATATATGTGTGTGTATATATATATGTATATATACAATTTTTTTTTTTTTTTTGGTGAGATGGAGTTCTGCTCTTGTTTCCCAGGCTGGAGTGCAATGGCGCGATCTCGGCTCACTGCAACCTCCACCTCCCAGGTTCAAGCGATTCTCCTGCCTCAGCCTCCTGAGTAGCTGGGATCAGAAGCATGTGTCAGCACACTCGGCTAATTTTGTATTTTTAGTATGTTGGTCAGGCTGGTCTCGAACTCCCAACCTCAGGTGATCTGCCTGCCTCGGCCTCCCAAAGTGCTGGGATTACAGGCGTGAGCCATCGTGCCTGGCCCACAATATCTTATTTTTAACCCTAGGCACTATGTTGTACAGCAGGTCCGTGGAACTTACTCGTCTAGCTGTAACTTTAAACCTATTGAATGACAACTTGACATATTACTCTCTTCCCATCTCCTGGTAACCACTATTCTATTGTTTACTTCTATACCTTTGACTATTTTAGATGCCTCATATAAGAGAAATCATGCAGTATTTGTTCTTCTGTGACTGACTTATTCCACTAATGTCTTCCAGTCCATCCATGTTGTCACAAATGGTAGGATTCCCTTCCGTTTTAAGGCTGAATAATATTCCACTGAATGTATGTATCACATTTCTTTATCCATTTATCTGTCAGTGGACACTTGGGGTTTTTCTATACTTTGGCTATTGTTCATGCTGCAATGAACATAGGAGTACGGATATCTCTTCAAGATTTTACTTCCAATTTTCTTGGATATATGCCCAGAAGTGACACTGCTGGACCATGTGGTAGTTCTATTTTTAATTTCTTGAGGAACTGCCATACTGTCTTCCATGGCTTCACCATTTGGCATTCCCACCAATAGTGTGCAGTGGTTCCATTTTTTTAATAGTCTCACCAGTGCTTGTTATCTCTCATTTTTTTGATAATAGCCATCCTAACAGAGGTGAGGTGATATCTTATGTGCTTTTTGTTCCATAAGTTATTGGGGTACAGGTGGTATTTGCTTACAAGAGTAAGTTCTTTAGTGATGATTTGTGAGATTTTGGTGTACCCATCACCCGAGCAGTATACACTCTACCATATTTGTAGTCTTCTATCCCTCATCCCCCTCCCAGTCTTTCCCTCAAGTCCCCAAAGTCCATTGCATCATTCTTACGCCTTTGTGTCCTCATAGCTCAGCTCCCACATATTAGTGAGAACATACAGTATTTCATTTTCAATTCCTGAGTTACTTCACTTAGAATAATAGTTTCCAATCTCATCCAGGTCATTGCAAATGCTGTTAATTCATTCGTTTTTATGGCTGTGTAGTATTCCATCATATATATATATATATAATTCCACTAATGTATATGTTAATATATAATACACATATGTATATATTATATATAATGTATATTATTCCACTAATGTGTGTGTGTATGTATATATATACTTATTCCACTAATGTATATACAATGCGATATATAGTGAATTGTGCTGCTATAAACATGTGTGTGCAAGTATCTTTTGCGAACGACTTCCTTTCCTCTGGGTAGACACCCAGTAGTGGGATTGCTTTATCAAATGGTAGTTCTACTTTTACTTCTTTAAGGAATCTTCCCACTGTTTTCCATAGTGGCTGTACTAGTTTACATTCCCACCAGCAATGTAGAAGTGTTCCTTGTTCATGCATCCATGCCAGCACCTATAGTTTTTTTATTTTTTTGAATATGGTCATTCTTGCAGGAGTGAGGTGGTATTGCATTGTGGTTTTGATTTGCATTTTTCTGATCACTAGTGATGTTGAGCTTTTTTTCATATGTTTGTTAGCCATTTGTATATCTTCTTTTGTGAATTTTCTATTCATGTCCTTAGCCCACTTTTTGATGGGATCGTTTGTTTTTTTCTTACTGATTTGTTTGAGTTCATTGTAGATTCTGAGTATAAGTCCTTTGTAAGATATATAGACTGCAAAAGTTTTCTCCCATTCTGTGGGTTGTCTGTTTACTCTGCTGACTGTTTCTTTTGCCATGCAAAAGCTCTTTAGTTTAATTAGGTCCCAGCTATTTATCTTTGTTTTTATTGCATTTGCTTTTGGGTTCTTGGTCATGAAATCCTTGCCTAAGCCAATGTCTACAAGGGTTTCTCCAATGTTATCTTCTAGAATTTTTATAGTTTCAGGTCTTAGGCTTATGTCCTTAATTCATCTTGAGTTGATTTTTGTATAAGGTGAGAGATGCAGATCCAGTTTCATTCCCCTACATGTGGTTAGCCAATTATCCCAGCACCATTTGTTGAAAAGGTGCTTTCTCCACTTTATGTTTTTGTTTGCTTTGTTGAAGATCAGTTGGCTGTAAGCATTTGGCTTTGTTTCTGGGTTCTCTATTCTGCTCCGTTGGTCTATGTGCCTATTTTTGTACCAGTGCCATCCTCTTTTGGTGACTATGTCCTTACAGCATAGTTTGAAATCAGGTAGCGTGATGCCTCCAGATTTGTTCTTTTTGCTTAGTCTTGCTGTGGCTATGCAGGCTCTTTTTTGGTTCTATATGAATTTTAAAATTGTTTTTTTCTAATTTTGTGAAGAATGATGGTGATATTTGACAGCGATCGCTTTGAATTTGTAGATTGCTTTTGGCAGTATGATCATTTTCACAATATTGATTCTATCTATCTATGAGCATGGGATGTGTTTCCATTTGTTTGTGTCATCTATGATTTCTTTCAGCAGTGTTTTGTAGTTTTCCTTGTAGAGGTCTTTCGACTCCTTGGTTAAGTATATTACTAACTATTTTATTTTGTTTGCAGCTATTGTAAAAGGTGTTGAGTTCTTGATTTGATTCTGTGCTTAGTTGCTATTGGTCTATAGAAGAGCTACTGATTTGTGTACATTATTCTTGTATAGAAGAGATACTGACTTGTGTACTGGAAACTTTGCTGAATTATTTTTAACAGTTCTGGGAGCCTTCTGGAGGAGTCCTTAGGGTTTTCAAGGTAAACAATCATATCATCAGCAAATAGTGACAGTTTGACTTCCTGTTTACCAATTTGGATGCCCTTTATTTCTTTCTCTTGTCTGATTTCTCTGGCTAGGACTTCCAGTACTATGTTGAAGAGGAGTGGTGATAGTGGGCATCCTTGTCTTGTTCTAGTACTCAGAGGGAATGCTTTCAACTTTTCCCCATGCAGTATTATGTTGGCAGTGGGTTTGTCATAGATGGCTTTTATTACATTAAGTTATGTCCCTTGTATGCTGATTTTGCTGAGAGTTTTAATCATAAAGCAATGCTGGATTTTGTCAAATGCCTTTTCTGCATCTATTGAAATGATCGTGTGATTTTTGTTTTCAATTCTGTTTATGTGGTGTATCACATTTATTGACTTGCAGATGTTAAACCATCCCTGCAGCCCTGGTATGAAACCCACTTGATCATGGGGGATTATCTTTTTGATATGTTGTTGGATTTGGTTAGGAAGTATTTTGTTAAGGATTTTAGCATCTATGCTCATCAAGGATATCAGTCTGTAGTTTTCTTTTCTGGCTACGTCCTTTCCTGGTTTTGGTATTAGGGTGAACTAGAGGGTTCCTTCCTTATCTTGTGGAATGGTGTCAAAAGGATTGGTACCAATTCTTCTTTGAATGTCTGGCAGAATTCTGCTGTGAATCCCTCTGGTCTTGGACTTTTTGTGTTGCTAATTTTTAAATTACCACTTCAATCTCACTGCTTATTATTGGTCTGTTCAGGGTATCTAATTCTTCCTGATTTAAGCCAGGAGGGTTGTATTTTTCCAGGAATTTATCCATCTCTTCTAGGTTTTCTAGTTTATGTGCATAAAGGTATTCATAGTAGCCTTGAATGATCTTTTATATTTCAGTAGTGTCAGTTGTAATATCTTCTGTTTCATTTCTTAGTGAAGTTATTTGGATTTTCTCTCTTTTTTTCTTGGTTAATCTTGCCAATGGTCTATCAATTTTATTTATCTTTTCAAAGAACTAGCTTTTTGTTTCATTTATCTTTTGTATTTTTTTTGTTTCCATTTCATTTAGTTCTGCTCTGTTCTTGGTTATTTCCTTTCTTCTGTGGGATTTGGGTTTGGTTTGTTCTTGTTTCTCTAGTTCCTTGAGGTGTGACCTTGGAGTATCAGTTTGTGCTCTTTCAGTCTTTTTGACGTAGGCATTTAGGACTATGAACTTCCTCTCAGCACCACCTTTGCTGTATCCCAGAGGTTTTGATAGGTTGTGCCATTATCGTTGCTCAGTTTGAAGAATTTTTAAGTTTCCATCTTGATTTCTTTTTTGACCCAATGCTCATTCAGGAGCAGGTTATTTAATTTCTGTGTATTTGCATCGTTTTGAAGATTCCTTTTGTAGTTGAGTTGATTTCCAGTCTTATTTCACTGTGATCTGAGAGAGTGCTTGATATAATTTCAATTTTCTTAAATTTATTGAGACTCATTTTCCTATGGATGTGGCTTCCTGTGAGCTGAACTGCAGTGATTCTTGTTTCTCTTCTAGGTCTACCCACCCAGTAAGTCTACCCGGCTCTGGGCTGGTACTGGGGGTTGTCTGCGTAGAGTCCTGTAATGGGAACTGTCTATGGGTTTCTCAGCTGTGGATACCAGTGCCTGTTCCAGTGGAGGTGGTGGGAGGGGGGTGGGGGCAAGTGCAGCGGACTCTGTGAAGGTTCTTAGCTTTGGTGGTTTAATGTTCTATTTTTGTGCTGGTTGGCCTCCTGCCAGGAGGTGGCGCTTTCCAGAGAGCTTCAGCTGTGGTATTATGGGGAGGAACCTGCCGCCGGTGGACAAGGCCTTAGAACTCCCAGGATTAAATGCCCTTTGTCTTCTGTTACTAGGGTGGGTAGGGAGGGACCATCAGGTGGGGGCAGGGCTAGGTGTGTCTGAACTCAAACTCTCCTTGGGCAGGTCTTGCTGTGGCTGCTGTGGGGGATGGTGGTGAGACTCCCAGGTGACTGGAGTTGTGTATCTAGGAGGATTATGGCTGCTTCTGCTGAGTCATGCAGGTTGTTCCGGAAGTGGAGGAAAGCCGGTAGTCACAGGCCTCACCCAGCTCCCACACGCAAACCGAAGGGCCCGTCTCCCTCCCACCATGCTCCCTGCAACTGCCCCCAGACTGTTTCCAGGTGGAGAGCAATACAGGATCGAAAATCTGCACCAGGCTATTCGCCTCCCAGCTGTGAAAAAAAAGGGCTTGGTTCTTCCCCAACCAGTGGAGTCCGCACACTGGATTTGCGCCCTCCCGCAAGTTCTGGCCGGGAGGCTTCTCACCCGGTTCAAATTGTTACAAAGTTCAGCTAGAGATTTGCTTCTTCCTGTGCAGTTTTACCCCCGCTCCTCTCCTGTTGGATCTCTGTGGTACCAGGCAGGAATGGGTGCTAGGGGACCCAGTGAGGTTCCGGGGCCTTTCTGCTGCTTCCTCTACCCGTGTTTCACTCGGCTCTCCATACTGATTCAGCTCCAGGTAAAGTCGGAAACGTCTCCCCCAAACAGACCTTAAGTTTCTGCAGTGGGGGTGTGTGTTCAGGAGAGGAGGGTCTCCCTTTCCCACTTCCACAGTCTGGGCACTCACAGTTTTGGGGGAGTCTCCTGGGTCCTGCAGGAGTAGTCCGCTTCCTTCAGAGGGTCTGTGGGTCCTCTCGGGATTGCTGGTTGAAGGTTCTTGTGGTGGATCTGGAGCTAAAATTCACAACGCCAGCCACCCGCTGCTCTGTCAGGAGCTGCAATCTTGTCCTGCTTCCCATCCACCATGATCGACTTCTATCTCTTATGTCTTTTTTTGTTTTCATTTCCCTGATAATTAGCAATGTTGAACATGCTTTCATATGCTTGTGGGGCATTTCTAGGTCTTCTTTGGAAGAATTTCTATTCAAGCCCTTTGCACATTTTTTCTACATTTAAAAATTACTGTTGAATAACATAGACTTACAAAGTTGCAACTAAGTATTTAAGTGCTTAAGCAGATTTAATGTATTCTTTCTTTTAAGAAAAATCTTGATCATTCTACCCCGGTGGGGTTTTTTTTTAAATATAGAATATGACACATAGACACCTGTCACAAAGTTTTTCAAGAATTGAAGTTGAGATATAATTTAAATACAATAAAATGCACAGATTTAAGAGTTTATTTGCTGAGTTTTAAGAGCTGTGTGTATTTGTGCTAAACATCATCCAGAAAAAACATATAGACCGTTTCCATTTTCTCCAGAAACTTTTCTTGTACCCACGTTTAGTCAGCTCAGTCACTCTCCAGCAATCAACAACCTGTTGATGGACATTTGGATCATCTCCAGATTTTGATTATGAATAAGTTTGCTATGAACATTCTTGTACAAGTCTTTTTGTGGTCATATGTTTTCAGTTATCTTGGGCAAATTACTAGGAGTGTAATTGCTGGCCTTGGGCCAATTATATGTTTATTTTTCTAAGAAACTGCCAAACAGTTCACCAAAGTGGTTGTACCATTGCACATTCTCACCAGCAGTGAATGAGAGCTCTGATTGTTCCACATCACCACCAGTACTTGGTATTGTCAGTTTTTTTTTTGTTTGTTTTTTTAGCTATTGCAGTGAGCATGAAATGGTATCTCATTTTGGTTTTAATTTGAATTTCCCTTTGAATAATAATGAGCATCTTTTTATTTTGTATTGGTTACTTGTAAATCTTGTGTGTGTGTGTGTGTGTGTGTGTGTGAGACAAGTTTGTTTGAATATATTTGTTCATTTTAAAAATTAGATTATTCATTTTTTTCCCCTGTTGATTTGTAGGAATTCTTTGTGTATCTATATAAAGGATGCCAGATTTTTAAAAACAGATTTTTAACCAATATATATTTTTCCTAGTCTGTGGTTTACCTATTAGTTTTGTAAGTAGTGGTTTTAATGAGCAGCAGGTTTTAATTTTGATGGAATCTAAGTTATCAATTTCCACTTCTATGGCTATTACTTTTGTGACCTAAGCAATCTTCATCTACTGTAGAGTGTTATAGCTCTAGTTTTTAAGTTTAGGCCTATGATCCATTTCAAATTAATTTTTGAATGGGATGAGGTAGCAGTTGAGGTTTATTTATTTTTGTTCATTTGGATTCTAGTTTTTTCACTACCACTTGTACAAAAGACTTTGTTTCCCCTGATGAATTACCTTGGCATCTTTGGGGAAAACCACCTGCCTATATTGTGCAGATCTATTTCTGGAATCTCTATTCTGTTACACTGATTGATTTGTCTATCTATGTAGCAATAGCACACTGTCATAATATTACTTTATGGTTAGTTTTGAATGAAGTAGTATACATCCTTTAATTTTGTTCTTCCTCAGCTTGTCAATTTCTTCATAAGCAGTCTGCTGGGATTTGTTTGAGAACGTATTAAAGAGATCAACTTGGGTCAAATGGACAAAAGAGTGTTGAGTCCTTCGATTTATGAACATGAGGTATCTTTTCACTTATTTAAATGCTCTTTAATATCTCTTAGAAATTTTTGTAGTTTTCCGTGTAAAGGTCTTGTGCGTCTTTTGCTAGAATCATTCCAATGTGTTCAGCGTTTTGTGTTGCTATTATATGTGGTATTGTTTTAAAATTACACTTTATAATTGTTTTTTGTTAACATATAGAAATACAATTGATTTCTGTATATTGACCTAAATTCTGCAGCCTTACTAAATTCACTTGCCAGTTCTAATAGAATTTGTTTTTGTAAATTCCATTGGAATTTCTTTTGATTTTTCCTTTTTTTTTTATGAAGATGGAGTCTCACTTTGTTGCCCAGGCTGTTCTTAAACTCCTGGCCTCAAGCAGTCCTCCTGCCTCAGTCTCCCAAAGTGCTCGGGTTACAGGTATGAGCCACCACGCCTGGCCTCTTTTACAAATTTTAAGGTAGAAGCATGGATCAGTGATTTTCCATCTTTATTCTTTAATAATGTAAACAATTCAACACTAAGCATTTCTGTTACTGGTGAAGGGTCTTGACTACGAGTCATACAGGTTCTTGGCGTTTTGAACAAAGAATTGGACAAAATGCACAAAGCAACAAAAGCACAGATTTATTGAAACAAAAGTACACTCCACAGTGTGGGATCAGCCTTGAGCAAGCACAAGTGGTCAAGAGTGCTAATTATAGAATTTTCGTGGTTTAAATACCCTTTAGAGATTTCCCATTGCTTAATTGGTTACACCCTATGTAAATGAAGCACTGTCCCAGGACCAGTCTGAATGGTCATGGGAGGTGACCAATCAGAGGCTGAAGTGAAGTTATAAAGTTACACCCTATGCATACAAAGACTTGGCCCGTTACCAATCTGATTGGTTGTGGGAGGTGGCCAATCAGAGGTACTTTCCAGTTTTCTTCTGCAACGCAATGGAAAGGGTAGGGGGTTTTGCAAAGGGAGAAGCCTCTGATCCTTTTGTTACTTGGGCATGGAGAGATAGGATTTTCTTTTTGATTCTGTTCTAGGAAGTCAGTGCAAATCAGTTTGCACTGTTCTCCTGTTCTCCTGCCTCATTACCTGTTCTCCTGCCTCATTACCTCCTCAGCTTAGTATTAATTGAATCCCATAAATTTACATATGTTGTGATTTAATTGTCATTTAGGTTGAAGTATTTTCAGTTTTTCTTATAATTTTTTCTTTGACTCTGGATTATTCAGAAGCCCATAATTTAATTTCCAAATGTTTGTCATGAGTGTTCTTAGCTATCTTATTGTTTTAGAGTGCTAATTTAATATCAATGTGACCAGAGAACATACTTTATCATTTCAATTTTTATAAATGAATTGCAACTAGTTTTATGGGCCAGAATACAGTCTCTCTTGGTAAGTGTGCCATGTATTCTTTTAA
Organism: Homo sapiens; assembly: GCF_000001405.40. Lineage (NCBI taxonomy): Eukaryota > Metazoa > Chordata > Mammalia > Primates > Hominidae > Homo > Homo sapiens. The sequence continues at coordinate 214,827,470 of NC_000001.11, forward strand.
ATTTTATCTGTTTATTATCTAATTTTTTAATTTTTATTTTTATTTGTGAGACAGGGTTTCACTATGTTGCTCAGGCTGGTTTTGAACTCCTGAGCTCAAGGGATCTACCTGCATAGGCTTCTCAAAGTGCTGGGATTACAGGCATGAGCCACCATGGCCAGCCTGTATTCTTTAAAAGAATATGCATTCTTCATTTTGGGGTATTGTATTTTCTATGAATGTAAATTAGGTCATGTTAGCTGATGATGGTGGTCTAAATCTTTTATACTCTTAACTGATTTTTTGGTTTACTTTTTCTGCCAATTAGTGAGGAAGAAATATTAACTTCTCCAGCTGTGATTATAGATATTTCAATTTCTTCTCTGATTTCTGAGTTTTTGCTGCATAATTAGGTGCATACTTATTTATGAGTGATTTGAATTCTTGATAAATTGACCATATTATCATTATCAAATGTCTGCCTTTAGTTCAGATTATACTGTTTATCTTAGAGGAATTTGTTTTATACTAGTACACTAATACTAGCTTTCTATCCTTTAGTACTTGCATGGTATATGTTTTCTCACCCTTCTCCTTTCAATCAGTCTATGTATTTCTATTTTGAGTGTATTTCTTGTAAACAGTTAATGATTGAGGCTTTTTTTTGGTCTAGTTTAACAATCTCTGCTTTTTACATGACATGTGTAATCCATTTACATTTAATATAATTATTGATACTTGGGTTTAAGTATAACATCTTGGTATTGATTTTCTATTTGCCTCATCTCTCTTTCCTTTATTTCTTTGTTTCTGCCTTCTTTTGGCTGAATAAAAAATTTTGTAATATTCCACCTTGTTTCTTCTATTAACTTTTAAAGTATTTTAGTAATTGCTGTAGAGATTGCTACATGAGCTTTGAACTTCAGTTCTACGCTGAAGTAATACTGAATCTTACAACAAGGATCTTACGACACTTGAATGGAATCTTACAACCCTTTGTCTTCAGTGGGGTTTGGGATCTGTGTATTCATGAACCTCCTTGTATGCTTTATAGCTTTGCTACCAGATTTTTGGGTTTGTAGATGAGTGGGGGAGGAATTCTCTTTTCTCTACAAGTTACTTTCAGGTTTCTGTGCTCATGATACCTCCCTCTGCTCTGCTGATGTCCCTAGGCTTTGGAGAGTGTGTTGTAGTATACTTAGTAAAAGCCTGGTGAGCCTTGGAAAGATTTTTCTCAACTCTTGCTCTGTCCCTGCCTTTGGTGGCTTCTGCGTTGCACATGGGGAAAAATTTGTGTGTTTACCCAGCCCGTTCAACCTCTTAGATGGGAGAGACATTCTCTTCTCACTTTCTACATTCTGACAAGAAGAGGAAGTCCCTTTATATGTCAACTTTTACCATCTAAGATCTAAAACAACTTAATCAAAGATGGCAAAATTTCACATAAACTCCATATTACCAGTTTTCCCTGAAAATCCAGATAAATTTTACAATAATGGGTCTGTATTTCTTTTAAATAAAAATGGGCTGAAGCTGGGTAGTGATTCTCTTATATGATAAATTATGTACTCTTAACTTGCACAATCCCCTTCACTTCCTATTTATTCACTACCTGAGTCAAACATCTATCTGCCTGGACTCTGCAGGCAATGTAAATTGGAATCCCTGCTTAAGTCTTATGATTATCTCTTTAATCAATATTATAAAATAGCAACACTCTAGGCATGATAAATTGCCTTTCTAACCTTTTATTTTTGAAATATCTGCTGCTTTAAAGGGAATGTGTAAAATATATATTAATTATTAATTCCTTTACATTTCCTAAGTCCTTTCCATTTTTAAGTTGTATAATCAGAACTCAGTTTTTGTGAACTCTAATTCTTTGAAGATATCTTTTGATTTCTATGCAGTGCTGCGTATTTTGTGTAAGGATAATACTAGAGTGATCATTTGCAGTGTGTATCATTTGTAAAAGCACAATACTAAGCATTTTTCTATTATCATCCAATGTCCCTGGAATTTGAAATATACTTAATAAATATTTTCTAGATTTACACTAGAAAAAATATGCTTTTCCATGTGTCTTAGTTTGTTTGGGCTGCTATAACAAAACATCATAAACTAGGTAGCCTAAACCACAAACATTTATTTCTCACAGTTCTAGAGGCTGGGAAATTCCAGATCAAGGAATCTGCAGATTTGGTGTCTGCTGAGGGCCTGTCTCCTGGTTCATAGATGGCTGTCTTTTTGTTGTAAGCTCACACTGGGGAAGGGTTGAGGGAGCCCTCCTCAATCTCTTTTATAAGGGCACTAATCCCATTTGTAAGGGATGATGCTCATGACCTAATCACCTCCCAAAGGCTTCACCTCCCAAAGGCTACACCTCCTAGTAGCATCACCTTGGAGGTTAGGATTTCAACATATAAATTCTGGGGTTGGAGGGGACACAATTTTTCAGTCAATAGCACCATGCTAATATATGGGTCTTTAAAAAGCCAGTTTTTTTGGGAGCATCAACCAATGATTGTTTTTAACTTAGTTACCATGAAGCTCAAAGTTAAATTTAGCATTTAGTTATAATATCTCACTCCTACTATTTGTTCTAGGTAATTTCTTTGAATTGGTTAGAATAATTAGGAGGAAAAGAACTAATCAGAACATTTTCACTGATGCCCATATGAGGCCCAATTTAACTGAACAAACAACACTAAATTCTTAAATTAGAAGGGAGTGATATAATTTACCTACTCCACGCCCTTGGATCCAAAGTAGAATATTCTGAGCTCAGGATTCTTGTTTGGGTTTAGTAGCAGATGGGCAGGAAGGAACCCCTCCAGGATCATGTCTTGACTCAGTTTCTTGTTAAAGCAGAAACTATAGATGACATGACAGACCTCAAAGCATCATCATTTGAATACGAATAAGAAAGTCATAGTAGTCTCAGTTCCCTGGAGGGTTCAGTACTCATTGAATTCACGCTCTGCACTGAAACTCTTTCCTGTTCCCACCTGAGTTCTGGTCATCATCACAGATCCATCTGTGTTTATCATTCATCCACCTGCCTCTGTGTTCTTAAATCAGAAAAGGGGCTTTCTTCTTATTGATATATTTACTTTAGTGTTATTGATCAAGGATCTCTGCAAAGGAGTCATGGCTTAGTTATTAAATCTTCTTAGGGTACAATATTTAATTAATACCAGGAATCAAAAACAATTGTGTGGTTAGATCTCATGATCAGTACAAACCTTTCATTCATTGATTCAAAATAATGCATTCAACATTTTTCCAAAAGTTAGATAATAATGAAAATATTATTTAGAAATTTCCCGTGGAGGCTGATACCTGCTTCTTTTCTTGCTTTTGCTAAAGGTGATCATCATAAACAGAACTTAAAAAAAAAAATGTCCACTCACAGAGGCTTGGCTTACTTATTTAACTTCTCTTTCTAATTGCTAATTTTACTTTTTAAATTATGGTTTTTTTATTATGTGTTGAACATTGTAAATTGCCGAACACATTTTTCTTTAAAATGGGAAGGCTATAAAAAATAGATATATATAACAATCTGAAACATTGAACAGATTGTGGTAAGCCATTTTTATAATTCTTTCCATAAGAAGGGTGTGGAACTGTCACGAGTCAGAAGCAAGGTCATTCTCCCTACATTGCCAAATTATACAGTCTTTCTACAGAGGAATAAGAAGCATTGTGGAGAGGCATAATAAATACACAGACATGTGATACTATCTCTAGTCCAACAACTTCTAAATTAGAATCTCCTGCCAAGACTTCTCCCTAACTAACTCCATCTTGTACACTCAACTGATTACACAGTGTTCTCACTTACATATCTAATTGTCATTTGAGCCAGGTGTGGTGGCTTATGCCTGTAATCCCAGCACTTTGGGAGGCTGAGGTGGGCGGATCACCTGAGGTCGAAAGTTCAAAACCAGCCTGGTCAACATGGTGAAACCCTGTCTCTACTAAAAATACAAAAATTAGCCAGGTGTGATGGCACATGCCTATAATCCCAGCTTCTTGGGAGGCTGAGGCACAAGAATCACTTGAACCTGGGAGTTAGAGGTTGCAGTGAGCTGAGATTGCATAACTGCACTCCAGCCTGGCAACAGAGCGAGACTCTGTCTCAAAAAAAGAAAAAAAAAAAAGGCATCTGAAAGTTAACATGCCCTGAGATGATTCCTGAACTCCCTCACCATACCTAATCTTCTCATGTTTTTCTCTCAGTAAATAGCCAGTTCATTATTCGAATTCCTCTGACAAACCGTCTTGAAACTATATTTAATTCTTCTCTTTTACTCGTATTCCACATCTGATCCATAATAAGTCTTATTGGCCATGTCTACAAAAAGAAAATCCTGAATCTGACCCCGTATAAGCAGCTTTACCACTACCACCCTGGTCCAAGTCACTGTCATTTCCCGCCTGGATTATTGCAGTTTTCTAATTGTTCTACCTGCTCCAGTCCTGTTCCATTCAGTGTATTCCTAACAAGTTGAAGATATTATTAAGATATAGGTCAGATCTTGTCAGTCCTCTGCTCCATTTCTGTGCTCCAAACTCTTCAAGAGTTGAGTCTTCCTTTCTGTCTGACTCAAAGTAACAGCAAGAGACGTTAAAACAGCGCATGGCATTTCTGTGATCTGGCTGTCCATGGCCTCCCTGACCTTCTCCTACCCTCCCCGTGTGTCACTCCACTCCAGCCATGCTGGCCTCCTGGCCATTCCCTGACAGTTCAGGCATGCTCACACCTCAGGGCCTTTGCACAAGCTCTTCTTTCCTTCCATCTGGAACACTTACTTTCTCTGGGTATCGTCATGTGTCACTCCCTGACCTTCTTCAGTCTCTTGTCCATATCATCTTCTCACGGAAAATTTTTCTGGCCAGTCTAACACTGCAACCCTCCCCAAATCTCTCTATCCCACTTCACTATTTTTTTCTTGCTTTATTTTTTTCTCTTTAGCACATACCAGCACTCACAAATTGTGTTAGTTCCTCAGGCTGCCATAAAAAATGTACCTTAAACCAGGTGGTTTAAAACAACAGAAATTTATTCTTTTGTAGTTCAGGAGGCCAGAAGTCTGAAATCAAGATGATGATAGGATTGGGTCCTTCTGGAGGGTCTCAGGCAGAACCCATTCCATGCTTCTCCCCTGGCTTCCGGTGGCAGCAGCAATCCTTGGTGTTCCTTGATTTGGAGCTGCACACTCCAATTTCTGCCCCCATCATCATGTGGTCTTCTTCCTGTTTTTCTGTATCTTTAGGTCCAATTTTTTTTCTTCTTTAATGAACACTACTCATATTGGATTGAGGGCCCACCATCATCCAGCATGACCTCATCTTCATTTGATGACACCTGCAAAGATAATATTTCCAAATAATGTCACATTCATTGGTTCCAGGTAGATGTGAAATTTTGGGGGGACTATCCAACTTAAGACACTAACTTATTAATTTAACTTATTGTCTATCTCTGTCTCCAAAGTATAAATTCATGAGAACTTTGCTCATTGCTGCATCCCTTGTGTAGGATTAGTCTGCAACACTTAGTAGGATTTAATAATGTTTAAGTAAATAATCCCTTTGGTTGATCAGGCTATATTTTATTTAGATGGCAGATGCCCAGATAATATTTCAGGTGGTGATTACCATGTTATAAAGGGAGACCATTTTTCTAAGAAGTATAGGCTAAGGGCTAAAAATCCAACCATAATATTTTATTCTTTGACCTTTCCCCTAGATCTACTCACAGGCTTTGGACTAACTCTAAGTACCTTTGAAGCTCTATAAAAGTAAGTAATATCTGCTGTAAAAGACTCTGAGCTCCTTGGATAAAAGCATTATATCCATAAAGGGACTGTTCTTTTAAGCCCTCTCCAATGTCATTTGATAATAGAGGGCACTGAAAAACTTTTGATGTGTTTCTGGCTTCTCTAAATTCCCTGGATACTAGAAAATCAAATAAGACAGTCCAAGAAAAATATTTCCAAACAAAGCAAAAGCAAATAAAAGCCCCCAACATACTTTTGATGTCAAAGCAAAGCTCTGCTCACATTTAATACCCGTGTGTACACTCTTGGGTGCAGATGAGTCAACAGCAGCTAAGTTAACAGATGAAATATGCAGCCTTCTATCTCAATATGAATCTTCACATCCCATTCAAAGAATGTAACTCCAAAACATGTGTTTTTCTCTCAACGAATGGAAACCACATTATTTTATTAGCAAAGGTTGATGTGAATATTAAATGGTGCTTTTCACTTTTTAAAATAAGCTCTTAATTTTACCATTTAGTATTATTATTAGATCCTCATTTGACTGGGGTAAGAGGAGCGTCTTGTTACTGATGTTCAATCTTATTCTATGTGAGTTGATTATTTAGTTGCCAAAGTTGTGAATTATTGGCCTGAATGAAGCCTCCTGCCAGGTTTTCACATATTCTTTCATTATAGCCATGGTTAGTGTGGGATGCTGTATTAGTCAGGGTTCTCTAGAGGGGCAGAACTAACAGGATATATATATAAAATAAATAATTATATATATGGTATATTATATATTATATAATTATATATACTATATAATTATATATACTATATATATAGTATATATATATACACTATATATATAGTTTATATAGTATATATAATTATATTATATTATATCTATTATATATAATTATATATTATATATAATATAGTATATATAATATGTAATTATATATTATATAATATATAACATATATAATATATAATTACATATTATATAATGTATATAATATATAATTATATACATTATATAATATAGTATATAATTATATATTATGTAATATAGTATATATAATATATATATTATATGTATATAAGGGGATTTATTAAGTAGTATTAACTCACATGATCACAAGGTCCTGCAATAGGCTGTCTGCAAGCTGAGGAGCAAGGAAGCCAGTCCAAGTCCCAAAGCTGAAGAACTTGGAGTCCAAAGTTTGAGGGCAGGAAGCGTCCAGCACGGGAGAAAGAGGTAGGCTGGGAGGCTAGACCAGTCTAGCCTTTTCACGTTTTTCTGCCTGCTTTATATTCGCTGGCAGCGGATTAGATGGTGCCCACCAGATTAAGGGTGTGTCTGCCTTCCCCAGCCTGCTGACTTAAATGTCAGCCTCCTTTGACAACACACTCACAGACATACCCAGGATCAATACTTTGCATTCTTTAATCCTATCAAGTTGGCACTCAGTATTAATCATCACAGATTCCCTGCCAGTGGGGTGCTCTCCTGGAGAGTGAATGTTTTTCCTCAGTGAGAGACTGTAATGGGTTGAATCTTGTGTCCCCTTCTCACTACCCCGAAATTCATAAGTTGAAGTTCAAACCCCCATACCTCAGAATGCAACTTTATTTGAAAGTAGTGTCTTGGCAGATGCAGTTATTTAAGTTAAGATGTCATTAGGGTGGGCCCTAATGCCAATATGACTTGTGTCCTTATAAAGAAAGGAGTTTTGGACACAGAGATGTGCAAACAGGGAAACACCATGTGAAAATGAAGACAGAGGTCAGGGCAATGCTTCTATAAGCCAAGGAGCACCAGACCTTGCCAGCAAACCAGCAGAAACCAGAGGAACAGATTCTCACAGCCCTCAGAGGGAACCAATACTGCTGACACCTTCCAGCCTCCAGAACTGTGAGACAATAAATTTCAGGTGTTTAATTGACTCCATTTGTGGTACTTTTTTATGGCAGCCTTAGCAAACTGATACAGAGACCTTGCCAGCTACATCGGAACTAGATAGAGACAGAGTATCACCTTGAAATTGCTGAACACGGTCTCCTATTATAGGGTGCTTATAGGATAAGTAAACCTGATTGATGGGGTAAAGGGTGAGCAAGTTTTTGTGATAAAGTTGGTGGCTGGAACATCTTGCATACAATATGATATGCCTTGGGGCTGGTATGTCCATGGGAATTAATTGTGTGGAGTTACAGAATGAATTGCAGAGAATGAGAAGACCAGGGAACAAAGGCCTTGTGGGTGTGCATTATGGGAAATGAACTTTTCTGGAAGAGTCACTGTGAAAGGATTGGGGAGTGAAGGGCTATGAGCCTAATTTTTGAGAGCAGTTTTGATGGTGCAGGCAATGCTCCCTCTCCCAGAAAGCCATGGTTCTTCTGAGGAGTCTGGCCTGACACAGCTTCCCAGCAGTCTTGTGCCACCCTCTGGTGACACCCCATGACCTGTGCGTTTCTGACCTGCTTTGCTTCCTAGCAGCCCCGTTCACAGCAGGCCAAATCCAGAAATCAAACTTTGATCTCTCATGTAATTCAATCTTTTCTCCTTTCCCTGGGCTCTGCGAGCAGCAGTGGGAAAGGATCCAGTGGTTTGTTCTTTTACTCTCCTTCCTACACCTTCCTCCCACTCTCTAAGGTTAGTGGTTCAAACATGCAGAAGAAGGGATAGAGAAGAGGAGGAAGATATTTTTCTTTAGCTACTCATGCTTATTATAGTTCTCTTGCCTTTAAATGCCAGGGGTCCAACTGCAAATTTTTGCCTCCTGAGGCTCTTCCTGTGGATTCTTCCAGACCTCCCTTTGGGACCTCGGCATTGTGCCATTCCAGGCTTGGTGATCTCTCTTGCAGGCCTCTTAATATGCCCCCAGCTCTTGTGCTCTTGTGCCCTACTCAGGTTCTTTCTACAGGGAAGTCCTAGTCTTGTGTTGTGGGCTTAATTGTGTCCACTCCACCCCCCACCCAAATTCATATTTTAAAGCCCTAATTTCTAGTACCTCCAAATGTGATTATGTCTGGAGATAGCATCTTTCCAAGACATGATTAAACTAAAATGAGGTCATTAGGGTAGGCCCCAATCCAATATGACTGATGTCCTTATAAGAAGGGGAGATCAGGATGCAGACATGCACAGAGGGAAGACCGTTTGAAGACAGGGAGTTGGCTGTCAAGAAGCCAAGGAGAGCTGCCTCAGAATAAACCAACCCTGCTAACATCATGATCTTGAACATGCAGCCTCCAGGATTATGAGAAAATAAGTTTCTATTATTTAAGCCACCCAATCTGTGGCGCTTTGTTATGGCACCCCTAGCAGACTAATACACCCTGGAAAGCACTTGGGTGGGACCTTTTCAAGATGGCCCTCGCCTGGCTACCTTCATGGTGTCTACTAGGCTGACAGGAAGACTCCTGCCTCCCTTCCCCTCCATAATCCTACCCCTTTCCTCTATTTCCATGCCCTCAATTTCAGGAAACCCCACCTAAGTCTTCTTAGGATTATCTATTTCAGCAAACATGCAACCAGGGATGTGTTGTCAGACCCTCCTTTTGCAAAACCCAAAGCTCTATGATTGGTTCTCTTGGAGTCTTCCTCACCCAGCTGGGAAATGGAGAAAAAAGAACCTGCAGAAAGGGAAGAAGGAATATCGCAGCACTCTTTCTTTCTATGAGTTCTCTGTAAAGACCCTCCTCTCTTCATTCATTCAGGTCGCAAATGTCTGTTGACTGTCAGGCCACGTTCTAGATACAATAGTGAACAAAACAAAGTTCCTGCTCTCTTATATTCTAAAGGGCACAATATATTAACAAATAAAAGAATGTGATATGTTAAGTGCTAAGAATAACATAAACAGTGTATGGCAGGGGCTGGAAGTTCTATTTTATATAAGATACTTTTTATAGAGGAGGGAAAGTCTTTCTGATGCAGGGGCATATGTGTGCAACCTTGTGGGAATTGAAAGTAAAGCAATGAGCCTCTTTGAAAGAAGAACTATCCAGGCAAAGTGAGTAGTGAGACCCAGAAGACCCAGAAGTCAGAGTATGCTTGGTTTATTCATGGAAGAGGAAGAACAGACGTGTGGCTGCAACTTAGTGATCAAGGGGAAGGTTGGTAGGAGGTACATTCCAAAATGTGAGTATGGGCACAGATCAAGAAAGGCCTTACTGACAATTGTAAGGACTTTGAGTTTACTGCAGGGGAGTTTGAGTTTACTGCAGGGGAGTTGGGAAGCATTGAATTATTTTGAGCACGAAAGTGACATGATGTGATGAATTTTTATAGGGATCACTCTGGCTGCAAGTGAAGAATAAATTGTACAGAAACATGGGAGGGAAGCAGGGACACCAGTGTGACAAGAGGGTCTGCATGATGCCAACTCCATGCCCATTCTGCTTTCTTACTTAGAGATTCCTGATTTCAATGAGGTGCTGATATACTCAGTTAAAAAATACTTTTCTCAGTCTTTCTTGCATGCAGGAAGGCCTTGTGAGTATAATAGTTCTGGCCGATGATATGCAATCAGAAGTTGTTGTGAGGGGTTTTCAGGAATGCTACTTAAAAAGAGTGCTGCCTCTGCTAGCATATGCCATCTGCCCAATGTCTTTCCCTCTTTCCTGCCTAAAGGATAAGAATAATGGCTGGAATTGAAGGAGACATTATTAGGAAAATACAGTTTAAAAGCACAATGATTTACCTCCTCACATCTATCAGAATGGCTAACATTTAAGAAAAATGACAGTGCTAAGTGCTGATGAAGATGGGAGGCAACAGGCACTCTCATGCACTGCAGGTGAGAATGCAAAATATTACAACTCCCTTGAGAACTTTTAAGGTTTTTTATAAAGTTTAACCTAATCTTACTGAATGATTTAACTATACCACTTTCTCTTTGCCCAAGAGAAACACAAATTTATGTTCATATAAAAATCTGTATACAAGTGTTTATAGAAGCCTTATATGTAATCTCCAAAGACTGAAAACAACCCTAATGTCCTTGGGTGAACAGATTGACAAACTGTGGTGTGTCCATGCAATACTGTTCAGCAATACAGAAGAACAAAATACTGATATGGTCAGCAACTTGCATGAATCCCACATGCATTTTGCTAAGTGAAAAGCCGGGCCTAAAAGGCTATATACTGCATCATTTCGTTTCTATGACTTTCTAAAAAAGGCAAAGCAATAGGGACAGAACAGAGAAGCGTGGGAGTAAGGGAGAGGGAGGGGCTGACCCTAAAGGGACAGCATGAGAGCATTTTGGAGGGGCAATAAAACTTCTGTACCATGATTGTGGTGGATGTACATCTGTGTGCATTTCTGAAAACCCACAGAACTGTACATTCACAGGAGTAAATTTTAAAGTATGTAAAAAATGTAAAATCTGAAAAAAAGACTGGGAAAATAATTCATGTAAATCTGTCCCTTCTGCCAGAAAAACAACCCAAAGTGGGAAAATGAAATCATCTTGATTCCTGAAGTTTAGTGGTGTGGTTCAGGAGAAAGATAACTTAATTCCCCTTTATAAATAGCCTAGTTCCCATTTATTTTTAATTTTTTAATTTTTAAAAAAATTTTTTGAGACAGGCTCTTACTCTGTCTCTCAGGCTGTGGCACAGTGGCATGATCACTGCATACTGCAGCTTCAAACTCCTGGACTCAAGTTATCTGTCCACCTCATTCCCTTGAATAGGTGGGACTACAGTTATGTGCCACCATGCCTGGCTAATTTTTTACTTTTTATCCTTTGTAGAGACAGGGTCTTGCTATGTTGCCCGGGCTGGTCTCAAAATCCCAAACTCTGGCGATCCTTCCAACTCAACCTCCCAAAGTGCTGGGATTACAGATGTGAACCACTGTGCCTGGCCCCATTTTTAAAGGAAGTGCTTGTGTTAGGAAGGCAACGTAGGGAGCAGGATAGTCTGAGAAATTGGATTTTGGTGTATTTTTTTTCCATCTTAATATCTCCTACTGAAAACATTTGAAGAGGGTCAGAACTGACAGAGAGATAAGCCATATGTTAAGCTTCTTTTCTTCCTGGTATATAAATGTTAATATGCCAGATGAATTTCACCAGAGCAGTTGTTATGGGGATAACATAGGGATGAAATATCAGGAAGTTCCCCTCCCCGCCCCCGAAATCTCTTTAAACCGAGAAACATGATTTTAAAGTTTTAATATAAAAATAGTTTTGAAATCCTAGATGAGTTTTATTATTAGAAATGAAAATGATTTGGAAGGAATATTTAGTGGCGAGGAGCAATCTAATGAGACAGCTGAAATCCTACAAAAGGAGGAAGAGCAGTGGCATCTGAATGGAATAAAGCTGCAGCCGGCTCAGGTCACCAGATGGCCAGCCCTGCGGAGTCTCTTTCCCTGTCACCAATTACTGCCCATGAATTTTCTTTTTAGGGACATGCTAAGAAAGTCCTACTCTTGAATTCACACACAGAATAATCATCCACCAAGTAAGTCCCTTCTTTGCCCTAAGCTGCTCTGGATCTCTCTGCAGGACAGAGGTGAGAGCTGTGGTTTAATGGAAGGCAACACCAAAAGTGTGAACCACATGCAGCCGACTTTGTGCCCTCATGGGGTGGAAACTTTTTAAAAATTTCAACTTTTATTTTAGGTTCAGGGATACATGTGCAGGTTTGTTACATGAGTATATGGCATAATGCTGAGGTCTGGGTTACAAATAATCCTGTCATCCAGGTAGTGAGCATAGTACTCAATAGGTAGTTTTTCAACCCTTTTCCCACTCCCTCCCTCACCCATCTGGTAGACCCCAGTGTCTATTCCCGTCTTTATGTCCATTTGTACTCAATGTTTAGCTCTTACTCGTAAGTGAGAACATATGGCATTTAGTTTTCTGTTTCTGCATTAATTCACTTAGGATAATGGCCTCCTCCTCCTCCAACTGCATCCATGTTACTGCATAGGACATGATTTTATTCCTTTTTGTGGAGGTGTAGTATTCCATGATGTATATGTACCACATTTTCTTTAATCCAGTTCATCGTTGATGGGCATCTAGGTTGATTCCATGTCTTTGCTATTCTTAATAGTGCAATGATGAACATACAAGTGCATGTGTCTTTTGGTAGAATGATTTATTTTCCTTTAGGTATATGCCTAGTAATGGGATTGCTGGGGGGAATGGTAGCCTAAGTTCTTTGAGAAATCTCCAAACTGCTTTCCACAGTGGCTGAAATATTTTGTTTCCACCAACAGTGAATAAGCTTTCCCGTTTCTCTGCAGCCTCAGCAGCATCTGTTATTTTGTAACTTTTAAATAATAGCCATTCTGACTGCTGTGAGATGGTGATCTCATTGTGGTTTTGATTTGCACTTCTTTAATGATTAGTGATGTGGAACGTTTTTTCATATGTTTGTTGGCCACATGTATGTGTTCCTTTGAGGTTGTTTATGTCCTTTGCTCACTTTTTAATGTGGTTGTTTGTTTTTTGCTTGTTACACTGCTTAAGTTCCTTATGGATTCTGGATATTAGACCTATGTCGGATGAACAGTTTGTGCATATTTTCTCCCATTCGGCAGGGTGTCTGTTTATTCCGTTGGTAGTTCCTTTTGCTGTGCAGAAGCTCTTTAGTTGAATTAGGTCTCACTTATCCATTTTTGTTTCTGTTGCAATTGCTTTTGAGGACTGAATCGTAAGATCTTTGTGAAGGCCAATATCTAGAAAGGTATTTCCTTGGCTTTCTTCTAGGATTTTTTATAGTTTTAGTCTTACATTAAGTCTTAATCCATCTTGAGTTAATTTTTCTATATGATGAAGGGTAGGGTAGGGATCCAGTTTTATTTTTCTGCATATGACTAGCCAATTATCCCAAGAACAAGTGCAAATTTTAAAGGGGTAAAAGAGTAGGTTTATTTGGGAAGGAAGGTGAAGTGGAGGTCAATCAATATGTTTTTCCTAGAGAGGCTTTCTTAGTCAGAGGCTAAGATAGATGCTGTGTTATCCATGTAGGTGAGCCTATAACATTTGTGATGATGCCCTTGTGTACAAATGACTTCATGGCATTCAAAGTTAGTATATGGAAGGCAATGCTAAACTAGTGGTGTCTTTTTTAGTGTACTCTGAAGTAGAGATTAAGAGGAACAGGGGAAGTAAAGGATTAGAAGGGTCCCAAAGCCCTTCTTGATTATTCTCAAGCCAGCCAGAGCCCACACCTAAATGGTTCAATACTCTATTTTTAAAGCAGTTCCTTGCCCTGATGGGCAGTAATGGTACTCTGGCCCCTAACAGTCATCTTTTCCAGCTTTGCAAGTGCAGAGATTTCCAGGAGGGTGGAGTTGAGGAATAAAAAGGTAAGAGGGGCAAAACCATCTAAAACCTGCCCACCAGTGTTATGGCTGGGTACAGAACCCTTCCTTTGTGACCTGAAATACACCTGACACACAGGCCAGAATAATAGAAATAGGCTTAAGTCAAATTAAATCCAACAATATTTGCTAAATTGTGATTCCACATAAAAATAGTTTCCATAAGCCCTCTGTTGAGATGAAATGGGAAGTGTTTATAGAAAAGACAAGACAAAGTGTGTGCCTTGCACAGAGTAGAGAATCTCCTTTGTGCCCAATTCTTCCTCTCCCCACAATTTTTCTCAAGGCTGTTGATTTTTTTTCTTCATCTCTACTTAGACACAACTCCTTTCTCTACGTCTCACTAGGGCTCCTGCAGCCCCTTCTCAACTGTAGTTTCTTGCTTCTTCTCTAGTCTGTTTCCCACAGGGTGGCCAGAGTGATTTTCTTATAACTAATATGCCAGATTTTGTCACTCCCTGCTTAACACATCCAGTGATTTCCTTTGTACTTAGAATAAAACTCAACATTCCTTTGACAAAAACCATGCTATTGAGGTATTATTGGCATACCAAAGGCTGTCTACAACTTGATGACTTTGGAGGTAAGTATACATCCATGAAACCATCACCATGATCCATGCCATAAACTTGTCCATTCCTCCAGAACTTTTCTCCTGCCCTCATTACTCATTGCTCTTATTATTTTATGATAAGAACACAACATAAGATCTACCCTTTTAGCAAAATTTTAAGTATACAATATAATATTAGTATCTGTGGGCACTATGCCATGCAGTAGATCTTCAGAACTTATTCATCTTATGTGACCAAAACTTCATACCCTTTGACTAATACCTCCCTGTTTCCCCTTCCCCCCAGCCCCTGGCAACCACCATCCTACTCTGCTCCTATGCGTTTGACTCTTTCAGAGTCCTTATAGAAGTGGCATTATGTAGTATTTGTCCTTCAGTGGCTGGCTTATTTCACTTAATAAAATGTCTTCCAGTTTCTTCCGTATTGTTGCAAATGGCAGGATTCCCTTTTTAAAGGCTGATAGTATTCCATTGTATGTATATATTACATTTTCTTTGTTCATTTGTTGAAGGACATTTAGGCTGCCTCCATGTCTTGGCTCTTGTAAATAATGCTGCAATGAGCATGGGGGTACAGATATCTCTTCCATATATTGGTTTCCTCTCCTTTGGATATATATCCAGGGTGACATTGTTGGATCAAATGGTGGTTCTATTTTTAGTTTTTTGAGAACCTCCATATAGTGTCTGTACCAATTTACATTTCCACCAACAGTATAAAAGGGTTCCCATTATTTCACCTCCTTTTCAACAATTGTTACTTTTTTTTTTTTTTTTTTTAAATAGCAGCCATCCTAAGGGGGAATAGATGTGAGATGACATCTCACTGTGGTTTTGGTTTTCATAAAACCCAACATTTTATCATGGCTTATGCGGTCTTGAGTCACAGGGCTTCTGCCCACTTCTCCACTTGCAATCTAAAACATTTGCCTATTTTCCTTTAACATTCGTGGACAAACTTTCTGTTCCTCCACATGCAAAGCCCTTCCCCACTCCCAGCCTTTGCTGTTGCTGTTCCATCTGCCTGGAATGCTCTTTCTCCAGCTCATTGAGTGGCTGTCCCATTCTCAGATAGAAGGCAGGTCTTCCCTGACCACTCCATCTAAAAGGGCCCTCCTTAGGTACTCTGCTCCTCACCCCATTTATTTTCTTTGTAGCACTTCCTAGAATTAGTACTTATTTATTATTTTTCTCACAATATACACACTGTGAGGGCAGATAACTTGTCTTGTTCATTGCTGTGTCTTACACAGCCTAGAACATTTAGAGGAGTTTATAAAACATTTGTTGAATGACAACAAATGTGAATGGAATGAACAAATGAATGGATGAGTGACTAAAAGGAGCTGTACTTTCCTAATCTTTTGTTTGTCATCTCAGTAAGGTGTTTTATCATGGTTTAGCTATAACCCTCAGCTAGTTTTTCTGGGTCACTACCAAGAAATGTCTCATTTTTCAGAATTGTGTATGAAATTGAAAAAGCTGGAGTGTCTTGGATCAGATAAAGGTAACAATTTTAACTAGTGGAGAATGTCTCACCAGAGAGGTAAAATTTTTTTACAAATGTTAACTGATTAACTCCAATACCCCCACATCCCATAGCTTTATTGAGGTATAATTGACAAATGCAAATTGTATATACTTAAGGTGTACAATGTGGTGCTTTGATATACATATACATCGTGAAGTGATTACCACAATCGAGCTATTAATATATCCACTATCTCATACAGTTACCTTTTATTTTTATGTGGTGAGAACATTTAAGTAACACCTTAAGATGGCTATTATCATAAAGTCAAATGATAACAAGTGTTGGCCAGGATGTGAAGAAAAGGGAACCCTTGTATACCTTTGGTGAGACTGCAAATTGGTGAAACCATTATGAAAAACAGTATGTAGCATCCTCAAAAAAACTGAAAATAGAACTACTACTATATGATCCAGCAATCCCACTTCTGGGTATGTATCCAAAGGAATTGAAATCCGTATCTGCATATTTATGTTTATTGAAGAATTATGTACAATAGCCAAGATGCAGAAACAATGTGTCTGTCGACAGACTAGTGGATAAAGAAAATGTGAAACACACACACACACGCACACACACACAGTCCCCAACTTTTATATTTTTTGACTTTATGATGAGTTTATTGGGGTATTAAATGCATTTTGGACTTATTTTATTTTCAGGTTACAGTGGGTTTATCAGAATATAACCCCACTGTAAGTCAAGGAGCATGTGTACATATATCTACGTACATATATACCACAGTGAAATATTATTCTGCCTTAACTGATTAACTTTCAACTGCCCAATGTGTCAGGTTACAAGACAGATTAGCGGGTTAGTGGTTAGGGGAAAAGCAGGGATCTGTTTACAGATCTGAGGCACAAGCTGTCAATCCCCTCTGCTGATGAAACTTGGGTGGTGTGCGTTGGAGAGCAAATGCGAAAGTTATAGCCCAAAGGAAAGGACAGAGGGTGGTGTGGGGCTTATCTTCCTTCTACCATTCCCCTTCCAGATCTGAGGTTTTATTTCTGAATCTAATGAGTCCCACTACCTGCACACAGGGTGAACCCGTAATGAAGACTGCTTAACAATTATTCAAACATCCCTCTTCCGTATCCTGTAGCTGAAGTAGCAAACCTAGACTCCATCCTTAGTTCTTTCTTTCCTCTCCCACGTTCCCAGTCTAATCAGCTGCCATGCCCTAACGTGTTAAACTTACTTCTTAAATGGCTCTGGACTCTTCCAATTCTGTCTACCTCCACTGTCACTGCCCTAGTCCACATCACCAACTTCATTTGCCTGGACAACTTCAGCAGCATCCTGAAGCCTTGAGTTAAGTTATCCTTAAATGCATCCTCTACTCCAAAGCCAGTGATGCTCAAGGGTGCCAATCAGATCATGCTTTTCCTCTGCTCGTATCCCTAAATAACTTCTCTTGGCCCTTAGATGAAGTCTTTACCTGACTTAGAGAACCTTCAGGAGTTTGCCCTTATCTTTTACTTCTTTCCAACAACTTCCCATCTCCTCCATTCCAAGTAATTTAAATTGTAAGACAGTGGACTTCTTTCAGTTCATCAAATACCATGGACCTTCTTTTCTTAAGACCTTGGAAAATCCCTCAGCCTGGGATCCTCATTCTTCCCTTCCTCAGTTGGCTGGCTCCTATTGATCCTTTAGGTTGACTGGAGTGGCATTGCTTCTAGGAAGTCTTTCCTATTCTCCCAGCTTAGATTAGGGACCTTTACTAGATCCTCCTTAGACAGATGGTACTTTCTCTATCACAACCCACATCCCTGCTAGATGCAAAGTCTCCTAGAGAAGAGACACCTTCTAGTTGGTTCATGATTCCTAATGGATGGCACAGTGCCTGGCACATAATAGGTGCCTAATAAAAGTGTATTGACTAGGCCGGGCACGGTGGCTCATGCCTGTAATCCCAGCATTTTGGGAGGGCAAGGTGGTGGATCACTTGCGGTCAGGGGTTTGAGACCAGCCTGGCCAACATGGTGAAACCCGTCTGTACTAAAAATACAAAAATTAGCTAGGTGTGGTGGCACATGCTTGTAATCTCAGCTACTTGGGAGGCTGAGGTGGGAGGATCACATGAAACTGGGAGGCAGAAATCAGTGAGCTGAGATTGTGCCACTGCACTCCAGCCTGGGCGACAAAGCAAGACTCTGTCTCAAAAAAAAAAAAAAATGTGCGTTGACTAATATTCCTGTATTGTTTCCCAATATACTCAGTGGTGGTTGTTGGAAGACCCTGTTACCATGCACTGTTCCATCCTAATACTTACTTTTGCCTTCACCCTGTTGGACTGTGCCCTGTGGTATTGTCACATGGGCAGCCTCCGCTCAACCCAAACACGCCCAGACTTTGGCTTTTCTGGTGTCTGTCTCACCTTAACAGCCAGGTTCGGTTTTAGGTCAGCTCCTGTCAGCATGACCTGTTCCAGTAACTCCTGCCCAGTTCTTCCATTAGATAATGGCAATAGTCAGAAAAAAAAAAGATAGGTATTCTTAATACTCATTATTGAGTATAAGGAAAGGGAAACAAAGGTGAAAGGCTGGTCTTTGGCAGCCACTTCTTACAGGAAGAGGCCTTAGGCCATGGGTAGTACACATATCGGGAACTTTTCCAGATTCACAGTTTCCAAATGCTGTAACTCCAGAACAAACTAAATGGCAGACAATGAAATATCTGGGATAAGGTCTGGATGTTCAGGGAGTTGGTAGATTGCTGCTCGATCTTGCCCACGCTTGAAAAACCTGTTTCAAAAGACAATCAAAATGCTCCGCCATCCCGTCCCACTCATTTTCACTGAAGGGCTTTGATTTCAAGTGTGAGGTTTGCCTTACTTTGGGGATGTCAGTGAAAGTCCTGAAGCTTGCCTGTCAATTTAGATCTCAGTGGTCTGATTCCATGAGGAGAATTTCCTTCCTACTCCTTTCCTCTCAGACATTCTCTTCCATAAGGTGCAGTTTGACACTCACCCATGAACATCAAGAAAAGTGCTAAAATTGGATTTTTTCAATCCAACTGTCGAAAATAACAAGATGTAGCAAGGAAGGGAATTGTAGTAATAATCTTGACCCCTTTCCTACCTCCTTTGGCCTATCTTTGGTGCTCCCTTCTCAATATTGCCATAGAAACCGATGACTCTTTCTTGTCAGAGTGATTATACCTTTTCAGATTTTGACAACTAGAAGATACAATTGAAAGAAGCCTGGAGTCTTTAATTCCAACTTCCCCCTCCCACATGGGTGCTGCTTATGCAAATTGGAGAAAATAGGCTTTGTTATGTTTTATTTTGTATTCTGCTAACAAATAGAGTGCATCTGTTTGGTGCATGTGTGAGAGGAAGAATACTGGTTACCCAGACATATGGGGAAGCGTCAGATTTTCTTGGTTTTATTATATTACTTTAACTGTCTGCTTGACAGATACAGTAATCATTACTGATTGAAAATACCTTTGTCAGACAGCAGTTTCCTGTGATGGGCATCCACACGGTTCTGCATAATATATGGGGTTGACAGCTTGCAGGGGAAATCCAGAAAAAAAAAGTTGTGAAAGGGAAAAGCTTATTTTAGCCAGCAGACTTGGAAATTTCACAGACGTTATAGGATTCTTTTAAAGCTACGCATGATTTCTCCTCATCAGCTGCTAATTAAGGACATTAATTTATCTATTTGTTTGATACTGGAAACATAAGGCTTAGTTCAGCATGAGTTATAATTCATCATGGTTTTAGTATCTTTTGAATAATTCAAAATTATGCTTTGCAATAAATGATTTATGAGGAGTTTATAAGTACTCTTATTAAATCAGCATTTTTTATGTATTATTCTTTGGCATTATGAACCTCTGGAGACCATTAAAGTTTATTACACAGTGTTTATTTTAATAAGAACCTTCTGACTTTCTCAAATGCCTAAGCATTATCCACAAGTTTCTTTCCAATATTGAATGCGGCTCTGGTTGTAAGGGAATTTTCTTCATCAATACTTTTGAAAGAAAAATCAGTGAATAGTCAAAATTTCAGCTTTTATGTAATGGCTTGTGTTGGAGCTTCCTAGTCATTTTTACTTCGTGATGCACGTGTAAACTTCCAAATTTGCAGCAGCAGCACTGGCACGCAGTGAATGGGCGCACATCTGGAAAACAGCAGCACTGACGGCTGCAGGGAAGGCTTGTGCTGGATGCCACATATCCACTGCACCTGAAGCTGGCTGGGTCCTCAGGTCTGACTCTGGAGGGAGAAAGGAGGGACAGGGACTGATGGAGAAACTGAAAAAGGATGAGAGATTGTTGGACCTGCATTGTGCTGGGAGCATTTTAATTGAAGAATTGTCTGAACTTGACACAAAAAACCAAACTTACTTTCCAGAGATACGGATAGACAGACAAACCCTCCCCCATCCCACATACCCTCCTCCCCCACCCATCACACACACATGAAACCATTCTATGAACCAGTTGAGATGTTGGGACCTTAACATTCGAAAACAGGGCTATAGGCATTCCTTCTCTTTTGTTTGATATTTTAATTGTTTTTCATATACTACACAATAATACACCCAAACTGCCTTTCTTATGCTAAATTTAAAGTCACGTCCACTGGCTATTGCTCTTGCTTGTCAGCCAGCAGCTCAGTGTTGGCTGAATAGCAGTGTTTGCCTCTGTAACTATTTATATAAATATTGCTTTGTATTTCATCCTTAACATTTAAATGTGAATGTAAAACAGAAAAACCAAAGTGTTGATACTAGTGATGAAACTATTGAAACAATGATTGAGGCCCTTGGAGTGTTTAATTTTAAAACTTCAGTTGGACACCCATCAATCCTAAGAGTTGACTGTCGTGTTTAATTGTAAAGAAAGAGGAAAACAGTGAAGAATAAGTTGGGAATATGCTGTTGAAGATGGCCTAAAAGGCCAAGTATAATTAGAGATTTTACTTTACATTAGAGCTTTCTTGGAAAAGCTAGCTCCATTGTAATATGTAAGATATTGTTCAACTTTTCTGTTTGGTGTTAGCGTGTCTTCTTAGGAGTTTATTTCGTATGAAAATCAAAGATAATCTCTCTGCCCCATCTTCCTCCTGCCTTTCAGCATATATGTGCTGTTAGGGTGCTAGCTAGGGTGCTGTTAGGGTGTTAGGTCCTTGTCCCCTCATATATATATATATACACACACACACACACATATATTTATTATTATTATTTTTTATTTTTTGAGATGAAGTCTCACTCTGTCACCCAGGCTGGAGTGCAGTGGCATGATCTTGGCTCACTGCAGCCTCTGCCTCCCAGGTTCAAGCAATTCTCTGCCTCAGCCTCCCGAGTAGCTGGGATTACAGGTGCCTACCACCATGCCTGGCTTTGCATTTTTAGTAGAGACGGGTTTTCACCATCTTGGCCAGGCTGTTCTTGAATTCCTGACCTCATGATCCACCCGCCTCAGCCTCCCAAAGGCATGAGCCACTGCACCCGAACGCCCCCTAATATATTAACACAGCTACTTATTATATGTGTTAAAACCCATGCATGAATCTTGCCAACTTTCAAAAATATAAAAACTCATTTTTAACACTTTGTTTACCACAGACATTATTTTTATTTTTTATTGTGTGTCCACCTCTGAGTAGATAGCATTCTTTCCAGAGAGATAACCTATTACAATTATTTAAATGCAACTAAAGACTATTGTGGAACTTTAAAACAAAAGGGAAATGAAACAATAAACCAACTTATTATGGCTAACACTATGTTAAGATGTTCATTTTCTAAAAATCTTTGCTTTAATGACTTTGAAAGGCATAGGCAGGAAATGGAAATAGGGGGTATGGGTTGACTATCCTGTAGGGATAAGTCCTCAGAAGTAAATTGAAATTAAATTTTTAGCTTTCCTTTAAAAAATGTGACATTGTGCATTTCACTGGGAATTCAGAAATATAGGGTCTAGATATATATATTTGCCACTGATAAGGTGTGCACTTGAAGAAATCACTAAACTTTGGGTATTCATAATACCTGCCTTGGCTTCTAGTGGATTTTTCCAAGCAGAAAAGAGCACAGGAGAGCACGGGCTAAGGAGATAGGTGGACTTGGGTTTGAATTGAGGCTGATTACTGGCTCCATGAACAAAGACACTATGGATATCTTTCTCCTCATGTGTAAGATGGGTAGACTACCTCTTCCACAGTTTTAGTGTTAATCTTTCATTGGATAACCGTGTAAAGTGCCCAGTTCAGGGCTTGACAAATGATAAGACACTAAGTGATTGCTATCAAGACAATCATTTATTGTTCTTGGGTTATAGAAACCTAACTGTGGTAGGCTGAATAATGGCCCTCCAAAGGTATCCACATCCAAATCCCTGAAACATGCGAATATGTTATGTTACATGGGAAAAGAGACTTTTGTAGATGTGGTGAAGTTAAAGATTTTGAGATGGGAAGATTACCCTGGATTATCTGGTTGGGCCCAGTGTAATCATAAGAGTCCTTATAAGGGAGATGAAGAAAGAAGGTGATGAAGGAGATAGAGAAAGATGCTAGATTGCTGCCTTTGAAGATAGAGGATGGGACCGCAAGCCAAGGAATGCTGGTGCCCTCTAGAAGATGGAAAAGATAAGGAAACAGATTTTGCTCTAGAGCCTTCAGAGGGCCTTGCAGCCTTGCTGATGCCTTGATCTCAGCCAGTGAAACCCTTTTTGAACTTCTGACCCCCAGAAAATAAGACAATAAATTTGTGTTGTTTTAAGCCACTAATTTGTGGTAATTTGTTACAGCAACAATATACTGATTATTATTATTTTGGTAACACATGAAAAGGAAAAGTGGCCTTCTTCTCTGCCCTCCTCCATCCCTCCCAACACTGTCCCATGGAATGAGACATTTTTGGTCTAGGTAAGGGCATGGTAATCCTATTGCCCTTTGCTGGTGGTTTAAGGGTAGACATGTGACTCAGTTCCACTCAGTGAGTCATAAGAAGAAGGCTGCTGGGTGGGGAGGCTCTCTGGTAAGAATTTTGTTCCCTAATAAAAGGATTCATCTAGGTAAGAAATCTTGCCTCTTTCAGCTTGCCTTGGACAAAGTTAAAGGAGGATGTAACAACTGGAGCTGCACAGCAAGGCAGTTAATTATGATGGTGAAATCTATGATGATAAGAGACTGAAATGTGTGGTCAGACAGACTGACCAGATAACAACTAATGAGTGCTTGAGGCAAAGAGAAACGGGATATATTTCCGTCGTCAAAGCATTAAAAAAGATCATTGAGTTTGCAGTTCAGGCAAATTCAGTTTTCTGTGGGGACTTTGTGGTGAATTCAGGAACATTAGATCATGAACTCAAGATGCTCTGTCAGAAAACAAGCATCAGACGATACACTGGTATGATTGTTCCAATGTAGGGCTCGAAACTCACCTTAGCACCTTAAAAAAGTATCTTTCTTTTCTTTCCCTGAGCTTTTCCTAAAAGGACAAACTGATCAGGTCCCATTATACTTTCTTTGCCCAGGGCAGACTTGCTATAGAGAAGCATTCTGTAAAAGATGGGTCTCTCTGGAACCTTCTAGAAGAGACTTTTTTTTCTCTTTGAAGGGCCTTCTCCTGTCTTTCCTGTCATGGCCAGTAGAAGCCCAGTTATCTTTCCAGTTATGTGGGTCAGAAACCTGGTTCTCTGCCTCTTTTCCTCCACTCACTGCATAGCTGCTTGTTGCCTTTGCCATGCTCTGTGCCTGTATCCTCCTTTGTTTCTGTCCTGGTTTTGTCCTTCATCATCCCTTGTCTAGGATTTTACAATGAAATCTCAACTTGTCTTCTATGTCCCCTGTGTCTGTCCCTTCAACTCAGGATCCACATTACAACCAAATCATCTTTTCAAAATGCAAAGCTGATCATACCAACCACTGCCTCTCACCAGGTAAACCTTTCTATAGCCTACATGGTAAAGTACGAACTTCTTAGTATTATTGCTCATAAAGCTTTCCAAGGCTCCTCACTGGGCTCTGCAGCTGTGACTTTCCTTCCTAGCATCCTAAAGTTTGGTCAGTCAGAATGACCTGCAGGTCCCTGGTGGGGCCATGCTGTGTCATGCCTTCCTGCCTTTCATCACGCTGTCCCCTCTGCAGGAGTTGAAAGCTGTCACCACTCTACTAACTGAACTCAAGCATCACCACCTCTGGGATGCTGTCCTGTCTCTCTTAGATGGAACTGGCCATTTTCTTTTTGTTGCATACACCCTGTCCCCTAATCCCACATGTGTGTGTCTTTGTGTTACTTTCTTTCTTATTCTGTTATGTTCTTACAGGCTTATAAATTGTTATTCTGATGTTAGGTGGTGAACTTTTGGAGACAGAACCATTCCGAAGCTGTCTGCCTTTTCTTGGAGCTTAATACAGTGCCTGACACTTATGAAACACTCAATCTCAAACTCTTGCATAAATAAATGAAAGAATAAATGAACGTTGGTGAGCTATTAGAAAGTTAGATTAGCTTCACAATTGAGTATTATTTTGAGCAAAAGGAAACTTATGTATTATTTCACCCTACTTTTTTATTTTATAGTTGTAGAACTGTACTGTTCAAATTGATAGTCACCAGCCACATGTATCTACTGAACACTTGAAATCTGGCTCCTCTGAATTGAGACATGCCGTAGGGGTAAAACTCACACCAGATTTCAAAGACTTAGAATCCCCAAAATGTATATTTTTATATGGATTACACTTTGTAATGAAAATATTTTAAATATGTTGGATTAAAGAAAATATAGTATTAAAATTAATTTCCCCTAGTTTTAAGTGTCGACCACTAGAAAATTTTAAATTACATATGGGTTTCATACTGGAGGCTTGCTTTACATTTCTGTTGGAGAGTGTTGTTCTAGAATAGGGTCAGCAAACTAAGGCATGTGGGCCATGTCTGGCCAGCCACCTGTTTTGTTATTGCTGTTGTTCTGTTTTTAATGCCTGTTAACTAAGAATGTTTTTCACGTTTTTTAAATGGTTACATTTTATATAAGTAACTACATAATAGACTTAATTTTGCCTTTGGGTTCACAGTGCTTAAAATATTCACTATCTGGCTGAGCGCTTTGGCTCATACCTGTAATCTCAGCACTTTGGGAGGCTGAGGCAGGAGAATCACTTGAGACTTGGAGTTCGAGACCAGCCTGGGTGACATAGTGAGACCTCTTCTCTACTAAAAATAAAAAACTTAGCTAGGCATGGTGGTGCATGCCTGTGGTCTCAGCTACTTTGGAAGCTAAGGTGGGAGGATTGCTTGAGCCCAGGAGGTTGAAGCAGCAGTGGGCTATGATGGTGCCACTGCACTCCAACTTGGGTTACAGAGTAAAACTCTGTCTCCAACCACCCCAAAAAAGAAAGAAATTTACTATCTGACCTTTAAGAAAACATGTGCCAACCCTATTCTAGAAGATAAGGCCCAGTGTGGTGAAATAAAATAATGATGATAACAACAAAGAGTAGCTACTGCCTTAATAGTAATGGCTCCCACATCAAGTAATGCCATAACCTTAATGCTGTTAAATTATTGGCGTGTAGAGATCTACCTTAGCTATATTGATCAAAACGGTTTATAGTTCTATTCATGTAAATGGTGCTTAAAACTGCTTGAGAACATTTTTTTCTCTTGTTATTTAAACATTCTTTCTAATACTATATTCATTTCTTAATTGTCTTTTTTTAAATTCAAGCATTTATAGAACATGTGTTGAGCCAATTGTGTTGAAGGATATAGCAAAGTCCTGGCCTTCAAGGAAGCTCAGAACCCATTGGTGGGAGGATAGGCTATGAGCAAGCAATGTTGATATCATGTGATTAATACTCTAATAGAATGTGCTGTGAGAACGTGGAGTTGGAGCAGCAAACTCTGTCTGGAGGTTGCGAAATTTTTTTCAGGGAAGAAAATATTGCAGCGCAGTCTTGAAGAATGAATAGATATTTTCCTTGAATAAAACAGGTATGCATTCTATGAAGAAGGAATGGCACGTATAAGGTAATAAAAGTGTTAAGTATTTGAGGGATCAAAAGAAATTTAGTTTTGGGGAGTGTGGGTGGGAAGAGGAGGGTTGAGAAATGAGCTTGAGGGAAGATGCTGGGACTGGATCATGGAGCAGCCAGGTGTCATGGGGAAATGGCTGCACTTTCTCATTAGTGATGGGAAACCTTTGAATGAACAAATGAAAGAATTACATTATTTGTTCGTTTGTTCAATATCATAATCTGAATTTTTTCATTTCATCTTTCTGGTGATGGATTACATAGGAGTGGGGAGAAATGTGTGGCTTGGAAGCCAGTTACGAGGCTGTTGAAACTCTTCAAGTGAGACTGCAAAATCAGGCATGGCAGTGAGGATGGAGAGGGAAAGTCAGATTAGAGACATTTTTAGGGAGAAAGTAATTGATTTGTCTGTTGACTAGTTTAATGTATGGTGCAAAAGAAAGGAAAAAATTAAGACAGCCATTATATTTCTATACTGAGAGACACTGGAGAGTGACTCCATTAATTTAGAGAGAGAAGACAGGAAAAGGAGCAAGCAGGGAGGAGCTGGTGGTAAATGGCATTTGAGACCTTTCCAGGCTGAGCCCATTCTGAGTTTGGGACACAGATGTGGATGCATTACCAGGGGCTAAGGATGCCAAAATGAATATAGTCCCCGCCTTCCAGGCATAATCCAGTGGAGGTGGCAAGATGTCAGCAAATTACTTCAATAAAGTGTGATGAGAGCTAAAATGCAAAGCACAGGTTGAACTGTAACAGCAGTTATAATACAGAGAGAGGATAAAAAACAAACTTCAACTCTTGAGCTATCCCTATTTTATGAACTAATATAGTCAAAGTAATGAGTTTCTACACATTTGCACTCTTGGGTTTTTAATTTTCTTTTCCTAGTCAAGAATTTTGTCTGCTTCTGTGGTTTGTAGAGAACTTTGGTATCTCTAACAAATAAATACTTATTAAACAGTAATGCAAATGGTATTTGTTTCATTTTAAAATCTCACTTCCATTTCCACATTTCTCCCACAGCTGCTGTTTTTTGGCTAAAGTTTTAATTGCTTCCTTTCTCATATCCTTTTCCTTTATATATTTTCCTCAATCTGTTTTTTTTTTTAAATAGGGCACCATCAGAGTTTTTGCCATTACAAACATTATTATTCTTCATGCTCCTTTACAATGCCCCGGCCTATCTCACCTTTGGGAAGAGAATGGAAAAAAAAATTGAATTTGATAATCAATATGTATTAATCTTATAAATATTTGGCTAGTTTATTTCATCCTAATCACTTTCTGATAAGGCCATTTTAAACAATGACTTATAGCCAAAATTTCCCACTGGAGGTTTTTTTTTTTTTTAATATAAAAGTAAAGCTAGAAAAGGTATAATTTTGGGGATTTATATAATTTAAGCAGATTCTTCTAAGAATAACTGGTGTCACAGTTATACATTAGAGAGAATACAGTACAAAAAGCAAGTTATCCTAATTAGATATCTTTCTCATCATCCTGTAACAGTGCATGTTCTATTCATCTGTCATAAATCTTTGAAACTTCAAAAAGAATAACTTTACTGTTATCATCTTTGAGGAGCACTCCTGGATTCTATTAGCTACCAGCTTAAAAGCCATTACAGGCAAGTGTTATAGACTCAGGGTTGCTATAGTCAAGTCCTTGTAAGTAGCTTTTCTCAACTGATTCCCTCCTTGAGTGAAGATGGATACTTGGACAACTGCTTACTAATCGTCAGTGGTAGAAATTTCATTTGCTTTCCACAGTCCCTCTTCTTTCTCCACCCCCCATTACAGAAACAGAGAAGTTAACACACACAAACTATGGTTCTTTTCTTCTGTCCCTAATTTTCATTCCATGAGTGGGCCTTGTATGAACCAAAGTAGAATGCTCAGATGACTTTAGCAATAGCTTCTTTTAAAATCTACTGCCACGATAGAATTTGGAGTGGCAATATCTGTTTAAATCAGAAATGATTTCCTAAAGGGTGCAGTATTCTTTCAAAGTTAAGTTATTTTAACCAACAATTAAAAAGAAACTAACATACAGCCACAAATGGGCTCTTCCTGGTGTTCAATATCAGTTTCAAGTTGGAAGAAACAACTTATTAAAATTCATCATCTTGCATTGTTAATCGAGATGTGGCTAATAACTGGTTGAGAATACTGGTAAGAATGTCTTCTTTGGGCCCTCAAAATGAATCTCTGCTTCTTGGCTACCTTGACTATAAAATGGGAGATAATATCCTGTTCCCAGGGTTGTGAGCAGGATTAAATATAATGAGATGTGAAAAACCGTGTAAGATTGTAAAGTACTATATGAGTATAAGCAGTTATTCTTGTTGCTGTTATTGTTTCTGGTCGAGGTGGGATAGTGGTAGTAGTTTTGTAGGTTGCAGTAATGGTGGTCCTATTAATACCTTGTCCTTCTTAAGTCAGGGTACGGCACACTGGACTGGCTGAAGGCCTAAAGGCAATGTCAGAGCAGAGCAAAGAAATAAAAAAAAGTGAGTGGGAGAGAAAACAATGTGTCTGAGGCAGAGTGAGAGAATTGGAAAAAAATCAACAAAAGGGATAAGAAGATATCATTTCTACAACAAATAGAGCAATCCTAATTTATTCAAAGTGGAAAAGAGACTATTAAGGAACACTTACAAGGAAAAAGGTGCCTAAGTGTGATGTTTCACACAACATTCACAACTATCCCACGAGGTACATTTTATTAGAACCATTTTGCAGGTGAGGAAACTGATAACCAGAGAGGTCAAAATCATCATGCAACTGTCTATTAGAAGCCAAGATAAGAAAATGGAAAATAGAAATCCATTGAAGAAGAAAGTAAAACAAGTGGGAGCTGGGGTACAGAGGGAAAGCATGTGTTGTCTGAAGGCTCCTGAATTCATTTCCCCTTCTCCATACTGTACTAGCCTAACAAGGATGCAAGTATAGGACAAATTTGATACCCTCTGTCTATATATGATAGCTTTTACAATTGGACAAGGATATCTGCAGATTCTGATGGATGTTTAGAGGGGTTGGTTCTGCCCAAGAAGAAGCTAAGTACAATTTCATGTTTGGTACAGGAATCTCTGGCTGCACTTTAGTGCGTATACTATAGGCATCTCTCTTTAAATATATAAACACACAGATTCAAACTGCTAGAAATGCCATACAGATTGCAGAAATCCAGAAAGTAGGCACATAGTGTATACAAAAAAAAAGCACAATATAGAAAAATAATAAACTAAATTCATCTAGGGCTTCCTTTATGGCAGGCATTGTAATAAGTGATTTATATGCAATGATTCATTCACCCCACACAACAATCCTATGAGGTTGTGCTTATATTTTGCTATTTTACAGAAGACAAATGTTAGGCACTTGGGAATTACATTATCTATCTAAGATCACACAGCAATTAAGTGGAGGAGCTGGAAGCTGAATCCAATGACCATGTACTTAATCAAAATAGAGATTGCATTGCTCTCATGTGATAAGGAATATATTGTTTCATTTTAATATTTAATATGTTCAACAAAACAGATTATTTCGATTCAAAATAATAAAACAATCGCTTGGCAAGTAAGAGGTATGAAAAGGATAGGAAAACTATTAAAACATTTTGAGATTATGAATAAAATTAGAATACTGACTAGGTACTAGATGATATTAAAGGATTTTAGTTATTTTTGGTAAGTGTTTTAATAATATTATTGTTATGTAAAAATACATCTTTTTAAAAGAAATTAACCGAGAAGTGTTTAGGAGTAACACGTCATGATATATTGGATTTGCTTTGAAATAGTTTATGAGGAAGAAAAAAAGCAAGGAAGGGAAAGCATGAAAGAGGAGAAAAGAGAGAAAGAGAGAAAGCATAAAAACAAGATGGGAAAATGCTGATGGTCATCGAGTCTGGGAGATGGATATATGTTGGTTTGTTGTGCTATTTCCTTTACTTGGTATATAGTTAAACTTTTTTCATAATGAAAATTCAAAAAAAGAAACAGTTCACTTAAGTTCCCAGAAGCCCAATGGCAATGCCAACATCCATATGTGACAAATGAATGTGGTAAGTGCAAAGGAACGGTAATAGCACTGAGCAATTTATGTGGACGTGTCATTTCAACCCACAAAATTGCCCTGTTTACTTTTTATGTGTTAGTGCTTTCTGGGAAAAAAAATGTAGAAAGGAAATAATATCTTGAAGTCTGTTTGTTTACTAGGAATAGCACTTGTGTAATTGTTTTAATGTGTTGTAGCTCAACATTTATTTTTAGCATTCTTTGCTTTATTGGCTAATTCAAAACATAAACACTTCCTGGCTTGAGCAAAATCAGCATGTCACTTCCAGACCAGAGGAAAGTCATAATCGCTTGTATTGCTCATTTGAACTTTGTGAGAAGACACATTTTCCATTTCAAGTAGGAGGCAAATATATTTGCAAAGATTTCCCCATTTAATTGCAGTCCAAACTTAAAAAAAATCTTTTCCCCCAATACACTCATAGATCAAGTTTTATGAGAAAGAGGTAAATGAAAACCAGACAGTTGATAAAAGCTCTTTCTGTTTTGAGTAGTGAATTTCTAGCTATATCACATAGATTAATCAATATTTTGGCCAATCCTTTTTATTTTCTATGCCTGTAAATGTTTGTCTTTCAATGTTGGATCCAGTGATTTCTAAAATACTTTTAGAAGATTAAAATAAGTTGTATCTACGGGTCCATGATCTCTTCTCTGAAATCCTTGCAGTCAGGTGTTTCTTGGAATTGTGAATATTTCAGGTTTTAGGACAGTACTACTTTGCATATAGTCTATAACAGTAGTTTCCAACTTTTGGCACCAGGAAATGGTTTTGTGGAAGACAATTTTTCCACGGACATTGGGCTGTTGGGTGGGGTGGGGGTGGGGCAGGGGGGATGGTTTTGGGATGAAACTGTTCCACCTCAGATCATCAGGCATTAGATTCTCTTAGGAGAGCACAACCTAGTTCCCTCACATGCGTAGTTCACAATACAGTTCCCACTCCTATGAAAATCTAATGCGGCTGCTGATCTGACAGGAGGCAGAGCTCAGGAGGTAAAGCTCACTCACCTGCTGCTCACCTCCTGCTGTGCGGTGCGGCCTGGTTCCTAACAGCCCACAGACCATAGCGGTCTGTGGCCTGGGGGTTGGGGTCCCCTGTTCTATACCACATAATGTCCTCAGTGGCATGTAGGAGAGCAACATGTAGTCAAATGCATCTTATTTATACACTAAAAGTATAAATATCCCCACTAAGTGAGATCATTAAAGATTCTAAGGAGCCTCACATCAGTTTAGATCAGACTTGGCTACCTGGTGAAAGTTTTTCCATGCCTGAAGAAGGACTTTGGGTTTGTAGTACCATGGAGGTTTCAGGATTGCAGAGGGGGACTGTGGAACCGAATGCTTGGGTAAGAGCATCAGCTGGAGGGTCCGACAGACCCACATCAAAATCTCACCCGTGACTCTTACTAGTTGTGTGACTCTCTAGACCTCATTTTCCTCACTTATGAAATGGAAAAATACCTTTTAAATAGGATTGTTGTGAAGATAATTTTCACAAAGCACTTAGCTAGATGCCTGGCTCAGTATGAGAAGTCAAAAAGCAGAAGCTGTTACAATATTATTAGTTTTATTAAAGGTAAAAAACGTGAAAAAAGTATTTGTATTCTTTTACGCTGGCCTCAAGGTCTTTTTATCTCTGTGTTATTTGCTGGGTGGGGTGTGCATCTGAATTTAAGCTATTAGAGAAATTAAGCTCTAGGATGATGATCGTGGACCTGTTTTCTGTGCGGGAAATGTGTGAGAGGGGAGAAGAAAAGACACACACACAATACCTTTAAGGGTAAACAACCTTTATCCCAGGTAAATGGCAATGCAGATATAATAAGCAAATGATATAATAAGCAAATAATATAGTAAGCAAATTGATATAATAAGCAAATTGATATAATAAGCAAATTGCATTGGGAAGGGGAGAAGGTGAGTGTAAATATATATATTTACTCACTCACCAGACTAAGGAGGATTCATGACCAGACTGGGAAGCATCGGCCTGGGCTCCAGTGTCGGCCACTCGTCCGTGAACAGATAAGGAGAGGTCTCATGAAGCTTCGGCGTGGTCTGGACCCCTAGCTCTTTTCGTAATGAGTTGTTTGGCATGAGGCCCAGTCATGAGAGCCCTTCATGACTGGTCTTCAGCAACACAAAAAGGTCAACTTGTTTTTGCGATTGCCTGTTGTTTTTCAATAACTAACATATAGGAATATATTGAAATAGAGATTTCTCTGAAACAGTGCTGGATGAATGCCTCAAGGAGCTCACACAACCTGTTCTGGGAATTGGTGACCATTGTTTTTGTCCACGTTCAACTGAGTTCAAATTTAATATTTAATTTTTCCTCCACAACCTCTGACTCTGATGAGTTTTGCCCAAACTAAGTTTAACATCAACTAGGTGATATTCTGGGGCCACAAAGCCTCTGGTTGGGTTGAACATGAGAGATTCTGTAACTTGTTCTCACCGCCATCCCCAACCCCTGCAAATGAAGCAGAGTCTATTCATTAAAAATCATGCTAATGATAGTGCATGCTCATTGTATCAAAACGTGAGAGAGTCTCCTGCTGCATTTTCTCCCATCCCCAATTTCAGTTGTCAAAGACAATCTTTCACATTTTTTCCTACTTTTGTTTCTTCTGCTGGTAATTTCCATATCTCTAGATAATTTGCCTTTATTTCTGACTCCTCAGTATGAAAAACAAGAATTAAATAATTATACTTCTTTTCCTTTCTCTCATATCTTTCCTCTAAAGTATCATCATTTTGAGTTCTTCTGTTGCTTTTATAATTCTGAAAATAATATATATAAATCTTTATTATTTGTCCAATAACTTCTTGTTATAAGATGAAAATAGTAGCTCTTATGTATTTCCCTTACCTTTTCCTGTTCCCTATCATACCTTCATTGAATACTTTTTAAACTTTTATATGGAGATACTGTTAACATTAATACTATGTGCTACATCTATAAGATTTCTGTACTTTGCAGTTTAGTGTAAAACTTGAAAACCAATAAACAGAGCTTACATTACTCTGACTACATAAGAAGGTTCACTTCTGGGCCAAGTAAGCGTCCATTGCCACAATCTGAGGGCCACTAACAGGAGAATGTGGTGAGCTTCAAGTTTAAATGGAGTCTCTCTTGTTAACTCTACCCTTTCTTAAAATCGTGCCATGTTTTATTTGCTTCATATTTGGCCTATGATAATCTTGTATGGTATTTGTTTATTTGTGTTTCCTAAAGATTTTAATTGCCTTTATTTTCACCTTGCATTATATGCTGTTGTTCTTCCATGCTCTCAGCCATTGCATTTAGTCTAAAGAGTCTTTCTGGTCCTTAATTTAAAAATAATGTTTAAATTACGTATATAACACATGGTTACACTATATGTTTGTAAATGTCAAACATTATAGATAAGAGTAAAGCACTTTTGACCACCAGCCCAATCTGAGACCACATTCCATTCTTGTATAATTTGAAAACTTGCTAAATATACAGTTTTTCTATATTGAGTCGAAATTCTTTCCACCCCCAAAATTTGCTAATTTTCACAGCTTAATATACCATCCATTATATAAGTTAATATCTTTCTTGATGGTTTTCATATCTGATCTTCAGAGGTGCTGCCTACTAGAAATTTCACATTGGAGTTAGCTAAAGCAATCTTAAATGTAATATGGGCAAGACTGAAATCCTGATTTTCTAGCTCTAATCTTTTCCCGAAAAAACTTTCCCAACATTTCCTAATTCAATGATTAGTTGTTACTATTTACCCAATTGCCTCAGATTAAAGTTTTACCCCTTGCATCCAGTGTGTCACCAAATACTATTGATTTTATATCAGAAAAACGTCTTTAATATTCACTTTTCTCCACTATGCTTTTCAGCTTAAGCCATGTTGATATAGTATCTCAGCTGGTTTACTGCAAGAGTCCATACCAAAGAGTCTTTGCATGTGCTGTTGTCTGTGTCTGGAATGCTTTCCTTTCTATCTTTGGTTAACTCATCCTTTGACTCTTAACACAACTATTGCTTCTTTATAGAAGCCATCTCATCTCACACTCTTAAGCATATATCAGGTTTCTGCCCGCAAAAAGTATGTCTCATATTTCTGTACTCATATTTCAATTTATAATTAAATTCTGTCTTCCTTGCTGGATTTAAGCTCCATCAGAGTAGGGACTCTTCCTGAATTGGCACATATTTAACATCTGGGACTGTGACAACCAGCCCCTTAGTTTCAGTGTTTCAACCCCTTTTACATTAACAGTCTTTACTTCTATCTGTCCTATTTCCAAGCCCCTTGTGCTCACTATAATCTGACTTTACTCAGTACATTTCCACCTCCAGGAATTAATATTCCGAAATTCCCTTCTGAAACCATTACCTATGCATTGCCTTTTTCATTTCTCCTGGAATGTTTTCTCTGTGTTCAATACGATATCCTGTTGCAAAAGTAGTTTGGTTTTTCTAGTTATTTCATCTTTTAGCGAGTGTCACTTGCCTCTCTATCCAGTGTGGATTCCAGAACTTATCCTATCAGCATTATTCTTTCTTAAAAGTTAGCTTTCTATATCTTTTTGCAATTTCTTATCCCACGTTTTGCCAACCCGCAAAATGGGTAAATAAGTTATTTCAGAACGTGGGAACACATAGGTGAAATGGATACATTTCTTAAAAAATAACTTAGTTTTAAACATTAAAGAAATAGGATCATTATTTAAAAGATCTTCCTACAAAGAAAACATCATGTTCAGACATTTTTTACCCAATGAATTCTGCCAAACATTCAAGAAACAGAACTACAATCTTACACGAAATCTTTCAGAGAACCAAATGAGTCAGAATAATGACTAACTTATTTAATGCAGCTAATATAACCTTGACACAAAACCCAGACAAGGATGATATAAGAAAATTTACAGACCAATATAACTTATAAATATTGCTGCAAATATATCAAACAAAATACTAGCAATCCAAGTTAAATAATGTATAAGAATGAAAAAATCATGACCAAATTATTTTTTTTCCCAGAAATACTACTGTGGCTCAAAAATGTGAAAATCTGTTAGTATAAATTTTCTCTTTAATGAGTTTAAATAGAAAAAACCATATGTTCACTTTGGATGCATAAAAGAGATTTGATAAAATTTAATGCACATTTATTACCAAAAATACCTCTAGCAACTAGAAAAAGAAGATGTGGCAGGGTCTGCTGTTTTTCTCTTATATCTTTTTATTCTTTCTCTTTGTAATAACATAACACCTTATTAGATGTTAGGCATTTAATTGCTCAAGGTAAGAACTGAGCTTCCCTTGAAGCTAGCTGTGACTATTATGAAGGCCTTTTTAATGGGACATAATTTAGAGTTATCTGTGGAATTGCAGAGTTGTACCCTTATAGGGAGGGAGCATGGCTCTCTCTTCCTCTGGTTGGAGAAGGGACCTGATGTTGAGCTATCTCAGACTCTGTGGAGGAGGAAACACCTTAGGAATGGTGGAAAAATAGAAAGAAGCTAGATTCCTGATGGCTGTATACAAAGTGACTTCCTTAATAGCTTAGACTTTAATGTGACAGAGAAATGAACTTCTGTCTATATAAGGCATTTTAAAAGTTAGATCTCTGTTACAACAGGCAAAACTTGGCTAATAATAGGTGAGAATCTCCTTAACTCAATAAAGTATATTTTAAAAGTTTCTACGAAAACATCATATTCAAAGTTAGAGTATTTTCTTTAAGATCGGTAGTGACCACTATAATCACATATACTTAACATTTAACTGAGAGCCTTAGAGCAATAGGGCAAAAACAAAAAATAAATTTTATAACAAATAGAAAGACCAAAAAAAGCTGAGTGATATGGATTAGCTCTCTACCTTTATCAGATACTCGAAACAATCTGAAGAATGTTAGAATTAATAAAAGAGTTCATTAAGTTTACTGGGTACACAAGTAATATACAAAGCATATAAGAACATATAAAGCAAATAGAGCTAGAAAATATAATTATGAAAAAGTATTTATAATTACAAAAAAGATACTTTGAGAATAAAAATTACTAAATATGAGAGCTGTATAGATAAAATAATAAAATAATAAAACTTAATTGAAAGATTAATTATTAGCTAAATAAAATGAAAGAGATTCTCATGGATAGAAAGAATACTAAATAAAAGTCAATTCTCTTCTAGTTTATATAAGCATATTTACATGTGGATATGTATATATTTATATATGTGTGTATATACACACATACATATGTATTTTTATATATATTCAATGCAATTGCAATAAAAATCCTGGTAGGATTTTCTAGTGGAACTTTAAAAGACAATTAAAAAATTACATGGAAGTGCAAAAGACCAAGAATAACAAAAACATTCTTGAAAAGCAATATTAGTAGAGTCTCCTAACTAGATATCAAACTTTTTCATATAAAGTTACAGAAAGTAGAGCACAGGGATAAAATAAGTGACCAGTGAAATAGAATAGAGAGCATAGAAACAATCACAGATATAGCTGAAACTCTGATTTATAATGAAGGTGCGATTGTAGATTATGCAGAAAGGATGTCTACTCAGAATACAGTATGTTACTAAAACAATTCGTTTTCTCTATGGAACAAAAAGAAACACGAACATGAATCCTTACTTTATGCTACATAGTAAGACCATTCTGAAATGCATTAAGACCTTGAATGGAAAAAAAAGAACCAAAACTTTTAGAAGAACACATGAGCTAACAATTGGTTAGTGGAGTGGTCCTTAAAAAGTGAGAAAAAGCACAAACCATAAAACAAAAGATTAATAAATTTGACTATATCAACTTTAAATTTCTGTTCATCGAAAGAGACCATAATGAGACTAAAAAGAGAGATTCCAACCTGGTAGAAAATATTTGAAACAGGTATTACTAATAAAAAATTCGTATACCAAATACATAAAATGGCTACAAATTTATTGAATAAATGCAACTGCCCAAAAAGGGCAAAATAAACATTAATTGGGTTTGAACAAAAAAGAGGAAACAGGATTGAACAAAAAATGGAAAGAAGAAATTAGGATTGAACAAAAGAGGCCATCTTGAACGGCCAAAACAAGAGAAAATATATTAAACAAATGTGTATCCAAGAGAATGCAAACTAAAAGTGCACTAGATTGGATAATGCTAAGTATTGGAGAAGCTGTGGTCAAATGGTAAGATTATTAATTTGGTGAACCAGTTTGGTTAAAAACAGAAAAATTCACAATAAAGTTGAATGTCCACATACCTTATGACAAAGTCATTCCACTCTTGTGTATGTTGTAAGAGAAATTCTTGCACATGTGCCAGGGACTTGCATAATATCATGAATATCAGCATTTTCCCAATACCAGAAAATAGAGAACAACTCAAGTATTCACTAACCGGAGAATGGATAAATCAATTTTAGTGCCTCAATTGAAAGGAATACTATGTATCAGTAAAAATAAATGAGTTATTACTTTAAGAATCAACCTGAATGAATGCAAAATCATTACTGTATTAAAAGAAATTTTCAGAAGAATATGTGATTATGATTCTGCCTATATAAACTTTCAAATTAGGTAAAACAAATAAAATTG
Organism: Homo sapiens; assembly: GCF_000001405.40. Lineage (NCBI taxonomy): Eukaryota > Metazoa > Chordata > Mammalia > Primates > Hominidae > Homo > Homo sapiens. Next base: position 214,865,392 of record NC_000001.11, read on the forward strand.
TCATTTAGAGATATGTGTATGGATGCATGGCAAAGGTAGAAAGAAAAGCAAGGCACTGATTAACTCATGATTCAGTTATTGGTTATGTTTGGTGAATGGAAGTGCACGTGCTCAAGGAGGTGCATAGAGGGATTCAAAGACATTAGTCATGCTGTAATTTTTAGGCTTAGAAGCTTTTACAGTGTGTTTGCTTTTAACTATTCACATACGTTAAATACACTCCTCTGAATGATGTGTTACACAATTAAAAAGTAGAGGTTAAAGAAGACTATCTCTTCATTGCTTTTACTCCTTGTCCCTCCAATTCATTTCGCAAAGCATCACATTCTGGCTCATGATTCCCACTATTTTCCTGAAACTGTTGCCTCTGGGATCACCAATAACTTTCTAATTAGTAGATGCAAATATATCTCACTTGAATAAGAAATCACCCTTTCTTGCAACATTCTCTTCTATTAGTATCTCTGGAAAGCCACTCTCCCATTTCTTCTCTGCATTTAAAGAAAAAAGAAGTAAAAAGTCACTTCTGAAGGTTAAATTAACTTTAAGCCATAAAAAAATTATTTGCCATATTTTGCAAATTGTATTTGAGTAGCAAATATTTATTAAGCACACACTATATACAGAGCATGGAAAATTCAGAAAACAATCTCCATTCTCAACTCTGTTCTTTGGCCCATCATGTATGGTATTATTATGTTGTTGCATTGCTATAGAGAAATACCTGAGACTGGATAATTTATAAAGAAAAGAAGTTTAATTGGCTCATGGTTCTGCAGGCTTTACAGGAAGCATGGTGCTGGCATCTGCTGGGCTTTTGGTCAAGCCTGAGGGCATTTTCAATCATGGTGGAAGGTGAAGAGGAAACAGGTACATCGCATGGTGTGAGCAGGAGCCAGAAAGAGAGCACACATGAGAGAGAGAGAGAGAGAGAGAGAGAGAGAGAGAGACAGACAGACAGTGGGAAGGTGCCACACACTTTTCAATGACCACATCTCTCAAGAACTCACTTGCTATAGTGAAGACCGCACCAAGACATTAGGTATATGCTCCCATGATCCAAACACCTCCCACCAGGCCCCACCTCCAGCATTGAGGATTACAATTCAACATGATATTTGGCCAGAGACAAATATCCAAAGTATATCAGGTATTATTTAGCAAAAATTAATAGTTAGTAGTCATATTATAAAGGCAATTGAATGTGATATAGGAGTTAAAGAGAAACTACTAGGGCAGATAATAAGGGTATGGGAGTCCTCGGTAAGGTTTTCCTTTTTAATGAAAAGAAGCCCCCAAATCATTTTCTAACAAAGAACAGCCTGTAAAATTGAGCTGCAGACATAGACAAACAAGTTGGAAGCCTGCACCCATGAATGCTGGCAGAAAAAAGCTACCTGGTACTAGACATGTTCACAATGGCTTCCTTCCCTTGGTCAGCTATGTGTAAGGTAAGAGCAGACAAGATGGTGAAAAGGCCACTTGCATAATAAGATTAGGGCAGGGTGACCAGCCTTTCCCGAACGCTATGTAAAACACCACATCACACCTGGTTGAACCAATCTGTGGGCTCTACATAAATCAGAAACCGCCTCCTCAAGCCTGCCTATAAAATCTGCTGTGGTCCCCCCAGGCCACCTTTTCCCTTTTGGATGCCTCGCTCTCACAAGAGAGAAAGTGCTGCTCTCCTCTCTCTTTTCTTCTACCTATTTAATTTTTGCTCCTTAACCCACTCCATGAATGTGTGTCCATATCCTTAATCTCAGTGCGCGAGACAATGAACCCCAGGTATTTACCCCAGACAACAATGCCACTTCAAATGTATCAGTTTTAATGTGAAAATTACTATTGTGTTTGCATAATACAGTTTTGAGTTTCAAATTAGCAAACATTCAAAATTAGAGTTTTCCCTAAATGGGTAAACACCTGATCTCTTTTCTGAGGCCTACTAGATTTATATTTTGGTTTTTATAAATATGTATGGGAAGTTTATATTAAAGATTTTGTAATTGTCGATCCTTTCATTTAATTAAACATTTGAAAGGGTGCATTTTTTCCACATTCATAAGTGTTCATACGGATTTCCTCAAATTTTCCAGAGAAGAAAAAATAACTATATTTGAATGGAGCTAGAACATGGAATGGAAAGTTTCAGTTCAAAAGGCATTTTTTTCCATCAAGTTATGAACATTTGAACATGGAATTATAATTGAAACCATTTTGTATACTTCACCATCAAATTCATTCTGAAAATAATGTTTTACTATTTTAAGCAACAGATATAGAAAACTCCCACTGGTCCACAGAATTTATTAAATGTCTGCAATGGCACCACTGCATTAACCATGCTGGAGTGGTCAATGAAGTCAATGGCATGATATTAAGGATATTAGATATGTGTAGAAGAACTAAATAAAACCTGTAGATAAATTTATGTTTTATAATGAACCAAAAATTTTTGAGATGGTTTAATGCAACACAATTAAGTTTAGCTAGTGCTAGCTTCTAGAGCTGGTAGATTAAAACAAAACTTGCATTTAGCTTCCTATGCTTTTTCTTTTTTATTGTTCACTTTCCAATGATGATTTAAATGAGCACTGAGCAGATCAAAACCAAATATCTGAAGAGCATGTAAGGGAGAAGAACCTACAGATAATTCATTTAACCCAAATCAGCCCAATTTACAGTGAACATAAACTAGAAGAGCTTTGAGACACTGATTTTGTGAAGTCCCTGTGCCCAGTGCTACTCTCTCTGTTTCAAGTTTAGGAAAAAAGTGGTTTACATTTGTCATGCCTACATGCTTTCTTCTTACTGACTTCTCAAACTGCTGCACTAAAATTGTTCTTGAAAAGATTACTCCTAAATTCATTTTGAGTTTTCAGTTAACTTGAGTTACCTGTAGTATTTGCATTATTGATCACTCTATGAAATTCTCTCTGCCTCTGGCTTCTTCTGATTTCCTTTTTAACTTCTAAGACAAATCCTTCTCAGCTTCTTTCCCTCATTTCATTTTGCCTTTCCCTCCATTCCCACAATTTCCCATTTTGTTCTTTTCCTACCTGTCCCACAAATGATGGCATCCCAGGGCTCCCTCCTTAGCTCCCTTATAGTTCCACGATTTACATTCTTCATGATAATCATCTACTTTTTTGTTTTAAATACGAGCGGTGGTTCTCTGCTCCTCCTTTTTTTTTTTTTTTTTTTTTTTTTTAAATTTATTTTTTTATTGATAATTTTTGGGTGTTTCTCACAGAGGGGGATTTGGCAGGGTCATGGGACAATAGTGGAGGGAAGGTCAGCAGATAAACAAGTGAACAAAGGTCTCTGGTTTTCCTAGGCAGAGGACCCTGCGGCCTTCCGCAGTGTTTGTGTCCCTGATTACTTGAGATTAGGGATTGGTGATGACTCTTAACGAGCATGCTGCCTTCAAGCATCTGTTTAACAAAGCACATCTTGCACCGCCCTTAATCCATTTAACCCTGAGTGGACACAGCACATGTTTCAGAGAGCACAGGGTTGGGGGTAAGGTCACAGATCAACAGGATCCCAAGGCAGAGGAATTTTTCTTAGTGCAGAACAAAATGAAAAGTCTCCCATGTCTACTTCTTTCTACACAGACAGGGCAACCATCCGATTTCTCAATCTTTTCCCCACCTTTCCCGCCTTTCTATTCCACAAAGCCGCCATTGTCATCATGGCCCGTTCTCAATGAGCTGTTGGGCACACCTCCCAGACGGGGTGGTGGCCGGGCAGAGGGGCTCCTCACTTCCCAGTAGGGGCGGCCGGGCAGAGGCGCCCCTCACCTCCCGGACGGGGAGGCTGGCCGGGCAGGGGGGCTGACCCCCCCCACCTCCCTCCCGGACGGGGCGGCTGGCCGGGCGGGGGGCCGACACCCCCACCTCCCTCCCGGACGGGGCGGCTGGCCGGGCGGGGGGCCGACCCCCCCACCTCCCTCCCGGACGGGGCGGCTGGCCGGGCAGAGGGGCTCCTCACTTCCCAGTAGGGGCGGCCGGGCAGAGGCGCCCCTCACCTCCCGGACGGGGCGGCTGGCCGGGCAGAGGGGCTCCTCACTTCCCAGTAGGGGCGGCCGGGCAGAGGCGCCCCTCACCTCCCAGATGGGGCGGCTGGCCGGGCGGAGGGCTGACCCCCCCACCTCCCTCCCGGACGGGGCGGCTGGCCGGGTGGGGGGGCTGACCCCCCCATCTCCCTCCAGGACGGGGTGGCTGGCCGGGCTGAGGGGCTCCTCACTTCCCAGTAGGGGCGGCCGGGCAGAGGCGCCCCTCACCTCCCGGACGGGGCGGCTGGCCGGGCGGGGGGCTGACCCCCCCACCTCCCTCCCGGACGGCACGGCTGGCCAGGTGGGGGGCTGACCCCCCCACCTCCCTCCCGGACGGCACGGCTGGCCAGGCGGGGGGCTGACCCCCCCACCTCCCTCCCAGATGGGGCAGCTGGCCGGGCGGGGGGCTGACCCCCCCCCACCTCCCTCCCGGACGGGGTGGCTGCCGGGCGGAGACGCTCCTCACTTCCCAGATGGGGTGGCTGCCGGGCGGAGAGGCTCCTCACTTCTCAGACGGGGCAGCTGCCGGGCGGAGGGGCTCCTCACTTCTCAGACGGGGTGGTTGCCAGGCAGAGGGTCTCCTCACTTCTCAGACGGGGCGGCCGGGCAGAGACGCTCCTCACCTCCCAGACGGGGTCTCGGCAGGGCAGAGGCGCTCCTCACATCCCAGATGGGGCGGCGGGGCAGAGGCGCTCCCCACATCTCAGACAATGGGCGGGCGGGCAGAGACGCTCCTCACTTCCTAGATGTGATGGCGGCTGGGAAGAGGCGCTCCTCACTTCCTAGATGGGATGGCGGCCGGGCGGAGACGCTCCTCACTTTCCAGACTGGGCAGCCAGGCAGAGGGGCTCCTCACATCCCAGACGATGGGCGGCCAGGCAGAGACACTCCTCACTTCCCAGACGGGGTGGCGGCCGGGCAGAGGCTGCAATCTCGGCACTTTGGGAGGCCAAGGCAGGCGGCTGCTCCTTGCCCTTGGGCCCCGCGGGGCCCGTCCGCTCCTCCAGCCGCTGCCTCCCGGGCGGTGCTCGCCGGCGCGGCGGCAAAGACTGAGACAGCTCCGCTGCCCGCTGAACTCCATCCTCCCGGTGGTCGGGCGGCGGCGGCTGCGGTCGGGCGGCGGCGGCTGCAGTCGGTCGCGGCAGCGGCTCCGCTTCATATCTGCAGCTGGGGCCCGCGGGCGTCAGCGCCGCGACTGTCCCGGCTCCGCACCTCTCTGCTCCTCCTATTCGACAGACAGCCACATCTTCTTGTGCAGTGCCAGCCGCATCCCTAAGACACCATGGTTAAAGTGAAGGATGGAGTAAATGGTTTTGGCCGTATTGGGCACCTGGTCACCAGGGCTGCTTTTAATTCTGTCAAAGTAGATATTGTCACCCTCAATGATTCCTTCATTGACCTCAGCTACATGGTCTACATGTTCCAGTATGATTTCATCCATGGCAAGTTCCATGGCACTATCAAGGCTAAGAACAGGAAGTTTGTCATCAATGGAAATCCCATCATTATCTTCCAGGAGTAAGAGCCCATCACAATCAAATGGGATGATACTGGTGCTGATTATGTTGTGGAATCCACCAGCATTTTCACTACTGTGGAGAAAGATGGGGCTCATGGGGTGGGAAGTCAAAAGAGTCATCATCTCTGCTCCCTTTGCTGATTCCCCCTGTTCATGATGGTCATAAAGCATGAGAATTATAAATCAGCAATGCCACCTGTACCACCAACTGAGTAGCCCCCTAGCCAAGGTCATCCAAGACAACCTTGGAAATCATGGAGGGACTCATGACCACACTCATGATCACTGTCACTTCACCCAGAAGACCATGGATGCCCCCTCTGGGAAACTGCGGTGTGATGGCCATGGGGCTCTCCAGAAATCATCCCTATATCTACGGGTGCTGCTAAGGCTGTGGGCAAGGTCATCCCTGAGCTGAACAAGAAGCTCACTGGCATGGCCTTCCATGTCCCCACTGCCAACATGTTGGTACGAGACCTGACCTGGCATCTGGAGAAACCTGCCAAATATGATGACACCAACAAGGTGGTGAAGCAGGCATCAGAGGGCCTCCTCAAGGACATCCTGGGCTATACTGAGCACCACGTTGTCTCTTACTTTAACAGTGACACCCATTCTTCCACCTTGATGCTGAGGCTGCCATTGCCCTCAATGACTACTTTGTCAAGCTCATGTCCTGGTATTACAGTGCAGTTAGCTACAGCAACAGAGTGGTGGACTTCGCAGACCACATGGCCTCTGAGGAGTCAGAACCCCAGACCATCAACACAAGCAAGAGCACGAGAGGAAGAGAGAGGCCCTCAGCTGCTAGAGAGTTCCTGCCACACTCAGTCCCCCACCACACTGAGAATCTCCCCTCCTCACAGTTTCCATGCAGACCCCCTGAAGAGGGAGGGGCCCAGGTATCCCTACCTTGTCATGTGCCATCAATAAAGTCTCCTGTACTCAGCCAAAAATATTAAATAAATAATGGATAGATAAATTCATATGTACTTAAAAAAATAAATACCAGTAATATTCTGGAGACTTCCAAATAGGAATTTCCTTTCAAAGCTGTATCTCTTTAAAGCTGCATCTCTAGCTCCTTAAAAGGCATCTCCGCTTGGGTAGTGTATCAATCAGAGTCCAGTTAGGAGATAAAAACCACACCAATAATTTAGATAGGAAACTTTGAATGTACAGAATTAACTAGCAAAAGATGATTAATTACTAAAATGAGGAAAAAGAGGGCTGTAGAGGTAGAGAAATAGTAAATGCCGAAAGCTACAACCTCTAGGGCTATATAACCATGAAAAACTGAGTAACTAAGATTTTAAAAGAGATGCCCTTTCCACCTCTCTCTGAGACTGAAGTCCAGATCTCTTGGGAGAAGATGGGGCTATCAGACGAACATGCAGTGGTAGAAAACTTGCCAGAAGGCCCAAGGCTGGAGTTGGCCTGAGGGTTTCTGAGGTGAATGTCCATGGCCTTCCACATGCTGATTTACTGGCTGCCATATCCAAAGAAAAGCCACACTGAAATAGGAAGGGAGGGCCCTTCTGCTGTTATGGCCTTACAGTATCCCTCCAGGGCTCTCTGTTGACAAAACCCAACATTGAGCCAGCTAGCAAAGGAGAAATGTTTACAGGGTCTGGCCAGTATCTCAGAGCAAGAAGCGTGGATTTAGGGGCTCAGATGTGATAAACTGAGAACTGGCACAAGTGGTCCACTTATACCTCCAATTCAACTTGCTAAAAATGAGCAAGTTGAGCAACTCATTTTCCTCTGGTTCTTCTCTTACTCAACGGTATCACCATCTCCCTAGCTGCACCAACTGGAAATCTGTAAGGCATCCTAGATACTTCACTTTTGCTCAGATACATATGGTCAGTCACCAGCAGAGCCCGGCTACGAAAAGTGTGCAGAGTCATGACAGAGGCATTGTCATTCCAGCTGGCTGTGGAGTTACTTAAGAGTTGACTTGATTCCACGCAAACAGTGTCTCCCAAGGGCAGTCCCTATAGGTCCAGGACCCTTGTCTCTGTGGTGGAAATTGAGCTGTTACTCATGATTCTCTCCTTTTGCTCTGCAGTTTGGAGCCTTGGGAAAATCTCTCATATGTTTTCTTCCTTGGAACTCTTTAGAAGTGGCCAGTCAGACCTGATGATGAGAGATATGTATTTTTTTTTCTTTGCCGCTTCTGTTTTGTGTAACCCAGGCAAAAATTATGTGAATGCAACAACACAGGGATATAGTCAGTATTACAGAAGCCTATTTATGTCTTATTTATAGCTTATTTTAAAACCAGTGGTTTTTACCACTAAAATATAATCTTTTTAGTAATCTGTAATAGGAACAGTTTTTGCTTTGAAATATACTTGTGATACAAAATGTATACAGAAAAAAACATCGTTTTAATTTAACTATTTGATGTATTCCTCATCCAAATTTCATAAGAATTATTTTAAATGTTCTGTAAATATTTCTGATTTCTTCTAGAGCATGTATCTTCAATATATGTATATTAATATACAGATGATATACATATGCTTCTCTAATCATGCATTGAGTATATATAGAAACATATACAAATGTAGTGGTAGACTGATTACGTTAAAATTAATATAAAGAAATTCTAGTATTTAGTTCTGCCCTGATGGACTGTCTTGTGTGTGTCACTTAAGGTTTACGTATCCAGCATTGGTGACAATTCTGTTCATCTTTGTATGAAAAGGGCAAACAGGAAATCAGATTTCTGTGTGTTCTCTGAGGAAGTACCATAGTTTCAAAACAGTGACTAGTTTGTGTCCTGTGCAGGTTCTTATTTAATAAGAATATGCCTTCTAGCCTTGCACTCACCTTACCATACACCTCTCTGATGGGTTTCTACTTCAGTCAGGGGGCAGAATGGTAGAATGGAGAGAATTGCTGAAGTTTTGTAGTATTGCAATTGCAGCTCTGTCATTAACTGATTTTGTGCCCTTGTGACTTTGTACAAGTTACCTGATCTCTTTTAGACTTATTTTTCTGGAAATAGAAGGGTTTCAAGCCAGTAGGATCAGGCTTGGGAGCCTGTAAAGCACATCATTTTTCTGACCCATGTGTAAAGTACTGTCAGATTTATTATAAGCTGGTGCACTTAAGAGGTATCAGGAACTCCTTGATTGGTTCTGTAGTATTGAACTTTGAGACTTACCAGAAGATAGAACTGAAGCTATCAGAAAGTGGAGTTTCTGCATAAGGCACCATATCAATGCCAGATTATCACCAACAATATTCCAGAAAGGTGGTCATCTAATTTCCACCTCTTGGGATGGAAAATTCACTCCTTTTTAAACAGATTATCTCCAGTAAGAAAAGTTTTAAATAAAACTATGTATTTAATACCCCAAAACCAAAAAATTATATACAAATGTGTAATAAAATAATTTACCTTTATATATATATATGGTGACCCTTAGAAAATCTGAAGGCAACTATCATACTCCCCTTGGTCTCTTACCTTTAACAGAAACATGTTCAATTCTTTAAATAAATTTTCACATGCAGTGACTTCCAGCTCCCTTGCTTACTGATTTGTTATTCTCTGAATATTCTGGAATTAGTTCTGGAATTAGTTTGAAGGTTACTAGTTCCTGAAAAGTGGCCCCAGAGCTGGTTTTCTGAGCAGGCCCCAGCTCCTGCTGAGCACTGCCTCATTTTGGGGGGCAGCTCATTCCTACTCCCTCTTACCTACTCACTCCAAGAGGTCTTTTCAAAAGCAGGCAAAGCTTCAAGCCTTTTGGATCAAACTCCATTCTTCATTTGTTTCTAGATAGCTGGCTGAAAGACTGAAAGCTGACCAGGGCAGGTGTTTTTGGATTTTACTTCCACTGTGTCTTTCTGCTTGACCTGGATCTTTGAACGCTAAATTTTGTTAGGTTTTTTGAATACTAAAACTCATTTGTGACATCCAGTTTTCCCTGATATACTGGATTCTGACCTCATTTTTGCCCACAGGACTCCCAGTGCTATTCTTTCTGCCTGCCAGCATCCCAGGCCTAATTTCTCCAGAATTTCTTATCTTATGGTTATCTTGAGTCTGACATAAAAGTCTCTTCTTCCTCTCAATTCCTCCAGCTCTGAATGTCTGCACAATTCATTTCACATTTATCAAATGTAGGCTTGGGTCATCAGCTACCCTTAAAAGCACATGTCTGGTCTGCCCAGTTGGATTAATCATATTCTGTAGTTGGAACTAGGGTTTTTGACATTTTGATAGTCAATACAATGCTTAATGTAAATCCTTGAACAAATTAAATTCTTAATAATGCTTAATAAGTAATTGTTAAGCTAAAGCGATGGCCAAACATGACTTCTCCTTTAACGTACTTTGGAAAATGATTAGGTTTTTGGACCAGTCATTAGATTTGTACCTTGAAGAATTTGTTTATTTCCTCTTCTCTGACTTTTAAAATTGTGTCACATACTGGGTATTCCTTTCAGGTTTGGTTGCCAGGAAAGTTATAATGAAGTTCACCTACTATGTTGGCTCCATGCTTCCCTTACTGTTTTCAATTCTAACTTCCAGTTTGTATTTCTATTATATTAATTGTATGTTATGCCTTTCTCTCATTTTTTAGTAAGATATTTTAAAATCCTTTCTGAGAAGGAAGGTTATTACAAATACATTTGTACAAGGCTCTTACTAATAGAAATAAAACTTTTTTAAACTTCTTTTTTGCATTTTGACATTTAGGAAGTAAAAAAAGAACCAATCTGAAGAAGATATAAGAGGCAGAGTAAGTCTAGATCCCTACCCATTGAAGAAATATTTATCATTTTGCAAACAAGCTGATTGTAATTTTTTCTGAAATGTAATGTAAGATGAATTAAATAATTGGAACTTCAGATGGAAAAGAGACTGAAAGATTCATATGCTTCAAATAGTACTACTAAGTTACTTAGAACAGAGCCATCTGGACAGAATCCATGTTGATATGTGAAAGAAAGGTAAGTAATTTCCTTGAGATATACCTCCATGAAATATCTTCCAAAATAGACACAATATGAGTTTGGGTTATAATAAGAAATACTGAACTTAAATCAATGTTTAACAACTCTAAGGGACATGGAGTAACTATAAAGCAATAAGAAGTTTTGTGTGTTGTTCATTTTTACTATTTTTGAGTCCTATTCCATATTACCCTAATGTCGTGACAAGGTGAAAATGGCACGTTTCCTATAATCAGTGCTAGATATTAGATTGTATTCCAAATTCCATAAGAATTATTTTATACTACCTAGTTTAGTGCTTTAGTTTTATATTATTGTCTAGTTGATATCAACCGATGGTTACATACAGGAGACACAAATGCATAAGGTCTAGCAATTGATTTCAAGAGCTTACTTCCTAATAGGAGAGCATATAGACTGGAATTAATCTAATTATATCAGTTGTATTTCATCTTGCCTCTTCAAATATATGATGTGTGGCTGCAGAGAATTATGATGTCATCTTATACTTTGATACTTCCCTGTTGTGTCAGGTAGCAGTAACAACCCACATAAAAACAAGCAGGATTTTAACAAGGTGGTATGATACAACTAAACTTTTGAGATGACCCTACCGTAAATCACCGTAGTGTATAAATCCACAAAAGAGATAACAACCTTAAAGAAATTTAAAAAGAATAAAAAGGCTTTAAGTTCTAATATCAGTTGGCATATAGTTAATTCTCAAAGTGACTGGCACAGTTATCCAAACAGCTGGTGTTTCACAAGCACTTGATGTTTGATTGATTGATGTAGAACAGCAACTAAACCGTTGGAACAATGATGTGGTTTCTAGACCACATCAGTTTACAAATCAGCTCATGGGTACATTGTAGAAGTACTCTCTTTTTGCTAGGTGTCTTTTGTTGCAGGGTTGTCATCCATGAACCTTGCAATGGGCAAGGAAAAGATATTACTTTTTCTCCCCTACACTAACAATACCCTTTACACACACACATTTAATATTTTATTTGGCACAGAAGCCTTCAGAAATGAAGACCCAGTGATCCAGGGAAAACCATATTTTTATAGACAGTCATGAAGAAATGTGATGGTAAAACCAAAAGGTATTATTTAATGGTAATAACCTTGTGGTGGGGGGAGCTTAGTAAGGCCCGTTCTTTCAGATTCTTCTTGGCCTTCTGGTTATAGGTCATAACCTCTCTGGAATGAGGGTCTTGTGACCTTCTCTCAGGGGGATAGGTCAGAGAACTATTTCATGGCCTGCTTCAGGGGAGAAAGATGGGAGAAGGTCAGAGAGTGAGTTTTGGGCTTTCATTGTTTTCTCAATTTCCTTTAGCTTAAAATACTCAGTATGCCAAGGTGGTATATTTTGGGGTATTGTGTTCTGAGCCCCAACATGAGACATCAGGATGGTGGTGATGAAGGAAAAATGTACTAATGAGGATTACAACAGAGGTGGAGTCTGGATCTGGTCTAAGATAAGATTAGCAGTGTTCCCAGACTGAAAGACAATTACTTGGTGTTTGGAAGTCAGTCAAATATTAAGTAGGTAAGAAATGGTAATCTTAGGACTCCACTATCTGGGAAAGGATTGTTCATGACATTTAGAGGACTGAGAAATGGAAGATCAAAGACAATGACCAAGGTCAGACAAATGTTCACCCTCTGGGAGAAATTTTAGTCAAAAAGGTTAAATGGCCCATCAGATGGAAGTATATCAATTTCTGAGGAAACAAGGAGATCTCAAGTCAGGTTTCCAGTACTTTGGAGTCTAGTAGAGGAAATAAGACAGTATTAAAAATTATAGCCCATGATAATGTTCAAAAGAAGGATATAATCAAAGTACTGTAGACCAACAAAGACTGAATGTAAGGGAAATAATGTTAAGTAAATGGATATTATGTACTAAAAGCATGCTAGCTATTAAAAATGTGCAGGAGGAAGATACCATGTCAGTTGGAAGATTAGAAAAGGCTTTGTCATTAATGTCTTTAAAGTAGGTGATCAGAGAACGAAATCTGAAGCCAGATGATCTGGATTCTAATCTTATCATTGAAACACTGATTTTTTTTTTGACAATTGCTTAAATAGTTTAAACTTAGGATTTCTATTATGAAAACTTAGGATGGTAATAGCTATATAACCTTACAGAATGATGGTGAGAACAAAATTAGCTGAACTGTAAAGTTACTTGAAGGTGGTAAAGTCTTATAAGTTATCATTTATAACAAATAAATATAATTCCGTAGAAATAAATGCTCTATAAATTTTAGGTATTTGAAAAAAATGGAAAATTGAAAATGAATCCTGTTGCATTACTGCTGTCATGTCATAATGCTGTGACATATTTCCTTCTAATGGTAAAAGATCCATTCTACATTCCTTTATTCTTGGAAAATAGTTATCAGAATAACAATCTATTTTATAGTGAAATATTTCTTAAGTAATTTTCTTGAAATACAATTTTTGAAATACCAATTGTATTTAACTGACATTCATATTGTTGAATATGTCAAATCCAACTTGATTTAGTATAAATATTAAACAAGATTTTGGGTTCTCTTCAGAGCTAGCAAGGAATCCTTAAAAATCAGGCATAGTTGGGCCTAGGGAAAACCAAAATGTCAATAATTTGCTTTAATGAAAGATTATTTATTGGTCATATGTATAGTTTTAGATTTCTCTTACAGATTTAATCTTTGTAGCATTAATTGATAATTTTCAGGCGGGTTTTGTCATAGTGAGAATAAAGATAACATAGTCTTGGTCTCTTTCTGCTTCAGAGTTAAGCCTCCTGTACAGACTGAGGACTGAAATCTTTTTGTGGACTACTGAAAACTGGCATCCTTCTAGGTCATCTGATAAATGGGTTATCCCCAAGTATGGCTTATGCTTTCTCCAGAGTCCAAAAGAATCTACCAAATGTTGTGCTTCTCATTCTAACTGGTGTGAGATGGTATCTCATTGTGGCTTTGATTTGCATTTCTCTGACGGCCAGTGATGATGAGCATTTTTTCATATGTCTTTTGGCTGCATAAATGTCTTCTTTTGAGAAGTGTCTGTTCATATCCTTCGCCCACTTGTTGATGGGGTTGTTTTTTTCTTGTAAATTTGTTGGAGTTCATTGTAGATTCTGGATATTAGCCCTTTGTCAGATGAGTAGATTGCAAAAATTTTCTCCCATTCTGTAGGTTGCCTGTTCACTCTGATGGTAGTTACTTTTGCTGTGCAGAAGCTCTTGAGTTTAATTAGATCCCATTTGTAAATTTTGGCTTTTGTTGCCATTGCTTTTGGTGTTTCAGACATGAAGTCCTTGCCCATGCCTATGTCCTGAACGGTATTGCCTAGGTTTTCTTCTAGGGTTTTTACGGTTTTAGGTCTAACATTTAAGTCTTTAATCCACCTTGAATTAATTTTTGTATAAGGTGTAAGGAAGGGATCCAGTTTCAGCTTTCTACATATGGCTAGCCAGTTTTCCCAGCACCATTTATTAAATAGGGAATCCTTTCCGCCTTGCTTGTTTTTGTCAGGTTTGTCAAAGATCAGGTAGTTGTAGATATGCGGCATTATTTCTGAGGGCTCTGTTCTGTTCCATTGGTCTATATCTCTGTTTTGGTACCTGTACCATGCTGTTTTGGTTACTGTAGCCTTCTAGTATAGTTTGAAGTCAGGCAGCATGATGCCTCCAGCTTTGTTCTTTGGCTTAGGATTGACTTGGCAATGCGGGCTCTTTTTTGGTTCCATATGAACTTTAAAGTAGTTTTTTCCAATTCTGTGAAGAAAGTCATTGGTAGCTTGATGGGGATGGCATTGAATCTATAAATTACCTTGGGCAGTATGGCCATTTTCACCATATTGATTCTTACTCTCCATGAACATGGAATGTTCTTCCATTTGTTTGTATCCTCTTTTAGTTCATTGAGCAGTGGTTTGTAGTTCTCCTTGAAGAGGTCCTTTGCATCCCTTGTAAGTTGGATTCTTAGGTATTTTATTCTCTTTGAAGCAATTGTGAATGGGAGCTCACTCATGATTTGGCTCTCTGTTTGTCTGTTATTGGTGTATAAAAATGCTTGTGATTTTTGGACATTGATTTTGTATCCTGAGACTTTGCTGAAGTTGCCTATCAGCTTAAGGAGGAATGGCAATCGTTAAAAAATCAGGAAACAACAGGTGCTGGAGAAGATGTGGAGAAATAGGAACACTTTTACACTGTTGGTGGGACTGTAAACTAGTTCAACCATTGTGGAAGTCAGTGTGGTGATTCCTCAGGGACCTAGAACTAGAAATACCATTTGACCCAGCCATCCCATTACTGGGTATATACCCAAAGGATTATAAAACATGCTGCTATAAAGACACATGCACACGTATGTTTATTGTGGCACTATTCACAATAGCAAAGACTTGGAACCAACCCAAATGTCCAGCAATGATAGACTGGATTAAGAAAATGTGGCACATATACACCATGGAATACTATGCAGCCATAAAAAAGGATGAGTTCATGTCCTTTGTAAGGACATGGACGAAGCTGGAAACCATTCTCAGCAAAGTATTGCAAGGACAAAAAACCAAACACCGCATGCTCTCACTCTTAGGTGGGAATTGAACAATGAGAACACAGTGACCAAGGAAGGGGAACATCACACACCGGGGACTGTTGTGTGGTGGGGGGAGCGGGAGGGGGAGGGATAGCATTAGGAGATATACCTAATGCTAAATGACGAGTTAATGGGTGCAGCACACCAACATGGCACAAGTATACATATGTAACAAACCTGCACGTTGTGCACATGTACCCTAAAACTTAAAGTATAATAAAAAATAAATAAATAAAGTACAGCTGTAGCCTGATAAGATTTAAAAAAAAGTTGTGCTTATCTTTTTGTCTTTTTTTGAGGAGTTATTCTGGCATGCCTCAAATCATTGTATCCCTAGAAATTTCACAGAAGTGTCAGGCCCCTGAACCTTGTGGGATTTTACTCCAATTGTTTCATATGTATGTGTCTTATTAGGTGCATTATGGGTGCTTGTCAATTTCTGGACTTCTCACCAGGTGCACATAAGTGTGCAGTCATTAATATAGTAGACTGGTATGAGGTCAAAATAATTAAGGTTCTTGTGGGCTACATTATAACTGACAGCAAAATTGTTGACCTACTCCTGAGTTAAAATGGTGAAGGTATACTGCTGTCCTTGCCCTGTAAAAGTGAATTGCTTTGATCTTCCCTATGGATGGTTATCATGAATAAATCATTTGCCAACGTAATAAACACATACCACCTGCCAGAGACTGTGTTGATTTATTTTAGTAAAGGTACCAACCTGGCACAGCTGCTTCGATTATGGAGATCGTCTGCTTAAGTGTCTGCTAATCATCCTACGACCCATCTGGGGTTCGCATTCAATGGAGATATGACAAAGATAATCAACATTATGTCTTTCAATATATGATGGCTCCATATACATATGGTGGCTCCAAATTTTGTAATTCTTTTAGGTGTATTGCTTCTTGGTGTGGAGGATGTGGCAGTTCAGGAGCTTCTGTTGTCATTTCTTCCTGCCATTACTTCACAGGTTAGGAAACTAGTTGAGGGTTCTGTCAGGTGCTAAGTATATTTATCTCAATTATATAAAGAGAACTGGGGAAATAACGTTATTGGGAGAGTATGGGGGGTGGTTTGTGGACCTTTGGATGATGTGCAACAGATTTTGGTTAAAACACAACTTGTCATTTGGATTCCATAAACTCTCATTTAAACAAGGATGGCATTGCCTTTGAAATCTCGTGATATCATGTTCTCTTATACCTCATATCTAATAGTTCTAAAAAAAATCTGTGAATTTCCCTTGTCCCAGTTCATGCTAAGGAATAATTACAGATCTCAATAAGAAAAGATGGAAATAATATACACTGTGTATCTTTGTGGAGATATTTCAAGGTCCTTCCTTATGGGATTCAGCCTCTACTTCAATGAATAGACTCTATTCTTGGAGACACTTAGATCTTGAAATGGTGTGTAGGTCACTCTTTTCTATTGCGGTGGATGATTTCAGTCATTTTTTTGCCAGATTTTGATATTTTTGATTATATAAATCAAGTGAAAACTTAGTTTGCTTTTCCCACAAGGGTGCCTAGATAATCAGTGAGGAGAAAGAAAGTATTTTCAAAAAATGATGCTGGGAAAACTGAATATCCACATTAAAAGAATGAAGCTGAATTCCTAACTCACACTATATATAAAAATTATCTCAAAATGTATCATATATTTAAATGTAAGTGTTAAAACTGTTAAACTCTTGGAAGTAAATGTAGGAGTAAATCTTTATGATCTTGAATTAGGCACTGGTTTCATAGATATAACACCAAAACCATAAACAACAAAAGAAAAAATAGATAAATTGGACTTAATCAAAGTAAAGCATTTTGTGCTACAATGACACCATCAAAAAACTAAAAAGATAACTGACAGAATGAAAGAAAATATTTGCTAATCATATATCTCATAGGAGACTTATATTTAGAATATATAGGAACTCTTACAACTCAATAACCAAAAGACAGACTAACTTTTAAAATAGGCAAAGGATTTGAATCTACGTTTCTTTAAAGAAAAAGTATGAATAATCTATATGCACATGGAAAGATAATTAGCATTATTAATCATCAAGAAGTACAAATCAAAACCACAATGAGATACAACTTCACACACACTAGGACAGCTGAAATAAAAAAGAAAGACACTATCAAGTATTGGTGGAGTTGTGGAGAAATTGGAACGCTTGTACATTGCTGGGAGATTGTCAAATGGGACAGCTACTTTGTAAAACACTTTGGCACTTCCTCAAAATGTTAAACAGAGTAACATTATGTCCCAGCAATTCTACTTCCAAGTTTATTCACAAGATAATTGAAGGCATACGCCACTCAAAAGCTTGCACACAAATGTTCATTGCGGCATTATGCATAATAGCCAAAAGTGGAAGCTACTGATAAATAGACAAAATATCCTTGCAATTGAATATTATTTAACAACCAAAAGGAATGAAGTAATGACATGTACTTTAACATGGATGAAGCTTAAAAACATTATGTTAAATGGAAGAGGTCAGTCACAAAATGTCATGTATTGTATAATTCCATTTATTCACAGAATATTCACAAAGATGAAAGGTAGATTAATGATTGTCAGGAGATTGGGGAAAAGGGGGAATGGAGAGCAACTGCTAATTGGTATGGGGTTTCTTTTTGGGTGTATGAAATGTTCTAAAATCACATGGTAGTGATGTTTGCACAACTCTGTGAATCTACCAAAAAATCCTGAATTGTACACTTTTAAGGATGAATTTCAAGGTATGTTAATGTTTGTCTCAATAAAACAGTTATTTTAATAATGTAGTTTGCTCTCCATCTAAGAATATCATGATCTCTTAGTCACCATCATAGATTGCATGTCAAAACATTCTGATTGGCATTCCCATGTTGCTACCCATGCAGTAAGTCAGCCCATCTTGCCTCTGACAGTTAAGTACCGCTATTTTGTCTCTGCATTCCAAGATCCCACCAACCTCATTGATATTAGGGAGTCCAAATACATGTAGCAACCCCAATTATAACCCTAAAAATCTAGAATGAAATTTCTCAAAGATCCTTCTGCCCTTTTCAAAGGATCACAGTAGTCATAGGCTCTCCTGCAGGCTCTCTTGTGGAAAAGAGGCGGAGGTTCTTGAACCATATGCAGTAAGTTTATTTTAACATCTCTACTTCCGTATGCCTTCTAATCTTTTCTTTGGTTATGCCAAAGATGCTCTATCCATCTAATTTCATTTGTAGTAGGCCATAAACAAGTCTGGACTTCAAAGAGCTACCCCACCAAACCATTAGGAACCCTTCTATGTGCTCTTGACAAACTATTAAATCATGAGTGAAGGGTTAGTGTTCATTAGTAAATTCTCTCCTATCCAATCATATATTCTGAGTCCCCTGATTCTACTCTACGTTGTTAAAATCCACTCCCACAAGTTTCTCCAGTTTCTGCCAGGATATATTTGCCAGGTTCTGCTATTCCTTCTGTTGTAGGATACTTTCCTTGAAACTTGTACTTCTCCAATCAGGCTATGATAAGACCTGACTCAGCTTTTAGCCAAGGGACAAAGAGGAACAAATAAGATTTGTGCAGAATGGGACAAATTGTTGCTGTCATGCTGTTTTGCTTATTTCTTAATAAAAAGTCCACCTACTTCAGCTACTCCAGAGGCTGAGGCAAGAGAATAGCCTGAACCCGGAAAGCGGAGCTTGCAGTGAGCTGAGATCACACCACTGCACTCCAGCCTGGGTGACAGAGCGAGGCTCCTTACCTACCTAATATAAACTTATGGCATGCTTATATTTTATGTCACAAATATAAATATATAATTATAAATATAAATATAAATAAAAGTATCAGCTTGGTAATATTTCTGATATATACTTCTGGTCTTCAAGAATTTTTTTGCAATGGTAACTGTAGAAAAGTTATCACAAAACAAACCTTCTCCTTAAAATAGTAATCTCTTCCTAAAAATTCAACAGGTAATTATTGTTTGGTGAAAGAATATACTTACAAAACAAATTAATAAGATTACTTTGTCTGGTCCTTCAGTGAAAATTTATCCAGTGATCCAATATTCCTATTGATCAAGCAAAGGATGAAAGCAAAGATACTCATTTGAGAATGTATTCACCTGAGTTCCCCCAGAAAGAGACCCTGGCAGGAGGAATTAAGTGACTTATTTGGGACCTGTGTTCCTTGGTAGCACTAGTGGGGGAGTGGAGAAGTGAGACAGGAAAGAAGACACTGACTCAGAGCACTTTAATGAGCAGTTGCCACTGTGGCCAATTGGCACCTAACCCTTCTATGGATCTCCAGGAGATGATATGTGCATGGAACCCTTTAGAATGATCTCAGTAAAGGAGCAAGGTGGCTGAGGCCTGTCTGAAGTCTGCCTCTGAGAGTGTTGACTTCCTAGCTCTGGCCATCTCAGCTTACCCCAAAAATGCCCTCAGGTGGAGAGTCACAGTTTCTGACAGTTGGACACCACTGACCTGAATGAAGACAGTAAGTAAATACCAGGGAATATGGGCAGGATCTCTTAATAAAAGACTTAATAA
This sequence comes from Homo sapiens, assembly GCF_000001405.40. Classification (NCBI taxonomy): domain Eukaryota; kingdom Metazoa; phylum Chordata; class Mammalia; order Primates; family Hominidae; genus Homo; species Homo sapiens. Next base: position 214,885,099 of record NC_000001.11, read on the forward strand.
AAAGTCCACCTACTTCAGTTGAACAAATAAACATGTCCCACATCCTTTAGCATTTGGCTCTCAAGGTCATGAATTTAATGATATCTGTTGATCTCTTATAAGTGAAGAATTAAGAAGTAAGTGGAAAGGCCATTTAACATAAGAACCCTTCCCCCACCAGACTATAAGTACCATGAGAGTAAGCAATTTGTTTCTTTTGATTACCATGATATCCTCAGTATCTGGTAGAATACCCAATTACTATTTGTTTGATGACATTATAATGTCTATTTTCTAACATTATTGAAAAGAAAGCTTTCTCTTTCTTCTTTTTTTTTTGATTTTTTTTAATATTATGGTTCAGAGATCTCCACTAATCAGTTAACCAGAGCCTGGTAAACAGTAGGAACTTAGTAAATATTAGTAGAATGAATAAATGAAATGAAGACAGTCATTATTACTGTTATAGTTTTAGTCATGCTATATTCATTTCAATTAATACTAATATTTAGCTATTAAAATTATTAATCTGTTATGTTTTAATGGAAGCTAGAGTGCTTGGTGTGCTGATAAATACCAGAAGATAGAATTCTTTTATAAGTGACACATGAGTCTATTTAATCTGCATACATTTTCTATTAGTTCTAGTATATGTAGAATTTCACATTACCCAGTTTGTGTCTACATTAAGAAATGTTTTGACTTTTGAAATACAAACACACACACATAAACACAAACACATGAACACACACACATATACAAACACACACATACACAACTAGCCCTCTCATTATCCTTTCCAAGGAGATATAGGAGATTCCACTCAGTTTAGAATAATTTATATTTGGCACTGGACTATATTAAATAATTTATTTTACAAAATTTCTTTAAAAGATTTTTTTCTTAGGTTCCTGGAATTGGTTTGCCTACCCTTGAACATGTATTTGAAAGTGGAGGGCAGCCTGACTCAGAGAAGTTTTAGTACAGCAGAAACCAACCTGGAGTTATACATGAACTTCAAATGATCCACAAAATACAAATTCAGCTCTATGTTTCCTTTATTTTGTACCTATCATTAGAGCATTTGGTGTCTTCTTTGTCTTAAGTATTTTTTCCCCCTGCTTTGGCCTAGATTGTATTTGTCTGGTTAATTCTTATTTATTCTATAGATATTCTCTTAAAGGCTCCATTCTCCAGGATGCCTTCCCTGAATCCTTGTTCACTAAGTAAAATTTAGGTGCTTCTGCTTCTTATTTCCCCACAGCAAACTCAACACTTTCCCTCCAGCAGTACTGAGTAAGCTCAGTGGGAGCAGGGGCCATGTCTACTTTGTGAAACCCTCGCACCTGTCCAGAGCCTGCCACGAAGCAGGTGCTCAGAATCTCAAAATGCAGGAACGACTGGAGGAATAAGTCATCCGTGATCTTTGCCTTCAACCCCATTTTTTACCCCATCCCACCTTACCTTGCTCTCCCAAACTGAACATATTTTAGTTCCTCAATCATGCCATGTGATGTCTCTCTCCCAGGCCTGGCACATGCTGTTCCCTGAGAGCAAATCTCTTCTTCCTCTTCATTGCGCTCAGTCTGGCTCATCCTTCAAATGTCAGCTTACAGCCACCTTCCTCTGGGAAGCCTCTCTCTCCATCTACCAGTCTTCAGTTGGGCACTACATTCATGGCCCTGTAGCACTACCCATATGTTCCATTGATGCTTGTTGACATACGTCTTCCCTGTTCTCACAGACTCACTGAGTTTGTGCACCTTCAATTTTTCTGGAATGAATAAATGGGTGACCTAGTGTTCTGATGAACAACTTGTGGAAGACACTTAACAAATAGTGGCCTCAGAGCACCTATTTTTTGCCTTCTGGCTTCTTGGAGAAACAAAACTTAAAATGAATTGAAATTCAGTTCAATTGGTTAATGGGCCTGCGTTTCCATTTAGAGTGTGAGACATCAAATTAGATTTATTTCATTTTTTATTATTTTATTTTATTTTAAGTTCTGAGATACATGTGCAGGTTGTGCAGGTTTGTTGCGTAGGTAAACATGTGCCTTGGTGGTTTGCTGCACCTATCATCCCATCACCTAGGTATTAAGCAGAGCATGTATTAGTTATTTATCCTGATGCTCTTCCTCCCCTTGCCCTTCCCAACAGGCCCCAGTGTGTGTTGTTCCCCTCCCTGTGTCCATGTGTTCACATTGTTCAGCTCCCACTTATAAGTGAGAACATGCAGTGCTTGGTTTTGTGTTCCTGCATTAGTTTGCTGAGGATAATAGCTTTGAGCTCTATCCATGTCCCTGCAAAGGACATGATCTTGTTCCTTTTTATGGCTGCATAGTATTCCATGGTGTATATGTGCCACATTTCTTTATCCAGTCTATCACTATGGGCATTTGGGTTGATTCCATGTCTTTACTATTGTGAATAGTGCTGCAATGAACATAAATATACATGTATCTTTGTAATAGAACGATTTGTATTCCTTTGGGTATATACTCAGTAATGGGATTGCTAGGTCATATTGTATTTCTGGTTCTAGGTCTTTGAGGGATCACCACTCTGTCTTCCACAGTGGTTGAACTAATTTACATTCCTACCAACAGTGTAAAAGCATTCCTATTTCTTCACAGCCTCACCAGCATCTGTTGTTTCTTTACTTTTTAATAATCGCCATTTTAACTGGCATGAGGTGGTATCTCATTGTGGTTTTGATGTGCATTTCTCTGATGATCAGTGATGTTGACATTTTATTTTCATATGTTTGTTGGCTGCATAAATGTCTTCTTTTGAGAAGTGTCTGTTCATGTCCTTTGCCCACTTTTTAATGGGGTTGTTTGTGTTTTTCTTGTAAATTTGTTTAAGTTCCCTATGGATTCTGGATATTAGACCTTTGTCAGATGGATAGATTGCAAAAATTTTCTCCCATTCTGTAGGTTGTCTGTTTACTCTGCTGATAGTTTCTTTTGCTGTGCAGAAGCTCTTTAGTTTAACTAGATCCCATTTGTCAATTTTTGCTTCTGTTGCAATTACTTTTGACATTTTTGTCATGAAATCTCTGCATGTGCCTATGTCCTGAATGGTATTGCCTAGATTTTCTTCTAGGGTTTTCATAGTTTTGGGTTTTACATTTAAGTCTTTAATCTAGCTTGAGTTAATTTTTGTATAAGGTGCAAGGAAAGAGTCCAGTTTCTGTTTTCTGCATATGGCTAGCCAATTCTCCCAGCACCGTATATTAAATAGGAAATCCTTTCTCCATTGCTTGTTTTTGTCAGGATTGTTGAAGATCAGATGGTTGTAGATGTGTGGTCTTATTTCGGAGTTTTCTGTTCTGTTCCATTGGTCTATGTGTCTGTTTTTGTACCAGTACCATGCTGTTTTGATTACTGTAGCCTTGTAGTATAGTTTGAAGTTGGGTAGTGTGAGAGGCATTAAATTATTAAGAAAAAGTCCCTGAACTTTTTTGATTGTATATCTCATTTGTAAAAAAGCTTTGAGTACATATATTTGTATATGTATGTGCATATAAAAACACAAATATGCATGCAATATAAGCTGCAATAAACAATACAAAATAAGATGAATTATCAAAATAAATGTAAATAGAAGTTACCATTTTTCTTCACACTCCTTCTTCAACACATGCTTTAGAAATCTTTTATATAGATTTAAGAGCATCAACACAACCTGGGCTCTAAACATAATTCAGAAGGAGTGACTTGGGGCATAAACTCCAGGCCTCAGGTGCGGTAGGTGTAAAATGGAAATAATAGCTACTATTTGTGGTTTTGCAATAATTAAAGAAGATATTGTATGCAAAGATATCTAGTAACACACTGAGCATCTATTAGGTATTAAATGTTATTCGACTTAAAATATTCCTTCTGATGAATTATTACTAAATATTTTAAGATATTTTATGTATTTCTGATATAACATGTATATATATATACTGCTCTCTTTTTCAATTATTGAAATATTAAATCATGTATTGAATTATATCTAATTTTTTTTTTTTTTTTTTGAGATGGAGTCTTGCACTGTCGCCCAGGCTGGAGGGCAGTGGCGTGATCTCGGCTCACTGCAAGCTCCACCTCCCGGGTTCATGCCATTCTTCTGCCTCAGCCTCCCAAGTAGCTGGGACTACAGGCACCCGCCACCACGCCTGGCTAATTTTTGTATTTTTAGTAGAGATGGGATTTCACCTTGTTAGCCAGGATGGTCTCAATCTCCTGACCTCATGATCTGCATGCCTCGGCCTCCCAAAGTGCTGGGATTACAGGCGTGAGCCACCGTACCCGGCCGAATTATATCTATTTTTATTAACAAAATTTATTCTGTTATAAAAAGGTAATTGGAATTATAATGTTACTTTGACATAAGATTTATTTTATTTCTTTTGATATAAACTGCAAAAATATACTAAAATATATACATTTCACACACCTAGAGGTATGAAAATACTCACAGGAGTGTATTCTATTATTAGGTTGGCGCAAAAGAATTTGTGGTTAAAAGTAATGGCAAAAACCACAATTACTTTTGCACCAACCTAATAGCATATACAGATATCTGCCATTTTAAAAAGAACATGACAGTGGAAAATCACTTTGGTAAAGTTGTGATAATGTTTTCTTTTTGGTGAAAAGATGATCTACAAAACTCCCTCAGAGCTAATGAAAAATTAGACTATGTTGATAGGACCTATTTATAAATTTGAATATTCCATGGAAAGCTGTGTATAAATAAAATAGAATATTTCAAGTCATAAATTCAGTTTAGTTGTAACTTGCTCATGTGAAGTTTTTTTAAAACATGATACAATATCTGTGTGTCTGTGTGTAGGAGATACAGAGCATAGCCCATTTCTTTTTTGATTAAAGAGAAATTTTCATTTGAATGTCATAACACTGCTGACTAGTGTTTTATGATCCTAATACTATCATTTATTACTGAAGAAAAACATAAATTGGACTAAAAATGGAAGTCTCTCTATGAAAGGTTGTAGGAAAAAATTCACGGAAATGTGGAACAGAATGGAGACCAGGAGCACCTTACTCATTTACCACTTTTTTCACCTAATATATTTTTAACAAAATGTCAACATGTGCTGGGCACTGTTCTGGGCCCTGGAGGTATAGTAATCACCGAAGTGTATAAAGTCATAGGTCTCACGTGGAATGGGAAGTGGTTTGAAACAGACAATAAACAATATTCAGACAAACACATTAGAAAACATAATATAGTGAAATGTGCTTTGCAGAAAACTATATCATGTAAATGGATAAAGAATGATGGGTGAGCAGTGAAGCTGTTATTATAGATAGCTTGGTCAGGGAGTGCTTCTTTGATGAGAAGACATTTGAGCTAAGGCCTACCTCAGGCAGAGGGAAGAGCAAGTGTAAGGCCCTGAGCTGAGTGGGCCGATATATTGAAAGAATAACCAAGAGATCAGTGTAGCGGAGTAGAATAAATGAGGGGAAGAGTGGTAGGTAAAATATTTTGTAGTGTATTCAGGGCCCAGATCATGTCAGGCCTTGTTATTCATGGTGAGGACTCTGAATTTTACTTTAAAGGGGGTGGGAAGCACCTAGATGATTTTAAGCAAGGTCAGGATGGAATAAGGTGCACATTTTAGAAAGATTGCTCTAGGTGTTGTGTGGCACAAACAGAGTGGGGAGGAGGGGGGTGAGAGAGAGCAGGGATACAAGTAGGAAGCTATTAAAGTATTTTGGGTAAGAAATGTTGATGGCATGGCCTGAGAAGGTGGGCATGGTAGGAAGTCTCTGGAGCCATGTCTACATATCCCAAGTCTGGATATATTTTAGTGGCAGCCATCAAAATTTGCTGAGGGATTGGACTAGAAGTGCAAGAGAAAGAGAAGTCAAACATGCCTCCAATATAATTAGCCTGAACAGCTGGATGAAAGGAGGAACCATTTACTGAACTGGAGAGCACAGGGTGTGGGGAGGAAAGATAAAAAGTCTGGTTTTGGATATATTAATATAAGATGCCTGTTAAACAAAAAGTGGACATGCCAATAAGATGGTTGTATACATACGTCAGGGCTGGAGATGGGAATTTAGAAACCATTATGATTAGTTGGTGTTTAAAGCCAGAAGACTGGAAGACATCACAGGATTTTCTTTTTTTATCACTGTTTTTATTCTGGTAAGCATTAAATAATATGTTCTTCAGTTTCCAATGAGGCACTCTAATATCACATAAGAAAATTCCAAGTGATGAGAAGTATGTATGTCAGGAGCTAATTTTATTCCAAGAGCTAAGGATTCTTTTGAAAATTTAGTAGATGTAAGATAATTATTTAAAGGGTTTCAGATATTTTAGATGCAATTAGACTTCAAAATAAGCCTTTTCTAAAGGCTCATTTTTTTACTTTAAGAATTGAAAGTAGAAAGCCTTAAAATTAGTTCCATTTAAAAAACAAAAATGAAAGTGTACCCTTTTCCAAGAATGTGAAAGGAATCTGAAAAGCATTCATGATTTGCAAAGGGTGTAAAGCAGTGAATGGTGAAATCTGAATTTGAAGCCAGGTCTCTCTTTTTCAGGGCGCATGTTTTTATGCCATACCACATCCATGGCAGTTACTATGTTCAGGAAATAAAGAGAATGTGATATTTTCTACTCTTCTCATTTGTTTTTTTTTTTTTTTTTTTTTTTTTTGGAGAAAAAGTATAAAACTTGTTTTTAAATCACCAAGGTATATAGAATTCGATTCCATTGTTTTAAAAGTTGATATTCTATTTCACATAACAGTCTGAACCATATACCTGTACTTACTTTTTATGATTATATATTTTAAAAGTTCTATTGATTTTCCTCATTATGAAATGAAACACAACCATTGTAAAATTCACTTCATATAAAAATATAAGGAGGAGAAAAAAACTAAAGACTCCACCAAAAAACTATTCGAACTGATAAACAAATTCAGTAAAGTTACAGGATGCAAAATCAACATACAAAAATCAGTAGTATTTCTATATGCCAACACTGAACAATCTGAAAAAGACATAAAAACGTAATCCCATTTACAGTAGCCACACATGAAATTAAATACCTAGGAATTAACCAAAGAAGTAAAAGATCTCTATAATGAAAACTGTAAAACACTGATGAAAGAAACTTTAGAGGACACCAAAAAATGAAAAGATATTTCATGTTCATGGATTGGAAGAATCAATATTGTTAAAATATCCATACTACCCAAAACAATCTACAGATTCAATTCCTGTCAAAATACCAATGTCTTTCTTCTCAGAAATAGAAAAAACAATCTTAAAATTTATATAAAACCATGAAAGACCTAGAATAGCCAAAGCTATCCTAAACAAAAAGAACAGAACTGGAGGAATCACATTACCTGACTTCAAATTATGCTACTGAGCTATCCTAACCAAAACAGCATGGTACTGGCATAGAAACAGACACACAGACCAATGGAACAGAATAGAGAACCCAGAAACAAATTCACACACCTACAGGGAACTCATTTTCAACAAAGGTGCTAAGAACATACACTGGGGAAAGACAGTCTCTTCAATAAATAGTGGTGGGAAAACTGGATAGCCTTATGCGGAAGAATGAACTTTGACCCTTATTTCTCACCATATACAAAAATCAAATCAAAATTAATTAAAGACTTAAACCTAAGAGCTCAAACTATGAAACTACTACAAGAAAACATAGGGGAAAAATCTCCAGGACATCAGTCTGGGCAAAAATTTCCTGAGCAACACCCCTCAAGCACAGGCAACTAAAGCAAAAAAATGGACAAATGGGATCATGTCAAGTTAAAAAGCTTCTACACAATAAAGGAAACAACCAACAAGTGAAGATAAGTTTCTCTTCACTTTGTTGGTAATGGGAGAAAATATTTGCAAACTACTCATCTGACAAGGGATTAATAACCAGAATATATAAGGAACTTAAACAACTATATGGGGAAAAAATCTAATAATCCAATCAAAAAGTGGGCAAAAGATTTGCATAGACATTTCTCAAAGGAAGACATACAAATGGCAAATAGTCTTAAGAAAAATGTTCAACATCATTGATCATCAGAGATATACAAATAAAACTACAATAAGATGCCATCTTACCCTGGTTAAAATGTCTTATATCCAAAAGACAGGCAATAAGAAATGCTAGTGAGGATATGGAGAAAAGGGAACCCTTGTACATTGTTGGTGGGAATGTAAATTAGTACAACCACTATGGAGAACAGTTTGGAGGTTCTTCAAAAAACTAAAAATAGAGTTGCCGTATGATCCAGCAATCCCACTGCTGTGTGTATACCAAAAAGAGAGGATATCAGTTTATCAAAGAGATACCTGTGCTCCCACATTTGTTGCAGCACTGTTCACAAAAGCCAAGACTTGGAAGCAACCTAAGTGTCCATCAACAAATGAATGGATAAAGAAAATGTGATAGATATACAAAATGGAGTACTATTCAGCCATAAAAAGGAATGAGATTCAGTCATTTGCAACAAGGATGGAACTTGAGATCATTATGTTAAGTGAAATAAGCCAGGCACAGAAAGACAAACATCATATGTTCTCACTTATTTGTGGGATCTAAAAATCAAAACAATTGAACTAATGGACATAGATAATAGAAAGATGGTTACCAGAGGCTGAGAAAGGTAGTGGGTTGGGTGGGGTGGGGAGGAGGTGGGGTTGATTAACTGGTCCAAAAAAAGAAAAAATGAGTAAGACCTACTATTTGATAGCACAATCGGGCGACTATAGTCAATAATAACTTAATCGTACATTTTAAAATAACTAAAAGAGTATGATTGGATTGTTGGTAACACAAAGGATAAATGCTTGAGGGAATGGATACCTCATTTCCCATAATGTGATTATCGTGCATTGCATGCCTATATGCAAACATCTCATGTACTCTGTAAATATGTATACCTACTATGTACCCACACAAATAAAAAATAATATATGTGTGTGTGTGTGTATTTAAGGAAAAAAGTTCTACCACTTCTATCATAGAGATAATCACAGTGAAAATTTTGATGATTATATTTCAAGATTTTTTTATGTGCATGTACATGCACATACACTTACATACATACTCAAACTTTTTTTTTTTAACAAAGATGGAAATACAGCAAAATGACAAAGCCATAATGGATTACAGACATTTTCCCAAGCTAATAAGTAAGATCTATTTTATTTATTATATTAGCTGCAGAGGATTACATTGGTAGGAAAATCATTTATTTAGCAAATCTCCTATTGATGGACGTTTTAACGATTTCCAGTTTTTCCCATTATCATCAGTGTTGTGGACAACCATATTAAAGGATATTCTACACAATAAAAATTGTGATGTCAAGTGACAAATTATCCTTCAGAATCATTGTATCAATCTATATTCCTACTGGTAGAATATAAGATGGCCATTTCTCCAAATTCTTGCCAGCATTTTATTTTATGATAGTTACTTATGTGATCAGTGAAAAATATGTTTACATTTCTTTCTTTACATATTATTTTTCAGTTGATTGTGGTAAATTAGGATTTATTCCTTGGCCACGTTATAGTATTTGCTCATATTTTCATTGTGGTGGTGATTTTCCTAGTTTGTTTGCATTACTATGAGCGTTTTACACAGAAAACATATCAATCTTTGACTTTAATAAGTTGTAAATATCCCCCCATCCCACCCAGTTTGTCTTTTGTCTCTTATTTGATATACATACATTTTCACATCAAAGTTTTAAAATTTGGTATACATCAATATATTCTTCATACATTTTATGGCTTGATGCCATATTAAATACTGTTTCATGCACACACACGTGCATGAAAAGTATATATAACTCACAAAATTAGTCCAAGTCTTATAATTTCAGCTCATTATTATAGCAGTGTAATAATGTGTGGCATTTTACATTTTTAAAAAATGCTTGCTTATGTAGTATCTTGTTTTATCCTTACAACAACTCTGAGAAATTCGCAGAATAGCCATTCATTTTTCTCATTTCATTGATGAAGAAGTTGAGATACAGAAGCATAAGAAACAAGCCTGAGATTACACAGTTAATGAGTGCTGAGACCAGAAAAAGAACATCAACTGCAACTTTGGAACTCTTCCCACACCAATTAAAGTCTTGTTAATTAATTGTTTATGTGTACAAGACTCTTAGTCAATGTACATGTCTTCTAGTCCTATTTTCTTCTTTTAGCAATTAGGAAGAATTGGAGGTACCTGGTGGCTACTCACGAAACACTCTGTGATAGATGCCCTACGTCAGTGAGGACAAAGGTTTCCCCTTGAGTGATTACCACAGTTGATTGGTAATGGCTGCCCAGGGGACTATGAGAATGATTCTGAGGTTGTGTCTGGGCTCAGTGGGAAAGAATGTGATGATTGGATGAGTGACATTTGCATTTAGGCACGGGAAGGCCACATATTTATGCTAACGAAGAGGATAATCATGTGCACAATTTATTTTTTGCTTTTGAATTCCTTATCTGATTTTTTAAAAGCAGTTTCTCTTTCTAGTGCTTTTTAATTTATGGCATAAATTTATTCTAGTCTAGGAAACTTGTATGAGATTCATCCTTATTTCGAAACTAATTTTGTGAGTTATGTATACTTTTCATGCACGTGTGTGTGTTATAAAATAAATCTCTTGAAAGTCTTTGGCCTTCTTGTTCACTGCTGCATTCCCACTGCCTGCATATATTAGGTGTGCAATCAGTATTTATTGAATGAATGAAAGTCTAAGTTATTTTCACATCTTTTTTGAAGCCATGGTTCCTTTATGTGTTGCTTTTTATTGGTCAGAAACCTAAATCTGTCCTTGTCTGGGGATTGCATAGGCTCTGAAACTGTTAGAATCAAAGAAGTTGAACAGGACATTTAATTTCAGAATTATTAGAGTTGCCTCACAGAGCCGTGTAATTATATGGATCAAAATTTTAAAATGATTTATGTAGCTATTAATTACATTAAAGCATATTTATTAGAAACATGGAGTCCTAGTCTTTGAGGGAGCCTGGTAGTTGATTCATTTGCTACTCTCTCCAACAATATGAGCTCTTTGGGGTTGTAATGCTGATCTCTGTATCACCAATGCCCAGCACAGTGCCTGGTACCTTTCTGGGAGGGGACTTGTTCAGTTCAGTCTCATTTTGCTTAAAAAAATGGAGGAACCAATGGTAAATCAGTTGGTCAGAGCCACCTTTTATTACATGCTTGAGTTAAAGAGCATTACAACCCAGAACTCACTGATAACTTCTCTCTTTTTTAAAAAACTGTCTTCCTGTCTCTTTCCCAGTGGTCATGGTCACAGATGAAAGTTCCTCATTTTTTTGTTCTCCTATTCTTTATAGCTAGATGGCTGAATGGATTCAAGGCCCCTCCTGTAACCTGGCCATCTCTTTTTCTCTGAAGGAAACTAATGCATGATGAACCCTAAATTTAGGTTCGAAATAGGGGTGAGAGTGGAAAATAAAATGTCCCAGCTTAGACTAAGCTTGAGACTTGATCACTTTTGACTAAAGTACATTAAACGATCAATACATTGATGTTTTGACACTTGTTCTGCTGTTCCTTGGATATAGGGTTTTTTATATGAAATCCTTTAGGGAGGAGAGGTGAGTAGCACAGAATTATTGGGGATTCCACTATCATTGGCTTTATATCCTTTAAACAGCAATAAAATTTGGCTCAGAATCTATTATGGATCATTGTATTCACTCCATAAATGCCTGTTGAACCAATCAATACCTCCTGTCCAGCTCACAACCAAATGTTTGTCTTCCTTCTAAAGCATCTCTCTCAAATAATTGGTCTCTGCTTGAATTATAAAATATCAACTACCTTAATAGGACTAAAATTTTAAATTAGAACATCAGTTTGGTACTATATTTATTTTAGAGAAAAATTTGATCATTGTAGAGACAGATGGTAGAGTTTGCACCTTTTTTTAAAAAATGCAAACAGGAGCTTTTAGAAGTCTGCTGCTAAAATCGCATAAGAATGGAAATTAAGGAAGCAAAGCTGGGATCTAGGAGATGCATTGTAGATATTTTACAGTTCTGCACAACGACAACTGAACTTGTCAATCATCTTCAGTAGCAAGTCTATAAATTTTGTAAATGAAGAGCCATATAATCTCTAAATTCAGAAAGAAAAGAAAAAACCTCTAGCTGCTGAAAATACACCTAGCACACAAGGATGAATGAAAGTAAGTATAAGCAAATGAAATGAAAGTCACTGGGCTGAAAATGTGGTTTAATATGCTTCCCTGAGGAAAAATGTAACTGTCTAACACTATTGAAAACAGCATCTATTGATTTTGGAGCTGGCATTTTATAATAAAAGAGAGGACTAAAATGAAAATGAAGAAATTTCCAGAACAGAAATTTTCAAATTCTCTTATCCCATATTTCCATCTTTCTCTCCAGTTTGAATCTTATAATTTAGGGCTTGCTATAATTCTTGTGACTCATTGAATTACTCTACCAAAAATGTTTAGAGATTTCCATTCATTTGAAATAAAGATAGTGATGGCATGATTTCTATTGTTAGAGAAACAGGGGAAAAGGAAGGAAATGAGAACTGACTGGGCAGGATCCAGGGATTGGATTTCATGTCCTGGAAAAGAGGTGCTTATCCACAGTGGGTGTTACTGAGGGATGGTACCAAAACACAGGTGCTTGCTTTCTGCTTCATTGCCCTGAAATTCCCTCGAAACACTTTCCTTATAATTAGGATGACTGTATAATTTATTGTTGACACAGAGACACTTTTAAGAGTTGGGGGGGGACGCAGTAGCTTATGCCTATAATCCCAGCTCTTTGGGAGGCCAAGGCGGGTGGATCACGAGGTTAGGAGTTTGAGACCAGCCTGACCAACATAGTGAAATCCCATCTCTATTAAAAATACAAAAATTAGCTGGGCTTGGTGGCCGTGTGCCCGTAGTCCCAGCTGCTTGGGAGGCTGAGGCAGGAGGATTGCTTGAACCAGGGAGGTGGAGGTTGCAGTGAGCCGAGATCGCACCACTGCATTCCAGCCTGGGTGACAGAGTGAGACTCCATCTCAAAAAAAAAAGAAAAAAAAAAGTGGGAGGGAATGCTATGAATAATCACTCCAGAACAGTGGTATCAATCTGACTTTCCTTGGGAAACAGGAATGAATGCCACTCTACCTCTAGAGTCCTTGTATCTGTGAGCGCAACCTCCTGTGATTAGCATCTCCATTGTCTCTTGCAGATACCATTAGATCCTGATTAGTATTCTCAATCGTGCACTCGCTCCCAGAAGGGTAAATATCTCATCTTTGTTTCCTTTGTTCCTCTCATAGCACAGAACCTAATGAGAGGCTGGCCAGAGCTGCTCCCTCTTAAGAGAAACTCCTCACGCCTGTAATCCCAGCACTTCGGGAGGCCAAGGCGGGTGGATCACGAGGTCAGGAAATCGAGACCATCTTGGCTAACATAGTGAAACCGCATCTCTACTAAAAATACAAAATTAGTTGGCCGTGGTGGCATGCACCTGTATTCCCTGCTACTCAGGAGGCTGAGGCAGGAGAATCACTTGAACCCGGGGGGCGGTTAGGGTGAGCTGAGATTGCGCCACTGCACTTCAGCCTGGCGACAGAGCGAGACTTAGTCTAAAAAAAGAAAAAAAAAAAAGAGAGAGAAACCCCAACCGTCTCCTTTTCCTTTGTATTCTTTGGCTCTTTCTGCCTCTGTAAATGCTCTGGATTAGTGTGGTAGTGTAAAGGAGTAGCTCTCCCAGTCTTGGGCTGAGAGCTCTCTGTGCAAACTATTCTCTTTTTGCTGACACATGTGTTCTAGACAGGGCTTTACTCTTCAGAGGTCCAAGGGGGAGTCCTGAGTTCAGGGGTATAGTCCAAATACTCTATTCTTTCTTCTGGACTGAAGTAAGTAAGCTTGTGCAAAAATAATTTCCCACCTGGGTCAGTTTAGTTTACCAAGGTCCAACACTGAGATTTGAGCTTGAAGTTCCAATTGGTAATAAATTATTTCTTTGTTCAGTTTATACATAAGATAGATAAACATATGGGGAAACTTTCCATTTTTGTTTCCTTACATTTTTCCACTTTAGCCTTCCTGATGCTCATAGTTTGATTTTCTGTAATGTGTTGCTCTTTCCCTGCCTAGGATCTTTTGGCAATATCAGGAGTTTTTGGAATTGTTTAACTGGTCTGCATCACTTTCTCAGTAGCCTGTGATTCTCCACTTGGGTGCAATTCACAAATATTTCAAAGACCAGGGAAATCCTTTTTCCTTACTTTCAGATACCAACTTTTCCCACTCAGTCAGATGTCTTTGGCTCTATTTCTTTACTGGTAGATTGAATATAATTTCCAGCCTCTTATGGAGGCCTCTTTTTTCCTTCCTATTTATTATTCCCTGTAGCCTCTCCTCTGTACATGCTTTTGGTTTTGCTGTTTGTTCTTTTTTACTCTTCTTTTTTGTAAAAATGTGAAATATATTTGTAGAAGTCTATATAAACATACACATACATACCTTTTAAAGGATAGTAATTTTAAAAAGCCAAATAATGTATACTGATGACCCAAGTCAAAAATAGAGTATCATGGCTACTTTATGAATGCTCTATATGCTCTTTTCCATTTCTATCTTCATCCTAGGCATTGCTCTGATTTTTGTTTTAATAATTCTCTTGCTTTTTGAAATAGTTTTACTAATTTTGTATTATGTGTATATAAGCAATATGTAATTTAATTTTACCTTCGAACTTTCTATAATTGGAAACTCTATCAGTTAGCTTGTGCTGTAAAACAAATCACTCTAAAAATGTATTGGTTTAAAATAATAATTATTTGCTCATAATTTTTTAGGTCAACAGTTTGGCCTGAGTTCAGCCAGAAAGGCTCATCTCTGCTCCAAGAGATTATCTAGACATACTCATGCATTAATGGTTAGCTACTCCACAGAGTATCTATAGTGACCTTACATTGTGAGCAGCAGGGGTGCCACCTTAAGCCCAAAGGCATTCTTTATCCAGCAGAGTGGCCCAGGCTGATTCATTTGGTAGTGGTTTCAGGGTTCCCAAGACCAGCAAGATAGCAAGCCCCAAACTGTAAGTTTATGTATCCTATTTGCTAATGATTCCTTGACCAGAGTAAATTACATGCCCAAACTCCCATTCAAATGATGGAAAAATAAACTCCACATTTTCATGGGAAAAGTAACAAAGTCACATTGCAAAAAATATGCATCCTGGAATGAGAGGAATCTGTGGCCAATTTTGAAATCTATCATTGTTTGATTTATCAGTTACAGAAAGAGTTGTACTAAAATTGCTCTCACAATGGTAGATTTTTCTTTTTCCCTTTGTAATTCTGTCAATTTTTGCTTTATGTATCTTGAAGATATATTATTTTATGCATACAAGTTTAGAATTTGAATATTTTCCTGGAGAATTAAAGCTTTTATTATTACAAATTAGGTTTTTCTTTCTACCTTTTTGGTTTTCAGACTTTCCTTTTTATAAGGATGTCTAGCTGCCTGAAGAACTCCTAATAGAATGTTATTAGTGAAGGTCTACATCCCTTCTGAAGGTAAATTTTTTAGTTTTACTTATCAGAAAATATTTTTTAGGCCGGGTGTGGTGGCTCATGCCCATAATCCCAGCACTTTGGGTGGCCAAGGCGGGCAGGTCACTTCAGGTCAGGAGTTTGAGACCAGCCTGGCCAAACTACCTGTCTCTACTAAAAATACAAAAGTTAGCCAGGCGTGATGGTGCATGCCTGTAATACCAGCTACTCAAGAGGCCTTATTATTTATAGGTATTTTTGCTGGATATAATCGGATGACAATGATTTTCTCTCAACACTGAAAATGCTATTATACCATCTTCCAACTTCTGCTGTTCTTTTTGATATGTAATTGGCAGTCTGATTTGCCTTCTTTTCTCATGGTTGCTTTTTACTCCTTCTCATTTTTGTGGTGTTCTAAACTTTCAACATAATATGAGTGAATAGGAATTCTTTTTATTTTGCCTATGCAGGATTTGGTGTATTATTAGATCTATTGAATTGGTGACTTTTGTTACCTTTTGGCAATATTTTTTTTTCAAATATTGCCTCTGTCTTATTATTTATTTTCTTTTCTTCTAAAATTTTCATTAGATGTACATTTGACTTGCTCACGATTATTTACTTCTTCGTATGGTGCCATTCATAATTTAAGAATTTACCTCGACAAGCTCTAGGCACTAAAAATCAAACAAAAGACTAATTGGTCAGTGTTCCTATATTTGAAACACTTACTGTAATCTCTTTGAAGTCATTTGTTTGTTATTTAGCTGTGCATCATTTTATCCCTTTCTGCTTTTCTCTGCTCCAGAGTACTGAGAACTTTGTCTTGGAACTCTTAGTGTATGCTGCTTGAGTTAATAAAAGGGATATTTACTTGTTAATCGTTCAAATCAAGCCTCCACATATTGCCACCTAAGAACCACCCTTTGAAACTAAGGATAATAGTGTGTATGTGTATGTGTGTGTTTGTGTGTGTGGAAGCATATACGAATGATGTAACTGTCCAAATGTTTTCATTAGAGAAAATACATTCCACTATGCAGCTAGGGAAGTGGAGGAAGATGACAAGTTGGGAGGGAACAATTGAGATTTCTCTTTCTAACTCTCCCTCCTGCCTCCCCATAGAAGTGTCTTCTCTGTTTAAGAGAGAGAGAAGTTTGACTTGCATATCAACTGCATTAATCAGAGGGTGGGGCCAAAGCAGGGTGACTTTGCCAGTTCTTTCTTAGCTTTCTGTCAATCTCTTGGAAAGACCTGCACTCAAACATTTCTGTATTTCTATATCATGAAATGAGTAATCCAAGTCAGATCTTTACTGTCTCAGTTATAACTTCCTCACTTGTGACTTAACGTTTGAGTCAGAATAGTGTGGATCCTGAATTCCAAAACTTGAGTGGAAGGAGGCAGCACTGCTGTAGTGTTCAGTCTAGCTGTTCCCGGAGATCCATAAATAAAGCTGATAATTTGTTCAATTTAGCTCAATTCTGTGGATTTTTTTTCCCTACTGACTAGAGACCAAGAAAGGAATATGGTGATAGAATTCCAACATTGTATTGTACCTTGGAATTTTCATAGATTGTGTAGAAACAACTACTCATGAGAAATAAAGGCTGGATAGTATTTACTGTAATTGATTACAATAAATGCAATGAATTGGCAAATATTGAAATACATTTTAATGGCAAAATATATCTCTTTACTATTATGTAAAAATTGGTGATTAGGAGAAAACATAATGAAACAGAAAGATAATGAATTAAAATGGCTTTGGGTAGCATATATCCTAATTATTTTCTTTTGATTTGTTTTTTAGTTTGCTGTTAACTGATTTTGAAGTTTTGATGATTCCTGTAAGGCAAGGATCAAATTTAGTAGAAGTTCTTGTATTCTTGAAATTACATCACAAGATTTATTGAAATCAATGTCTTCAATGTTCTACTCAATGTCTCAGCCTATTTTTCTGAAGAAAACTCTTACAATTTTTATAGGTAGAATAAAAAACATCACCAAACTCAGCAAATAACTTTCAAAGAAGATATCATTAATGAATAAGTGAAGAGAAAATGCTTGTAGATAAAGTGGCTTGATGTCCAGGATGGGAAAACACTGGTAAAAATTTCCCTGCTTAAAAGAGGAAATCATGTTCTTGAACTTGTATTACTCATCAATGAAATGCATAGCTCTGATAACAAATACGAAGTATCCTGAGCCTGCCATCTAACACATCCATAGACATGCTGTGAAAAAGGAAAGGTAAGAGTGGTCTTAAGGAGATTTATTTTGGAGGATACACCAAAACAACAATAACACCAACACCAACAAACACTAGAAAAACAAACAAACCAAAATTCCATGAAATTCACCTAGAATTTTGAGTTCACTTTCCTGACTAGTTTGCACTGTTTAATTTGTGCAATATAGAAACTGTGACTTAAAGAGGCTAAATAGTTAGTCAGAGATGACTCAGCTAGGTGGCTAGGATAGACCAGATCCAAGTCAAGAATTCCTTGTGCTTGAAAACAAATTCTTTTAATTAGGATAACCCCATCATAGTTAATGGCTATTTTCTCAACAATTCAGTGGCTATTCATGATATGTGAACAAATATGGTATAAGACTTGTATTCGATGCTGTGATCTGAATGTGCCCCCAAAGTTCATATGTTGAAACTTAATCACCAGTATGACAATATTAAGAGGTTGGGCCTTTAGGATATGGTTAAGTAATGAGGGTAGAACCCTCATGAATGATATTAGTGACCTTATGAATGGATTGAAGGGAGTGCCCTAGTCCCTTTTGCCCTTCTGCCTTCTGATGTGTGAGAACTCAGCAATAAGGCGCCATCTTAGAAGCAGAGAGCCTACACCAGACACCAATTCTGCCAGTGTCTAGATCTTCAATTTCCCAGCTTCCAGAACTGTAAGAAATAAATATCTGTTCTTTGTAAATTACCTAGTCTCAAGTATTTTGTTATAGCAGCACAAATGGACTTAGACACTGGCCAATTATCTGGTATGTTAACAAAAATGGGGTAAGTGATCAACATTTGCACATGAGTAAGTACACAAATAATTAGTTGTCTAGCTCTTAGGATTTTTAAAAACTATTACATGAAAAAAGAAAGTACAAAGTATAGTGACATCATTCTGTAATATTAAATTCACTTGCTCTTCTGAATCATGTTTTTGATTTTTAATCAAACTAGATCTGTCTCAGAATTAAATAACCAACTCAATTTCTTTGGGAAATTAAGCTATGACTTCTGTGTGTCTAAAATGCAGTCTTTCTGTGTGTCTGTGATTCCTTTGGCCGTTATTCTCAGATGATTTTTTTTCTTATGATAATATAAGTGCTAGTGATGAATGCAATTGACATCATAATACAATGGCCTCGCAACAACAACAAAAAACCAAACAAGCAATAAAAGTTAGGATAGATTGAATACAAATTGCTATTTGGTATAATATTTAATGCTTTTTCTGCACTGAAGTTTTCAAAGAGAACAGCATATACTCTGTGCTCTTAAGGCTAACAAAACAAAAACACTAGCTTTTTGTACACCTTGAAATATAATACCATGTAATTTATACATGCTGTTGCCTTGACAGTTTTATTTCACATTCCTAAACTTCCCTTGAGCAAAGCTCTTAAAAATTATATCTAGCAGTAGAAAAGTTGGAGTCTTTAAAAACAAAATCAAAGGAGACAAAACTTGCTTAAAGTCTTATTGTCTATTTTCCCAACATTACCTCTTTGCCCATAATCCAGAAGTGAATGTTCTATTTCTAAAGTTATTTTTAGTACATGCACTTTTCTGCTTCCCTAATTCTTTTTAAAATGCAAACTGACATACATATGAACCACCCCCTCTGCCCCCACCCATAGAAACTCACAAACATTGAAAATACTAATGGGCTCCACATAGGAGAGAAGACTTAATTGTTTTTTAATAATAGAATAAAATTAAGAAGATTCAAAAGTAACCTATATTATAAATATTAAGTTCCCAAGAGAAATAAAATGGATCCAAAATGAGCTGTTCATAGAAATTGTTTCCATACATTAGAGGCTAGCATGAACAGCTGTCTAGATTTTTAATTTTTCTGAGATACCAAACTCATTTTAGTAAAACAATTGAAGTATAATTTTAAGATTATGGTATCAAATGAATAAAAGGTAAATTAACATTTCTGCATAGTCATATCGATGTTAAGTAAACATAAATTGGCTAAACAATTACATAAACTGTGAGTATTCACATTACAAAAAGTGTGACCTCATTTTGCAAAATCATTAACTGCTTCCCTTAATACACGTAAGCCTTGGATAACAAATCAGTAACTGCTTTGCAAAAGTGAAATGGAGGAAAGGTAGAAATTTTGAAAAGTATACCTTTAGGAGCCATTGCTAAACAAAATCATTTGGAAATGAAACTAACGTTGTAACTCTTAGGCAATAAAAGGTAAGTTTTATTAATAGGTTTCACTTGTTTTTAGAAATATATCTTTCAATAAATTCTTTTTTATTTTTCCTCCGCTGTTGAATCCAATGTTTTACAGCATTTTTCTCCCTTCTTGTTTCTCTCTTCTATGACACTCCTGAGAAAATACCCTACTTGAGACCCAAGATTCTTTATACTACCTTGTAACCATTTTCCTTCTCACAAGAAGCCAATGAATGAATGATTGGTGACTATATACAAAGAAACAAAAGGAAGGAGACTACATGGAATCTGATCATCCTTTGTTAAATGTTCTCTTTGGAAATAATTCTTATTTTGTTTTCTTTTTTTAATTAAAATCATGATAAAGCTTGCCCATCAGTGTCCTAAAATAATACACAACACAGTCGAACATGTGAAACACAGAATATCACAAAGGATCATAAATTCTATTGTGAGATTAATATTATACCTCTGTCGCATATAATAGTTGCATGGGCATACTTTACAAATCCTTGGTTGCTTCTGAAGCAGTCCCTCTCGTGTCTACCCCACTATTCAGAAGGCTATCCTGCTATGGATTATGAGACCACTTACGTAGTTGAAGAACTCCTTCTCCCAACAGAAGGCAGCAGCTGTGTGGGATTTACTTATCTGAGTATCCTTGTACTATACCTGATAGGGAGTAAAGGGAGAATAAAAACCTTTGGCCAGTCTTTGCATCTAGGTGTTCTGAAATTTTTCTCTTGCTGTAATTAAAAGACTCAAAGTACCTTAAATGTGGTGGTTCTTAAGGCAAGTATATATTGATTTTTTTTATCTGGTAAACAGTAATGATAATGTGTTATATCACAAAAGACAAAACAATCTTAAAGTTATTTAGATGCAATTGTATTTTACCTTTAATTCACAATTTTTTAACCCTTTTCTGTCAATAGCATAACACAAAAATTCCTGGGATAGATGTTCAAAGAGAGAGATTATATAACCAGAATTAAAGGTATTAGGTTGGTGCAAAAGTAATTGGGAGTTTGCTATTACTCACTATGAGGCCTTATATTTTACGTATAGTGGCGGTAGGAAAATAACGAAACTATTGGATCCACCTTTTTCCCTCCAGAGGCTACTACTTACATTTTTAGCATTATTTGCTTCCAATTTTCCATATTTCATAAAGGTAATTTTTTTTCTAGGAACAGCTAATGGATGTCTTGGAGCATTTATTGAGAGGGAGAAAAAAGAGAAAAGCAATATTCACTTTGAAAGTTGCAACTTTGAAAGGTGCTGCATTACTATGCTTTGTAATCCTTACTTCTTCTCTTTCTTAGGTAGAAATGGTTATTTTAAGACTGGACTTATACTGTGAGGTGAAAGTAAAATAAGCCAAAATTTTTCTATGAGAAAAAATTAAGTGATGATAAAACCATTTGCAAAAGTAAAATCTGAAAATATGAATGTGTAATTTATACATACATGTAAAATATTCCAATATGTATCATGTTAATACCTCTTCTGCTTCTTGCCTGTTAGTTGACTTGATCTATGAGCTATTGTCAGTTCAAAGGGACAGATTCTCATCCTGACACCCAGAATCTCTATATCACAGAAAAAATTTACAAAACATGCTGCAAGATAAGCAGATTGGGAAATCAACTCTCTTATTTTCCTGATTGAAGGCTGATTGTAAATTTGTCGTAAAAGGCTGAGTAGCATTTTTCCATTCCTATGTCTCCTGGGGGTCAGCCAGGCATTTGTATTGTAGGACCTAGGCCAATGTTTCTCCAAGTGTGGCTCTAGAACCACCTGCTTCAGATTTGTCCAGGGCCCCTCCTGTCAATTTCTCGCTTCCACTCAAAAGTGACTAGATAAGACATGTATGTTAAAAGGGCACTTCCAGTGATTGTCATGTGCAGTGTGTTTGGAGACCAATTAATCAATGATCCCTTCCCTTTTTCCTTTGTATCAACTTCAGTTTTAGATATACAGCGTTTGTTGGGGGAAGTTAAGCTCAGTGAAAGATAGAGTAAAAGTGGCTCCAGAAGAGAGAAAATGAAGGGTGAGAGGCTGATGCTTGGAAAGAAGAAGAGAGTGGACTAAGGAGGGATCCATCCCACTGGGCTGAGTTAATGGGAAATGGCTTCCATGGATGATGGAGACCAGCACAGCTCCTCAGAAGGCATTGATGGGTGTGGCTTATGGATACTGGAGGGCTGATGTGGCTGAGCTGGCAGACTGTGCAGACTCCCTCTGTGAGGGGCATCTCTCTAGTTTGCTCTGAGAAGCAGTGTCTGACAGATGTTCAATAGTGGCATCATGTGTAGCAGAAAGAAAAGCCACAAATAGGGAAAGCACCACACACCAAAGACCATGCTGAACTTCAATTTCCTGAAATCACATAAGGCTTCGTCATTTTGCATAATTTAGTGGATGAACATAGCGGGCGAAGGAATGAGTGTGAACACTTAATGCTCAAATACAGACTGGAATTAAAAATCCTCTAAAGACAATGGACAGTTCTTACATTCATGTTACATTCAAGGTATATGGAGCCAATTTATATCATTGAAACATGTAAAATTTAAACATTAATTGAATATTGAAATTATACCTTGGAGGGTAACTAAAAATTCTTCATCTATTCTTCTATTTCTATTCTATTCTATTTCTATTTCTTCTATTTCTATTTAATCTATCTTCTGCTCTTTCTTATTTGAATACATATGAAATATTTAAAATAAAACATTCACTGTATGAAAGTAACTGAAAGAATTTCTATTGTGGATGTAGAAAGAAGGGCATCTATTTTTGTTTAGAGAGATCATGTGAGCAATGGAAACTATTAATGTAAATTCAATAGAAATTCTTTTTGGTTGAATGTCAATAGTATTTAATGTCTTTGGGAAAAGCATCAAGTTGTCTATTAGGCCTTTGCCCATCTCTTAAATTATTGATTCAAGTGTTTATGTTTTAAGGAGTAAATAATATAATCGTATAATAACATGATTAAAATATACTTTAGCTTTAGTTTTCTTAGTTCTTGTATATGTATAATCAGATGGAAATTGAGCTATTTCCATTATACTAATAAAATCATTAAACACTTTCCCTCTATTATCTGGAGAGTTGGAAATAATTTTAAAAAGCATTATCTTGAACTCTAGTCATTGTTTAAATTCCCCAGTTTGTGTCTGAAAAATGTAGCTCAAGTGTTTTAACAAAGCTTTTGGCCTTTTTTTTTTTTTAATAGAAAGACAATCTGAATCATGGTATTGTAGGCAAGTCTAAGCTTTTTTTTTTTTTCTGAGTATTGTGGAAAGCTTCAATTAAATCCTTGGGTATGAATGGAAACCTTTGGTTAGAAAAAATATTTTTAACTAGTTAGGATGTCATTTTTTTTTCTGTGAGTATTGTGGAAAGCTTGAATTAAATCCTTGGATATAAATGGAAGACTTTGGTTAGGAAGAATATTTCTAACTGGTTAGGATATCAATTTAGAGCTATCAATGCACTAGAAATAGGCGGCCATTTTAGAAATATCAGTGCACTGTTTATCCTGGCACTGTCAATAATTAACAATGCAGCTCTGAAATAAGGAACTTCATGTCTTTGTGACTTAGTTTTCCCATCTGTAAGTTGGAGATAAGAGTCTTTTTTTACGCCTACCTGGCATGGTCATTAGGAGTGTAAGTTGAGCTTACACTGAGGGTTGAGTGCTTCCTGGAATGAAGGCTCCTTGGATACCAGCAGTGAGAAGAGGAAGGAAAGTCAATGAATGAATATAGAACCCACAGGGACTCAAATAGACACCAAGAGGATCAGGAGTCAGAGAATAGAGAAGATGTGGGCTCAAATTATACAGAACTTGCTGGAGAAAGGGATGCAAGGACAACAGCAGCAGGTGATAGAATAACAGACGTGTAGGAGTTTAGGCATAAGAAGCTCCAAATATTCTGTCCTTGGCTTTAGTCAGGGACATTGTCAGTGTCAACTATCAGGTACAAATGGGAGATTTCAGGGATGGAATGACAGGAAGAAACTGAGAAGTTGGGGGTGGAGAGTAGAAGAAAGAGGAGGAAAGAAATGCAAAAGGGAAGAAAACAGATATTTCTGGTATTCCCATTTTGTTTTCTGCAAGGGCTGCAGAATGACAGGAGGAAGAGAAGGAAGAAGGAGGAAAGAAGGCTTGCATGGCTTGTGTGTATGAAGACCCTTTCAGGGAATGTTTTGACTCAAGAATCTGCTGAACATTTACTTGTAAGGAACAATGCAGCAAGAGAATATGTAATGGAGGACTGATTACATATTCAGTTTGGATGAGTGAAAGAAGTATATTTGCTGTAATCCAAATTCTGGAGCCAGGAACAAATGCGTTTTAGATCAGCAGAGAAGCTAATCTTAATTTTAACTTCAATTTAAGAAAAAGAAGATGAGAATTGCTAGACCTTTCTTGTTTGAAGACCTCATCGTCTGTCACCTCGACTGGTATAATGTTTTCTCTTTCTGCTGCTAGTCACTTCTTGTAATTTATACTGGACATTGCTGTTAGTTATCTTAAAACACACACTAACACACACACATACAGAGACTACTGACCATTGCTTAAAAGTATTTATTACCTATAGAATAAAGTCCAAATTCTCTGATGTAACATTGGTCCTTTTGGGCCTGTGACACCAGCCTGCCTTTCTAACCTCATCTCTTCCAACTCCCTTAATTACAGAAAGTTCAGTTTATTATCAATTTTCTCTCCCCACAGAATTTCTGGAACACTTGAGAACAGATCTGTTCTGAATGCCTCTTGTAGACACAATACCATCCAGTCCTAGGTTTCTGGTCTCCATGGGCCTGGGAACTACTGTTTAGTCCACTCCAGGATCATCTTCTATGGTCTTCAAATTAGTTTTACTTGGACTGCAGCTGCTGTTAGGTCTGAAGCTGTGAAAGGTTAGCAGAGATGTTACCCTGCCTGCAAGCTAACTAGTCATCCTACCATAGTATCTATGTCTATCTATATCTATGTCTATATATCTATATCTATATCTATATCTGTATCTATATATCATCTATCAAGATCTCAAGATCAGGAAACAGAGCAGCTTTTATTCACAGAGCAGCTTTCATCAGTTTCTCAAGCCCTAGTTCTCCACGGGGTAGTGCAGTGAGTGCTAGAGGTACCTGCATATTCGGAGGTTTGCACCACAGAGGAGGAACCCCCAAATTATGAAACTCAGAGTTTATGCAGGTGTCACTGACATATCTGTCCATCCTCCCCTCTAGGTGCTTACATAGAGTGAGAGGAAGGGAGGGTGGAAGAGAGACGTTTTTATTCTGAAATGTAAACAAATCCTCCCTAGAGAGAGGAGGACAAAATCTCTATTTCACCACCCCAGAATATAAACAAATAGCTCCAGGGAGATGAATCTCTACATCTTCCCAGAGGTATCTATCTTCAGGGTTGCTCTTCAATTATCCTTTAGTCCAGGTGCCAGTGCTCTTTGCTCAGAAAGCCTTGACTGTAGAAACATGAAACTATTTATGGAGCATTATTTCCCAACAGCTGCCCTTCCTCACACCATTTCATTTCACTACATCCTTATACCTTCTCTCGTCTCCCTTGGTGAAAGAAGAGACAAGGCTGTAACACTTAGGAAGATTTTAATGGAGGTTTGGAGGTAGTGGAAGGGAAGCACAACACAGAAAATAATTTATAATTAGTTTTAGGGGTGACCACTTTCAGGACTCACAGAACCCACCCAGAAATAGGTCCACCCTATGGGGTTGCCTTCAGGTGGTCTCTGCCTAAATCACTGGGATAGAGTGGTTAAGCCCATCTGACCTCCTCCAGATAAGACTGTCCTGGATCAGAGTTACTGTGCTTGGAGAGCCTGGCATGCATACAGGGAAAGTTGAACTGTACAGTGGAGCATAATGGAGAATCATGCCTCAATTTCAGCTCAATATATGACGAGGGTCACCTTGTACATCAGGGAGGGAGGCAAAGATGCCTCAATAAATGGTTCTGAGACAATTTTTCATATTGAGGGAAATGAAAATGTGTCCTACTTCACATTGTAAGCAACATTTAGTTTGAGATAGGTTAACTATGTAAGTGTGAAAGGTAAAATCTATTCTCTATTTTGTAATTATTTATTAAGTCAGCCTCAGTACTAGACTGTGTTTCCTATTACATAGCATGTACTCATTACATAATGTTTGGAAATATGATGCAAGATTCAGGGGAGATGTCTTTCCATTTCTAGAGCTCTATAAAAAAAGTAACACTTTAATATTTTTCTACCGACTCAAATTTTAAATTTGTGATATTTCATATACAATTCCATTAGAATTTAAGATTAAAAAAGTCAAAGATATGAAAAGAGTTGAAATAGAAATATGGAAAATTTCAGGGAGAAGGTAGAATTCTAGTTTTTTTTCTAAAGAACTAAAACATTTTCATGAATAATTTTAGAATATTTAATACAATGTTTAAGGTAAGGCATCCTATATAACTTTCCAGCTTTTGTAACCCTAAGTTACTTCCAAATACTGTAAATTAGGATTTAGCAGGGCACGTTGGCTCATGCCTGTTATCCCAGTACTTTGGAAGGCCAAGGTAGGAGAATCGCTTGAGCTCATGAGTTTGAGACCAGCCTAGGCAAAATGTTGAGACTTTATATCTCTCTTTTTTTTTTTTTAATTAGCCAGTCATGTAAGCATGCACTGTAGTCCTACCTACTTGGGAGGTTGAAGCAGGAGGATTGTTTTAGCCCAGGAGTTCAACGCTATAGTGAGCTATGATCACACCAGCTTGGGTGACAGAGTGAGACCCTGTCTTTAAAAAAAAAAAAAAAAGATGTGATATTCATTAAGTACTTATTGAGTGAATTGAATGAATACATGTTAAAAAATTTTGGATACCAGCAAATTTAAATTCCTGTTTATCAAGTAATAATTATTTTTTGGTCCTGAGGTAGAAAATGAGGGCAATGACACCAAACCTAATTAATAGTTTATTGCATTACAAAACAATGTCATATTTAAAACGAGGTTGGAATGCGTAGTGGGCATTATTTATTACTTTGCCTACTCAAACTCTTACCCAGCGCCTTGGCGGGGGGGAGGGGGCAGTGTTGGCAAAGATCATCTCCCTGCAAAGGAGCTGTGAACGCTCCTTAGCGGCTTGCTCAGTCTGCCTTGCAGTTAGAATACAGGCACATTGCCCAGTCTCCGCCACTCAGCAACCCTCATGTCAGGCTGTCTCAGCAGCCAGGATGATACAAGGCAAGCAGTTGGGCAGTTCTCACTGTGGTCATGGCAGAGACAGTGGCAGCAGTAAGGTCAGCCTCCTGAATGCAGAAGGGCACGTAGCTATGGAAACAGGGGCAGCAACATGAAGTGGGTACTGAATTAGTGATGGTGGGATGTTCCCTCTCCTGAGGGGATCTTACTCCCAATCCACCCCATGATGGGTTTGTCCTAGGGCCTCCAAAAGAGAATCACATCTGAACATTGTCCAAAATAAGTATATTTTCCAAACTCTGTGTTATTCTCTTTTGAACAATACCATGTGTGCAATATTTTATTTCCAGTTCCTTTTTACAGTTTCTTGTCTGCTGGCAGTATATATCATCTTTCTTGAGTCTTCAGAGTCTTTGTTCGTAAATTTCCTATGAGCAAGTGCTTGAATTTCTGTACACACACACACACACACACACACACACACACACAGCCCTCCGCAAAAACAAACAATAATGCAAAAACATAGGGCAGTTCCTATCCTTAAGACATTTATCTTAACAAACTGACTATATTTTCAGAGGCATAGCTCTGCTAGAAACACCTGTACTCAGGGTGGATGCTGCGTTGTTAAACAGTGGTAGGTTTTTTTTCCCCCAAAATGAAGGAGCAATTTGCCTCAAAGATTAATTCAATTCTCCATCTGTCAGGAGACAAAAGTACTTGCAGTTTTAAAGTGACAGTTTTTTCAGTTTCAGGCCATAGTATTAAAAGAAAAAAAAAATCTGACCAAAATTTCTTATAAAATGGGAAATAGAAAAAGTAAGATAAGTAGGACTTAGGGTGCGTGTAGTAATAGGGTGCTAATATGATGGATATATATCTCCTTTGGCCATGCAGACAACCTAACATCCAACATGCTTTATTTTCAGAAGATCTCATTAGGTGGCCGCCAGTAAGAAGCTGATCCATACCTTTGACTATGGAAATCGAGGAAAGCCAGTTATTTCTTCACTGTATCTATGGCAGCCAGAGCATGTGCACATGATTTCAGCTCCACCATTAGGAGACTCCTGCCTGGGATCTTGCCCCTTAAGCAGCAGATGTGGAGCTGTGAGGCTTAAAGGGATGGCTGTGGCAAGGTGTGGTCAGGGATTACACTCTGCAATTGGTTTCCAGAGCCCCTTTGTTTCCTACTTACATTTCAAACCTGCTCCTCTACATGGTAATTTCATCTATATGTAAAAGAATTGGAGTTCCTGTCTACTGCTTGCAACCAAGAATGCAGGCCAGAGAAAATGGTAAACTTTTTGAGTTATGTGATTGGAAACCCTATGACTCTGGTTATTGTTAGGCTCTGAGGGGGCCAATAAAGGGTACCTCTGTATTTTTTGCCCAAGTTCTGACCAATATAATTTTACTTATTTATCTTGTTTGTCTCAACCTTAATATTAGTACCGTAACTCCATGAACACAAGGATTTTTTGTCTATTTTGTTCCAGCTGTGTCATCAGCATATAAGACAGTGCCTGGTTACAAATAGGCATTTAATAATTATTTGCTGGTGGATGAGTGCATATGTCAGTGAATGGGCAAGGCATATGAAAATAAAAACATCAACTTCATTACAGATATAAGATTATATCCATGAGCTGAGTAAACTGATACACTCAGTTGTGAGCCTCCTTCCTCACGTGATAGAGAGCAGAGCAGTACACATTGTCTCCATAGGCAGACCAGCTGTCAAGAGAAACAGGGAGGAGCAGCACTAACTCTGCTAGTTCATCACTCCCAAATCTACTTACTGATTAGGAGAAACAGTGAGTGAGGGGTCTGGCAGAGCCCAGGAGTGTTAGATAGTAAACTTTCCTCACAAAGTAAGTAAGGCCAGGAGCTAAGAATAAATGTCCCATGATAACAAGTGGTGATGTCCAGATTTACTGCTGTCTGGGCAAAGCTGAATGCAGTTACGTATCATAATGCTGTTCACATTTAGTAATGGATTAAGGTTTGGACTTCAAGCAAGAGAAAACTCTTTCCACTAATGTGGCTTTAAAACTTTCCTTCTACTAAAAGCACAAGGAACAACCAAAAATATACATGCAAATTGGACTTCATCAAAATTAAAACTTGTATGCATTGAAAGACATCATCAAGAAGGTGAAAAGACAACCCACAGAATGGGAGAAAATACTTGCAGGTAATATATCTGATAAAGGTCTACTGTTCGGAATATGTAAAGAACTCCTATAACTCAACAACGAAAAAACAAAATCCAATAAAGAAGTGGGTCAATGATTTTAATAGACATTTCTCCAAAGAAGATATTCAAATGGCCAACAAGTACATTTAAAAATGGTTAATATCATTAGCTTCTCAGGAAATGCAAATCAAAACCACAGTGAAGTGCTCCTTCACACCCATTAGGATGGCTATAATATAATAAAACACACACACACAGAAAATAACAAGTGTTGACAAGGATGTGGAGAAATTGGAACTTCCACACATTGCTGATGGGAAAGTAAAATGGTTCAGCTGCTGTGGAGAACAGTTTGGTAGTCCCTCAAAAAGTTAAACACAGAGTTGCCATTCCACTCCTAGATATATACCTCAAAGAATTAAAAAACAGGTACTCAAATATACAAATGCACATGAATGTTCATAACAGCATTACTCATAATAGCAAAAAGGTGGAAATAACTCCAAAAGTCCATCAGTGGATGAATGGATAAACACATTGTGGTATGCACATACAATGGGATACTCTTCAGATATAAAAGAAGTGAAATGCTGATACATGGTATGATGTGGATGAATCTCAAAACATAATGCTCAGTGAAAGAGGCCAAACATAAAAGGTCGCATATTGGATGATTCCACTTATATAAAATATCCAGAATAGGTAAGTCCATAGAGAAAGAATGCAGATTGGTGGTGCCCGCAGCTGGGGCCAGGGGAGAATTGAATGTGACTGCTCCGTGGGTATGGATTTTTCTTTTGGAGTGATGAAAACATTTTGGAACTAGATAAAGGTGGCAATTGTGCACATTGTGAAGATGTTAAATGTCACTAGACTGTTCACTTTAAAATCATTAATTTTATGTTTTATGAATCTCACCTCCATAAAAATAACAACAAAATCTCTCCCCATTTTTGGCAGGATGCACAGAAGCACATGAATCTCTTGGGAGAAGTCAGCTACTAAAGGAAGACAGAAAAGGAACACAATGCTCAGATTAGAAAGATAGTGCTTTAGCACCACAGCCCCAAACTCAGACATTCAACAGATGTTTATTGAGCACCTGTTATGTGCCAGGCTTATTCCATGTACTTGGGATACATCAGTGAAAAGAGCAGGCAAGACCCCTTCCTTGCATGAAATTTATGTTCTAATGGAATGAGACATATAATAAGAGAAAATGTGTATAGGACAGTCAAAGGTGTTAAGTGCTATAAAGAACAACAGCAAAAACAACTAAAAATGTAGAGCAGGAGTATTGGGGAGTTTGTAATCCCCAGATGACATCACCAGAGGGCTGAGTATAGATACAGAAGTGAAGAGGACTGAGGACTAAGCCATGGAAGTACTCCAACATTAAAAGGACTGACAGAAAAACAGCTTCTGGCAGAAGAAACAGAGAAGGGGCCACCAGTGAACGGCAGGACAGCCAGAGAAGTGGGGAGACCTGGAAATTCCAAAGGAAATCACAGATATGTAGTGTCACAGATAACATAGTGATCCGATTTACCAAACACTGCCGGATATTCAATTAGGCATGGACTGAGAATTGACTACTGGATTTATTAATGTGATGTTATTGAAGACCTCTACAAGACCAGTTTCAACTCTGTGGTAGGAACAAAATCCTGCTCAGGGGGGTTTAGGAGAAAGATTGGAGACATTGAATGTAGATAATGGTTTGGATGAATTTTGCTACAAAGTAGAGGGTGTAGCTGGCAAGTAAAGTGCTTTCAAGAGAAATTATTGGAAGATGGGAAAAATAAGAGCATATATGTAAAGCACACTAGAGAAGAGTGAAAATAAACTGTGAAACATTGAGATCTTCAAAACAATAGTGGCTAACTGTCTAAGTAAAGATTAAGACTGAGGATTAGTAAGGAGCACTTAAGCATCTTAGAACTGATTAGACCATGTGGGACAAGAACAAGTCAGAGACGCTATGGGGGAATCCAGTGAGACCCATTCTACTCCCCTTAACCACATAGGCAAGAAGATGTGGGGAATTGTTATCAGAATCCACTGCCTAAAAATGGTATATATATTCTTCATTTTAGCTGCTGACAATACAGTTTTGGGAGTGATACTAATCGTCTCTAAGCCTTGATTTCTTCAGCTATAAAATGTAGGTCATAATAAGGCACACCTCATGAGTACACTGGGCATGCAAAGCTCTTAGAAGAGTGTCAACATAGAGGAAATATTACCTGTTGTTATTATGATAACTTAGTCATTCTCAATTCATTTCTCATCTTTACAGAATCCTAAGTAACTCCTCTAATTATTGCTTTATGTACTTAGGCCTGATATTCAAAATATCTAACACCTGATTTATTACCTGCAGTGATAAACAAACAGAGTGCCACTAGCTATGGTTTTGAGGTCCCTGTGGATTCTACATGAATTTAGAACAAAAATTCTGACTTTCAGAGTTGGCAAATCAGGTAAATAGCAGCCCTATAGAAATAGGTAGTAAGGGTACTTCTTTTTGCCTAGTTAACCTAGTTCTTCGAAAGCAGGGAAATTTAGCAGAAGTGGACATTTAAGGACAATAACAAATTTCCTGTACATCAGCGTGTGTGTGTGTGTGTGTGGGCGCGCGTGAGTGCATATGTGTGTGTGGGGGGGCGCGCGCGCGTGCATGTGTGGGCGCACGCGCGTGCGTGTGTGTGTCTGCGCGCGTGCGTGCGTGTGTGTGTGCGCGCGTGAGTGTGTCTGGGCATGCGTGTGTGTGCGCGCGCGTGCGTGCATGTGTGTGTGTTGGGGTATGGGTGCTGCTTTTCTCTACCTGCCTCTTCCGCCTACCTTCTTTCTTACTCCTCCACAGGGGACCTTCTGGAATTCTTATGATGTGGGGAATGCAGAAATCACCGTGTGAAAAGGTAGTGCATCTACTTGCCAGTTGGTCCTGTTCCAGCCTCCATCAGGAAGGCAGATACAGGACAGAAGCTCTTTCTCCTTTTCTCTTGGGCCTAAGTACACTAGCTATTTCTTAAAGGTTTTGTACTACTTAACCAATTGGAGGATAATAAGAGCTTAGGTAGCATTCTGAGAAAGCTTTTAGTGTAAGTGAAGTGTTCTGATTCTGTCTTTGCCTGATTTGAAATGATATCTCGTTTCTCATTCTTTGTGTTTCATTGTTTAGATGTTTGTTTCATTCTTAGAATG
This sequence comes from Homo sapiens, assembly GCF_000001405.40. Classification (NCBI taxonomy): domain Eukaryota; kingdom Metazoa; phylum Chordata; class Mammalia; order Primates; family Hominidae; genus Homo; species Homo sapiens. The sequence goes on from NC_000001.11 coordinate 214,917,752, forward strand.
TTTGTTTTTAGAGAAGAACTCATGGTTATAGGGCAATTGACAAGGCATACTTAGGGCATCTCTAGGTTCTCTAACACCATTAAAATATCATTCTAACTGCTAACAAATAGGATAAACTTTAAAACATAAGAGGAATGATTACAGTAAACGAAGTCTTTCTCCTCTTAAAAAATTACAGAAGTGTCAAAGAACATGCTTTAAAATTGGAGAGAAGTAATCAAGACGAAGAAAAAGTCACGGCAACTTTAAGGAAAATAGTAGACATTTCTATAAGCCTATGCAGTCAGTGAAAATTATAGACAGGGAAAAAAGTTAAATAATTGTAAATAGGCAGGAAAATCTGAGAATAAATCAAAGTTATTAGAAGGAAGATAGAAATAACAACAACACCATCAACAACAAAAGCACAATAACACACTTCCTAAAATTTTCAAGAAGGAAAGGTGAGAGGTAGGAGTTAAAGATAAAAACAGGCTGAGTGCAGTGGCTCATGTTTGTAATCCCAGCAATTTGGGAGGCTGAGACAAGAGGATCACTTGAGCCCAGGAGGTTGAGGCTGCAGTAAGCTATGATCATGCCACTGCACTCCAGCCTGGGTGACAGAGCAAGACTCTGTCTCTAAAAATAAATAAACACATAAATAAATAAAGATGAAAAATATTCTGCTCAATATGGCATTTATACAGACATGATGGAGAACACAATAATTCTTGTGTTCATTATTATGGGGCTATTAGCACATACAACAGAGATGATTGAAAGTTACAGATATATATTATAATGACTTTGTCCCTTTGCATTTTAGAGTTTTAGAAACAGAGATCTATAGTACTAAATCTTTTAGGAGTCTAACCATGTCTTATCTGGTGTATCTAAATGGACATGTACTATCAGTTGTCTTAGATTAAGTTCCCTGGAAAACAGACACTGAGACACTGAGATCCGTGTGCAAGAAGTAGCAGGGAGTGCTCTCAGAACAGTGCCTGTCAGGGAGTAAAGGAAGCAGGTTGGGACGAAGAAAGAAGTTGAACTTGAAGCAGTTGACACAGAGGCTTCACCCCATTTTAAAGGGATGGAGCTGGTTTAACTCTATAGCGTTTTCCAGAATTAGGGCATGAGCCAAGGCAAGGCATCTGGGTTTGTGCACATACAAAGCAGTCGTTGGACGTGGACTTTCATTGTCAATGGGTTATCAGCCTGGATGAGGCAGCTCCTCCTGGCTCAGGGCAAGTCTCAGCTCTGAGTGGCCAGCAGACCATGGAATGGGTGCCTGCAGCCTGAAGTAGAAACCATGGCACCTACCATATTAGTTTCTATAAAATACTTTCTCTTAGGTAGAAGAATATTTCTTGATGTTATGTTTTTCTCCTAAAGAATGATATCTGTTAACATTAGGCAGTGAATCATGTTATACTGAAGGAGATCTTGTTACGGCTGTCTGAGAATAGTATAGAGAGGAAGAAAATAAGATTAAAAAAATTAAATTACCACTCTCCTTGGGCAGATTATCCTAATAGATATGTCTCTAAATATTCAATAATCTGTTATTTATTTTCCTATACCATTTGTAATAATTTACTATAATATCTGACCCAATGACCTGAAAGATTTCATGCAGCTCTGAATAAGCCTAGTTTTCACTAGGCAATGGCTTAGGCTTGATAATTGCAGTGCTAATGTTGGGATTGGTTTCCTTGGGACTCTCGGCCTTATCAATGAAAATGGAGGTGATGTGTGGTCTCTCATGTACACCTGTCAGTATCGTTATTCTATAGCTGTGAATAAAATAATGCTATATTCTGGAATATTTTGAATATATTTACCTGTCGATGATAAGAAGTGGGTTAAAGACAGGTAGATTATTAGAACTCATAAGAAATTAAAACAGCTGTTTAATTTCAAATCTGGCAAATCTCACAATGGTTTTCTTTCCTCAACAAAATAGGAGAAAATCCAGTGGAGGATTGTGGTCCCATGTTAGCTTCTGCACAACATTCACATTGTGATTAGTCTGTCCTTCTGGGACTTTCCTCCCTCAGCTCTCAATACACCAGTTCCTTCCTGATTCTCCTTCTCCATTCTGGTGGCTTCTCCAGCCCCTGAGAGGGCTTTTCTTTCTCTCTGCACTTCTTATGCATAAATGTCTCCTGGCTTTGTTGTCATGTCTCTTCTTCACTCGTATTACACTGGTCCAGGGTGATGTAATCTATTTTTATAGCTTAAATCTACTGACATTTTGGTGATGTCTAAATATGTTTCATCAAAGTTTCAGACCTATAAATCCAATTACCTTCTGGACATCGTCACTGCATGTTCTACAGACATCTCAATGTGAAAAAGGACATACAAACAAATAATATTATAATCCTCCATTATTCTCTACCTTGGTGGATATCAATACCATTTATGTGATAGTCCCAGCTGTTCAAGTAAGAAAACAAAATTAACCTTGACTCCATCTCTCCCTCCACAAAGCTGTTATCTAATCAGTCTTCAGACACTGTTGATTCTATCTCCTTATTATCTCTTAAAACAATCCTCTCACTATTTACACTGCTACTATTTCAGTTTTACCATTTCCACTACATTTCTGCACCAACTACCATTTTTTTCATTGAAAGTGTGCCTTCTTTTGATAATTTTTAAGAAGATGAAACAAATATAATTCTCTTTACAGTTGATGGAAAAGTTTCATCGGAGGAAGAAATAGTTTTTATGGAAATAAGCCTTGGTATGCCTGCTTGGGGGCAGCAGAATCACACCAGGCCAGGGAGGCAGGAACCTGACATCAGAGCATGGATGTGAACACATTGTTCTGTCTGATAGAGAGGAAGCCTTTCACAGCTCTCAAGGCTATTCCAAGAAGTGTGGAAGTTTCAGTGGTACAATGGGACAAAGGAGACCAAGGAGCAAGAAATAAGTGAATGGCCAAAGTGAATGGCCAACGGGCATTTTGAAAAAAAAAAAAAAAAAATGCTTCCTATTGCCATCAATTTGCATCATGGGGATATAACCCTTTCTATTAGATTGGTAATGGCAAAAACCACAACTACTTTTGTGCTAACCTAATACGTCTTCCCTAAGAAATCTTCAGTGTAGCTTTCAAAACAAAATGATCAAATATATAAAACAAAACAAAACAAAAATCCAAAAAACAAAAGACTTGGTATTAATAAAAAAAATTGTGTGTGTGTGTTTGAAACTGAAAGAGAAAACTGGACTTCCTTTTAGGATTGATGTTGAAAGAAATCAGAAGCTTCAGAGACTGAGGAGGCCAGGAAACAAAATGTCCCTGGACATTAGCGGAATTGCTGCAGGATTTTTTTCTAAGCTCCTGTAAGTTTGTAGTTGCAATGAGCTCCTGTTAACAAAAGACAGAATAACAAGAGAAAAACAAATTTATTGACCTGTGTATTTCATGTTTACATGGGAGACCCCCGCAAAATCAGTAGTTATCAAAGAGGTGGCTTTGAATTCCAGCTTATATAGCATCTTCAACAAAGTAAAGTTTTAGAGAAGTGGCAAGACAAAGGAAAAGGGCTTTGAGTCTCTACAGCAGCAATTTGGAGGAAGGAAAAAAACTGGCAGATTAAAGGCTGTTTAGTAGAGCTTCTTTTTTTTTTTTTTTTTTTTGAGATGGAGTCTTGCCCTGTCACCTAGGCTGGAGTGCAGTGGCGTGATCTCATCTCACTGCAAGCTCCGCCTCCTGGGTTCATGCCATTCTTCTGCCTCAGCCTCCTGAGTAACTGAGACTACAGTCACCTGCCACAACGCCTGGCTAATTTTTTTGTATTTTTAGTAGAAACATGGGGTTTCACCATGTTAGCAAGGATGGTCTCGATCTCCTGACCTTGTGATCTGCCCGCCTCGGCCTCCCAAAGTGCTGGGATTACAGGCGTGAGCCACTGTGCCTGGCCAGTAAAGCTTCTTAATACAAGTTTCTCTGGTATCATCTCTGGGCTGATAAGGGTCCAAAGCTATCTTCATCGGTTAACTTTTGTTCTCCCTGATAAAAAAGGAGAGGCACAATAACTTTTGTCTTTATAAGTCTATGCTCTGCTTTTGGGCAAACAGAGAAAGGGCAGAGAGCTGTCCTGTATCTGCTTCCTCTTGTCTTCAGCTCAACAACCCTTCAAATTTTGGGGTGGCATATTTTTGTCTCCCACTACTCTTTGGGAAGAACATGGATTTTGTGGGGTAGAGGGGGTGGTTCAAGGGGATTTCTATTGTGTAGTTAGGCAGAGTCAATGCTGCTGACACCTGAGTTACACTTTGGTCACATAGTCAGAGCCATTGTGCTTTCTAAAGCACAAATACATCTTTTACAAAAATCTTCATTGACTCCCTGAAGTGTCAGGATAGAATCTAAATTTCTTTTCAGTGAACACATGATTGGCTTTCTGTGCCACTGTCTCTTGCCATTTTCTCTTCAGTCTCTAAACTGTCATTAGGTGTAGCTAATGGACATGTCCTAAACTTGATTCTCTGTGCACAGATGCCCACCTCCTCTTCTTTGTCTTGATAAGGCCATCTTTTGATAAATTTAAAAATGTTTTTCCTATCCTTTCACTCTTCCTGTGCCCTTCCTCCTTTTTTTATTCACCTGATACGTGAAACATCTTCTACTAATTCATCAAATTGGAAGTTAGAGGAAGTGGATTTTCATTTCTTTGAATAACATTTCATTGCATATGTGTCAAAATATCTGAATGGATATGTAACAAAACACACATCAGTGACGTGAGTTGGAGAAAATAACATTCATTGGGATTCTTGGGGGAAGCACATGTTTGGAAGAAACTCAGTAAGTATGCTTATGTAATTAGGATGGTACCTAAGTAATCAAACTCTAATTATGTATATTTGAAAAGACAATTACAACGCAACGTGGAAGTTATGTTGGAAAGGGTTTGCAGGAGGTCTTAAGGGATTACATAAAAAGGACCTTGACCTATTTTTAGAGGCCAGAGAACTCCACTATTTTTGAACCCTAGGCCCCTGGATCCACAGGACACTGGAAGTTATCTTCCGTATTTGCAGAAGCCAATAGAAACAACTCATTTAGTATGGCAAAGCTGCCCATGCTAATTAAAATGTCAAGTTTTTTGCTTTAGCCTGGAAGTATAATTAGCACACTCTGGAAATATTAGTTATCCCAGGCTGATTAGAAGCTTTGATCAGTAGTTATATCTTTGATGAATAAGACTCAACAAATGAATTAATTTACTTAAATGAAGTTTGGTAAATAGAAAAATCTTTGAAAACATGAGGTCTCTGTGGAAATACAAGAAAAAAGGTGTCTAGTGCCAGGAAAAGCTCAGAAAATCTGTACTTAAGAACCTGCTTTGTACCTTGAGAGCCAGATAAAGAATGGCATTTGTTTATATGATAGTAATTTGCACATTTCAGCTGGGCTTTGCCTTTCCCAGAGTGGATTTGGTCCCCTTTCCACATTTGGCTCATTCCAAAGCAGTGAGGCAAACCTGCACAAGCAAATACTTTACCCCCATCGAAATGTTAGCTTCCCCAATCCTAATCCATAGAATAACCCTGTTTCCATTACACTGAGCAGCAACTCAAGGGAGACCTGTCTGGTTAGCTTGCATTTTGTACTTGATTAACTTGGCAGTATGGTCAAGCTGCAAGAGAGTGCAAAAAGAAGAGATTTATCTGCTTTGTTTAACACAGAGGAGACTTAACTGCTTGATTTATCTGCTTGCCATCACTATTAAGATGGATGAGAGTCAATTGTGTTGGGGCAGTAACTATACCTTCTGCACCTGGGCCAGCAGTGACAGCCCCACTAATGTTGACATATTTATGAACACTCAGTTGTGTCCAGAATGTGACAATTTTTCTACCCAATCCCTTCAGTGTAGTTAAAACACAGACTTCAATAATAAATATAGAAATGTAGAGAAGGAGGATGTGAGGACTAGAAGGTTTTGGAGGTACCATTGAGGGGTCAGCTTTCACTTCCCTATGTGACCTGGGCAAGTCATCTCTCCCAGGCCTGCTTTCTTCTTCTATGAAGTGGGAATTCTAACAGCTATTTTGTTTTAAATTAATTTAGGTAAAGTCCCTTAGAGATAGACAGATGCTTTCTTAATATGTGAGCTTGCCTGACTGTGCCCAACTGCCATATTAAAAATACCCACCCCCAACTCTCCTGGCCTCACTCTGTAGCTTCTCTTCATACACAGATATCCGCTCATTTCTCTAAGGAGAATGCCTACTTCTTAGACTTCTATTATGACTGCTGTGATAAAGTGTAATTTCAAATTAATATTTATCTGTTTTTTGTTTCTCTGATTTAAGGAAAACCTGTCTATTTTATCATCCTCCTGGTGAGTTCCATTTGCTTCTCTGCAGAGTGCAGGTGCAACTTTCATTTGTGACAATGGGAGCTCTTTTTTTTGAAATCAATTGAAGGGAACCCCAGCTGGGGAAGAGAAGAGCATCAGGGAAAAAACAAAAGTAGAGACATTTGCTCTGCAAAATATTCCAGGCCCTTTGGCTCTTCCTCGGGCACTCCCTTGTGTGGGATGGCCCTCAGAGTGGGGCCAAAGTGGGAACAATCTCCCGGATCCTTTGGCCTTAGGACACTTTGAAATTTTTTGCTATAATTTTCCATAAAATAATACACTTCCACAGCAGATGGTAAAATCTTTAAAATGGTTTCACATCGATTATCTTGTGTCTCCTAGCAGCTCTTTGAAAGGAGACATGAAATTCTGGAGCTGAGATGTAGCTGGAGGTCATTTAGGTTAATATTTTTCTCTTGCAGCACAGGAAGCCCACCCTAGAGACGTTAACAGGTAAAGATCTGGGACCAGAATCACCTCTCCCTAGTTCTGATTCTGTGCCCTTTATTGAACAACACAGCCTTATCACCTAAACAATTCCTCCCTCGCTCTACTTCCCATTAGGGAAAGGCACATTCTGACTTCTAGAGTTTGTTCTAAATTTTTTGCAGGCAATGGAACTGAGAGTTTTAAATTTCTTCTATATATAAAAACAAGGTTTTGATTAAGCAGTTCTTACTCCAGGGTGTTCTGTCTTTTGACTGTGTTCCAGTGGTACTTTACCTAACCCAATTGAACCTTCAGTTCCTCATTTGTATCCTGAAGATGGGAAAATTATTTACTACTAGGGGAATGCGAGGAGGATAGGTTTAGTAAACTGCCACTCATTCCAATTCCCCGTGGAGGTTTCTGACCAAGACATTTATACAATAAGGAAAAATAGCCAAAATGGGAACTAAGGAGCCGCTTTGTGGGTCAGAGGGGTACGGAGACAGGACGCAGGTGGCAGTGTATGGAGCTGCCTACCCAAACTTGCTGACCTCAGGGAGCAGTTGTAAGGTTTGATTGCATTAATGCAGGTAAACTCCTGAGGATATGGTAAGGGCCCACCACAGTTTAGCTGTTATTAATACCTTGTGCTTCTTATTTTCTAGAGAATTGGGATAACACTCCAAGATTAATCCCATCATTCAGGGAGTACAAATATTTGATTCACACTGTGAGAGTGAGTGCATAGATAAGATGAAATCTGTTTTTTTGTTTTGTTTTGTTTTTTTTTTTTTTGAGATGGAGTCTCGCTCTGTCACCCAGGCTGGAGTGTAGTGGCGTGACCTTGGCTCACTGCAAGCTCCACCTCCTGGGTTCCTGCCATTCTCCTGCCTCAGCTTCCCGAGTAGCTGGGACTACAGGCGCCCGCCACCATGCCCAGCTAATTTTTTATATTTTTAGTAGAGACGGGGTTTCACCATGTTAGCCAGGATGGTCTCGATCTCCTGACCTTGTGATCTGCCCAGCTTGGCCTCCCAAAGTGCTGGGATTACAGGCATGAGCCACCACGCCCGGCCCCAAGATGAAATCTTTTCATTTTCTGCCAAAGGTCCAGTTTTGATGGGCAGAAATGAAATGAAGGTGCAGGAATCTTTTCATTTTTATAGGTTGATACTAAGATAAGTCATCCATCGACATCTACAGTTTTAGCAGGTTTGCACTCAATAATAGTTTAGGTTTTTATTTCAGGAACTCTTTGAAAGGGCTTATGTCATGTTCTTCTCAGTGCCTTTGTACTAAAACACCTATTTTGTGTGTCTCTGGTTGATAATTCTAGGTTGGTAGAAAACTCTGCTTCCAATCAGAGCTATTAATGCACTGACTTTAAGGTGCTCAAATACTCTGTTAAGTTTTAGACATTTATTAAAAGATTAGGAGTTTCATGGCTCCACATATTTTCCTGATCTTGCCATCAAAGCAGCATGGAAAGAAATCTCTAAGAACACATTACTGGGGCCAGATCACTGGGGTTCAATCAAAGCTCCACCACTTCCTTGCTCAGAAGTCGTTGGCCAGTTACTTAATCTATGTTTACTTTAGTTTTCCTATCTGTAAAATGGAGGTAGTAATAGCATAACCTGATAGGACTAAATGAGTTAACATTCATGAAGCACTTAGAGAAGTGCGTAATGCTCATAGTAAACATTATGTAACTGTTTACTGCTCCTATTAATTTATATCTAGAAACAGTTAAGATCCTTCTCCATAATTCTCTATGGGAACCAGGTAATTTATACAACATGCTGTTACCTTAATTCCATGTTCTTTAGCAACATGGGCTTGAGTCTTTGTATACATCATTGTTGAAAAGATGCTAAAAGCTACAAGGAAATAACAGCAGTTTTGGAAAAGAATAAAATAAAGAATAAGAAAAGAGAAAATAATGTAGTTGAAGAGTCAAGGAAGGCCTAAGACCCAGGACTTATTTCATTTTTTTTCCTGTAAAGTCCCAGTATGTGCAGGCTATCAGAGGAGCATGACATGTCAGAACTAGATTCTGAGACTAGAAATATCCTAGAGGTCAACACATCTATGTGCAATTGGACTGAACTGAAACCATCCAGGTAACAGTCAAATCTATTTTCATTTTTAGAACAATAGCTTGTCTATTCTTATGTTGTATAAAGTTTTACTAACCACTAAATAGAGAGATTCCACGTGATGTTTTCTTAAATGCTTTTTATTAATTTACTCCTATTTGCTCATCTGTGAAAATAAAAGACTCCTGTTTAGCACCAAAACCATACATGTTTTTATATTCTTGAGTTCTAATTACTTCACTCACCTTTGGACTAAGAATCTTTATTCCAGCACAAGTTTATTTTTAGATGAATAATGCTATTATTCCTCAGAGATTATTCATTTACTTTGGATTCCAGTCTGTCTCAAGAAATGGAATATCAAATGCTGAAGGTATCAGCAATGTAAAATGTGTCATTGATTAGGCTGTTTATTAGTTACCAGAGACAGGCATGGTGGTTAAGTACTTGGTCTTGGGAGTCAGATGTATGAGTTTCAAACCCAACAGTTGAGTTGATACTAAATAACTAGGTTGTGTGGCTCTGTTTTCTCATGTCACAATGGTGATAAGACCGCCAAATGAGATAGAAAGGAGAGGTCTCTGTACAACGCCTGGCACAAAGTCAGCATTTCTCATCAGCAGGAAGGCTAAACACAAACCCACCTGTGTCCCTTCCCTGCTGAATCTGCCTTCAATGGCTTCTCATTGCTGTTGGAATTACCACCAAACTCGTTTCTGTGGCCTACAAGCCCCCGTGTACTCTAGACCCTGCTCACTTGCTTTGGTCATCCTAGTCTACTGTGTTTCACTGGATGACTCTCTGTTGCTGCAACAACCCCATTCTTTCTTGCCTCAGGAATTGGCCATTTTCTCTACTTGGAAAGCTTTTATTCCTGCTCTTAATATGATAGATCTTTCTCACCTTCATGCATAACATCTTTCTGTTTCCTTCGATGCCTACCTTACAATCTGTAATCCATATTTACTTGTTTACTTGCTTACGTTTGTCTCTTGCTTCTCTTGTGATGATTCATAGAGGTAGGAATCTTCTCTACCTTGTTCATTGTTGTATCTTCAGCACCAAGAAGAGTGTCTTGAATATAATAAGGACTCAGTAATCTCAAATAATTATTTTTAGAGTATTTAATATTCAGTAAATAATATTTTTAATTTGTTAAATATTATATTACAATTTCTTACATTAAAATATCTCATTCTTTGTCATAATATTGTAGGATTATCTACACAATAATTGGAACACAATAAAATGCCTCTTTGCTATTGTAACAATTCACAGTGAGACTTATTTCCAAGGCTGTTAAGAAAAGCCAAGGATGGAAACTCTTGGCTGGGCAACTATTTGAGTTAGATTTAAGCAATCCGAACTTCCAAAGCACATGAGTAATCTGGTCAGATAAGGTTACCAATTATATTTCTAATGATATCTAGAACCAAGTAGTGCCATAATATTTCTAACAGTATTTAGAACCAGGTGATGCCAATAATTTGGCTTGCATAGATACAACTAAGTATTTATGCATTAGCTGAATACTTGGTGGGCTTATTTTATGCTTATTTTTAGTAAGTGTATTTAACTAAAGAGGCAAGTGAATTTATATGCTGTGTTTAAGGTTTAATTATGGTGCCTAAATACTAGATTTTTTTTAGGGTATGATATAGAGGCAAGAGAATTACAGAGAGCTTTAGACTTAAAAGAGCAATGATTTACTTCCAGCATTGCCATTTATGAGCTGCATGAACTAAGATAAGTCACATCATCTCTTGAAGTCTCAGCTTTCTCATCTATACAAGTAGGATACATATCATAAAATTGTTATAGGAATTAAACTGAATAATGGATGGAAATGTTCTTGGCACACAGTAGTTTTCCTTTAGTAAGGTGACAGAGGAAAACTGGTGGGTTTGACTCTGTATTTCTTACTAATGGCAAGTTTTCCTCTTTTATTGTAATGCTTTGCATGTTGTTTTTCATTTGACTACAAACTACCTCTTGACCAAGGAAATAAAACAAAGCTCAAACACCATATAGAAACAAAAATAATTTATTAGTTTTTATTGCATCAGTGTGACCTTTGGAAACTGACTAAAGCCCAGTTAACTTCAGAACTGATGTAATTCTTCGGATAACAAACAAATCTATTAATGCTGTGGAGATTTTCTGCTGTAAGAGAATGGAGTAAGCTCTGTACATGAGATAGGACACTCTAGAATTATCCCCTGAGCTTTCATCCACCTAGAGATTTCAATATTGTTTTCAAAGCCAAATGATTTGTATGCCTTGATATTTGCCTATAGACTTACCTCTTGTTTTCCCTGCCCCTTTAGCGTAGCTTAGGGATTTTTCATTTTTGTGTGCATAAGACTACTGTGCAGAATTGTGTATGTTATTCATTTATATTATGATTTAGGTAAATTCAAGGGATTTTTCAAGGGCAGCTATGATTATACACCATTATGGCCTTACCTTCTGAGAGGTAATAATTAACTTTCTCAACCCCGATCTTCTAAAAGTTGGCCTTCTATTAAAAAAATTGTTCTTCCAGGTCACTGTGCCAATCTAAAAAAAAAAAAAGCAACTGTTCTTCCATGAATTTCCATGCAAACCAGCTTTGGATTGATGCTTAAGATGATCAATCCTAGTCAACTGCCAGTAGGGACATCAGCCTCCTATTCCCACACCATCATGTTAGGAAGATGGCAGACTACTTTCAACACTGAATGCTTATGATGGAAATACAATTTTGCAGCCAAGGGTCTGTCAATTCATATTGCTATTGTATATTGGCCTTTGAACAACCAGAGAAATGGCATGCTTCTCTAATCATGCAGTGTAAGATTCTTATAGCCCAATGGTTGGGGGTCCCTCTCATAGGATCCGCTCTTTAGGCCTGCTAGATTTCTTTTATTATTATTATTATTATTATTATTATTATTATTATTATTATTATACTTTAAGTTTTAGGGTACATATGCACAATGTGTAGGTTAGTTACATATGTATACATGTGCCATGCTGGTGTGCTGCACCCATTAACTCGTCATTTAGCATTAGGTATATTTCCTAATGCTATCCCTCCCCCCCTCCCCCCACCCCACAACAGTCCCCAGAGTGTGATGTTCCCCTTCCTGTGTCCATGTGTTCTCATTGTTCAATTCCTACCTATGAGTGAGAACATGCTGTGTTTGGTTTTTTGTCCTTGCGATAGTTTACTGAGAATGATGATTTCCAATTTCATCCATGTCCCTACAAAGGACATGAACTCATCCTTTTTTATGGCTGCATAGTATTCCATGGTGTATATGTGCCACATTTTCTTAATCCAGTCTATCATTGTTGGACATTTGGCTTGGTTCCAAGTCTTTGCTATTGTGAATAGTGCCGCAATAAACATACATGTGCATATGTCTTTATAGCAGCATGATTTATAGTCCTTTGGGTATATACCCAGTAATGGGATGGCTGGGTCAAATGGTATTTCTAGTTCTAGATCCCTGAGGAATCGCCACACTGACTTCCACAATGGTTGAACTAGTTTACAGTCCCACCAACAGTGTAAAAGTGTTCCTATTTCTCCACCTCCTCTCCAGTACCTGTTGTTTCCTGACTTTTTAATGATCGCCATTCTAACTGGTGTGAGATGGTATCTCATTATGGTTTTGATTTGCATTTCTCTGATGGCCAGTGATGGTGAGCATTTTTTCATGTGTTTTTTGGCTGCATAAATGTCTTCTTTTGAGAAGTGTCTGTTCATATCCTTCGCCCACTTTTTGATGGGGTTGTTTGTTTTTTTCTTGTAAATTTGTTTGAGTTCATTGTAGATTCTGGATATTAGCCCTTTGTCAGATGAGTAGGTTGCGAAAATTTTCTCCCATTCTGTAGGTTGCCTGTTCACTGTGATGGTAGTTTCTTTCGCTGTGCAGAAGCTCTTTAGTTTAATTAGATCCCATTTGTCAATTTTGTCTTTTGTTGCCATTGCTTTTGGTGTTTTAGACATGAAGTCCTTGCCCATGCCTATGTCCTGAATGGTAATGCCTAGGTTTTCTTCTAGGGTTTTTATGGTTTTAGGTCTAACATTTAAGTCTTTAATCCATCTTGAATTAATTTTTGTATAAGGTGTAAGGAAGGGATCCAGTTTCAGCTTTCTACATATGGCTAGCCGGTTTTCCCAGCACCATTTATTAAATAGGGAATCCTTTCCCCATTGCTTGTTTTTGTCAGGTTTGTCAAAGATCAGATAGTTGTAGGTATGCGGCATTATTTCTGAGGGCTCTGTTCTGGTCCATTGATCTATAGCTCTGTTTTGGTACCAGTACCATGCTGTTTTGGTTACTGTAGCCTTGTAGTATAGTTTGAAGTCAGGTAGCGTGATGCCTCCAGCTTTGTTCTTTTGGCTTAGGATTGACTTGGCAATGCGGGCTCTTTTTTGGTTCCATAAGAACTTTAAAGTAGTTTTTTCCAATTCTGTGAAGAAAGTTATTGGTAGCTTGATGGGGATGGCATTGAATCTATAAATTACCTTGGGCAGTATGGCCATTTTCACGATATTGATTCTTCCTACCCATGAGCATGGAATGTTCTTCCATTTGTTTGTATCCTCTTTTATTTCATTGAGCAGTGGTTTGTAGTTCTCCTTGAAGAGCTCCTTCACGTCCCTTGTAAGTTGGATTCCTAGGTATTTTATTCTCTTTGAAGCAATTGTGAAGCATTCCCTTTGAAAACTGGCATGAGACAGGGATGCCCTCTCTCACCACTCCTATTCAACATAGTGTTGGAAGTTCTGGCCAGGGCAATTAGGCAGGAGAAGGTAATAAAGGGTATTCAATTAGGAAAAGAGGAAGTCAAATTGTCCGTGTTTGCAGATGACATGATTGTATATCTAGGCGTGCTAGATTTCTATGTGCAGCCCTAGCAGGTCTGGTAAATGGGATGACTGGACATTGGCACTGCTTTTGTGATACTCATTGACTTAGGGTACAAATTTCTTCATAAGACATTACTGTATTAACTTCTCATCATCTGTCCACCTCCAGCCCACTAAAATCATGATAAATGAAATAGTAAGTATAAATGAATTCTACCCATTTGTAAATTTCATTTTAAAAATTTTGAATATCGATAAAAAAGTCTGCTATTTCCTTGATCTCTTTTCCAACAGGATTAGAAAGTGGTTAAGGAAGATTTAAGATTGAAATATTAAATCTTGTTTTTTCAGCTTCTAGTGCCTTTCTGTCTACCTTGCTATATTATTAAAATCCAGTCCACCTTATCTCTATCATGTAATTAGGTTTTGTTGGATCAAAGTAGTGGTAACAACAACAACAACAATTTGAACACCATTTTCCAAGTACTTGTTACTAGCACTTCAAAATGTTATCTTATTTAATTCTCATAACTACCCTCAGAAGAACCTGTTACTATCTGTGTTTCGTAAGTGAGTAAACTGAAACTCAGAGAGGGCAAGGAACTTGTCCATGGATACATAGCAAATAGATGGTCAGTCTTTGAATTAAACCCAAATCTGTCTGACTCCAAATCCAAAGCTCTAAAAAAACATGATCGCTTTTCCACTCTGTAGTAAAAGCATTACCCAGATCTGCCATCTCCCTCAAATCTCTATGTCTCTTGTCCTCAATATTTTGCGAAGCCTACTTCATATAATGAAGCTTATGTTTTATTTTTTCTTTAAATATTTGAGTCATTGCCTATGTAGTTACTGATCAAATTTTTTTTTTCCATAGGAACTTTATATCTTAATACTTCAGTCATACAACAGAACTATCATCAGCAATAAATTTATTTATGAGTTCACTTACAAAAAAATTTCTCAAAGCATTAAGATGTACTTTTTTATATACTTTAAATTCTGGGATACATGTGCAGAACATGCAGGTTTGTTACATAGGCATACACGTGCCATGGTGGTTTGCTGCAGCCATCAACCCGTCATCTACATTGGGTATTTCTTCTAATGCTATCCCTCCCCTAGCCCCGCACCCCCAAAAGGCCCCTAATAGGATTGGTTTATCTGGTTTCTCTGCTCGCTATACTTTTGAAGCAGCAGACTAGATGTGAAAGCACATTGAGGAAGGCTGGAAGTGGTAGATGACAACTCTTTTATCCTACTCAAAATAAAAGTTTATTTCAGTTTTTATATTTTCTCGACAAGTGAGGAAGGTAACAGAAAAAAATAACAGAAGCTGACACAAAAATGTAAATTAGGCAAATAAGTAAATAGTTCTGTCAATCTCAGGGGACCCTAGGGTGTGATTATATTGTAGTACATTATAGTGTCTGCTGTTTATATTGATGATTTTGAGCCATTATGTTCCGTATATATGCTCTCTTTAAAATGGTATGCTTTGGTTATAAATTAGATTGAATAGTAAACATTTTTGTGATTGAGAGAATAAACCAAAAGTTAGAAATCCATTATTTGGAAAGACCTAGTCTCCAATGGATTCCTGCTTTGCTCTGGTAGGGATCAAACCCCATGAATATCAGAATCTACCACTTAATTTACTTCCAAAGTATTTTGGAGTAGTTAATGGATATAATGTCAGTTTTCTCTCTTTAGTTGGTTTGACTGCATGTTCCTCTCTTCTCTAGAGTGGGAGTGTATGGGATTTGGAGTAGTTCAGGTAAATATGAATCCCAGCACTGTGGCCTTGGGCAGAATTTTCACCTCCCTTTACTAGAGTGTGGTAGCTACATACATATATATATATATGTATGTGTGTTTACATATATATGTATGTATGTGTGTACATACACATATACACAGACCTATATTTGCTAAACATGTTTTTCCCACTTAGTGTGGTAACTGAACTCTTCTTTTCTGTAGGAAACTCTTCATGTGACTTTGTTGAGACTGCAATACCCTCTCACTGCGTGGGTGGCACGTGACTCGTGGCACGTGACTCAGGCCTTGTCAGGGTACCCCATTCAAGTGATTGGTCCAGGTATGAGTATATGATCCAAGTCAAACCAATCCTCAAGACTTTTCTCTAGAATTACCAGGAATAAGGCACCCTTTCACCCCACTGGGATTTCCAGCTGTAAGAATGATGTTAGCATGGAACTTTAGTGGTCATTTTTTTTACACACAGAGAGAGCCTATCTGAGAATAACACCAAAACATGGGAAAGAGAGCTGATAAATGAAGCCATAGAAATATGATGATAATCTTGAATTTGTGGACTCAGCCAGAACTGAAGACCCTGTAGACTTCCCAGGTATATGAACCAACTAAATTAAGTTGGATTTTTGGGACTTGCACCCCCAAAACTCCTTATTTGTATATTCCCTAAGCTTCGGTTTTCTAATTCATAAAATGAAGATGGGTTAATTATGCCATCGAGTAAGATTTTGATAAAACTAAGTTGTATATGTAAACTACACAGTCCACAATAAATGAACTTTGAATTCAACAGCAAACAAGCTCTCAGATTTTCTCCATAACAGACCCTCTCACTTCGGCTCCTCTCCCTGGCTCCCAGCTGATAGCTATGATTCTTGCTTTTCCTGGATGGCTCACTTCACTGTGGGCTGCTTTTCCCTAGCAGAGTTGGTCAGGGAGCCTCCTCCTGCTCTTGGCAGGCACACGTTCTTAAGAAGAAATGGTCTCTGTCCTGCCGTGCACTGAAATTGTGAAAGATCTCACCTAGGGAAGACAGCAATTCTCTCAAGAATTCCTAAGAAGACCACGTTTAAAGCACCGATGAGCTGATTTTGGTCCTGGTTCAGGAACATCTGGAGGAGCAGCTGTGGATGACAAGAACGTGTTTATCTCTTTTGAAAAGAAAAAGTGGTGGACAGGCAAGGTCCTTAGGTAGTGCTGCCCGGCAGAATAGAGGTCTGTTCCCATCATCCAAATTTGGGGTGGAAAATAATTGAGTAAAAACACAGCTTGTTTTTAAATCAAATAGCCTAAAGCTTAATGAATTGGGAAGGTAGAAAAAGAGAACTGAAATTATTCAAGCCATTTGCCTTTGTGCCTCCCATCCACTGCTAATATTGTAATAGTAAGGATCTATAAAGTCTATCAGCATTGATCTCAACATTTTCTCCACTGGCAAAACCTAAGCTTCTTCCTTATTTTAGCAAGATTAATTCCTTTGGGGTTGTATTTGGGAGATGGTATTATTGATGACTTGAAAAAGTCCCCAGAATTTACTATACCCCTTACAAGTAGGTTTTTTTTTTTTCTTTCTTTTGGCAAGATTGAAAAGACTGGACAATGACTTTTTCACAAATGAATTCAGTAGCTTGGGCTTCAACCTTATAAATTTATGATCATGGCTTTTAAAAGAATTTTTTTTAAAGTGCCTGTCCTTGTATTTCCCAAAACTAGTAAAAATAAAAGTTAAGTATTTATGATACTTGGAAAAAAAAGGAGACAAGTTGCAATTTTATAGTCTAAACTCTGACTGTAATAGCCATGCATTTTTACTCTTGCAGTCAAGTCACCAAGGGCTTTTTTTCCTTCATCATAAACAGATGAAGCTTCAAGAAAATCAAGAGGAATTGGAATCTGGTAATAAATGAACTGTAGCCATGTTACATTAATTATTGTTACTCATTTTCTAATATTCCTTTGTGGGGAGACTTTACAAAAAATCAATTCTAGACTACTTATCAATGGTAGTGGAAAGGAGAAATTCAGTCTATTTTTAAGAGGGAGAAAAATCCTTGCAAAACATACGGGTTTAGCTTTATAGGAAACAGTTTCTAGACAAACATAGATGAATGATTTAACAGCAGCAGGGCATCCATTTATGTAAATACTGAACTGTGGGACTCAAAAAAAACAAACTCAAAGAAAAACATTATTAATCAGCTTGAGTTTTTCCCCCCCATCAACTTTCTGAAAGAACAAACAGAACAACATTAAGGAACACTTTCAACAAGAACAGCAAGCAAGACACAGTTTAGTGTTGCCCTGGATAAAACTTTCCAGAGTTTCAGGAACCTTCTCTTAGCTATTCTTCATTTTCATGCATAATCTATGTGAAAATAGTCAAATACCAAAATGCTCTAATGTCCTAATTGTTTTCCCATTAGAATACTTCCTGTTTAACTTCCTGTTGACCCAACAATTATGCTGCGCCCCTTTATTAAATAAAAGTAGGTTTTAAAAATATACCTGATTTAGAGTATAGTTTACACACAAATATTTAAAGTTTCTTTTTTTTGTAGAAAGATAACATAAAGAGTCTTAGCTAAAGATGTTATGTTAACTAAATATACAAAGTGAAGTGCAGATTTAAGATGCTTTTCTGAATAACCTAGGCCTGAAAAACTTTCACCTAAAATAGGCAGGACATTGGAAGAGAATAGCTTTTGTTCCTTGATTTATCACTGTATTTTTCTTCACCTAATGCAGTGTAAGTCCAAATCTGTGTAAAAGTAGCTACCCTGAGAGTCACATGACACTCTGGCACCCATTGGAAAATGTTCAGCACATCACACCTTACCATGCAGAGGGGAGGATCACATGGCTGAATCTCTCTTCAGCCAATCATTTTTGTACTCTTTTTCTTTAGATAGTTTTCATACATGAATCGAAATTCATGGCAGAGTTGAGATGAGGCACGGAATGAAAACAAAACTGTCTACATTCTCCTAAATAATATTATTGACTATGCGGTTAATGTACTTAGATTATTAGGTGACCAATGTTAATTTGTATCTCTATTTGAATGTCTCTTACATGTCTTTGATAGTGTTAAATGTTGTATTTAACTGTAGTTTTCAATGCCAAAGATGCCTTTTGCTGTATTCTTATAAATAACTAGGTATAAGTGCATTTTAAAAGTTCAGTAAACTGTAATAGGTAATTTCTCAAACACGCTTAATGTGCACTTATAAAAATGTGACCGATATTGATGAAAATTTCAATACAAATAGTTACATTAAAAATAGCTTCTTAATGAGACTATCACTTTTAGTGTTTAGTAAACTTTCTACATTAGAGATTCATATGACTTAACATTGCTAACAACAGATAATCTTAAGTGTGTGAGTATACCTGTGTGTGTTGTAGACCCCTTTAGAAAAACTAAGCATTCTAATTGGCTTAGTTTATATTACTTTTATGATTACCTTTACATTGACTCTTCACAACATTTAATAAACAATCATTTATCTGCCATTAGTAATCCTAGTTATAGGCATTTTTAGCTATTTGAGAATTTGTTATTAATGGGGTTTTGTAAACTATTACAGAGGAATTCTTTGGAGAATGAGATTACTTTTCTGTTTTTTTTTCTTGTATGACGAAAAATAATTAGCAACTTTTCACAGTCAAATAGCTAGCTTTTTAAAAGCGTTTAAGTCATTACAGTTTGTGCACAGCTTAAAATACCATCTAAACAACATTATAATTAACAGTGGAACATTTTAAAAAATCACTCTATTTACTTGCAATCTTCTCTTTCAACAAGCTTTTTATTTTTCTGAACTTTCTTCTAATCCTGTCTATATTTTTATAACGTTTTAAGCAGTTTGAATTATAAAACATGAATTTGTAAGGTATATAAATATATATACCTGTTATACATAATATATATGTATACACATATGCATTGTATTTTTGAATAATTTTTTATGTTATTTATTTATTTATTTATTTTTGAGACAGAGTGTGACAGCCCATGTTGGTGTGCAGTGGCGCAATCTCAGCTCACTGCAACCTCTGCCTCCTTGGTTCAAGCCATTCTCCTACCTCAGCCTTCCCAGTAGCTGGGATTATAGGCGCGTGCCACCAAGCCCGGCTAATTTTTGTATTTTTAGTAGAGGTGGGTTTCACCATGTTGGCCAGGCTGGTCTTGGGTCTCGAATTCCTGACCTAATGATCCTCCCACCTTGGCCTCCCAATTTTTTATTATTTTTGTAGAGATGGGTTTTCCTGTGTTGCCCAGGCTGGTCCCAAACTCCTGAGCTCAAGTGATCCTCCCACTTCGGCCTCCCAAAGTGCTGGGATTATAGGTGTGAGCCCCCACACCCGGCCTATGTTATATTGAAAGTACACTCCTATTGTTCTTACTGCGGGTTGTTGGGTTTTCAGCTTTGGTTTTTTGCAGTGCTTTAGTCTGTGCTTTTTGGATATCTACATTTATACATGAAAAATAAATGTGGGTTTTGGGACATTAACATTTTTGTTTTAAACTAGAAAACATCTGAAAACAAAATAGCCCTTTTTGTTACTTCACCTTAAATTCTACATTTTCTGATCATAAGGATGAAATGTGGTTTGACAAACAGAAAGTTGGATGAAAACAAGTATTGTGATTTTTTGTTCTTATGAACTTCTGCTAGTAACTGAATGTAGCCCTGAACATGAACTTATATCTATACTATTCCTATCCTGGCTGTTCTGGTGCACACTGAAGAATTTAATCATGTCAGTTGTCTGTTTCTTGAGTTTTCATTTGCAGGAAATCAAAGGAGAGAACATTAAACAGAGACATGCTCTAATCCTGACGTTAATTAGCTGTGGAGCCCAAACATGCAATTAATTAGTAGCTCGTTTTTGCCTCTACTAATAATTTTCTGCATGTTCATTATGCATTAAGCACTGTGCCAACTACTTTACCTATGTTTTCTCCTTTAATTCTCCTAGTGAGCCTTCAGTGTAAGTCCCATTTTGCAGATAAAGAAAAAAATTTCCTAGAGATCAAGCCCTTGCCCAAAGGCACCTAACTTTACAAAGCTCTGCAGTAGAACCATGGTTTGAGTCCAGGCATTCTGACTCCATAGCAGATACATGTAACCGCTAAACTGCCTTTTACTCAAGAATAAAAAGTTTGATAAACTCTCAACTGTTGGCAGGCACAGTGGCTCATGCCTGTAATCCCAGCACTTTGGGAGGCCAAGGCAGGTGGATCACCTGAGGTCAGGAGTTTGAGACCATCCTGGCCAATATGGTGAAACCTGGTCTCTACTAAAAATACAAAAATTAGCCAGGCATGGTGGTGCATGCCTGTAGTCCCAGCTGCTCAGGAGGCTGAATCAGGATAATTGCTTGAACCCGGGAGGCAGATGTTGTAGTGAGCTGAGATTGCACCACTGCACTCCAGCCTGGGTGACAGAGAGAGACTCCATCCCAAAACAAAAACAAACAAACAAACAAAAAACAATGAAAATATTGAAAGGATCTTATTTCTGTCATTGTCCAGAGATTTAAATTTCAACATCAGGACCATTAGTCTGGTAAATGTATTCCTGAGCCTATGATAGAGGTGTCTCATTTCTTTTGACATTATGGTTTTGTGCATACAGTATATTGCATGACTCTGCATAAAACATACTGATATATCTTGTATATCAGGCCTATGATATGGTCCTTCACCATCTGCTTAAGAGATTAGATTTCTTTCTTGCAGGACCCTGGGTATATTTGGAGGAAACTGAATTCAAATATTGCTCAGTTTTCTCTGTGTAGATGACTCAAAGATTTATGAAACAAAAGAGAAGATAACACAGATGCTGCTCATGTTATGTTATTACCACAGCACTATGGCTAAGTACTTAGCATTTGCTACAAATGATGGAGCTGGCTCAATATAGTGGAGGTCTCAGGGCCTGTGTTATATGGCATGTCCAGCACCAGGAGTGACAGCAAGGTACATGTAGACCATTCCTCCCAGGGTGAGCTGATAATAGTTAAATCATTATTTGCAGCTAATCTAGAGTCTACAGCCATCTAAGGAAACATTATCTGAGTCTCTCATGGCATCAGTGAAAAACAAAGCAATAATTTATCTCTGACTACTGAGAAGGTGGAAATGCAATATAACAATAACTAGTCCTACATAGGACATAGTTACATATTACAAAAGAGTTTACTCTCCATGAATAAGGTTACTTTCTTTCTCTTTCTTTCTCTCTCTACTTCCTTCCTTCCTTCCTTCTTTCTTTCTGTTTCTTTCTTCTTCTTTTTTTTTTTTTTTTGACAGAGTCTCACTCTGTCGCCCAGGCTGGAGTGCAGTGGCACAGTCTCAGCTCACTGCAATCTCTGGCTCCCAGGTTCAAGCGATTCTGCAGCCTCGGCCTCCTAAGTAGCTGGGATTACAGGCACTTGCCACCACACCCAGCTAATTTTTGTATTTTTTAGTAGAAATGGGGTTTCGCCATCTTGGCCAGGCTGGCCTCGAACTCCTGACCTCAGGTGATCCGCCCGCCTTGGCCTCCTAGAGTGTTGGGAATACAGGCATGAGCCACCACACCGAGCCAGATAAAGTTCTTTTTAACTAAGGACTAAAATTGGCAAAATGTGTTAGTATTGCCTGGGCAAATTGTGCTTCATATTTTTTTATCTATATTGTGCTCCTTTGAGATGTTGTGCTAGTAAGTTTGTCTTTTGTGGCTGAAAGACAGGTGTCATCCAATTATATCAAAGCTAATGAACTCCCTGGAGACAACAAAATCAATTGGAAAAGCTTTCAAAATTATGGACCAATTGTCTTTCTCAAAGTGGAAGTTTTTCAAAAAATAACTAATGAAGAGGTGTTCGCTGGCTAGAAATGGAATAAATTTAACTAGAAATAACAATATAAATTTCGTAAAATATCCTCACGATATGCTGCATTTAGGTATTATTAATTTCCATTGTGATTAATCTCTCTGCTTGGTTCCGTTTACACGACTTAAAAATGTGTCTACCTGAGGGATCATGATAATTATCCCAGAACCATCTGCCCTTTTGTGTCTTCAGCGTCAGACAATGGCATGCCTTAGCATTTTAAGTTATTTAATTTCTAATTAATGAGAAAATTTGAAAACCAACATAGATTGTATAGTACATTTTATAATTCAAATAACAGTATACATAATTATGGAACAAAGTTTTCAATGTCTCAAGAATGTGAACACCCAGGGCAAAAGAAAATCAAATAAAAACATTAACCTCTTGTGGAGAGACCTCGCTAAGAAACAATCTAAGAGTTTATTATGTGATTCATGGAAGATTTACTGTGAATTGTCAATTTGACTTAGTATGTACAGGGAACATGGCACTGGGTTACAAAGGAGGGGGTTAGGAGGCACTCGACATTAAGATTATAAGAAATACTATAGGCCAGGTGTGGTAACTCACGCCTGTAATCCCAGCACTTCGGGAGGCTGAGGCAGGCAGATCACGAGGTCAGGAGTTCGAGACCAGGCTGGCCAACATGGTCAAACCCCATCTCTACTAAAAATACAAAAGTTAGCTGGGCTGGGTGTGGTGGCACTTGCCTGTAGTCTCAGCTACTTGGGAGGCTGAGGCAGAAAAATCACTTGAACCCGGGAGGCAGAGGTTGCAGTGAGCCGAGATTGTGCCACTGTACTCCAGCCTGGGTGACAGAGCGAGACTCCATCTCAAAAAAAAAAAAAATTGTGCTTGCTCACAAGTAGCTTATCATTTTAGGTCAGCAATTGAAATATTGGCAAAACACAATGAAACATTGTTTCACATATAAAGCTGAAATCACAAACTATTAAATGTGGCATTTGCTTCACAATAGAGTTGCATTAACTTGTGAACAATTTCTTCCTTGGTATCTCTTATGACTAGTAGCAGGGATGTGTGAAACCACATCAAGGTAAGATACTAAAGTTGTCTTGGTAAAGTCTTCAGCTTTAGGTAGCTCTTGAACTGGCTTAGGTTGACTGGGAAGCAATCAAATAGGTGAGTAAGTGGTTTAATTTACTAGACAGTGTGACTGAAACAAGGACTATATTTCTCTCTCTTCTCTCTCTTTCTCTCTCTCACTTCCCCCAATGATTATTATTGAGCCATCCATATTTTGTTGTATAGAAATATATTTTATCTAGATCAACATGGATTCAATACAGATATATCCATTGTCAACATTTCCTTTCTCTTCATTTTCTCTCTAATTTAGACCTAAAACTTTGGCTTAGCTATAGGAAAATGGGTTTGGCTATAGAAAAGAAAGTGTTTTCATATTCCCTCCATGTCCATGTTTGAAAATGAAGTCTAGTATATAATAGAGTGAAAAATACCCTAGATTGCATATTGGTGGTATAGGTTCTCATTTCAGGTTTCCTTACAAGTAGCCACTAATTAGCAGGGTGACTATGGAAAAGTTGCATAACCACTTTTTGGTGTGGGTTTGTAGAATCGAGGAGGTTTAATCAGGTAACTTCTAAGGCTTCTATCACTGCTGTGATCTGTGCCTTTATGCATTGATCAGGCTAGTCCTCTGATAGACTTCATTGACAATTGGACATTGCCTTTGTCCTCAAGGCATATGTAATCTAATCACAGTAGGAAGATAGGCTTGATATCACTAGGCTATTAGAAAAAATATACAAATCCAACTGATCCATTTTTATTCTCATCTTGTTTTATTTTCCATGGGCTTTGTAAAGAGCTGTCTCTTCCTTTTTTTGAAAACACTGTACTTGTGGCTCCCAGGACACCAGAATCTCCCAGCTTTTCTCCTACATCAGTCTCCTTCTCATTTCTTTGCTTCTTTACATTGCTAAATATTTTTATTGCCTTGTCTTCTATTTTTGTTTGCATACTTTCTCTATATATAATCTTATTGGTATTCATGCCTTTAAATGTTATCTATATTCTGCTGTTTGCCACATCTATAGGTTTAGATTTTTCCTTTGAGTTCTGGTTTATATTCCAAACTACTTACTTGATTGCTTCATTTCATAGAAGCTTTAATTTTAACATATTATAAACTGAACTCTTGATTTCTCTACTCTTTCCACCTGCAGTCCTCTTGGTAAATGGTAAGGCCATTTTTTTTTCATTTATTCGTTGGAGTCTTGATGGTTTTCCTATCAATTTATACAGATCCTCATATTTTATAAAGACTAACATTTTTTACCTGTCATATAGGCTGAAAATCTTTTTCCCTAGGCTTTTGTTTGTGGTTGTTATTTTTGTGTTTCAAATTCTAGATTTAAATCGTTCATTGAACAATGATTATCATTCACTTAAGGCAGTAGCATTAATAAATAAAAGAAGAAAAAGAGCATTATTAACAATAAAAGTAAAATAGATTTTTAAAATTATTAAGTAGCATGTCTTGCTTATTAGCAAGATATTTAAATGAATCCAATGTTGTAGAACACAAAGTGAAACTGATATTTTAAATTCTTCTTGGTAGTTTAAACTTGCTCAACACTGTTAGAAAAATTGTTAGTGTTAGGCATCAAAACTTTAATAGTTACTACCTTTATTTAGAAATCCTTTCTCTGAGAATTTATTTGTAAGAAGAAAATTTTGGAAAAACATAATATTTTATATTAGAGAATCATGATTGCCTTATTTAACATATGGGAAAAGCTAAAGCAATCTAAATGACTAGCTGTAGAGGAGTGGTTGCTTCTCAGCTTCTATGGGATATTATGTAGTCATTACATCTAATTCTGAAGTCTTTGTAGGACCATTAAAAATGATTAATTCAGGTGTTGGCACAACCTGAATAAAGTAGGTGTAAGAGTTCTCTTGGTTGATCATGGATGACTATCGTGAGTCCTTCACTGTAAGTCTGATATGTGGTGTTATCTTTCAAGTAATCAGAGGTTTGCAGAATTAACAAGGGAGAGGAAGCCACAGAATACAAGGAAATTTGTTATCTATTAAAACCAGAGCATCACAGTTGGGCAGTAGCTTTGAAATTTGACAGGACTGTTTTCCATGCTTGACGGCAGTTTGGTTTAAATTAGAGAGAAAGTAGACCTTAAGTCTCTGTCAAACTTAGTGTCTGAAGACAGTGGCCACACTGGCAGCAAAACGTGAACCTGGTCATGGTTGAGTCAACAGTGGTGGATGGCACTCTAGGTTTAATAGAAGGAGCTGATATCCTATTGATGATATTTGCCTCTGCAAAATATTCCAGTTGTCCTCAGATTGCTGAAGACCCTTGCAATTACTTCCAGCCCAGTCATGCCATCACCATTCAGATACTCCAGGCAATCTAATAAGCCTGGTCCCATGTTTAACAATGCAGTGTTCTGATAGGAAGGGTTCTTATATGAACTCTCTTCTAAATAACCAAAGCAGATGGATTTAGGATTATCATCCATTTGATCTCCCACATTAAGTTTTGCAATCAAGTGGGAAGTAACTATTTCCTGATTAAGTATTTGAGCAAGTATTTTGGCATTGGCTTAGGCAGGCACTATAAGCTGGCAATCTGGATACCTCAGGATCCAGTTCTGATCTTCACACTCGTTACCTGGTTAATTCAGGAAAAACGTACTTAATTTTCTCCCTCTTTTGCTTAATTTTAAAGAATTAAATATAGCTACTATGTCTATCTAACTTTTCAGAAAAAAAAATCTTTGAAGAACATGTTACTTTAGAGGAGGAAAACGTATCTTTTCCTTCTTTCATTTTGGATTAATTGACTGGGTTAATTGGCTGGACCATGTAACAAAGGATAGATTAACAGGAGAAAAGTATACACATTTATTTAAGTTTCCCATAACATGGGAGATTTCATAAGGAAATGAAGACTCAGAGGAAGAGTTAAACCTGAGTATTTTTTATGGTAGGTTTGATGAAGAGTGGAGAGTTGTGGAGAAATAGGGCTGGGTGGAAAGGGTCTGATCTAATGGTAATAAACTGGGGGAAACTCAGCAAGGCCTATTCATTCAGATTCCTCTCTGTGCCCCTGTGTCTTTGGAGATGACTTTTCCTTTAGGATGTTCTTTTCCTCGAGGTATAGGGAGGGCACTTTGCACTTGAGATTTTTGTGGTCTGCTTCAGAGGAAGGTCGGAAAATTCTTCCTAGGTTTATGACCTGCTTGATAAAGGGGAGACCTCAGGCAAGGATGCTCAGAGAGACTTTCCTGCTTCTGCCTTTTTCTCAAATTCCTTCACCATAAAATATTCAATACACCAAGGTTTCATATTTTGGAGATGTTCTGAATCGCATCAATATTTATACTCCATATTAATATTTGGCTATAGAAAATATAAAAATTCTGTTTAAATTAAAGCCGCATAGACAATAGTATCTCCAAAATACCAGTAGTTCCAATAAACTATCTCAAGAAGATAAGAAAAGCTGGTAAAGATTGGCAAAGAAGTGAAATATTCAGAAAGAAATAGAATGAAAGCCATTATTGCTAGAGCTGGGGAAAGAAATTAACATGAGAGAAGTAGAAAATATAAATAGAATGAGATGAAGAAGAAAACCTAACATAAGAAGCCATCTATGAAATTAAAAGATACAAAAGTCAAGAAATCTAAGATTTACACCATAGGTATGCTTTCAGTGGTTATTTGCAAACCACATTCTTTTATTTGATTTCAAACCAGCCTAATTCAAAATAACTGACATAACATCAAAAGATATTTCCTATGGTGTTGGTTGGCTTTCATGTAAACGTACCTATGGAGTTGGAAAATATAGGAAGTGATGGAAGAAAGGCAAGTGGCTAAGTGGACTGGCTGAATTGCTGACTTGGTGACGTATGAATGAAACAAATAATTATCCAAATGACTCTCTGTAGGATTCAATCCAGAGAGTAATCAGCTCCACTCTCTATTTCCTTCCTCTGAATAGTCCTTTCCTGTTTTGTGAGATCTGGTGCAGATGAGACGAGGCTATTTTATTTTTGTCACTTGGGGTCCTGTTTTTGTGTATACAGTCCAAATTAAATGGCCTTAAAGAAACTGATGAATTCTGTCCATGAAATACTTTAATAAAAACAGTTGCCATTTACTGAATGTTTATAAGGCACCCATCTTCTATGGTTTTAATCTTCTCGATAGTCCTGGAACTTAGGTATTATAAATTCGTGTTAATATTTCACATTTCATAGTTTAAAAGTGGGCTCAAAAAATTAAGCTATGACTTTTGACAAACAAGCCATACTCATTTGGTTCCAAAAACTATGGTTTTTTTTTTTTTTTTTAAGTATGCAGTTTTTTTGGTTTGTTTTTGTTTTTTTTTTCTTTTCTTTTTTTTTGAGACGGAGTCTCGCTCTGTCACCAGGCTGGAGTGCAGTGGCGCGATCTTGGCTCACTGCAACCTCCGTCTCCTGGTTCAAGTGATTCTTTTGCCTTAGCCTCCCAAGTAGCTGGGACTACAGCCACACACCACCATGTCCAGATAATTTTTGTATTTCTAGTAGAGACAGGGTTTTATCATGTTGGCCAGGATGGTCTCAGTCCCTGACCTCGTGATCTGCCTGCCTTGGCCTCCCAAAGTGTTGGGATTACAGGCGTTAGCCATTGTGCCCGGCTGCAGGTTTTTTTTTTTTTTTTTTTTTTTTAAAGCTTTTCATCCTTTTGGGATTTAGCTTTGCCTGTGCAGATGCAATGTTAGCCTTTTACTAAAGAAAAGGGTGAAAAAGAAAGAGTTATTATATATGTATGGCATTTGCAGATTTTAGTACCTCCGATTTAGGAAAGAATTGTAATGATGCCACTCAATATTCCACCTACCTCTGGTAAAAGGAAGATTAGAAGATTGGAAAATTTGACATGACTTTGATGTGTTAAATGCCAAATAGTGCTGCACAGGATGAAAATTCTTTGGAAGACGACCACAAGTATAACTATTTTTGCAGGTGTTTTAGAGCAAAAATCTGTTCACTCAGTGATTCCACATTTTTGGGAAGGACTTAACTAGGAAAAATTTTACTTTGCAAGGAAGAAACGTGAAAATGCCAGAAATACAGAGGTAATTATTTTGATCAAGTGTTTATGTTACCAATTATAATGGCAAAATCAATTTTTACTTTATGGAATCATTTGTCAAAAAGCTCATGACATATTGGTAATGGCAGCAAAAGCAATTACATTTTGTTTCTTGATTAAGAAGAAAGAAAATGAGTATTACCCATTAATTAACAAAATTATGAAGAGTCTTAATTCAGATATACACTTGTTTCCTTGATGAATGCAAGGTGATTTGAGATTTGTAGAAACCTGTTGCAGTTTGGGTAAGGAAGGCCAGATTAGAAAGATGAATTTAAGCTTTGCTGGTAACACACTCAATGGAATGTAGAAAAAAATTAGAGTTTTCAAGAAGGAAAACTTTGATTTATCAGGACACATGAAGCTACTGGGGAGAAAGGATCCACGTTAGCAATTTTTCACATAGTCTTGGAAATAGCCTTGTATGTGGCTGTAATCCAAATTACAAATCTGTGTTTAACCAGATGACAACTAAGGTCAAGATCTGAATCTTCTAACAGCTTGATCCAGACCTTTAGTGAGACCCTGCCAGCCTTTGAGACTTCCCTCAGCATCTGAGTTGACACAGAGAAGTATTAAATATCCTGGACTGTGTCTGAGAGTCTGCTCCTAAATAAGGCTCATTTCTTTTAAAACCATGGATTAATTTCATTAAGCATGCAAGAGTTCTTTAGAAACTTTCTTGTGTGGGCTGTAGCTCATTTTCATTACTGTGTTTTTCTCCCCCCGACCACTGCATCACTTAGGACAATTCATTAGAAAATCCAACAGAATTTATTTGAAGTAACCAATTAATCCTTTGAGATGCAACAATTAATATGCAAATTGTATCACATTAAGAATCTCAGGAGGAATGAATTAAATTGAAAAATACAACCCTTCAGAAATTAAAAAAGATATTGTTTTTCCATCTACAGATTTTCAGACTTCATTTGATTTTTCTTCTATGGTTCATTTTATTATCTCCTTGCCTAGAAGTACCAAAACAAATGACCATGCCTGTCTTAAATGCATTACATCAGGATACTAATAGAAGGATATTAAACATGATAGCCATATTGACAAAAGACCTGATGAGGCAAATAACCATATACATAAATATGAATTTGTAACAGAATAATTACATCAAAAAGTAAACAATTTTCATTGCCATTTCCTTCTTAGAAATGTTCACAGGGAAATAAAGGACTAAGGTCATTTTGAGAACATTACTAAACAGACAACCTCTTTACTCATGCAAGTAAATTCTGTGTTACAGTTAGGTTTTAAATGGGTTTCTCTGATGACTGCATAATGTCAGGGAGATATGAATATTGCCAATAAAACAACTTTTAAATAGTGTCTAAGACTCACTGAGTGCTTTCTATATACAATTTGCTATTCTAGGCCCATAGCATGTCATCTGAGCCTCACAATGGCTCTGTGAAATTGGGACTGTCATTGCAATCTTGTAACTGCCCAATGGGCTCTCCTTGCCCGCTGTCTAGGCAGAGCCAATATATCAACGCAGGGGAATTGCAATAGAGAAAGAATAATTCATGCAAAGCCCAGCTGTGTGGAAGACTGGAGTTTTATTATTACTCAAATCAGTCTCCCTGAAATCTTGGGGATTGGGATTTTAAAGGATAATTTGGTGGGTAGGGGGTAGGAAAGTGGGGAGTGCTGATTAACCAATCAGAGATGAAATCATAGGGAGTTAAAGCTGTCCTCTTGTGCTGAGTCAGTTCCTGGGTGGGGTCCACAAGACCAGGGGAGCCAGTTTATCAACCTGGATGGTGCCAGTTGATTCAATGAGTGCAGGGTCTGCAAAATATCTCAAGCACTGATCTTAGGTTTTATAATAGTGAAGTTATCCTGAAGAGCAATTTGGGAGGCTTAGAATCTTACAGCTTCCAGCTGCATGATTCCTAAACCATAATTTCTAATTTGTAGCGAATTTGTTAGACCTGTAAAGGCAGTCTAGTCCCCCAAGCAGGAAGGGGGTTCGTTTTGGGAAAGGGCTGTTATCTTTGTTTCACAGTTAAACTATAAACTAAGTCCCTCCCGTAGTTAGTTTGGCCTTCACCCAGAAATGAGTAAGGACAGCTTGGAGGTTATAGAAGCAAGATGGAATCAGTTAGGTCAGATCTCTTTTACGATCATAATTTTCTCAGTTATAATTTTTGTAAGGTTTGTTTCAATCTTACAGGACAGGAACCAGAGGGTAAAGTGCTTTACCTGAGGCTGCCAGAAAGCTGGGCCAGGATCTCAGCCCAAGCATTTCATGCTAGGGATCATGTTTCTCACCATTGTGCCATCTCTGAGAAAGGTAAGAGAAAATATCATTGGCAAGTTGTTAAAAAAAATTAGAGAGATAAACATTGCTGTTGAGGTCATTATCATCATGTTACCTTCTTGCTCTTATTATTCTAAAGGTACAATAAGAAATATGCATTAGGAATTAATGCACAGGTGACTTGTTTTTCTACTGAGCTCAGGAGGCAATGAATGTATCATCTCATTATTTTACCTCAAATTTTCTCAGTAAGAGATTGCAAGAAGTCAAAATTGTCCTTGTAGTGGAAGTAGGGAATATTGAGGTGGCTACACAATCACTGGTGGTCAATATTTGCAGATAATTGAGTTAATTATCAAAATTCTTTTGGAAAACAGTTACTTTCTATAAACTACCCAGTATTCAGATTCCTTTTTTCTTTCTGCTTACTATAATAATTCATCATTATCCCTATTATCATCATCTTTGTTTTTTTTTTTTTTTTCAAAAGATTTGAGAAAACTGCCTGCACCCAATACCTCAGGGAAAAGTTAATTTTGGGCTGAAGTATTAATTAATTCAGCAAACCAGTGATTACTAAGCATCTATTCCATGTAAAATGCTGCAGTAAGTGCCTCATAATAAGAAATTTAAAATGCTCCAACTTTCAAGTATCTGCAGTTTAGTTGGGCCAACAAATCATATACACAATTATAATCCAAGGACTTCTGAGAAAAGTACTCTTAAAATTATATTATGTAAGATTTATATAAAATATGTAAGATTTATGTAAAATTTCAGAATTATATAGGAATTTATAGGTTATTTCCAAGTGAGGATTAGAGATAAGGATGAGGGAAATCTGAGAAGGATTATGAAGAGGGGGCTTTCAAATTAAGTTTTGTGGGAAGAATAAAGTGTGTGTGTGTTGGTATAAATCTATTTATTATGTAACAACTTTGCCAAATTTTCTCTGAAAAATAGATTCATCTTTATTGAGAAAAAACCCTCACTAGGCTAGAGAGTCAGTGTAGCAGTGTCACTGATATGCTGCTTAGTCACTATGTGATCTTGGGTAAATTACTATCCCTCTGTTTCCTCACCTGTAAAATAGGGATGACGAAAAATACCTGTGAATACCCATAAAATAGCGATGATCTGCATTATCAGGTTGTTCTGATGATTAAGTGAATTAATATGGGCAAAGCAATCACAACAAAGCTTGGGACTACATAAATGTTTGCTACTAGGATTATTCTTTAAATGGAATGGCGAATTCTAATCAGTGGTGTGCATTTTGGATGCTTAGATATTAAGGCAAGAATTATTTTGTATGTTTCATAAATAAGAGGAAGGACATTGTGATCTCCAACAATGGCCAAGGCACAGATATAAAGAAACATAAAGCTTGTTTAATGCAACAGTTGCATTTTAGTTTGTTTGCGGAAAGTGTGTTTTAATTTGGATTTTAAGAAATTAAAATATCTTAGTTATTCTAAGGCATATTTACAGGTCAGATTAAGATAGATAAGGTTTTTGAAGACTCATGAACATTAAATTATTCGAATTCTCTACTTTTTCTTAGCAGTCTTACATTTTTGATAAGACCACAAGAGCAAACATATCCTTCTCAGTATTTCCTACACGAAGCTGGGTAAAGTATAGAGATAAAACAATGTGGCACCCACTGAAAATTGATTGGTTCTTTAAGAGGATACTTCTGCAAGAAATCCTTTCAAGAAGATTAAAAACAGTCATTTTCTTCTGCCTCACATGATCATGTAGCAAAGGGACATTCTTATTCTTGTCTTTCTGGAAAATAAAACCTATTCTTAACACTATACAATGATATAGTCTAGTTTATACAGAGAACTTCCCCTCTTTCTTTAGCAGTTATGCATTACTCTGATCATTTGCGTAATGTCAGGGAGATATGATATGCAGTATTGTTAACCCAGGTAAAAATGAAACTCTCTCTTTTCTAATCTCATTGTATTCCCAAAGCTTCTTGATTTATTTTTATAGGGCTGCCTAGATTTTCATAGTAAAAAGCCACTTGAAAATCTTGTCTAAATGTGTTCAGGTGCATGCTAATTGATTTTCTTCCTTCTATTGAATTTTGCACAACAGGAGAAACAGCTGGAGCCAGTTTATTAACTAATTAGAAATCTTAGGGTTGGGAGATACCTGGAAAAAAACAGAAGGGGAAACTATCATGATACGAAAGAAAAGAGAACTTCCTGACAATGAGATATAATATTTATCCATTTGCCCAATGATTACTTCCTCTAAGAAGCTTGCAGCTAGAAATAGACTGGAAAGTAAATTAAATATACTTCCTGAAAGATGCTCCAGAATGGTAAATGTGTTTTTTGGTGTTTGATGGTTGATACTGGTATAATAGACTGGTATTTTATATTTCAGGGTGATTGTTTCAAATGACAATCACCCAACTCCAAATACTTTAAGCAAAGAAGGGAAATTATTGACTTATTTAACTGGGAATTTCTAGGGTGTTCTGACTCCAGGCATAGCAGGGACTCAAGTAATGCTGTTTGGGTTCTGTCTAACTCTGTCTCTTAACCCTTTTATGTCTTTTAACCCTTCCTTTTTATGTGGCTTGGATATGCTTTTCTGGCTGGCTTTCTTCCATGTGGTAGATAAGATGGCACTGGCAATCCCAAGTTAAATCCTTATGTCTTGAGATCTAAAGGGAAAAGGAAGCCACTCTCTCTCAAATGCACATATCAATTCTGAGAGTAGACCTTAATTGGCTTGCTTATGTCAGTGGTCCTGTCATATGTGATAAAAGTCTTCCCAGACATTTAACCTGTGTACACATCAATTGTTGACCTTGTAAAAAATGCAAGTTCTAAGGCTAGGCACAGTGGCTCATGCTGTAATCCTAACATTTTGGGAGACGACAGTGGGTGGATCACCTGAGGTCAAGTGTTCAAGGGTAGCCTGGCCAAATGGTGAAATTCCATCTTCTACTAAAAATATAAAAATTAGCCAGTTGTGGTGGCACACCCCTGTAATCCCAACTACTTGGGAGGCTGAGGCACAAGAATCGCTTGAAACCAGGAGGCAGAGGTTGCAGTGAGTCCAGATTGCACCATGCACTCCAGCCTGGGTGACAGAGTGAGACTCTGTGTCACAAAAAAGAAAAAAAGGAAGTTCTAAATAAGCTTTTTTTATATATTTTTTTATATGGATAATTTAACTCCCAAGGCCAGGAACTAATAACATGTGATGGACATCAAAAAAGGAGAAAACCAATAATCAATGAAATAAATAGAAATCAAGAAACTGAAGGAGGCTGTTATCAGAGAAAGAAAAGGCACAAGAAATTGGATAATCTAGATACCTGGGTAATAAATTCAAGCCTCATGTAAAACAGTGCTGTGATCAGAAAATTTATGTCCCTGGCAAATTCATATGTTGAAATCCTCACCCCCAAGGTGATGGCATTTAGGAGCTGGGGCAATTGGGGGCAATTAAGTCATGGGGAGTCCATGAAAGGAATTAGTGTCCTTATAAAAGAGACCCCAGAGATCCCCTTTGTTTCTTCCATCTTGTGCGGTTAGATGGCTGTCTATGAGGAAGTGGGTCCTCACTAGACATGGATCTGCTAGCACCTTGATCTTGGACATTCCAGCCTCCAGAACTGTGAGAAATAAATGTCTATTGCTTATGAGCCATCCTGTCTATGGTACTTTGTTACAGCAGCCTGAATGGATTAAGACAAACAGCAATGGCTCTATTTTCAATTGAGAATTAACCAAAAGGAAAATGGGTGTTTCAGTTCATTACTCTTAGTTGTACTCAAATGATAATTATGATCATTTACATTATGATACTGTATGGATACACACAATCCCATTTTATTTTCGTAAAAATTTTGAGAGAGAAGTTATTTGTAATTCTTCCTATCAAATCAGTGTAAGCCACCTAATTCCCTGAGCAAAGAGTATAGTCTTGCAGAGCTCAGCTCTGAGGACCAGCAATATGGCAGGATCAGGTTCCTAATTTGCTCCCATCTCCTTAGAAAAGCGAGGGAACATCTGTGGTTTGATACTCTTGGTATCCCTCAGTTGAAGTCAGCGTAGGTCTTTCTCACTACTCCCCCTCTCCCGTTTTGCCTTGTTCAGTGGTCTGGAGACAGTAGAGTAGGCAATGTCTACGTGACTGTGAACAGCACGCTCCTTCCGCTCCTCCTCAGAAGAGATTCCGGCTTCCGTCTTAAGAGGGCAGCCCCACTATTGATCATCTGCTTGTCATTGTCCTCTAGCTCCCTCTGTCAGGTCTTCCTCTAATCCTGTTATCCTTCTTGGAGTGTGATTCTCTGCACCCATCCCACCTCCACCATCTTTGTTAAAATATTTTGCTTTTTCAGCATAATTTAAAACCCAAGATAGGAGGAAGTCTACTCTGAATTATTCTCTTTAGTTCTGACCACCTGGTGGTCAACTCGGAATCTGTATTATTTGCATCATACTACACACAGTATTTCTCATTACAGATGGATCTTTTAGGCATATTTCTCCTTTATTTTCTACCTGAACATAAATTAAAAGGAAAGTGTAGAGTGTTCCTCATTTAAAAAAAATTTCTACATACTAGATAATTTTAATATAGAACACATGATAAGGAAGATCTGCCATGAAACTGTATGAAAAATATTTGAAAAATCAGTTAATGAAGTGGTAATTTTAGTCTGAATGTTTTAAAATGGAATGCCATTAAAAACACTTTAAAATATGGTATTTCTGATACGATTTATTAATCATGAAGAAGCACATATTGTGTTTTCATATCTTAAAACCAACAGAGTGACTTTTGATTTTCAGAGAGGTTTAATGTTCCTATTCAAATTTCAACTGTTTCTACAATTTTTGTTTTAATTGAATGATCTTAAAGTGTTTAGAGATTTTACTTCTCAAACAGGCCCTTTCCCAGGATTTCCTCTCAGAAAGTACATTAAATCTTCCATATTTGAACAGCAGCTTGATCTCTAGAGCTTTCCTCTGTATGTCTATTTAGCAGAATCTGCTCTAATAAGCTTACTTTTCCTTAGGAATTATTCTTTTCAGTCTTTAAATGAAACTTCCACTTCCTTCCAGGATCTTCTTACTACACAATTCATCTGCCTAGACAGTACCTGTTTCTTCCTCTTCTCGATTAATAGTTGTTTGGAATTTTTACTCAAAAGTTTTTCTTGCTATTTATGATAGAATGAATATTAAGTCAAATCTGGAGTGAACTTCCTTGATTGAAATTGTTCTTTGCTGGCATTGAAATAAATGCATGTGGAAGGAGCAGTGATAGTGAGAGAGTCAGCTTCTGTTGAATATCTCTGTAAAGGGACTGTCTTCCATGTGGTTCACTTAGATCTGCTCTCCTCATTTCAGACTCCTTCTCCAGGGCTCCAATATATTCTGCCTCACACTTCCAGTCCCCGCCTGAATGAATGGCCCTCAACCCTTCTTCTGGAGGCAAAGAAATCTGAGGCTTTCTCCATTCTTTTAAATCTTGTAATACATATTAGTTTGTTAGGAATGCCATAAGAAAATACCACAGACAGAGTGGCTTAAACAACAGAAATTTATTTTCTCACAATTCTGGAGGCTAGAAGTCTAAGATCAAGGTGTCAGTGGGGTGGATTTCTTCTAAGGCCTTTCTTCTTGGTTTGTAGATGGTCATTTTCTCTCTCTCTGTTTCTTCACATGATCTTTCCTCTGGGCTTGTCTATGCCCTAATCTCTCCTTTTTATAAGGACAGTCAGTCATACTGGATCCACTTTAATGACCTCATTTAGCCTAAAATTACCTCTTTAAAGATCCTATCTCCACATATCATCACATTCTGGGGTACTGGGGGTTAGGACTTTAACAAATGAGTTGGAGGTGTTGGGGCATAAATCAGCCCACAACACTCTATGTCTTAGTTCTTTGAGCTTTAAGAGCCTATTTGTGAGTTGTTGAAAACCAGCAAATTTATTGTTTCTCCTTCTTTGTCCTTGTTATAGAAAAAAACTAATTTTCCTTGAGGAAATGATTAATTGGTAAGATTATATATAAAGAAAAGCACACATGTTACTATTTTAAGACAGTATTTTACTGCTCCTACACTTGTGCTTGGCACTTCCTAAAATTAATGACCTTGATTAAATATGCACTGACTGTGTCAGTGTATGGAAGAGGAAACTGACCTGCAGAGTATAGGTCAGGTGCATAAGGTCACTTGGCCATTGGTAGTCATGACAAGAATAGAAGGCAGGAATGTCTGTCTGTAAGACCAAAGCCCTAATTGTAACAGTGACTATCTTCAATTTAAATTGGGCAAAAGTGTTTAAGTGTATTATATGGTATTAATGATTTATATTGCTTATAGTTAATGGAAGAAGAATACCAAAAGAGTAACGTGGTGGCCTGAATTGGCTTAGTAATAATTGCTGACATCCATGGTAGTGTCCTCTTGTTGCCATATGGTACTCAATGAAGAATTAACAAACCTTATATTACTGCTTTTGGTCCTAAGGCTTTTGAGCATAGGGCAAGACAAAAGAGAAAGTCTCTCTTCCACACACTAAATGGGGGCAGAGACCGGGCCATTCTGGTTTCTGAGTTTTATCCCACTTCTTGGAGAGGAGTGTCACTTACTTTGTACTTCAGCATCCCTTGCCCCTTGTTTATACTCCTTACAAAACAATACCAATACATGACAGAGCCAGTGGGCATATAAGTTACCGGTATAGGAAAGAATTTCAATGGATGTAGACTGTTTTCCACATTTAAGGATTGTTTTCCTTTCCAGAAAGGAAAATGGCCAATCTAATAATTTTGATGATGATAATCATAATGACAGTGAAATGGTGGAAATTAATTCCATGTTCTATGGTTTGGGCTTTGCATATAATTGTATTAGTGAGCAAAAAATAAAAAAAGATCTTGACAGACCCATTGAAATGGAATAAATTACAAAATTAATCAAATCTATTTGTCATTATTCCTGGCATATTTTATTTTTAGATTTTATTTATAAAAAGATGAATAATTAACTTTACTTATAACAAAGTAAGCTATTCATGGGAACTCCAAGTCCCATAAATTACTTCACCTTTCTTTAAAAGCAATGCAGAAAATATCTGTTGCCACTTTACTATTATCTTATTAGTAATTAAATTTTAATCAGGAATTTGGAAAGTACACATTAATGCAATGATTTGTATACTTGACCAAAGACTATGCGGAGGAAGGTATAAAATGAAAGTGAAGAAAATTATGAGGGATGAAATGGGAGAGAATGTGGAAATGATTTGAGGCTTGGGATTCTGTACTAGGAGCTCAGTATTTCAAGATTCTTTTTTTTTTTTTTTTTGAGACGGAGTCTCACTCTGTTGCCCAGGTTGGAGTGCAGTGGCACGATCTTGGCTCATTGCAAGCTCTGCCTCCTGGGTTCACGCCATTCTCCTGCCTCAGCCTCCCTAGTAGCTGGAACTACAGGCGCCCGCCACCACTCCCAGCTAATTTTTTGTATTTTTAGTAGAGACGGGGTTTCACTGTGTTAGCCAGGATGGTCTCGATCTCCTGACCTCGTGATCTGCCCGCGTCGGCCTCTCAAAGTGCTGGGATTACAGGTGTGAGCCACTGTGCCCAGCCTCAAGATTCTTAAGAAGAACATGAAGGTTTTGGCTTACTTACCCAACAATGAAAGAGAAGAGAGCTGTGTAAAAACAGTGTTATGAAGGAATAAGATTTGTTCATGGTCCCCAACATAGATGAATTAGCTATGTGTTTAAATTGCAGGTTTTAATTAGTTGTAAAGAATTTCCCAACTTTTCAGTTGCAAAATCCAGGAAAAGGTTAATAAAGATAGATCGTTCATTGGCTCATTTAACCATTTAATTAATTTAACTATTATTTGTTAAGTATGTATTGTGTATGAGGCACTGTGTAAGCACTGGGCATGCTTCTATCGTTAAGATTGAGACTATCATTGGCTTTATTTATCTTATAGGCTTTCAGAAACTTTGTCATCTTCATGAATATTCTAATGAATAGACAGAGGTCCCCAATTAAATTGCTACTTCCGAATTCTGAGGCTTTACCTCATTAAATTCAGCAGGGAGTTTTCCCTGTTCTCTGAGGTTTGCTACTATTCCTGAAGTGTGGAAGAGGA
Source organism: Homo sapiens (assembly GCF_000001405.40). Lineage (NCBI taxonomy): Eukaryota > Metazoa > Chordata > Mammalia > Primates > Hominidae > Homo > Homo sapiens. The sequence continues at coordinate 214,956,764 of NC_000001.11, forward strand.
GAAGCATTTTCTCTAATCCCATCAGCAAGTGTGGACAACATTTCTGTTTTCTCTCCCTTAAAGTTTCAGGAAGTTTTAAGAAAAAGTTTACTGGAGGCACATTAGAGGTGAGACAAACATCTTGCTTACAGTGGTGGTTTAGGTAGAGGATCCATTTCTTATGTACTGAGTGCTAGTATGCTGAGGAGGGGCACAGGTCTGAAAAAGGGAAAAACAGAGTAAAATGCATCAAAGCTCAAGGGAGAGGTAAAGGATCAATGAGGTAGAGGTTCTATGCAGAGGTGGATGGGCGGTGTCTGTGGGCGTGTATGTTGAAAACAGATGGTGTTATGGATTAAATGTCTGTGTCCCCCTAAAAATCACATGCTGGAACCTAAGACCCAATGTGATAGTATTAAGAGGAGGGTCTTTAGGAGATGATTAAATCTGAAGATTAGTGCCCTTATAAAAAAGGTCAAGGGAACTAGTTAGGCCCTTTGACCTTCCACCTTGGCCATTTTGAGGACACAGCACCAAAGTGCCCTTCTGAGAGCAGAGAGCAAGCCTTCATCAGACGCAGAATCTACTGGTGTCTTGATCTTGGACTTCCCAGCTTCCAGAACTGTGAGCAATAAAGTTCCATTCCTTATAAATTATTCAGTCTCAGGCATTTTGTGATAGCAGCATGAACAGACTAAGACAGATGGGTATATGTTTTTCATTTGCCTGTGGTGTTTGGCCCTTGGCAAGATAGTGACGCATATTTTGAACATCATGTGGCAAGTTGTGCAACATCCTGTCTCTGCAAGAGCTCAAATGTCTCCTGCTGCACCTTCTTCATACTCAGTTGCAGATTGAGTCGAACTCCCGTCTCCAAACCCAGGCTTCCTGCTTAGGAAGAAGAAGTGAGCTCTTACCCGTGCCTTTTTCATTAAATAGGCTCTTTCCCCTTCCTTGTCTCTTGAGTCCAAACCCTTACTTGTAATGAGAACCTGGACTTAACACTTGTGTAGTATTTCAGTTCACTGGATCCTAGCTTGCTCTTGGGACTCTTTTCTCCTATCCTCTTTGAACCAGTTCCCATAACTGGCCATTATTTCCTCCCAAGAGGTTCCCCGATGTTCACTGCCTCTCAGCTGTGGGTTTTTTGTATGCCGGAACGACCCCCTGACATCCTACTCTGTCTCACTAATATGGAATGCTGCCTACATTTCTGCCCTTGTTTGGTAAAGAGGGATTTGGGGGATAATTCTTGACTCATCAGCGACCTTCTCTCTTTTGTATTCAGCTTGTAATCATGCTAATTCTGGTTCTGTGGCTGTCATAGTCAGTTTAGGCTGCTATTATGAACTACCATAGACTGGGTGGCTTACAACAATAGGCATTTGTTCCTCACTGTTCTGAAGTCTGGGGAGTTCAAGATCAAGATGCCTGCAGATTTGGTGTCTAGTGAGGGCCCTTCCTCATAGCCATCATCTCACTCTAACCTCACATAGAAGGGATGAGGGGTCTCTCTCAGCCTCCTATTCATGAGGGCTCCAGGCCTATGATCTATGCACCTCCTAAAGCCCCCACCTCCTAATACCATTACATTGGGGGTAAGAATTTCAACATACGAATTTTAGGGGGTCACAAACATTCAGAACATGGCAGTGGGGTTGTAGAAATATTAGCTAGAATTAAGGATCACTGTGTATACAAACCATAAAGTTGAAAGTGATTGTATTGATTAGATAATATGTTTGCTAAGATTACCTCTTGAACTGTCTAAGATGATAGAGGAAAATAATCCTAGCTGACAAGCTTGAGAATAAATTGGGAGTAACAACCACCTGTCAAGGGAGGGGGCTCCAGAACACTGAGAAGAAGAGGACAGTTGGGCACAGGGGCACCCGAAGAGCATGTGATGCTCAGCCTAGACACAAACTCTGACTGCTGGACCCACAGGCCAACTGCAGCTCTCAGAGGAATGAGGAAATACTTTGAGAAAACTTCTTAGAATTCTATGAGGAACAAACCTGCCATTTTCTATTTGTCTAGAGTCCAGTAACTCTGCCCTGCTGGAACCTGTCTTGAAACCCTTGGGGGTTCTCTGGCCTTTCACAATTCTAAAGCCATGTTGTGCTCCCCGTAATTAAAGGTAGAAGGAAGAAGCTTTAGCTTTGTTTATTATTTTATTATTATTTTTTATTTTTCCATCAGTTATAGGGGTATTGGGGTACACGTGGTATTTGGTTACATGAGTAAGTTCTTCAGTGGTGATTTGTGGGATTTTGGTGCACTCGTCACCTGAGCAGTATAAACTGCCCCACATTTGTAGTCTTTTATCCCTTGACCCCCTCCTGCCCTTCCCTCCAAGTCTCCAAAGTCCATTGTATCATTCTTATGTCTTTGCGTCCTCATAGCTTAGCTCCCACATATTGGTGAGGACATACGATATTTGATTTTCCATTCCTGAGTTACATCACTTAGAATAATAGTCTCCAGTCTCACCTAGGTCACTGCAAATGCTGTTAATTCATTCCTAAAAGCTTTAGCTTTTTGTTCTTCACTCGCCTAAGTAGCATTGGGGGCCACACTCTCTTTTTTGGAAGAAAGAGAAAGGAATTTTAATTACAGTTTTAAAATGCAACCCCAACTTGCTGCAATATTACCTTAATACTTTAGTTTCCTGTCTGAACACTATCCCATGGCTTTCTTATAATAATTTCTTTACTTCTATTTTGGACTGTGATGTATCAGTCTAGTTATTATATTTTAGTCATTAAGTAATTCAATCTAAAAACAAAAACGTTTGTTAAGCGACTATGCTAATTGCTGAGGGTAAATAGTAAAATACAATTCAATCTCTAGTTTTAAGGAGGAAAACCAACAGATGAATCACTAAGTGGCATAAAGTGATATGGAGGCTGTGACAAAAATATGTATAGGATAAAGTGGAGGCAGAAGGGAGAGGGATCAGGTACCATAGTTGAAATGACTTTTGGGTGAGTTTTGAAAGTCCCATAAGTCAATTTCAATGCCTGTTTTGTACTGGCTCCAACACTGGTGTCAGGCCAGACTTGCTTCCCTTAACAAAGTCCTTTATCTTCTCTTGGATTTATCATTCTCATTCACAAAACAGCAAAGAAACAATCACTCCAAAGTGTTATGTTATCTCCAGATTGAGGCTTTAATTATCAGGTCTTTACAATTTATTATAATCTTAAGCAAATGTCCGAAAATGTCATAGTAGAATGGAAAGCAAATTTCTTTGCTCAGAATTTGTAGAAGATTGAAATCTACAAAGAGGCAGCTTAGACCTGGCTTTGGTGAGTACTTAGGTTTCATCAATTTGAGAATGAGGATGCTTCACTGCTTTTAAAAACAGAAACAAAAAACTTACCTGCTCCTTGCATTTTAAGAAACTGGCATTCAACATGTTTTGGGGAATTGGCAGATGGCTTCATTTTCAACATTTCTGTAGTTGTGCCTCTGGAGATGTAGACAGTCCCTGTGGCTTTACTGAAATAGTTTTTCAAGTATCGAGTACCTGAAATTGGGAAGTGGGCCATATTTTTATACATCTAGTGCATCTGGTCTTACCATTTTTCCTGAGTTTGTCAAAGCTTTTAGAAAGAGAAAACCAAAGTTGTCACAAATAGATGGATGGTTTGCCAGTGACCTCACAATAAAAAGTTTTAGATCAAGAGCAAATTTATCTTGAATATTTTTATCAGTGCCCATCAACAGCTAAGTTTCTCAAAGAGAGACACTGTTGGCTGATTTAAAGGGTGTTTGGTAGATAAATATATTATTTGTATCAAAGTGTTATCATCTCTTTCCACCTTTATGTGAATTATGTGACAAACGTTCTATTATCCTTGTTTAGTGAATGATGGGTTTAAGAGCAAATGAGATCAGGTAGTTTGTACAATCTGAGACAGCTGGCATGGGGGCAGAACCAGGAATGAATACACTAACTCCATGTGGTTTCCATTCTACCAGTCTATGGTTGTGCCAAGAATATTCTAGGCTCCTTGAAAACAATGATTATTTTTAACATTTATGTTTCATTTTGTGCCAAATACCACTCTGGGAGTGGATGGTTTGATTTCCTCAATTTATGACACTACTTTCTAGGGATTTGTAGGTTACTATACCAAAAAAAGTCAAAATATGAAACTATAAAAGCCCACTGTCTAACATCTTGTGTTCTTTGAATAAAGTACTGTCAAGAACTGTGAAGGGCCCGAGATTTCATCCTACTTGTAAGCTATCAAGTTAGTCTATCACAGCTTCCTGGAGGCTGGTAGAAGACACAGATTCCTTAGAACAGTAGCAGTAGCCAAAGCATCAGCATTTCTCATGCTATTTCCCTGAGCCTCAGTTCCTACAGAGTGCTGCCAAGAGGGCCAGATAACAACTGCACATGTAATGGATTGCACTGTAGAAGGGGAACCCTGAGCCCAAGATTACCCAAATCTTTTATAGTGGGCAGTAAGCATGCTTGCTTTTTGCTCCAGAGGGAGACACTATCTCTATCTTCCAAAGTTGTTTAATTACAAACATCCTTGAAATGATAGTCCAGAACAAAGGGCAGTTAGGCAGCTTGCAAGATGTGTACTTGCAACTCGAAGACAATTCATGGAGGATTGTCTCAGAATATATTCTCAATTCCTTACATATTTGTATAATCAAGCTTCTCCTTACCTCTGCAGCCTCCTTTAGAGATCCTTCTAGCAGCACTTGCTGTGCTCTGGGCACTCCAGTCCTTTCTTAGCTCTTGAGTTGTGCCATGCTCCATTCCTTCAGAGGTCTGCCACAGGGTTTCCTCTGTCCAGAAGTAATCAACCTCCACCCTCGGCTCCTTATTCTTCAGGTCCCAGCTTCAACCTAAGTTCCTTAGGAAAATTTCTGACTTCCCACCAGCTCCTCGGTGCCTTGAATGATTTGAACTATTACCTTATGTGTAAGCTAACAAGTTACTCTACCAGTTCATAGATGCTGGCAGAAGACATGAGCCTCCTGGGTCAGATATAACTTTATTACTCACTGTATAGCAGGCAGCTGAGCTGCATGTTCTCGTCAGTTTCCCTTGTCCCTGAAGTCTCATTAGGGTGATGCAGAGCAGCCCAGGTCAATGCTGCACACAAGTGGGTTTGTACCAAAGCTGAGGAAACTTGAGCTTAAGAAACCCTGATATTCTGGAGGGGAATGCCAGCAAATCTGTCCAGTCTTTTCCCTGGAAGGAGACATTGTCTTTACTGTACTAGTCAGGAAATAAATCTTCCCTCTGCTTCAGAAAGAGGCATTATCGTTATTGTCCAAGGCTATTTATTATACAAACATCCTTAAAAAGAAAGTTTTGAACAAAAAGTGAGACAAGATGTGCATAAATGTAAAAGACCCACACACAACAGTCTTCCAACACTCTCCACTACACTGTCTATATTACAGTAGGTTTACCTTGTAATAAACTTTTACAAAACTGTTTATTTCTATAGCGCTTACTACAATTATATTTAGGAAAATGTTAGTGCAATTATTTGTTTAATTTCTATCTTCCTCACTAGGTTCTAAATTACATACCAATAGAGACCATATTTATTTTGTGTCATAAACATGTAACTCTGCAAAGCCTATCTAAGCTGTACCATAGAAACTTGTTGAATGAGGAATATGATTGTGGCCTCCCTAATGGCTTGGAGCCTCCTTTGCGAAGCCTCCTAGCATTACACTTCCTGCACAATTGCAATGATGCCTTTACTTCTCTGAATCGTCTACTAGATTTGAAGCTTCTCCACAGGAGAGTCATCATTTCTTTCCCAGTGGCTAAAACAATGCCTTGCACAGAGTAGCAGCGTAGTGAATATGTACTTTTATCAATACATATCTAAAACTCCATATCAAAGCAGTCTTAAGATGGTAAACTGCTTTTGCAGCTCATTTCCTAATGTCCTGTAAGAAAAGAGATAAATGAATAAAAAAATCTAAAATTATATCATTTTGATTCTGTGTTTCATTCATACTTAACTGAAAGTGGAAAAGTAGGTAGCTTATTTGGACAGCAGCAATTGTTTGATTTGAGATTATCAAATCTTTATCAAGTAAATGTGATCAATAGCTTTTTAAAATTTTCTTATGTATCCGACATTTTTAAATTATTTATTTATTACCCCATTGTTTAAAATATTTAGCTCAAACTTTTTATTTTAATGTGTGGCATCATAGCTTTGTTGAAAGTGAATGGGCTTTGGACTGGAAACACTACGATTTCAATTTTGCCTTGGTCATTATGAATTCAGATAAGTTGTACCTCTTGTTTTTTTTCAACTCAAAAATAGGGGGATATTATACTTGTTTTATTGTGCCAGGAAATGAGCACTTGTCATTTGTTTGGGAAACACAACATCCTTTGGTTTAAAATTGGGAAAATTCTTTACCTTGTGTTTTGGGGGTGGTGGAGACCTCCTTCCCCTAGAAAGCTGGAGATCACCTTTATACTAAAGCACAGGGATGTAACAGAGGATCTGCTAGGCAGGTTCACCCACTCCAGTTTTTGACTTTGTAATTAGTGACACAATATAGTTGCTAGTGACACAACGTGCTTCCTCTCTGTCCCTCTTTCTGTTGAAGTGGTCAGTAGCCATGATTATGAGGCGTAGGTCTCGGCACAGAAGTGACAGGGTAATGTCCAATGCTTGATGGTGGCAGCAACCCCTTCCTCATCACATCAGTCCTGCAGCACAGTTTTGGTGATCATTTCTGGAAACACATTCAGCTTGGTTCTCTACACTCCTGCTGATTCTGAGAGCTTCTTTTGATACCTTTAATTTCGTTTTCTGCCTACTCAGTCCAAGTCAGCTTCTGTTGAAAACCTCGAGTGATACAGACTCAGCAGATGCATCATTCCAGTTTATGTAGGTCCAATGGGTTTGGCAAGTGAGAGTCAGGCTTGTAGGATTAGGTTAAGGCTGGGTTAGGAAGCTTCCAGCAAGCCCTGAGCCTGGGGCCTTAAATGGCTAATATTATAAGCATTGCATACAATTATTTGGTTCAGAAAGATGAGAATGGGACAGTCTTCTATGATTCAGGCATACACATACATTCTTTCTTTTGACTTTGTTTCTTCTAACGTTTGGTCTAACTTAATGATGAGAATGAAATGTACTGTTCATTTGCCAGGGAAGTGTCGAGAAAGGGTGTTCAGTAAGTATGAAACGCTGCTGTCTAAACAGGAAGGGGCAGCCAGTATGGAGGACACATCAGTAACTCCATTGAAATGGAAGCACTTACAAAAGTTCTCAAATTGCCCAACATTTGCACCAAACTATGCATTTTGGGGTGGAAGTGTTTAGGTTCCCTGATCATTAGTATAAAACTTTATGTGCAGAGTTAGCCTTTAATTTTGCTTTTAAAGACTTTCTAAATTCTCTAACACTACAAAAAATAATAAACTATAAAAAATCTACACAATTCAGCTTTAGAGAAATTGGGGTGTAAAAATGAGAGACAAGGTGTCTTTTAGAACCCTGGACTTAGACACACGAGGCTCTGATTTCTTCTCCCCTAACTCACCTACTGCCCAGCTCTATGACAGATAGCAGGATGCTTACACCCTCCTTGCCTCAGTGTCCTCATCTGTGAGGGTGGGTAACAATTTTTTTTTTTTTTTGAGAAGGAGTTTTGCTCTTGTTGCCCAGGCTGGAGTGCAATGGCATGATCTTGGCTCACCGCAACCTCCGCCTCCCAGGTTCAAATGATTCTCCTGACTCAGCCTCCCGAGTAGCTGGGATTACAGGCATGTACCACCACGCCTGGCTAATTTTGTATTTTCAGTAGAGACAGGGTTTCTGCATGTTGGTCAGGCTGGTCTCAAACTCCCGACCTCAGGTGATCCTCCTTGACCTCCCAAAGTGCTGGGATTATAGGCGTGAGCCACTGTGCCCGGCCTAAATTGATTTTTTTTTTTAATAGACTTTAATTTTTAGGGGAGATTTAAGTTCACAGTAAAATGGAGGAGAAAGCACATAACATTTCTGTTTACTTCCTTCCCCACACATGCACAACCCCTCCCACTGTCAACTTCCAGTGCCAGAGTGGCATATTTGTTATAATTGATGAAGTTACATTGACACATCATCACCCAATTCCACAGTTCACATTAGGCTTCACTCTTGGTGTTGTAAATTCTATAGGTTTGGACAAATGTATTATGACACATATCTACCATTTTAGTGTCACACAGTGTAGTTTCACTGCCCTAAAAGTCCTCTGTGCTCTGCCTATTCATCCCTCCTTCCTGACTAATTCCTGCTGGTCACTGGCCGTTTTACTGTCTCCATTGTTTTGCCTTTTCCAGAATGTCATATAGTTGGAATCATATAACATGTTGCCTTTTCAGATTAGCTTCTTTCCTCTAGTGATATGCATTTAAGATCCCCCCATGTGTATTCATGTCTTGATAGCTCACTTTTAGCACTGAATACTATTCCATTGTCCGGATGTACCACATTTTATTTATCAGTTCACCCACTGAAGAACATGCTGGTTGCTTCCAAGTTTTGGCAACTAGAAATAAAGCTGCTATAAATATCCATGTGTAGGTTTTGTGTGGACCTAAGTTTTCAACTCACTTGAGTAAGTACCAAGGAGTGAGACTGCTAGATCGTATATTAAAAGCTTGTCTACTTTTATGGGAAACTGACAGTTTTCCACAGTGGCTGTACCATTTTGCATTCCCACTAGCAATGAATGAGAGTTCCTGTTTTTCCACATCTTTGCCAGTGTTCGATATTGTCAGCATTTTCGATTTTAGTCATTCAAATAGGTGTGTAGTGGTATCTCATTTGTTGTTTTAATTTGCAATTCCCTAATGACACTTGGATGTTAAACATCTTTTCTTATTTGCCATCTGTATATCTATTTTGATGACATATATGTTCAGAACTTTGGTCCATTTTTTATTTGGATCTTTCATTTTCTTATTGTCGAGTCTTATAAGTTCTGTGTACATTTTGAATAATAGTCCTTTCCCAGATATGTGTTTTGCAAGTATTCTCTCCCTGTTTGTGGCTTATCCTCTCATTCTCTTGAGAGGGTGAGTTGATTTTGATTCTGAAACTATTCTGAAATCACTGAAGGTAAGCAATAGACCAAATATTTTACATAGTACAAGAAAGAAATGTAAGGTTCTTCTGTTTTGCAATTAACACAGATTTTCAAAAAAATGTTTTTTTTGCTATTTGTGTTTTCTCATAATCTTAACAATGAACCCAAACCTATTGTTCTAAGTCTTTATTGTAAGGGAGCAGAATCCCACAGCTATTCCTGACATGGGAACAGCAGGACTGGGGCTACAGGAAGACAAGTGTCAAATTATAAAGAATTGGGACTACACAGGCCTAAATTTGTTTCTTAGGGGTTGGAGGGAAGGTGGCATGGGAAGTGAGGGGTAACCTAAAAGGGGGAGCAATCCTATATTTGTGTCTTTGTTTTCTGCTTCTGAGCAGCAACACTACACATGCAGTATGGATCAGCACTCCCTTTCTATCTTCTCTCTCAAAGCACAGGAACAATTTGCTACTGTCCTACAGCTTGCAATTACTGAATCTAAACCCACATATACTGATATCAAGAAGGAGTAGCAGTTACAAGTTGAAAGCATTAAAGAGCTGAGAACATTGAAGAGCTGGTGTTATCTTGAGAAATCCCTTTGAGTTTGAGTGGTTGATAGACGTGCGTGTTACGTGAACTGTCTTGGAGAAGGGGATTTGCTTGTGCTTTGTTGTGTGGCCAGAGTTATTCCTAGGGCTTCTCATTGTGTAATGCTGGCTTGAAGCCTTTGCTTGACCAGGGCCAGCTCCTAGCTCCTCCTGCCAGGCTGCTATTGTTAGTGCTGTCTCCCAGCATTCTGAGACAGCTTTGTCCCAGAAGTGCTTCATTGCACTCTTAAGTTATTACTTTTTCTTAGGACAATCTTGCTCAGGCTATTTCAGTTTCCTTGACAATCTCTTGTGAGAACTGTTCTATTGGGGGATGAGATTCTTCATCTTCTGCCTGGAATTCTAATAAAACAAAAGTTGTTGAAGAACAGCAAGGGAAGTCTTGCTCCCCAGCATCAGGCACAAACCTTCAGGTATGTCATTAGTTCTGTGAGTGGGAATATTTGTTGTTCATGGAGATTCAACTCAAGTAGCATGGATGTCTTGGTCTCTTTGGAGCTGCTATTACAGAATACCGCAGACTGAGTAATTTACAAAGAAAAGAAATGTATTTGCCACCGTTCTGGAGGCTGGGAAGTCTCATATCAAGTGCTGGCATCTGGTGAGGGCCTTCTTGCAGTGTCATCTCATGGTGGAAGGCAAGAGGTTGAGAGAGTGAGAGAGGGGTAGCAAGAGGAAGGCAAACTCACTTTTTTTTAAATCTCAGTTTTTGTTTACGCTTCGCCACTGGCAAGCTCACTTTTATAACAAACCTGCTCTTAGGATAACAACATTAATCCATTCACGAGGACAGAGCTCTCATGGCCTAATCACTTCTTAAAGTTTCCACCTGTCAACATTGTTGCATGGGGACTAAGTTTCCAACACTTGAACTTTAGGGAACACATTCAAACCACAGCAGTAGATGTGCCTGGCTCAAGTGGCTTCTCTTGCCTGTGAAGGAGGGGGCTTCCTTGGAGTTCTTCTGGAGTCCCTCTGAGTTAGGCACCTCAGAAAGGCTTCAGGTATTCAGATCCCTACCTGAGACTTCTAACTGTCTCAATGTTCAGTCAGGGGCAAGGCAGCTACTTGAAGAGCTCATTCAGGGGCAGAGATGCTCCTTTCTTATGGCTACACCATTGAGCTGTCCACCTTCTCTTCCCCTCCTGGACAGCTTGTATTTCTCCCCTTCAACCAGATTTCCTTGCTTTCATTAGGAGATCTGCTTTCATATAGGATACAACATTTAACTGGGCATTTGAAGCATTTTTACAAGCTGATACTGATTCTCATTTATCTGCAGGTAAAGTTACCCATCTTCTCCTTCAAGTTATATTCAGGTTCCCCCAAAGAGACCACTTGAAGTAATGAATAGCTTTGGAATTATGCAGTCCCAGATTTGATTCCCAACTCTGCTTCTTACAAGCTTTGTGAACTTGGGTCTTAATCAGTTTCCCCAAGCCTCAGTTTTAGCATCTCAAAAATGAGGATAATGTCTTCTATCACACAGGATTGCTTTGAAGATTACATAAAATAAAGGTTTGAAATCACTTGACATATCTTAGGCACTCAAGAAATGTGAGTTCCGTTCTCTTCATGTTTGGAATGATTACAATTTGTCCCCCTTAGGAATGACTCCACCATCTGTTTTCTGTATGTGTCATGCTAGGGGAGACGGTGCTGAATTACATACTGAAAAATTCAGCAGTGTTGTCCAGTAAAAAACCAATAAGACCTGTTAATTAACTAGATTTTTTTCAGCCCCATGCTTTTGTAGAACAAGACCAATGAAAGTGATCAGGAAATGATTGTCATATCAGCTGAAATAAAAAGGGGATTTTAAGGCGCGCACTGAGAGCTTGTGTTCAGAATGACCTCAGTTATATGCATAGTATTGCACTGGGGTCACCAGTGAATGTTTTGAGTATTGACTCTGAACACACTTAGATTCCTAATTACCAAATAAACACCACATTCATTATTCACTCTCATATTTGATTGGCCTAGATGATTCTGACGGTCAGAGGATTCCAAATTCTTGAACTTCCAGTTAACCAAGGTTTCCTTAAATAAATGTCCAATTAGCACTAGTAACCACTGCTTCACTTAGAGATGAAGATTGGTTGCCAGAGTTGGATACTGACTCTCATATAACTAATTTCAAGGCCACAATAAAAAAAATCCAGAAGCTTCTAGTCAGCAAGTAACAGCTAATTACACTCAAGATCCCATTAGAAATTTTAGCTTCATTTAAATATCTTTCTGATTTAAATATAAGTGTTAGTAATTTGGTTATAATTTTTAGTAATTTAGTGTTAAAGTATAAGAAACAGTAATATAATAGACGACAAGGCAAAACTATGTCTGCATGGCATGATCACTGATGCATTGCTATACTATTTCCAATTCAGTGGAGAGTCAATTTATTCAAAAATTAAAATACTAAGTCTAATATTTTCTGAGATGGCAGGATTTCATCAGGGTGTATCTATAATGATTTTCAATGGATTGGCAAATTTATCAATAAGAGACCAAAGTTCTGCCTCAAAATTTAGCATATTTAGCAGCAATTAGACTTGTATATGAAGTATCAGTAGAAAACATGAGCTATGATTTGAATGTGTCCCCCAAAATTTATGCATTGGCAGCTTAATTCCCAGTGTGACGGTGTTGGGAGGTGGGGCCTAATGGGAGGTGTTTAGGTCATGAAGGCAGAGCACTCATAAATATGTTAATACTGTTATATAAAGGGCTCATGGGAGTGGGTTTGCCCTTTTTCACTCTTACCTTTCTGCCTTCCATCAGGTCATGAAGGAGCAAGAAGGCCTTTATAAGATGACAGCATCTTGTTCTCAGACTTCCCAGTCTCTAGAACTGTGAGCCAGTAAATTTCTGTTCATTATAAATTACTCAGTCTCAGGTATTTTATAGCAGCACAAAATGAATGAAGACAACATTCATTACTAAGCCACTGTGGTTCTTTTCTTAGGTTGATTCTGGAAGATGATACTTAATTCTCTATCCTGCCACTTTACAGTTCATTCTTAATTGTACATAGCCAAGCACCGTAATACTAACTTTAGCAGATAAAATATACAACTGACATCAAACTATAGTTTGTTTGGTTGTCACTTACAGAGTTTTCTTTGTACTTTGCAGAGTGCCTTGTGTTAGATGCAGAAACAAAGAAAGCTGGCTTCAGTATTAGAGAACCAGGACTGGTAATAAGGGATACTATCTATTAGCATAGGAGTCAGAAATAGATTAGAAACTCGAGAAAGAGTGATTTCCTGTTTCAACACCTTTTATTTCTCACCCCCACCCTTTGGTTCAGATAATAATGTCTATACATCAGGCCAAGGAAAGAAGAACAAGAAGGAGAAAATAATCAGGATGGTACATCCACTGAACAATCAATGTCTAAATAGTGGAGAATTCACTAACAATTATATACATTTTGGCACTGCTAGCCAAATTTTGCCAAGGATATTCTACTAGCCTTTCACGTAAAAATACCTTTGCCACCAACCCTTGAAACCTATGAAAGTCATTTGGGCCTAGGTATCTTGAAAATAACTGGAGATGAGAACATGACTGTACAAGGATGCCTGAATTAATGCAGTCTGAAAACAATCTTGTGACTTGTTTATACATTTGTGCTGAGAAGGCCTGGATCTGGATGTTCTAGGGTTACTGCTCTTGTATTCAAGTAGACTACAGTGAATAAGTTTCATCAGATCTTTCAGATCTCTAGCTGTTTTTGGCTCTTAACTATCCAGCTAGAATCTTATTACTAGGGTTTCATTATCCTAATTCAGGCAGACAATGAGTAACCAGAAGGAGACTCTTACTGATGAAATCAAACCTGAAAAGCTGCCATCTTGAAAGCTAGCAAATTAAATGTCGGTTGATCAACAGAAAGCAAAAAATGTCCATGTCACTGTAACTTTAATCAGAGCATCATAATGATGTTACTTTGGAAGTGAGGTGTCCTTTTTGTGAAATTTTTAACAATGGGAAGTTTTATCAATGAGACCAAAGTTCTGCCTCAAAATTTAGCACATTTAGTAGCAAATAGACTTGTATATGAAGTATCAGTGGAAAATACCTGCTATGATTTGAATGTGTCCCCCAAAATTTATAAATTGGCAGCTTAATTCCTAGTGTGACAGTGTTGGGAGGTGGGGCCTAAAGGGAGGTGTTTAGGTCATGAAGGCAGAGTGCTCATGACCTAAACACCTCCCATTATCTGAGTTTAAGCAACTCAAATAAACTGAAAAGAACTTAGACATGAGTGATGAAAATGATGAAGGAGGTGGAAAAACTGATTTATGAGGGAAGATGAAAAGATTTTTAACATGGATAGCTTGGCTAAGTGGAGAACATAGATCCTTTGATTAATAACTATGCATTCTTGAAGTGCATAAGCACTAAGAAAAAATCAGTAAGATTTTGGGTGTGGAAACATGAATAATGGAATCAATTAGCTACAGGAAAATAGGCTGAATATAAAATATAAAACATTTATTTCTGGATTTTTCAGATGTGCCTCCTGAGGCGCTTTCAATGTTAAATATTTTCTAGTAAAATGGATAGGCTCTTAATATTTTTAAGCTTAAATAAAAAAGCAAAAGAAGTAAAAGCTCTGAAGGGTTTTTAAAGGATACATTTTGTTTGCAGGGGCAAGTGATTGGATTTTGTGTCCTAAACCTAGTATAATTGGGTGTAAAGCCACAGAAGGGATTCTAGTTTCTCTCTGGAAAGTTTATCTTGGGGATCTGGGGGAGACTGAGAAAAACGACTGCTAGAGCTTTGCCACTAGTGGTTCAGGCCTGAATGCACTTTGTCACCTTTTATGAGCCATCTGGTTTCATTCAGAAGTCGGGAAAGTCTAGAATTCAGAAATATTAATGAAATATATTGGCATGATCATACTAGGATGTGACTGCCAAGACAGAGGCTGCAAATGACCTGAGATAGGGCAGGAGGGAATTCAGAGATTCCAGGCAGGGTGGCACAGTGACTTAACAGATGTACTTGGATGTCAGTCAACCCCACAAACCCAACACACCTTGAAATTCAGGGTGCACATAACTGTTTCATTTCAGGCAAGTGCCTAAACTTTCCAAGCCTCAGTTTCTTCTTCTGTAAAGCGGGGCAGCTCTAGGGTTGTTGTGAGGATTATATTCAAGATTGTATGTAGTGAGCTCAGTGCAGCACCTGATTCATAGTTCAGTAAGTCTTGGTAATTGTTGTTATGAGCCCTGCACTCTATGTCCTCCTCACTTTGGCCACACATCTTCTATAGGTGAGTGTCAGTCATGGGCCACTGGGGAGGTTGATCCGGGAGAGAAGAGATTCTCATCAGTCTACGAGAAAGCATGGGCTATTTTACATTTCTATGTTACAGTAAATCCTCCATGGTTTAAACTAAAATCTGAATAACCTGACATGCCTCAATTAAAATATTCTAATAGGAATTTAGTTTTATAATATTTCATTATGTATAATTGATCTGTTCATTTTTCTTCTTTTCCTGACTCTTAATTTTCTAGCTTTATTTGTATTCCTTCTGTTACTGATTTTTAAGTTTCTAATTTATATTTTACTATGACTTTGTATTTCCTGGTCTTCTTATAAGTTACCTAAAATCCTTTGTGAAAGAAGTGAGGATATAAGCAAATAAATGAAATATACATAGTTTAAAAACTTGTAAAACATAGTTATATATATATATATTGTTTAAGTATATATGCGGCCAGGCGTGGTGGCTGATGCCTGTAATCCCAGCACTTCGGGAGGCTGAGGTGGGCAGATCATCTGAAATTAGACGTTCGAGACCAGCCTGGCTAACATGGTGAAACCCCATCTCTACTAAAAATACAAAAATTAGCTGGGTGTGGTTGCGGGCACCTGTTTCCCAGCTTCTCGGGAGGCCAAGGCAGGAGCTAATCACTTGAATCCTGGAGGCGGAGGTTGCATCAAGCCGAGATCGCACCACTGCACTCCAGCCTGGGTGACAGAGCAAGACTTTGTCTCTGCAAAAAAAAAAAAAAAAAAAAAAAAAAAAAAAGAACAAAAAGAAAATATGCTTGTGGCATCAAACAATAAAGAAATTCATGTCGATGAAAAATAGCAAATTCAGGATGCTGATTTCTTCCTGGGGGAAGAAAATGGAATTTGGGAAAGAGAATCCAGAGGACTTTAGTTATCTTGGTAATGTTTTGAGTGGATATGGGGAAATCAGTGGAGTGTAGGCTTGGATAAAATGACACGATCTTCACTTTCATGATCCTGGGAAAGTTGGTGTAAAGGCTGACTGACAATACTAATATTAACAATCCAAAGGTGATGAGGACTCTGAAGCACAGTTGGCTTCTGCACGTGTGATTTGTTCTCTGTGCTTCAGCTTGAACTTTCTGATAGTGCTAATGTTCCTTGCTGGTATGAATATTTTCTGTCATTATTTTATTTTCGGGGAGCTCTCTGTACATACAAAGTTTCTATTAACAGATTTGACATCTAAAGTTGTTAACACCAAATGCTTTACAAGCACCATCTAATTCAATCACTACTTAAATATCTTTATTTTCTCCTCCTAAATTCTTTCTGGATTCTATTCTCAGAATCAGAGCAGAAACAGCTAAATTGAAACTCCATCCTCTCTCAGAAGGATACTCAGCAGTGATGTCAAGGAATGCATTTTTAGGTATAGGACTTGGCTGAACTGGCTTGCCTGGGTTAATTGCTGTGAAAGCATGGCTCTGGCTTAGGAAGGCCTAGAAAAGGAGCAATTGGAAATTAGAACTGGAAATTGGAAAATAACAGGAAAAGGGATCAGAAGCATAAGATGGGATCTGTTTGCCAAGCACAGTTGGATACATGGGCAAGGAATTAAGTTTGGTAAACCAATAAACATCTAAAATGTGAGTCAGATCAGGACATCAGATGAGGAAACTGAGGCTTTGAGAACATAACTTATGTGTCGATGACCACATAGCTGGTAATTGGCAGAGATTGTCTCAAATATATATCTATCTTACGCTAGAGCTCCTTCCCTTGATCTCTATGTTATTAATTTATGTACAAATATTAGTTACTTTTACTCAGCTGAGCAAATATGTAAATTCATTCGTTTTTCTATAAAAACTTAATTTCTATCTCAAGCCCTCGTTTCTGATGCAAACATTTTAATTTAGTCATCATCAGGGAATCTCAGTCACGTTTATGTTTGTTGTCTGTCATTTCAGGTTTGAAGTTGTTCGATTGCACCTTTCTTTTCCCTGGAGTTAATGTTGTACTCAGAAGGCCATGCAAATGGAGGAGAGATGTTTATTTCATGATTTGGATTTGTTTTGGTGGCCTGCTGGGGCCCATTCATTTGGCCCTAAGGCTTGTTTCTACCATAATGGTGCCTGTGACATTTTGACGGCATTTTCAGCTGAACCCCTACAGTATGGGCCACCTTGCAGTCCCTGCATCAGCACTCCTGTTGTAATTTCCTGCAGCTCACTAGCTCTCTGTCTTTCAGACAACCGCTATGCCCAGTCTAGGGAACCTCAGCAACCTTCGCATGGTTTCCTACTGCTTCTAGGGCTAGGTGCCCCCAGATCTCCCCTTTTCTACTCTGTGATGGCCACATCCCATTGGCAGAGCCAACTGCTTTCCAGAGACTTCACCTGAAAATGGATGCCCTGATCCTCCTAAGTTTGGATACAAACATTTAATTGAAGGGCTGAAGGCATTTTTGGCTCCCCATGGGGCCTGAGCCTGAGGACGCAAGGAATTAGGAAACAGCCTCCTTGCCCCCAACCCCTCTCACGAATTGTTAACTCTCACAGCATTCTCTATCTAGACTGGGGTAGGGGTGGAGAATCAGTCTGACAACATCTACTTCCTAATCCTTTGGTCTTATTTGTGGATCTAAAAACTTTTGAAATTGCTTGTCCAGTTGTTTCTTTGTGAGACTCTCTCTTAGGGCAAAATGGTCTCTGGGATCCCAGCCTAAGTAGGGGAGGGCCACTTCAGTGAGGGGTAGGGACAGAACAGTACAGTTAGTGCTTGCATGTCATTTTCCAATTTAAGTGAAATAATTACACCATGTTAGAGACATCCTTTTCGGGGGAATTACCAAGAATTCATAATATTTTATAGAAGTTGCTGATGTTGAAAATCTGCCTAAATACTTAGGACATTATAAATTTAGCAAAAGTTACTTAATGTGCTGCTCTGCTATTCAGGAACCTTGACATTTGAGGCAAATAAAAGGGAATAGTTATGTAAGTTATAAAATTAACAAGTACTGTGGCAGTTCATGAAATACCTGAACCAAGTCTGTCTAAGCGCAGGTGTTGGGAATTCAAGGGTAAGAAAAAGTTAGCATTGACAAGGGATGCTGATTATGTAGGCTTGTGCAGCGTATACCATCAATCATCTCTGTATGCACACGAAAAACCCCTGTTACATGATCCTTAAGGAATTGTCCAGATTCTTTTGTTCTCTTTTAAATGGTCTTATCCTGGACTCTTCTGTCATTTCCACATTCAAGCAGAAACCAAATTCTATCTCCAAATATTTGTCCTGGCTTTTCCATCCACATTAATACTACCTTAGTTTAGACCTTCATCATTGCTTGCTTAGAATATTACAGTAGCCACCTGACTTTTCCTGCTTCACCCAGTCCATCCTCTGCTTATATCAGGTATTCTTTGTAAAATACAAACCTGATATTTACTCCCTCCTTTAGAAACTGTGATTACTCTCTGCCATTTACAGAGTAAAATGCCAATCTCCAAGCAAAGTGTGCAAGCAGTTTTCTTTTTGTGTCTAACCTGTGTCAGCATGTAGATATGAATTCATTCATTCACTCATTCAATAGATATTTATTCAATGCTTTATGGAAACACATACAAATATAAATGGACACAATTTCAGCCCAGGTGAGGGGGGGGGACATAAGTGAGAAACAGGCAGAAGGGAAAGATATATGGAAACATGCAAAAGATACAGTGGAAACATTGGACAAATTCTTCCAAGAAAGTTGGGAAAGGCTCATCTTCCCCTACTACTTACTTTCCTTCTCCAATGTATGCTTTAATTCAGCTGCTCCACGTGCATATTCTTTTACCTCTGCTAGATTGTGAGCTTCTTGATTGGCAGGTTCTTCTTTCTCATCTTTGTATTCTCAGCATTGCCTAACACAGTTCTGGTACATGGTGGCACACGGCAACCCTTGATTGAATTAGAACATTATACCTAATTTTCCCTGAAATAAGCTAAAGTTGGGAGATATATTTGTTATTGAGGGATGTTCAATACACAATATACATTGTAAATTATGTAACAAATGCATAATAAATGGCATTTGTTACTGACAAATAATATAGTTGTTATTTCCCCTTAGTGCACCTTTAGATTTTTGCCTTAATAGCTTCTTTCCTTTTGAACCACAGCTGAAAGCTATGTGTAATTTATTTATTCATGCTAATCATCTAGACTCTATACTTAGCATTTTCAAGGTATGGGATTCTGATATTTGTAGAGGGGCAAGCTACCTGATGATAAGAACAAACTTAATATAATAGAGCAAATACAGTGGCAAAAGCGCTGAGGGGTGGAGTAAAGAAGTCAGATTGGTCATAGAAAGCTTCACAGAGAAAGTAAGCTTCAAGCCGGATTTTCAAAGAGGGACAGGTGAAGAATGACAAGTTGAAGCCAGGAGAAAAATATCCCATGAAAAGCAGTTCATATGCAGAGGTCAGAATTATGCTTAGGGCATGAGAAACAAATTGGTGAGACTACAGGTAGTTAAGAGGACATTTAATATTTATAAATGCTTATATTTGTGCTTGCTTATATTTAGTTTTTAAAGATCTATTTTTTGCTTATAAGGCACTTGGTCAGCAATTTCTTGATTGCCTGTATTAATGGCAGGCGGTAGGAAAAAAAGGAAAAAATTAAAGTTCAGATAGAGTCGCTTGGACATTACATTAAATTAATTTTAAATGCATAATGTTTCTTATTTTAAAGTAGAATTTTAGTATAAGCTGGTACAGTGAACCATCATTAATGTCTTCTGAACTGCCCTCCTTGCTTCTAGAACAGCATTCCCCTTCCTTTTGAAAGCCTCTCCAATCCCCTTTTGCACCTTGTTTTCCTGCTGGAAGGTTTGAATATTAGTAACATCTTGTCTGGACATAGGGGTTGACATCAGACCCAAGCTGAACCAGTTCATTCCAGGGTCTTTCCAAAATGGACTAAAGGAAGAGAGGTAATCCCTTTTGGTGATGCGTGAAGCTCAGAGATAAGAAGTGAGGAGCAGTAAACTGACCTGTTTCTGACCCTCTAAACAAGGCAGTCTGAACGAAAGAAACTGGAACTCCAGAGAGAAGACTTGAGAGACTGCAGAGCATCCCGGTCATGCTCATTCTGATGGTAATGAGCCCCACCTATTTTCTTTAAATCCAGCTGACACCTGGCACTATCCATCGCAGGCTTCTTGGCCAAAAAATTCTCCCTTTTGCTATGCAAGGTTCAGTTGCGTTTCTGTGATTTGCAGCAGAAGCTGACCTGGGTAGTTGAATGACTAACAGAATGATAAAAGGGACTTTATATTATTGTCAGGAGACTAAAATGAGGGCTAATCAGTCCTTACTTTCTACTATTATCAATGTCTCTGATTCAAAAGAATGCCCAACCATTGTTAGGATGGTCTACATTAGAGCACCAATCCCTCAACTTCTAGAAATGCAGGTCGTTAAGAGTCATATTCTTGCACTGGGTCTGAGTATCAGCTTTCTCAGTGTGGTAGAAAAAAAAAAAAAGACTTTAGAGTGTAGAAAAGAGAATCTGTTTCCTGGCAACTCAGGGTCCAATAGGCTCTTGTTGCTTTAGGTGCATCTGACATTCTACAAGGGGACAAAAGGACTCCTGCCGTGGCCAGATTGTTTTCATGTTTTATCTGTTTTCTTTTGGAAAAGGTTGTACCCTCTGCTTTGTTTTGTGATGTCTAGGGGTACTGCGTTTATGTGGTTTTTGGCAAGTTTGCTTGACCCTGAATTCCTCAAAGTGTCATTTTCTGAAGCAACAGAATATGTACTGAAGACGCTTTTGAAAAACAAAAAGCTTTCAGGAGGCCCTTGATTGGCTAAGGGGTAATTATTAGCCATAATGAATATACTAGTGCTGAAACATTTTGAAGTAGAAGCAAAACATTAAAAAAATCTGGCATTAATAAATCCATGCAAGAACGCTAGGATGTCTTTCAATGATCTCTTAAGATTTGTATTATCGTTACCAACTTTGCAACAAACATTGATTTAGTAGGGTCTAATAAAGAACATTTTGCCAAGATCTGGGGACACCAAATTGAATATAGTTCTCAACTTGTAGGGGATTACAGTCCTATACAGAAATCAGGACACAGTTTGGTATAACGAGAGTATCCCCAGGCTACACAGGAAAAAAATTTCACAATACTAGTAAAAAGCAAATACCAAAACTAGCAATATTTACTCTAGCTCATCTACTATGGATAGTGGCTTAATATTTCCACCTCAAATTTCTCGCAACTAGTTTAGTAATCCCCAAGAAAGGATCTCGCTTGTAATAACCAACATAGACTTTTTGTTTATTTAAGTAGAGTCCGAGGGTCTCATCATGCCTTGCTGGGAAAGGTCTTCTGGCCAGTTGGAAAGCCTAACATGTTCTCTCTTTTGCTTTTGGTTTTTCCTGGATGTCTTGCCAGCATTTATCTGTAATGTCATCCTCACTTCTTCTTTCCATGTGTAGGTCAATCTGGCTTCCTAATCAGGCTTCTATGATTCTCTCTTTTGATGTCTCATGGATCCCTGCCTCCTGCTCAAGAGAAGAAAATGCTTTCCATGCCCACTTGTTATGGCTTATTGCCTGGGCTAAAAATAAGCATTGCTTTGTGTACTCTGCGTGTTATAGAGATCCTAATGGAGCAGCACTTTTATTTATTTACTTTATAAACTCTAAGTCCCCAAACTTTTGAGTAAGTTCTGCTAGAGTTATTGGACAGCTGGGCCAGGGGACAATGAAAATAACATACTTCAGGTGGCACTTAAAACTACCCTCCTCTCCCACATGGACCCACTGGGCTTGAATGAATCTTTGTTAATAATAAATTACTTTCATAAGCTGCTTCTTTGCCTTTTAGGCATATAGGTCTCCTGCTATCTTACCTCAATGACTCTCTACACATCTATTTATTCAATAAAATTATATCAAGTACCTACTGCGTATCAGTTACCATGCTAGGGCTTGGGGATATGGTGGTTGATGAAAGAGTCTCAGTTTCTGACATCATGTGTCTTAGCAGGAAAGATTACAGCTCCAAAAGTCTGAATATTTAGTGGATAGACACCTTATGTTGGCTTCTAACCTCTGCTGCAGAATAGATGAACAACAGAAGGTTGCATTTGTTAAATGCCAAAGAAAGAGGTGCCATAGGACTGTAGAGAAACAGTTGATTACTGCAAAGGCTGGACTACACTCTGTGAAGGAGAAGAGAATTGAGACTTGAGGGAAAGAGAAGACTAGATGACTGGAAATGAACAGGAATGGCATTCCAGGAAAAATGCATATGGCAGGTCCAAGAAGAGAGACGCCATATAGCACACATGCACGTCGGGAAGGATGCTCAGGACGTATGGAGTCACACTGACCTTGATTCAAATCTTAGTTTGGCCACTTGTATGGATGCATAACCTTAGACTAGTTCATTAAATTCTCTGAGCCTCAATTTCCTCTTCTGTAAAATAAGGATATCAAGACCTACTTCAAGAGTTTTCACAAGGATTCTAAGAGTACAAAGTCTATAAATAGAAATAAAACATAAATAATAGTGTCTAGCATGTAGTAAGTGCTCAAAACCTTATAAGTATTGCCAATTTGGTGGAGCAGATGATGCGTGTTGGGCAAAAGAAGTATTACTCATTTTGTATTTCTTTTTTCAGAGTTTACCTATTGCTGTTGAGTGGGTGAAAATGACTAAGAAACACTCTCTGCTTTGTTTCCCACAAGAGGAGAAAAAAAATCAGATGAAAAAATAATGAGGGAAATGGACTATTTTCTTTAACTTCTTTCAACCTCTCATGTGTTGAGAACTTGAATTACTGAGGCTGATTCTGTTTGTGCACAGGACAAGACACATTCTGGACAAGTTGGAGGCTGGTGGAGGAGACTCCTTTTCTCCCAGTGCTCTTTCCTCGCCTAGCAAAGCTGGGGGCACTGAGGAGGGTGGACTATTGTAGATTTTAAGGTGATCTGACCATATCACTGTCATGTCAGAATATCAAGTTGAGTCACTTGAATTTAAAAAGCTATTAATAAACAGGGCTCTATGTTTCTCCTTCTCCTCTTAAAACACCAGTTTCTAAACACTCTGCTTTATTTGCTCCAATTTTGTCTTAACTACTTATTTGTAGAAAAATAAATTTTACTGACCAAGTGAACTTGCTCAATTCTACTGTTGGCTTCTAATCTGTTTCATTCCAATCACTTTAAACTCAAAATCAATTGTAGTGCTATATAAACGACAACTTCAAAGTAATGATGACATTTTACACTGAAAGGACAAAACAGATCAACACCTACATTTCTCTTTTAGATTCTTCATACACAGGCTTCAAACAAGTCCTTGTTGAAATCTCATCCGAGTTGCTGTTGGAGGTACAATAAAGTCATATTAGCAGGATCAGAACCAGAAATAATATGTCTGGTTCTGTTTAGTTCTTCATGTCTCTTTGCTAAAATAATGCAAATTCATCCCAGAAAATCTAAGAAAGAAAAGCCAAGAATTATCAGTTGGAGTAAGACATTTGGTAGTTGCAATAGAAATAACCAAAGCCAGGAAGAAAGTGAATGTATTCTGTTAAACAAAAGAACAAAAACAAAAAGTAGGATAAAAGAATCATTCACGGTAGGTGAATAGTCCACAAATAAGACAA
The DNA here is from genome assembly GCF_000001405.40 of Homo sapiens. Classification (NCBI taxonomy): domain Eukaryota; kingdom Metazoa; phylum Chordata; class Mammalia; order Primates; family Hominidae; genus Homo; species Homo sapiens. Next base: position 214,980,402 of record NC_000001.11, read on the forward strand.
ATCGTAAAGAATTATTGCAAGGACAATGGTATACCAATATTGGGGAATGTCTTTTCTGAACTAAATGAGATAGAAGCCATTGAGTCTAAGGGATTGATTATAACAGGAAGAACCAAATGGAATTACGAATTCCAGTGGGTTACTTTTATTTTGAATTACCAGCAGATAGAAGAGCTCAGATGATTTAATTAGCCAAGGCATCACTGAATTTTTATTTCCTGCCCTTTATGTTCCTATTATGGCTTCTTAGCCTTTTTTTTTCCGATGTTAAGCACCATTGTATTATAGTAAATTGATTAAGTGCCTCATTGCAGCTTGCCAGTGAGAACTTCGAGGGTGTGAAACATGTCATGTTGAGTGTCCTGTGCCTGGCTCCAGACTGGGCATGAATTAGGTGCTCTGCAAAAATTGTCATGTGAATGAATAAATGAGTGTCCCTTTTCCCTGACAAATCACGCTTTCAACCCACTTCCTTGAGTACTCTTTAGATAGTCTGTTTATTCTTTTATGTCCTCTCCGTGAGTGAATTACCTCTGAAATCCAAGAAACATTAAAAAAAAAATGGAAATACAAAGTCACAAGACTTTGATTCCCAAAAGGATTTCTCCACTAACACAAAGTGTTTCATGTGTGTGAGGAGAGAACCAAAATCAGTCTGGCACCTTAGTGACAATAATTGACAGGCTAACAAGCCGTGCTTTGCCTGATAAATCGCAGAGGACTGGGTGTGTTTTTCATACCCTGCCAGTTTTAAGCTTCTATCTGACAGCTGTCTGTCAAGCTGCAGCAAGAAGAACGGGCCCCAGGGAGACCCAGTGCTGCTCCCGAAAGCCCGGCTGGATATGAAAGTTGGCCTTGCTTTCACTACGATGCGATCTTTTTCTCTGGGTCTGAAACCTGAGATATTTTCATTATCCCAATTTGTTAGAAAGGTGGGTCTCTGGGATTTAGAGTCAGTTGCAGTGACAGGAACTTGCCTGTCCTTAAATTCTACTGCCTGGAGACAGCCTATTAAAGGAGATATAGATTTGAGAATCAGAGAGACACTTTTACGTGTGTGAAAGTAAGCAAATATCAATGCATTCCTGAGTCTGTCAATAAGAAGTGTGTATGACACTTGTTTCACAGAACTGTTGTGAGACTGGAGGTAACAAGACTGGAGTTTTGTTTGGCAATGTCTAGAGACATTTTTGTCTGTCAGAACTGGTGCTGCTGGCATCTAGAAGGTAGAGACTAGAGATGCTGCTCAACAACCTACAATGCGCAGGCCACCTCCTCATAAGAAAGAGGTGTCCAGCTCAAGCGTTAGTAGTGCTGAGGCTGAGAAACCCTGCTGGAGACCATTCCTGCTCTAGCCCTGTGCAGAAGCTCATGGGTTTAATTTCTAGAGAGTTTGCAGCCTCTTTCTCTTTAAATAAAGCCCTCTTTGGAAACCCACCAGCCAACCAGTGCTCCCCATTTAAAAAGGATTTGGGCTTTAATCTCTTAAAATTAGGTGAAACTAAGATTTAATTTTATATGTTCTGTAACAACTCTATTTTAGTGATTCAAAGAGCCATGGTATTCCTCAGATCTGAAACCTGTGCTATCTTCTTATGGTCTCACAAAATCCTCCAGAATATCTCCTCATACCAATGCTCATCCCTGGACACTCTCCATGGTGTGATGTGTGGGGTGTCTGCTCATGTGGGATCTGCTTTCTGGCTCCTGGCTTACTGTAATTATGGTGTCATTTTGTTGGAAGAGTTTACTCACCACCTTCAGTTTACTGGTCTATTATGGGCTGAATTGCCAATCTCCCTGCAATTCATATGTTGGAGTCCTAACCCCTAGTACCTCAGTATTTGGAGCCAGGGTCTTTGAAGACATAATTAAGTTAAAATGAGGTCAGATAGGTGGGCCTTAATTAACATGATTGGTTTCCTTATAAGAAGAGGGGATTAGACACAAACACAGAGAGAAGACCATGTGGAGACACAGGGAGGACATCGCCATCTATAAGCAAAGGAGAGAGGCCTCAGAGGGAACCAACCCTGCTGACAGCTTGATCTCAGACTTCCAGCCTCCAGAACTGAGAGCCAATAGACTACTGTTGTTTAATCCACCCAATCTGTGCAACTTGGTTATGGCAGCCATAGCAAATTAATACACTGGCCTTCACATTAAGTACACCATCTTCTAAATGTAAATAGGTGCATGTCTTCTGATTATCCAGTCCTTCTTTTTACTTATTCTGCATCCCTTTCTTTTTCTGTTCTTTCTTTCTTGTACTGGCCTGAGCTCTCCTTATACCACACTAGAAATCATGAAGGGAACTTTGAGGGAAGGCCTGTCCTTTCTCCTTCCCTAGGTTTTCATCACTCCTGAAGTACACAGTGTTTTAATATAGTGGTTCTCAATGTGTGGTCCCTGGGCCAGCAGCATCAGCGTCACCAGGGAACTTATTAAAAATGCAAATTCTCAGGCTTTCCCTCAGACCTACTGAATCAGAAACTCTAGGGATAAAGCCCAGAAATCTTCGTGTTTAAGACTTCCTGGGGATTCTTATGCACACTCAAATTTGAGACTCTAGTAATGGTGTCTTAAATTCTCAGAGAATTCTTTTTTTGTTCTCCACACGATCACTTCTGCCTACAAAGACTCTTCCATATCTGAATCTTGGAGTGACATATCATCCTTTTATTCAAATATCCTTCAGCTGCTTTAATACAGGGAAATCAGCAGTAGGTTCAAAGATATGGTGACAGAAAACTCAATTCTCTAATCATCCTTCCATCAAGATAGGAGCATTGGCTATTGCTTCTCCTGGAAGTTATTTTTCCCTGACCGAAGTGGAAATGTCTTTATCCCAAGTTGCAATGTTAAATATCCTTTTGTATTATCATCAGGCTAGAAGTTCCAGATTTCTGTGGTTTCAGATGAAAGGAAGAGGGGTGGGGATCTTAGTCATTTTAGATAAACAGTAAGAACTTCAAATTGTAAAGCATTTCTTAGGTACAAAGCTCTTCTTACATCCTGAAACATTAGTTTTCTCATCTGTAGAGTAATAGAGATAAGTAGATAAGTAAAAGAGATAATGAACTCACAAGTTTGTTTTAAAGCCTTATTAGCAAGCTAATAAACTAAAGCTAAAGCTAATCTAAAAGCTAAGCTAAAGCTTGCCAATAAGGCTTTAAAACAAACTTATGAGTTTCATTCTCTATCTCCCAGATGGGAAACTGAGGCTCAGATAAGTCATATGACTCAAATGGTCAGTCCTGGAAAGAGATAACTTGGGCCCCATTCTCTCTAACTGATACTTTCTGTTATGGTTTGGCTGTTTCCCAATCCAAATCTCATATTGAATTGTAGCTCGCATAATTCCCATGTGTTGTGGGAGGGACCCGGTGGGAGATAAAATTGAATCATGGGGGTGGTTTCCCCCATACTGTTCTTGTGATAGTGAATAAGTCTCATGAGATCTGAGGGTTTCATTAGGGGCTTCGGCTTTTGCATGCTCCTCATTTATTCTTGCTGCCACCATGTAAGAAGTGCCTTTCACCTCTTACCATGACTCTGAGGCCTCCCCAGCCACGTGGAAGTGTAAGTCCAATTAAGATTCTTTTTCTTCCCAGTCTCAGGTATGTCTTTATCAGCAGGATGAAAACGGACTAATACAGTAAATTGGTACCAGTAGAGTGGGGCATTGCTGAAAAGATACATGAAAATGTGGAAGCGACCTCGGAACTGGGTAACAGGTAGAGGTTGGAACAGTTTGGAGGGCTTAGAAGAAGACAGGAAAATGTGGGGGAAGTTTGGGATTTCCTAGAGACTTGTTGAATGGCTTTGACAAAAATGCTGATAGTGATATGGACAATAAGGTCCAGGATGAGGTGGTCTCAGATGGAGATGAGGAACTTGTTGGGAGCTAGAGCAAAGATGACTCTTGTTATGTTTTAGCAAAGAAACTGCTGGCATTTTGCCTCTGCCCTAGAGATATGTGGAACTTTGAAATTGAGAGAGATAATTTAGGTATCTGGCAGAAGAAATTTCTAAGCAGCAAAACATTCAAGAGGTGACTTGGGTGCTGTTAAGGGCATTCAGTTTTAAAAGGGAAGCAGAGCATAACAGTTCAGAAAATTTGCAGCCTGACAATGTGATAGAAAATAAAAATCCATTTTTCTGAGAAGAAATTCAAGTCGACTGCAGAAATTTGCATGAGTAATATGGAGCTGAATGTTAATCCCCAAGACAATGGGGAAAATATCTCCAGGGAATGTCAGAAATCTTCATGGCAGCCCCTCCCATCACAGGCCTGGAGGCCTAGGAGAAAATGGTTGTGTGGGTTGGGCCCAGGTGTGTGCAGCCTAGCAACTTGGTGCCCTACATCCCGGACACTCCAGCCATGACTAAAAGGGGCCAAGGTACAGCTCAGACTGTTGCTTCAGAGGGTGGGAGCCCCAATCCTTGGCAGCTTCCACATGGTGTTGAGTCTGAGGGTACACAGAAATCAAGAACTGAGGTTTAGAACCTCCACCTAGATTTCAGAAGATGTATGGATGCCCAGGCAAAAGTTTGCTGCAGGGGTGGGGCCCTCATGGAGAATCTCTGCTAGGGCAGTGCACAAGGGAAATGTGGGGTCAGAGCCCCCACACAGAGTCCATAATGGGGCACTGCCCAGTGGAGATGTGAGAAGAGGTCACTGTCCTCCACACCCCCGAATGGTAGATCCACTGACAGCCTGCACTGTCAAAGTCGCAGACTCTCAATGCCAGCCTGTGAAAGCACCCAGGACGGGGATTATACCCTGCAAAGCCACAGGGGCAGAGCTGCCCCAAACCATGGGAACTCACCTCTTGCATCAGCATGATCTAGATGTGAGATCTGGAGTCAAAGAAGATCATTTTGGAGCTTTAGAATTTGACAGCCTGTTGGATTTCAGACTTGCATGGGCCCTGTAACGCCTTTGTTTTGGCCAGTTTCTCCCATTTGGAATGGCTGTATTTACCCAATACCTGTACCCTCATCTTACGTAGGAAGTAATAGCTTGCTTTGGATTTTACAGGCTCATAGGTGGAAGGGACTTGCCTTGTCTCAGATGAGACTTTGGACGTGGACTTTTGGATTAATGCTGAAATGAGTTAAGACTTTTTTTTTTTTTTGAGATGGAGTCTCGCTCTGTTGCCCAGGCTGGAGTGCAGTGGTGCGATCTCGGCTCACTGCAAGCTCAGATTCCTGGGTTCACACCACTCTCCTGCCTCAGCCTCCTGAGTAGCTGGGACTACAGGCACCTGCCACCATGCCCGGCTAAGTTTTTTTTTGTATTTTTTAAGTAGAGACGGGGTTTCACCGTGTTGGCCAGGATGGACTCGATCTCCTGACCTTGTGATTTGCCCGCCTTGGCCTCCCAAAGTGCTGAGATTGCAGGTGTGAGCTACTGCGCCTGGCCTGAAATGAGTTAAGACTTTGAAGGAACTATTGGGAAGGCATGATTGGTTTTGAAATGTAAGGACATGAGATTTGGAGGGGCTAGGGGCAGAATGCCATGGTTTGGCTCTGTGTCCCCACCCAAATCTCATCTTGAATTGTACTCCCATAATTCTCATGTGTTGTGGGAGGGACCTGGTAGGAGGTAATTTGAATCATGGGGACAGTTTCCCCCATACTGTTCTTGTGGTAGTAAATAAGTCTCACGAGGTCTGATGGTTATATCAGGGGTTTCCACTTTTGCATCCTCCTCATTTTCTCTTGCCACCGTCATGTAAGAAGTGCCTTTCACCTCCCGCCATGATTCTGAGGTCTCCCCAGCCAAGGAGAACTGTAAGTCCAATTAAATCTCTCTTTCTTCCCAGTCTCAGGTATGTCTTTATCAGCAGTGTGAAAACGGACTAATACACTATCATTAAAAACCAAGACAAAGCCCATTTGCTTTGTTTTTAGTACTGAACAGGAACAGTCCTGCCATTCAGGAGTCTCACTGACACGTGCTTGGGAAATGAATTATGTTTCTTTCTTCTTCTAGCTGTGGATTCATGGCCTCACTATATGCAACTAAGCTGTGTATCCATGGCCTCACTATAAGTAACTAAAATGTACAGGCTCAGAGGGCCCTGCTTTCAATTCTTTTCTGTAAATTTACAGAGGAAAGAAGACAGAATTCTTACTCTAGCTAACTGGAACTAGAGCTGAGTTAAAAAAAAAATGAATTGTGACAAATGCAAACTCTAAGTAGCATGGTACTGTCAGTGGTAGTGGGACTTTGGAGGGCTGGTGACAAACAGCTGCAGGATGCCCTGGAGATGAAAGTGCCTTTTCCTGAGCTCGCTGGTTGCCTACATAAAGGAGCCTCAGGACCTTCAGGGAAGGAGATGGGACATAGTTCGCCACAAGTGGGACAAGTTTCTATATTTGAATATTGACCATTGTCTGATGCAAAGACTCTGGTTGACACTACAAATAATCTACAAATAATTACTGAAAAGGCAACAAGATACCTTCATGTAGAACACTTTGCAGGAAACTGGAAAGCCCTGATGAAACTTCAGTGGAGCAGCAGAATGAGAGAGAGTGGTTCTTGTGTGTGCATGTGTGTGTGTGTGTATGTATATCAGATTGTCCTTGCAGAAACACAAATTTCTCAGAGCCATGGAAATAGAAATGGAATTTTCCTAGGTTCTCTTAAGGAGAAATGGATGCCAAGATTTAGGGTATAATTAGAGTTTGTTAAAGTGTGTTCTTGGCAATCACCTATTTAGTAGGTATTTTATGTCTTTTTTTTTCACCCTCCACTTCAAGGTGAGAGTCAATTGTTTGCCATTTTTTAGCTTTACTTTAAGTATTTTTAAAGAAGACGTGTTTTGTTGATATGATGAAATATGAGCAAAAAAGTCATGGCATATCTGAAAACCACATTAAGTGGGTATAGAGTCATGTTTTCTCCCTGGGAGTTCACCAAATATCTACAAAATGTGTTCACAGAGAAATGAGTTAGATTATCATTTGTGATTGACAATAATTTTCTCAATTCTATAAAATCATATCTACCTCAATGAAGGCAATCTACCCTAAATGCCATGTTGAGCTTATTTGCATAAAAAGCACAAAAATCACCCAGAAAGTAAGAAGCATAGAGAAACAGAAAATATTCTAATGGGTAAAGATAAGAGATACAGAGGATCAGTATTGAACTTCGATATCCAATTCATAGGAATTCCAGAAGAATGGAATACAGAAAAGCAAAGGGAGAAAATTACCAAGGAAATAATAGAAGACAGTTTCTCAAGACTCAAGAATGACATAGATTTTTAATTTGAAAGAGGACCATTGAGAGCCATGTGGAATGAAGGGAGACATCTAGACACAGCAACAAGGGTAAGAGAAGTGACAAAATACCTGATGAAGGAAAGTAAAACATAACTTAAAACAAACAAAAAGTACCTAATCTTTCTTACTAGCAGCAGCAGTCCTCCAGGTTCTGAAGAATTATTTGAAATTTAAAATGTGATGGCCTGTGAAATAAATCAGGTATCACAAATTAATAAACAGGTGTCCTTTTCAGACACACAGGTAAGTACTCAGAAAGTTTATGTCCTGGAGACTTTGCTGAGAATGTTCCCCAGAAAAACCAAACAAATAACTAAAAAAAAAAAAAAAAAAAAAGGTGGGAATAAGAATCAGTGGATCTATCTCAGGGACTCAATGAAAATAAAGTACATTTCTATGATAATGACATTGGGACACTGGGGATTGGCTCTAGATTCCTCACCCCTAAATGTGGGCAGGTATATTCCTTCTCTTAATGTGGGAGAGAGGAACAGTTAGGAAGTGAATGCCTCTAGATCTTCAGGGACTTCTTGAGTTCTGTGTTTAGTCAATTTCATACCAAGCAAATTGTACTATCTGAACTCTTGTGCGTTTTATGAAAGTACACACAAATCGATATGGAATATTTTTCATTTACCATAGAATAATGCAATCCTATATTTTATGTGATTGCATTTTTTTGGACCCCAGTCATTGAGTAATGGTGTGTTTTCTGTGTATCCCAGAAAAGAAACATTATATGCAATACATGTGAAAAGCAAATGATTCAACAGTTTTTTAAACTTTTACTTTAGGATCAAGGGTACATGTGTGGGTTTCTTATAAAATAAACTCGTGTCACAGGAGTTTGTTGTACAGATTATTTCATTTGTTGTACTGATTATTTCGTACCCAACAGATTATTTTTTTTGATCCTCTCCCTCCTCCCAACCTCCACCCTCAGGGGGGCCCTTGTCTGTGGTTCCCCTCTTTGTATCCGTGTGTTCTCAAAATGATCCGTATTCTTATTGGCAACCTATTACTCCCTTACCACTGAGGCATAATTTTGACTTTGCTTCAAGAGCACCATGCCTTCCTGGTTGTCCCAGTACCTCGTAGCCACTCCTTCTCAGACTCCTTTGCTGGTTCCTTCTTGTTGTTTCATTCTCTAAAATGATGGAAGATCCAGGACACAATTCTTATATTACTTCTTTTCTCTATCTGTACTCATCACTCTATACTCACTCCCTGGGTGATTTCATCTCATCTCATGGCTTTTGATACCATCTCAATACAGATTAATCTAAAATTAATATTTTCATTTCAGAATGTTCCCCAAATTTCAGACTTGTTTATCCAACTGTCTGCCTCTTGTGTGTTTGGTGGGCATATTAGATAGCACCCTCTTGACACATCCAAAATGCAACTACAGAACCTTTCAGTAAATGACAACCTCATTCAACAAGGCTTTAAAATGTGCCGTCATCCCTGACTCTTTCTTCCACATCTCACATCTAATTCCTCAGCAAATCTTGCTGGCTGTACCCTCGAAAACTACCCAGGGTCTGAATGTTTCTTAGCGTCTTCACTGCTATTACCCTCCAAGCCACTATCATCTCCTGCTGGAATTATCACAGCCTTCTCCTCACAGTCACCCTGTGTGTGCACTTTGCTTCTCATGTTCTATTCACAAGGCAGCTGCCAGAGGGATCCTCTTAAAAGGCAAACCAGATCGTGTTATGCTTAAAACCCTCCACTGGCTTCCTAATTCACCCAGTGTAGCAGCCAAAACCATCTCAATGGCCAGCAAAACTTTACATGATCCCTTGAGGTGACCTCCATTGCCTCTCTGATCTTTCTATTCCTCCCCCTCTTCTCTGTCCATTCCAGTAGATGCCTTGCTTTTCTTCAAGCATGCAAGGGAGGTATGCTGCCAGCTCTGAGGCTTTGTATTTCCTGCCTGGATTCTCTTTCCCTGAGTATATCACCTCCCTACCTCCTTCCTGTTCTTGCTGAAATATCATCTTCTTGGTGAAGCCTTCCCTGACCACCCATCTTAGTTTTCCTTGCATCCCTATCCCCCTTCCCTCCTTTTTTTTTAAACCTTTGTCAATATTATCACTACCTGAATTACTATATAAATTTACTTATTTATTGGTTTGTTGTCTCTTCCTATGCAAACTGAGATGTAGTTTTCCAAAGGCCAGAAGTTTTTGTTTGTTGCTGCACCCTAGGTTTTAGAATGGTTGCTGATACTTAATAGGTGTTCCGTAAATATCTGCTGAATAAATTGTTGAACAAATACATTGGCTTCAAGTAAAACGTTAAAGATGAATGGAACAGATTAAAAGAAATGAATAAAACAAGTGAAGTGCTGAAGAATATTAGGAATATGGTTAAGAAGGCATATATTTCTGCTCTCAATTTGAAATAACATATAGTTATATCTACACTATGTAGTGAACATTCTTACAAACAAGTAGTATAAAGGAACATGGAAAAATAAAAACAATTTTTTTAGTATTTTTTTTTTTTATGAGACAGAGTTTCACCATGTCATCCAGGCTGGAGTGTAGTGGCATGATCACAGCTCACCGTAACCTCAATCTCCTGGGCTCAAGTGATTCTCCCATTTTAGCGTCTTGAGTAGCTGGGACCATCAGCTCATGCCACCATGCCTGGCTCATTTTTTAATTTTTTTTTTGTAGAGACAGGTTATCATTATGTTGTGTAAGCTGGTCTCGAACTCTTGGGCTAAGGTGATCTTCCTACTTCAGCCCCCTGGAATTATGGATGTGAGCCATTGTGCCCATCATCTAGACATTAATTTTTAAACATTTTCTTAAAAGTCAATGAAAATTGGAGTTACTTTTACATGGACCAGAGTTTAGCTGATTCCAAACTGTAAAAGCTACAAACTTAAAGAATCTTTTCTGTGAACAGTACTTTGGTTTTTTTTGATTCAGTGCAGTGGATTTGGTCTCAAGGAAGATGAGCTTGAACATCACCTGGAAGTTTGTTAGAAATGTCAGTTCTCAGACCACACTCCAATCTGCTGTGTCAGAAACTCTGGGGATGTCTCACTTGCATTCCTTGAACCACTGGCTTGGTGGGTGTGGAATGTTGTTCTTACTCATCATTTCCTCTCTTAGACATTTTTTCTCCCTCCTCACAATGTACGCACACACACATCATCATCATCACCATCATCGTCGTCATTACTGGACCAGTCTTACTACCCATTATGTCTTCTTAATTATCATTATCCATTATCCTCTGCTCCCTATACAAAGTAATATTTTTCCCATCTTAAAACACCAAACAAAAATTTAAAAAAATCCTTCTCTTGAACTTCCTTTTTCTTCTACTCACTCTTCCATTTCTCCCCTTCCTTTTGCAGCAGAACTCTAAGAAATTCTCCAAAAATTCTCCCTTTTTTTTGTGAACCCACTAAACTAGACTTTTACTGATACTTCTTTCCTAAAACTGCTTTTACCATCACTTCACTTTGTTAAATCCAATGAGTGATGTTTGCCCTTCATCCTACCTGAACTGCCAGCAGCATCTGATAATTTATCACACTTTCTTTCTTTCTCTCATAACTTCAAGTCACCACACTCTCTCAATTTTTCTTCAACTCAGTCATTTTTGCTAGTACCTTCTCATGTATTTGAGTACTAAACATGTTCTATTTCATTCTATGCCCATTCCTACATGGTTTTGTCTACTACCATGGCTTTAAATACCATCTATATGTTGATGACTCCCAAATTTCTGTCCCTAGACCCAACTGGCACCCTGAATTCTAGAGTTCAAACGGACACTCAAATATTTACTCACCATATTCATTTTGATGATTAATAGGCATCCAAAATGGAGCTCCTGTATATTCCAACCCATACCTCCTTCTTTATGGTCATTCCTATTTGAGTTGATGGTAACCTCATTCTTCCATGAGCAATGGCCAGAAACCTTGAGTTACCCTTGGCTTTTTTTTCTCTTTCACACCACGTCCAAGCTGACAGCAAACTCTGTTGGCTCTACGTCAAAATGCATCCAGAATTTGACCACTTAACATCTTCTCCACTGCCATTACTCTGCTCCACGCCATCATTAATGTTGCCTGGATCATGTAGGAGCCTCCTAACTGGTTTTGCCTCTTCTCTTGTCCCATGGAGTTAATTTGAGAATAAACAGCACCAGATTGATCCTGCCAAACCTTAGTTAAATCTTATCACTCTTCGACTCAAATCCTTTCAGCGATGTCGTCTCTAGCTCAGAATACAAAACAAAGCCCTTATAATGATTTAAAAACTCTTCCATGATGAGCCCACGATTATCTTTTGGATCTAAATTCCTACTCACACTGTTCTTGCCACACTAACCTCTTTGCCATTTGCTTAAACACTCCAGACATATAATTCCACTCCAGGTGGTTTTCCCTACACTTGCTGCTCTCTTCGCCTGGAGTGTTTTCCTCCAGGTATTCACATTGCTTCCTTCCTCATGTCCCTGAAGTCATTACTCAAAGATCACAATTCTGATGGCATGTTATCGTACATTATAATTCTCTCCGCTGCAGTTTCACTCTCCCTTTCATTTCTTTTCTTTTTTCTTTTTTTTTGAGACCGAGTTACTCTGTCACCCAGGCTGGAGTGCAGTGGTGCAATCTTGGCTCACTGCCACCTCCACCCTCCCAGGCTCAAGGGATTCTCCTGCCTCAGCCTCTGAAGTAGCTGAAATTACAGGCGCCCACCACCACGCCTGTCTAATTTTTGCATTTTTAGTACAGACAGGGTTTCACTATGTTGGCCACACTGGTTTCGAACTCCTGGTCTCAAGTGATCTGCCTGCCCTAGCCTACCAACGTGCTGGGATTAAAGATGTGAACCACCGTGCCCGGCCTATTGCCTTTCATTTATTTTCTTCTTGCCTTACAACTCAGCACTATACAACATTCGGTTCATTTTATCTACTTGTGTTGCTCATTGTCTCTCTTCCTTACTAGAATATAAACTTGAGCAAGGTGGAAATCGTGCCACTTTTGCTGTATCCCAGCATCTACAGCAGTGCCTGGCACATGCTAGGGACTTCATGCGTATTTATTGGAAAACAAAAATGAAAAACGTGAGCTCTTCATTTCAAAAAAAGTATTTCCACTCATCCACAGGTCTAAGGAATAATTTAAAATTCTTGTACTTTTAACAAAGAATTTACGTGTTTTTGTGATAACTTTGTTAAAGCCTATGCCTCCCTCTTGTTTCTTAGCAACATGAGGACTGCATCTGGGTCTGTTTTGCTTACAACTGTCTAGGGCAAGGACTAAGTGAGGGAAGCAAAGTATTTGTTTTGGGCATAAAAATAAATTTGGGATTGGCGGTGGGTAGAAGAACAAGGCCAAAGGACTCCATAATCAAGATAGATTATATATTTTAATGAAAGATTTTTAAAAAGTCAAAATTAATGCAAAAATCTGCGATAACATCATACCCAAATTTTGAGTAAAATTGGATCAGTATCACCAATTTCCTTCACCTCAAATTCCAATATGACTCTGTTTGGTGTTGATTGTATCCATTGGCACCTGATAATCATTTGTTGAATGAATAAATAAACCCAGCAAAGGTGTGGTAGGGTAAGAGGATATCTCTTGTGCTTTGGCTTTAATAACTAGAACAACCGACACTGACTATGGCTCAGGCACTGATCAAAGTGTCATACACATATGACAACTTATGTAAGCCCTCCCCAAACCCTATAAATAGTTATTATAATTAGCATCCCCATTTTACAGATACAGAAACTGAGGTCTAGAGAGACAAAACAACTTGTGTGAGTTCATACACTAGTAAGTGGCAGAGCTAGGCTTGATAGTAGCATTGTCAGGTCTTCCATGGACAGGAAACCTGATGGGTCTGCAAGATACCAGGAAACATTCCAGGAAAAGGGAATCTAAGCAAATTCCTTTTAACATTATACAGCAAGTTTGTACAGACACCATAATGAATCATGAAAACACAGGAAAAAGCAGATGTCATGATCCAAACACTAGGCTGGAGAAACTAATGTGGAATTATTTTATGAAGCATGTCAAACATATGGAAGAAATTACAAAGCAGGGCCATTATAGTTGTTTTGCTTTGTTTTGCTTTTTAGGTACCATTGGCTTCAAGAGCCAAGGTATAGTATAGAAAAAGAAAAAAATGAAGGGAAGAGAAATTATCCTATCCTCTGTAGTAGCAGACAGAGGTTGCTCTGATTTTTTTTTCATTATAAACTTTAAACCAGGGGTTCTCAACACCCTGGACCATGGACCAATATTGGTCCATGCCCTGTTAAGAACTGGGCCACACAGCAGAAGGTGAGCAGTGGATGAATGAACTTCATCAATATTTACTACATCTATGTCTATATTTACTGTATCTATATTACTATGTTCATATCTATATATACTTGATCTATATCTATATTTACAGCTGCTTCCCATCACTCGTATTACCGCCTGAGCTCTGCCTCCTGTCAGATCAGCTGTGGCATTAGATTCTCCTAAGAGTGTGAGCCTTATTGTAAACTGTGCATGTGAGGGTTCTAGGTTGCACACTCCTTATAAGAATCTAATGCCTGATGATTTGTCACTGTCTCCCATCACCCCCAGATGGGACCGCTTAGTTGCAGGAAAATAGGCTCAGGGCTCCAACTGATTCTACATTATGGTGAGTTGTATAATTCTTTCATTGTATATTACAATGTAATAATAATAGAAATAACGTACGCAATAAATATAATGTGCTTGAATCAATCCAAAACCATCCCCTCCTCAAACGGTCAGTGGAAAAAACAGTCTTCCATAAAACCAGTCCCTGGTGCCAAAAGAGTTGGGGACCGCTGCCTTAAGCCATCTTTCCCAGTGAGAAATTATTTATGGCATCCTTAGGAGAATTCAAGCACCTCACTATGCTCTAAATGGTTTTGCATATAAATGGTGAGATCACAGGTGGAGATCACTTGCTAGAGATTATTTACCAGTCTATTCATAGCAAATGCCATTGACTTTAGCCACACTAATTTGGAATTTATGCTACAGGGGTTCTGTTGAGGTTTATTATACTATAGAATAATTACCATTCAAAATGTGTAAGCAAGTTTTTAGGAAGTAACATTAACGTATTTAATCTAATATAATCTCTATACCCTTATCAGAGCATGGCCTCCCTTGCTGTGTGTGAAATAGTTTTATTGCATTTCTTGAATGTTGGGTGATAACAGATATAACAGATGACAGATATAAGTCTTACAGAAACACATTAAGGATAAACAAATGTGGGAGGACTTTCCTGTTTGAAGTCTATATTTTGAAACAAGTGGCAAAATACTTGAGTAGTCACATCAATTTGAATTCCAGGCCTTCAGCAAAAGCTTTTGATTCCCCTTTCCTGATCCTTCCCAAACCTTGCCTGCAGATGTATATTCAACTTGGACCCTGAAGCCACAGGCTCACCCTCCTGGGTGCCAAAACTATTCACACTGGCAGTTCCACCTATGTATTTGCACTAGAAAAAAATAAGAAAATAGAAAAGTAAAATAATAATAACAAGAAAATAAAAAAAATGTATCCAACCTTGGTCTCCAAGTGCAAGTTTGTATTTTAATCTAACTTATTTTAAGATGTGTTAAAATAAAGTCAGATTTTCTTTACTCCTCTTTTAGTTTTACATGAATTTCTGGGACCCTTTGGGAGCCCAAGGGGATTGACACTCTGCTTAGTGGTTTTTACAAGACTCTGTGGGTGCTTACACACCAGCACGAATTTTTTGTCATGTGTTCTTGGGAAGTGAGAATCAGATTTGTTGATTTTTGCTAGATGCAGGGAATGATTCTCGTCCATAGTCACTGAAAGCTCCTGTGGAAATAGACGCATTTTAAAGCAATGATTTCAAAAGAGGAACATAGGCCCAAAGTGCCATTTTTCAATGTAAGCTGTAAACTTACTTAGTATCTCTCAACAGGAAAATAAGATTCAGGGAATGCTGAGACCAGGTTCCTTTGATATTTCTTCAACTAAGCGTATGGCTCTAAGAAAAAGCAGGAGATTTATAATAGCGGTTCTGTTAGGCAATATCAAACTAGATTGCAGTCCTAAGTTACAGGCTGTAAGACGGCTGAGGCAAACTTGCTAAAATCGCTCTGCTATAAATTAGTTGTGTGGCCTTGGGCAAGATGTTTCTCTTTTCTGGGACTTGGAGTTTTGTGGGGTTTTTCTTCCCTCTATAATTTTTTTCTCACATTTATGTAAGATGAAATTAATAAGTTCTCAGATATAATTTCATTCATCCATTTGCTGAACAAATAAATGTATATTGATCGTCTACTTTGGTACCAGGCTATGACCAGGTGCTGATAATTCAGTGACAACTAGGACCAAGCTAGAGTTTAGAATTTAGTGATGAAGGACATACATTAATCAAACATCATTTGAAAGGAAAGTTATAAATGTAATAACTTCAAAGGGGGAAAATGCTTTGAGCTAAGAAAGCATCTATTAATAAAAGGGGAAATTGAGCTAGTCTACCATGGGTGTTATATTTTGTGCAAGGGATAATTTAGGAAAAATAAAGTGTTTATGATCATATTTTTTGACTCAAAAATAGTTTTACTAAATTTCATAGAACAAAATTTATGTTCTTATTTCATAATAGGGAGAAAAAATGTTTTAGTAGCATATATGAGAACTGAATTTCCTATAGGTAAAAATACAATTTCATTAGGAAAAACTAAGCTCTCAAAGCCTACATATAGATGAGAGAGAAAATGGGCCACATTTCTTCACAGCACTGAAGATGTAGGATAAGGAGAGGCAATGTCTGGAGTGGAGTGGCCAAGATGACAGATGGTGAAGCAATGTGAGATGTGTCGCTCTTATGATCCTTTAGGCATTAGAGCTACTAAATCCCACAAATCAATGCTGTGCGTCTTCGGGCTTTCACAAAAGTATAGCACTGGATTTGAGGTAAAGTTCAATAAAATTTCTGTGGGGAAGTGGGTCCAGAAAAATGTCTGAATTATACTGTAATTCAAATTATATAGTCGGGCGTGGTGGCTCACGCCTGTAATCTCAGCACTTTAGCAGGCAGAGGCGGGTGGATCACCTGAGGTCAGGAGTTCGAGACCAGCCTGACCAACATGGTGAAACTCCATCTCTATTAAATACAAAAAAATTAGCCGGGAGTGGTGCTCCATGCCTGTAATCCCAGCTACTTGGGAGGCTGAGGCAGGAGAATTGCTTGAACCTGGGAGGCGGAGGTTGCAGTGAGCCAGTAATGCACCATTGCACTCCAGCCTGGGCAACAAGAGTGAAACCCCATCTCAAACAAATAAAAATAAATAAATAAATAACAAATAAATAAGTAAATAAATAAATAAATAAAATGCTATATTAAGTAGAAGAGTGCTAAAGAGAAAATCGACCCTGGTTTTTAACTAATGAAATGGTATCTGGTCTCTCTGATGCTTGTATTCACATCCTCTCAGCTTCACTTCAATGTGGACTTCAACACACCTAATGACAATAGTATTTTCTCTTATGTGTACATTTCTTTTTACAGGTAGAGGACCACTCACTTGTCAAATTTGTTTGTACCTAGAAGTGAGCAGATGAACACCTCGGGGCATCCCTTAGGGAATGTGGGAGCAGATGAATAAATTCCCAAGCTGATCCTCAGGTGAACAATTCTAAAAGGCAATAATAAGCTTTTCATAAGGCCTCCAGCAAGACCAAGTGTTCATTACCCATAGCAGTGACTTACTAAAAAATTAGGTTTTCCCTTTTTCATTATTCTTTCCATTCCTTCTCTCCTGCTCCTTGGAATTACTCCTCAAATTGACTATCTACAGACAAGTCCTTATCTCAGGATTTGCTTTGGGGAGAAAGCCAAAGTATGACAAATAATAAAACCTGTGCATTATTTGGAAGAAAGCAACCTGGATGCAGCTTTCTATCTTTTGACCTCTGAATTTGTTAAGTCCTTTGGAATTCACAAGCTGATGTCATATTATTATTGCATTTCATCCTTGAAATTATCCTGAGTAAGAATTATTATTATCCTCACTGTACAGATGGAGAAACTAAGGCTCAAAGTGAGGAAGTGACAAGTGACTTGCTCAACGGCATGTGGAAGTTGCCCACATAGACCTAAGATTAGGTAATCCATTCAATACAACCTTCATGACATGCCTATTATGCGCCAGGCCCTGATCTAGTCACAGACGCTATCTCTTCCCCTTTTCCCCCTGGACTCTCTCTCTCTATGTCATAGGTTCTCTTCTTTCATTGGGCTGCCCTAGATCAAGTCCAGAAAAAAAGGGGCACACTGGGCTCAGAAGCCTCCAGCCCCTGGAAGGACTAATTGTTAGGACACTCAGGGTGCCATCTTCCCAGTGATGCTTCTGCCCTCAGAGGGCCAGAGACCCAATTTCTTCTCCCTTTACCTCAGAGGTGGCTTTGCCTCTGCCTTGATTTTACGCTTTGAGGCACGCTCAGGCTGACAGCCTAGGATCAACAATTCTAAAAAGACTCCTCATCAAAAAGGTTGTCTTGGTAGCTTTTCTAATTCCTCTGGTTGGTAAGTGTTACAATGTTATGATTGAAATTAGATGATGGAATATATCTCAAGGCTGTGTAGATCATGGTTCACTCCTAACTGTTTTGTTTTTGTTTTTTGTGGGGGATGGAGTTTCACTCTTGTTTCCCAGGCTGGAGTGCAATGGCGTGATCTTGACTCACTGCAACCTCCACCTTCCGGGTTCATGCGATTTTCCTGCCTCAGCCTCCCGAGTAGCTGGGATTACAGGCCTAATTGTTTTGAAGTGTGTTGACTCTACTGTAGTTTATGAATGAATATTAAGTTATTCTTAAACCACAGATAGGGAACAACCAAGTACAAATGGTCTAATTCCTAAAAATGAACCATAAATGGGCATAAAATTTAAGTAAATGATCCTGATTTGGATCAATAATACTGAACTGCCAGCCGGCAAACTAATGTGTATGCCCTTCTTTAGAAATCAGAAATAAGAACGATGAAAATCAAATCACTGGCTGAGCATGGTGGCTCATGCCTGTAAGCCCAGTACTTTGGAAAGCCGAGGTGGGCAGACCACTTGAGGTCAGGAGGTCCAGACCAGCCTGACCAACATAGTGAAACCCTATCTCTACTAAAAATACAAAAATTAGCCAGGCATGGTGGCACGCACCTGTAGTCCCAGCTACTCAGGAGGCTGAGGCAGGAGAATCGCTTGAACCCTGGAGGCGGAGGTTGCAGTGAGCCAAGATCACGCCACTGTGCTCTGGCCTGAGCAACAGAGCAAGACTCCGTCAAAAAAACAAACAAAACAAAAAAACAAAAAAACCCCCCAAAACTCTGGAGCTTCTGTGGTTCATAAATTTTTCATTTTAATATCTTACTTCATAACATCTCCATACAGTACTTAACAATTTTACATGGTATAAATTTTGTATACTATAGCAAAGGGAAATAAATGATTATACATATAAGACATCATGTATATATATCACTATATAATTACATATAAATACATCTCTCTCTTTATATAAAAGTACTTATGTCTAACCATATGTATAGAATTATATACATACATATATACACACAGATGTCTTACCTGGACTCCTTTGAAAATTGAGCTTGAGACAAGAGTTAAATGCTAATGCTTTATTGGGAAAAGAATCCCAAGATGACTAGAGTAAGGGAAAGGAAAATGAGGCAGAGAAAAGTGGGAGGCAAATACAAGACAGTGTGTTACCATGCTGACCATGGCTTCACAAAGATCCACAAAGAGACACAGTCCTGCCATCGTCAGCTGCATCCCTGCTTGGCCTGTGTGGCATTGTTTGTACAAATGGTGTGGCAAAACTGCATCTAAACAGCCATCTGGGGAAGAAGTGAGATGACACTTGTATGCCATCTCTATTCCGTCTTCTGCTTGTTGTGGGTGAAAGTTTGCCCCCTGGAAGTTGTCTCCCCAACACTTAAGAAGTTGCATTAGTTTGTCCTTTGGCAGCTTTGGGGAAGCCAGATCCTACTCCATGTGGTGTGTATTTCTGGAATCTAAGTTTGGAAGTGATTGGAGGAACCAGGGACTCCAGAAATGTTACTTGTTTGGCCTCAGGTATAAAACCATGCAGCAGTCTCAAAGGTAGGTGTCAGGTCAGTGGCTGAGATGGAGGAAGTTGCTGAGGGTCTGAGAAGTAGGTGAGGTCAAGAGAATATGTAAGGCCATAAGGTGTGTTTGACACAACACAAGTGTATGTATCTAGACACAGCAATAACTATAGTAACAACATAATATATATTTTCAAATATCTGCGTTAATGGTGAAGACAGAGCTGTATATAAGCTTGTATAGAATACAAAATATATCAAGCTTTGGAATTTGTGTTTGTTATTATTGAGATCCAAGTAAAAGCCTAAATACAGAATAATAAAGATGTATTTAGAAGACCTGGTTTAGGAAGCTAACGAAAGCTATCTTTACCTCCCTATTTTTGCCCTTGGGTTAACCACTTGCAGTAAAATAATGGTTTCCTGGAAATAGACAGGATGGTCTTCCCCAAAATGCCAAGAATAAAATGCCTAGGATGAGATTTCTTCCCAGAGCAGAAGAAATAGATCTTTGGATTTCAAAGAGCTTCCCTCTAGGTTGCCTAGAGAATAAACAAAAAGAACCAAGGAACCAACCACGCAAGTGGAGAAGCTGAATCAATAAACTTAAAATTCAGAAAACTGCAATATAGATAACAGACTTTTGGTATACAAGACCAAGAGTTGTGAATACTTAATTATAAATATATTTTCCAGATGCTATAGGAAGAGATCTATGTAGGAAAAAGTTTGCATTCTGGAAATTAAAACTGTAAGAGATCAAAATACAATTGTTAGACCAAAATAGTTATAAACAGAAATTTAATATGTGAGCAAATGTCAAAAGTAAGTTGATTTTAAAAATAAAGGGCAATTAGGTTTGGGGTGGAGTTCTGGAAGTACCCAACCAAGTTTCATATAGAGAATGGAAGAATGCAAACTCTTGAAATGCAAAAGGTTTGGGGAGATAAAAGTACTTTTAGAAGTCTTTAATTGTGTGTTTGGTACTCAAGAATGCTGCGATCACTGTTTTTATTTATTGATGTCAGTCCTAGTACAGGAATTTGGACAGCCAGTTTAAGGTAGATAGAGGTTGCCCCATGGAAATGAAACCTCTACAGTCTGGAGTTCCAGACTGGTGGCCTATGGGGTAAATCATGCCTACAGGTGTTTTTCAAAGTGTTTTAAAAATCAGGAAATATTACATAAAATTTCAGGCTTCTTTAAAAAAATTTAAGAGCTGGCCATTCTATGCACTCAGTCCTTCAGGGAAACCACTGGCTGGAGTTGAGTAGTAGGAGTGCCTGTAATACAGTGCTCTCCAGTGACCTTATTCTCACCACTCTTTTATATTGAATCAAATCCATTCAATCATTCTTGTCTCCTGTAGGCAATTGATGTTGCGACTGCTCTCCTACCCAAACAACCATCCTTCTTAAAATTATCCCAGAGAAGTGTCATCTTTTAACTGCTTGTTAGTGTTTGTCAACTTTGGTTCCACCATTCTGAGTGGTTTTATTTGGCTCTAATTATATGTTCTTCATTGTGGTGTCTGGCCATATCTCTAACTCAGCTTCTGACACAGGTGTCATAGATTGGTGTTTTGTCTGTGCTTTCTTGGGACACATCCCACCCACTCCAACTTGGGGTTTGGTTTCTCTTTTCTGCCCTGGTACTGAAAGCTAACTCTAGTTTCACATGTTGAGGCATTTGATACTGTCCTGGGTCCATCCAACTGACTGAATATGACTCGCTTCCTACCATCAACGTGCCTATGGTTAATTGGTTGCATGAATAGCTCCAACTTTCCATGCCTCCATATATGCCCACATCCCTTGGTAGTGAGTACCTTCCCACACTGACTCTGAGTTTGACCTTGTATCTTGCTTTGGCCAATATGACCTGAACAAATTGACCTAAACGCAGGCTTTAAAATGTGCTCATACATTTTCACTTCCCCTCTTGGCTCTGGTTGCCTTGAAATCATACTTAGGTTAAGAACATGCTTGGGCTTGCCTGTGCAAGGAAAATGAAAGACCTGTACTAGTGAGGCCACCTTATATCAGCCTGCAGTCAGCTCAGTTTCATGTTAATGAGTTTGGCCAAGATCAGCAATCACCTACACAACCTGCAACTCACTGCCCGAATGAGCCCAGATGAGATCAGAATTGTCATGTTGACCTGTAGAATAGCGAACAACAATAAATGCCTACTGTTCTAAGCCATTCCATTTTGTAGTAGGTGTGTTTCATAGCAATATCTGATACAGTGTCCCAATTAGTGAGATTTTGGTTATATTTATGACATAATTTTCTCATGAGAAATGAGCCTATTGGAAGAGCTTGTGCAGTTACACACTTAGCAATATGCCAAAAATAATTCTCATTATATTTTGAAGTCACCCAGAAGAAAAAGAACAGAAAATAATTGAAGGGTTGCTTTGGGGTAGGTTGTTTAGATTCTGGAGAATGTAAACATGTCTCATCTAAAAACTGAACATATTCTGGGGACATTCAAACCCAATGTTTGTGTTGTAAGTGGCATTCCAAACCCATTTCCACAAAGGTAGAAGGATTGTGGGCTGGCATATAGAAAATATTTCCAACAAACCATTGAATGTCCTGTTACTTCGAGGTCTTTATGTAGAAATGCAAATGGAAATAAGTGCATTGGGGGACCTCAGAAGGTTTGGCAGTACATTCTAGATGCTTATCTGAGCCACACGAGTTAGGAATCTGGGATGGAAATCTCCTAAGAATAACCATTCTCACGAAATTTCCAATCCCTCTTGTTTTTGGCAGAATTTAAAATTCCGTGGAAATGGCTCATGTCACAAGACTTCTGTGTGGTGCTGGCCAGCACCAGGAAGGAGAGCAGCCCAGGAAAGGAAAACCAAACCAATGTGGCTGCATGTTTTCACGCCTTTGAAAAGGTTTGGGTTTGGCTCAAATGAAGAAAAAGCACTTGGGGTTTTTATTTTGTGCCAGTTTTTTCAAATACCATTTACCTGACTCATGAAGCTTTGAACATCAGGAAGAAACAAGGGAGTGAATAAATTTTCAATATTCTTGAGGTTCAAACATACTTGGAACAAGACTCCTTGCTGGGAGAAAGAACAGAATACCGTTGGAGCAAGATGTATTCATCCCCACCTTGCTGGGGGTCACAGTGACAATGCAATTTGTTTATCAGTCAACTCATTATGTACCAGAAATAGAGGTGAGATCAAGGTATACAAGACTTAGTTTTTCCCTTTAGATAGATCACATGAGTAACAGGGACTAACCTGAATTATCCTGTCATTTCCAGAAGTCCTCTGCAATTTTATTGTTTTTTTGTTTGTTTATTTTTGTTTTGGTTTTGTTTTGTTTTTTTGAGAAGGAGTTTTGCTCCTGTCGCCCAGGCTGGAGTGCAATGGCACAATCTCAGCTCACTGCAACCTTCGCCTCCTGGGTTCAAGAAATTCTTCTGCCTCAGCCCCCCGTGTAGCTGGGATTACAGGCCCGTACCACCATACCTGGCTAATTTTTTGTATTTTTAGTAGAGACAGGGTTTTACCACATTGGCCAGGCTGGTCTCGAACTCCTGATCTCAGGTGATCCACCGAACTCAGCCTCCCAAAGTGCTGGGATGATAAGCTTGAGCCACTGCACCTGTCCCGCTTTGGAATTTTAGAATCCAGTAATGCACATTATTTGTGTTTTTGAGAATAATTTTGCCATTTCACTCATCTCACTATTGCATACGCTAACTCCGCGACCTGTAATGTTCTATCACCTGTCCTCTGCTTGTAAAATTCCAGTTTCTCTCCCAAGTCCAGCTAAAACTCACCCTTAATCTTGCCAAATGTAATTAACTCCTCCCTCATCTTTGCTATTTCCCTACTTTGCACATATTTATATTATTGCATTTAACACACAACGTTGCATTCTTAACACAGTGCCTGGGGCATAGTAGATGTTTGATAAATAGAGATGGATTGTGCAATACACCACTACAAAACCTTTTCCCTTTTTGTAACACAGGAGCCCTCAATCAACATTAGCCTCATCCTTATCTCTCAACCAAATACTAATCTACCATTTGTCATTCCCGACATGACTGTTGTCTCAGCAGCTTCCACACACTTTCTCTGTCCTTCAAGTCCCTCTGTCAGCCTTCTCATGTACAAATATAAAAGGTCAACAAATGCTCATGGAATAGTACTTTTCCATCAGTTGGCCCAATTCTAAGGTGCTAATTTAAAGCGATCTTAACTTCCGGACTCTAGCACCATTTATAGCGCTGCATTACTTGATGTCTTATATTATGGTAATATTTGGATTTACAATACAGAAACTCCCATGAAGTTATAACAGGAGAAGGATAATTTGATTTAGTTTCTTTTTCAGGTTGCCAGTGACTGAGTACTTCAGATTATAGTGTGAGATAGTACTGATGAGGCAAAGGTCAGGGGTTCACATCTCTGTCTGGTCCACATCATATTATTATTTTTCAATTCTCTTTCCATTCCTCTCAATCTCAGCCAAATTTCCTACAGATTAGTGCAATTGAGTAAAGGGATATCCAGAAAAGAGGGCATAGGAAGGGCCTAGTAAAAACTTATTACTGGAAAAAAACAGCTGACAGTTTATGTGCTATTGCTGTGTGTGTGTGTGTGTGTGTGTGCGCGCACATGAGTGTGTGCCCATGGGAGGGCCATTTTTTGCATGTGCACAAAAATAAGTGTCTGTTTCTCATATGATCTGAAAAGTATTCATTATTTCAGTCAGATGGAAGGATTATGTTACTTGAACACTGGTATTTAATGTACATTATCACATTTATTACCATATCAAAACCAGATGTTTAAAATTGGGGCTAGAAATTCCATCATACAGATTGTGTTACTTCAGGACTACCCCACTACCTAATGTTCAGCTGTATTTTGTTATGGCTTTAATAGAGCAATAATGTGTTTCCACAAGTCTTAGCCTGATATTAGATGACATGTGGGCTAAATTTGGTGGGTTCAGCAGACTGGTAGGGGGTTATACAAACCAGAGCAACAATAAGGAAATATGTGAAAAATTATTGCTAATAGTCAAGGCCTCTCTCTCTCTCTGTTGCTCTCACTTTTGCTGTCTCTCCTTTTCTCTTCTCTTCTCTTTTATTCATTTTTCACTCCTTAAGATTTGTTGTCATTTTTACTGTCTCCAAATGTCCCTTAAACTTCTTCCAGAGGCAGCATCTACCTCTAATTACTAACTTTCTTATCTCAGCAAAAACTATTTAAAACTTTCCTCTTATTTGACTTTTTTACATGGCTTCTACAATCATAAAACAAGCATGCTCAGAAATCTGATAACATTTCTGATTTAAGAAATTATTATCGATGCAATTTAGATAAGGTAAGATAAAAAATAAAAGCCTATATGGAACGCAGCCAACGATTCATCTGTTTGCATTAATAGGTTCCAGCAATGGTTCTACAGGCACGGAAAGCCAAGCCGGTTTGCCACTGCACTTAGCAAGCACATGAGCTTAAAAATAAACTTTTGACAATGCAGATCTCTTTGTCCTTTTGGGAATGGAAAACATTATGTACTTCAAAGCATACTAAGCCTGATTTGAAAATATAGTTGGGATATTGTTACTGTGGCAGTTGGGAGGGTCTTTAGCCTTCACACAGTGCGTGGATGCTTCGTGTGTAAATGCTTGAGCCACAAACTTGTGAGAATAAGTGACGCTGGCAACTTTGATATGCTCATTCATAAGGAAGAAACTTCTGTCTTTTAAATTCTCTGGAACAACTGGGATATAGTTCCTCATTTTAATCAGGGAATTTCTTCCTGAACCAGACTGTAAAAACAGAGGATTTGAGTAGCACATTTCACTTGCATACAGCAGCGTTTGTTCGTTTTGAGTGTTTTTGTACAGGAAACTGATCTACAGGGTAACATTCACACACAAAAAGGAAACAGTATGGGACGATGGCTTGTTAGTACAAGTGACTCTGTTTTGGAAATTACGGACAAGAAACCTTGGAGGAAGAACGGCATTAAAGATCAAAAGCATGATGACTCCTGATGAAAACATCACCAAATGATGAACCCACGAGCAAAAAGGGATTTCTACTGTGAGTATCTTTGCAATAATCAAGTACCTTATTTGTTTTCAAATTTTCTAGAGTAGGCTGAGTAGATTTCCAAGCAAGTATTTGATGTAAGGAGTCTTCATTATATGAAAGTCTATAATTAAACTCATTGGGTGGTTCCAACAGAGGGTTAGTTGCTGGAATTTTTTCCATGACCTTGCAACACTGAAATAAATTGCACGTTAATTCGGTCATGTTTTATACAACAGGCATGTTACATCAGGCTTTTATTTGCGATGTGTTACTTCTGGCAATGTAAAAATTGATCAACATGTGTATCTATAAATTCCATTGCATTTAGATTCTGGTAATTTATGTTTACTTTGGTTTCATGCTGTGGTTAGTCCTGTCATCAATTTGTTCATATACAGATTTACACATATTATTTGTAGTTTACTTAGAATATTAGTTATTTCCTGAGGGAATCTTATGTGTATATTGGGAAAAAGGTGGCTTAGAATCTTGGAAATGGGGAAGAAAAGGTACGATAGTTTAAACTAAATCTTGAGAACTAAGACCTAAGTTCTTTTTACATTTCCATAGTTTATTTAGCAAGTAGTTTTATTTGAAATTATTTAGATGTCTCTATGTGAGACTTCTCACTTCACAAGAATACTGTTGTGGTCTTAGAAATGTGAATAAAACTCATCAAAAGTATAATCCTATGTACATATTAAATGTAGCAAAGTCCATCTTTAGTGCCTGTCATATAGTATGTACTAAATAAATATTTTTTGAATGCTGAATAAATGCTGGTGTTGGGTAATAGGACACGTTTCCTGTTTGTATAGTAATCATTTTACAGCAGGGTTTAATTTTATGAATGTATCTTTCAGTGTGATTGAATTCTATTTAACAAGAACTATATAATAATGGCATTACATTGTGTCACTTTTTTTCCATAAGGAATTTCCTCAAAAATCAAATTTCTGGCTAATTGCTATTCTTGGTTGTTTTTCTCTTGAAATACAGAAGAGTTTGTTCCACATTGGAAGGGTATCACTAAGTTTGGGGACCAATTCACTATATATATATATATATATATATATATATATATATATATATGTGTGTGTGTGTATATATATATGTGTGTGTGTGTATATATATATGTGTGTATATATATATGTATATATATGTGTGTATATATGTATATATATGTGTATATATATGTGTATATATATATGTATGTATATATATATGTATGTGTGTGGGTATATATATATATATATATATATATATATATATATATATATAGGCTCATTTCCAATTAGTATGTAATGTCCAGGTTCTGTTTTGTGGCATTGGGACTTGGGATCAGCACTTCTGGAGCCCCCTTTGCTGAGGGTTGATGGGTTGGACAAGACACTGGCCAAGTCCTCATGGGATGAAGACTACTTTTTAGGTTTAAGGGGCATGAAAATAAACTCAGAGGTGAAGGTGAAGATCAAAAGGCTCTTGGAGTTAAATTGAGTAGCTCTTGGAGTCAAATTTCTAGAGTGGCAGAAGAGAAACAAGAGGTATGGAGAGAGCTGGAGAGGTTAGGTCAAGCTACAGATGCCATCTCCATCTTATCTTGTGCCAGCTAACACTGTTCTAGTGCTCTAATTTCTTCTCATATCACTTAGTATAGACATGTGCTAAACTGAACACATGTCCTTCTGCTGCCACAAGTAGGAAACAAAAATGCTGTATATGTGATTTGATTGCATCTGATTAGAAGTAGTGGTGAAATCCTTTGGGTAGAAACTGACCTCAACTTCAACTAAGCAACGGTTATCATTAAGGTAAACTACTTTTGTATAATCATCTATAGCATTGGATATAAGCTTAACGTTGGATAAGCTTATATTATATAAATGTATATAACATCATATAAAACAATAGATAAATTTAAATTATCCCATCAACAGTTCTGTTCAGTCTATTACAGTAAATTAATCCAGGCAAATTGCAAATCTTTCAGAAGCAATTCTAATTAAAACAAGGCATTCTACAGGAATAGCTTGGAAGTTCTTTTAAGAATTAGGAAGTTGGTTGATAACCTGCATGAACACTTTTTCAGGCTAAAAGCATCTGGATTTATTATGCAAAATTCTGGGACCTTGACCAAGAAATGACACAATATTACAGAAGTCCTAAGTCTTTTTTTTTTTTTTTAAGGAAAAGGAAGCCATCTGATTATAATTTGAAAGCCAAGTAAGGTATGGTAGAATGATTATGATTTTGAGGATTATCTTCAAAAGGAAACCTGTAGGTTTAGATCCTCCCACAAGCAGGATCAGGATGTAGTTATTGATGACAAATGATAACTTTAGTTTTTATGGCATGCTATATTTTTTTCTGGTTACTTGTTTGACATCAAAATTTCTATAGCCAGAGCCATCTAAAAATTTGTTGCACCAGGAGGAATGAGTTCCCTGCCACTAGTGAAATGTAGATGATGAGGCTCAGCAAGGAGGAAAAAACAAGTATTTTCAGTCAGTCAAATTAGTGATGGAATTCCAGACCCCCTACTTATAAACAGAGTGACTTTGGGCAAATTACCTAACTACCAAGACTGTGGTTCCCCATATATAAAACAGGATTAATAGTTCTTCCCTCCTGTACTTTTTGTGAAGATTAAATGAGATAATTAATGTCAACTTTTTGGTAGATAGTAAGCATGCGATAAGATGGTTAAACGACATGGGCTTTAGAGACCTTTCTAACTTTGAGGTCCTAGAAATTCTAGCTGTTTAAAGTAACCTAAATTCCTCCACTGTGCTCAATGCTATTCAAAGTTGCAACTCAATAGAAATATCTATTCTCCACCTAATAGATTTCTAATAGAAAATTGTAAAGCAAATCTACATGTGCAGTAAAAAAATGAGTAAGGGAATCAGAATGCATGCTTTTTTTTTAAAGAAAGTAATGTGTTCTGTTTGCTTTAGATGCTTTAGATGTGTAGGTGATCTAAATCAATTTGATTTGTCATTCTATAGTCCTTGATGATTAAGACGGTGGAAACACCAGATTGGCCATTGCTAATTGATTTTCCCTTTCATCTTTGGTATATAACCATGTCTAATCATCTTAGAAAAGCCACTGTAGCCAACAAAGTCATTCTCAGAAGAAATGATTTTTTTTTGAAAGTTTAAGGGCTGAAACTGTTCATCTTTAAAATGTATCCTATAGTAGCTTTCTATGGTGTCTGCAAAAATCAGTATTAGGTGGGGAGTGTATTTTGATGATTTAGTTTATTGTGTCAATTTGTTCCAAACACATATGCAAAGCACTTGGGCAGAACCACCATTTTTATACTACTACTTAAACTGGCTTAAGCAATGTTTACACATCACAGATATGAAATGACAATCTAGCTGTTAGATTTGCTATCTGGAAAATTACTGTATTTGTGAGAGTGTCAGCAGCAGCTATTAAAGAAAATAATATCTTGCATAGATATAGTGCCATTTTCTTTACAAAACCATTTACATATATATATCATTTCATTTTATCTCACTTTGAAGTGGAGAGAGAAGCTATGTTTACTTCATTTGCTGCATAATGTGAATAATAAACCCAGAAATTAAGCAGAGTTGTCCAATGAAAATGGTTATGGAGTAATGAGACTTTGCATCTAGTATAATTTGTTTAATAGTCTTATGGCCATCTCTGATTTTTATCCAGAAATATATGATTCACCTGCTTCTCTAATGCTTTAATAGTGGTCTTAAACTTGAGAACTAATTAACTCTTACTTTGTATTGTGTCATCCACAGAGGCCCAACCAATCTGGCACAAAAAAAAGATATAGTATAATTGAGTACAGACCCAATTAGGTGTGCAGAAAAACCTGAGTGTCTGGAATTCTCTGTCTTCTCTACTATAAGTATATCCCAGACACTTCAAGAGAATGAAGTTATTCATATTTATTCACTTATATTTTTCATTTTACAAAGGAGTCAATTACAAATGTGCTCTTGGCTACCTTTTCTGGCTGCTGAGATAACATGGACTTGGACAACTGTATTTTATGTGTGTGTGTCTCAAATTAACAGTGACAACATCAGCTAAAACAATGCTTCACAGTTCCTCAAAAGCTGATAAACTACCTCTTAATAGGAATAGATTTTGAGGCTTGGGGCATAGTTACATCTGTTTATTTGAGTCTAGTAATCAGATGTCTTCCTTGGTATGAATAAGAGTTTCAGCCAGGTGCAAGAGAAAAACATATAACTATGAAGCAGCAGGTCCAGATATTTTTCGCAAGTTAACCACCAGTTTATTTAGAAGAGAAGTGCTGAATTTTTTATATGAGTAGCTATGTATTTGCAATATTCTTTTAGTTCAGTTTTTAATTTTCTTTTCATTTAAAAGCTTAACATTACGCATTCTGTACAATGCTTCTGATTGGTGGCATTTCATGAGAATGCAGTCTTAAAGAGGAAATCGTAGAATAGAGGGCTTCGATGCATTTTGAATTTCACTGAATGAATCTTAGAGAAGACCTTGCTCTGCATGTGCATAGCTCAGACTGTGTTATCCTTATTATTCCTCCCTCCTATGAGAGAAACAGACTCTAAGGTTAGACTAAGTGCAGCAGAGCTAATAGAGGTGCGATTACAAGTCATTAAATACCATGACGCCAAAGTGTTTTGTTTCCATTAGGCTGCTTTTGTTCTTTTGAAACCCGAGGTAAGAGGTCAAGGTGAATTGAACTGCAATGTGTAAAAAGCAACCAGCAACTTTTCATACCTTGGCTTTCAAGAGTTCTGAGTAGTGTGAGCCTGAGTTCTCACTTCTTTTCCTTCATGTTTTTAAGGTTTGTTTTATTTTTGAGAAGGGTATAGGAGCCTCACTCCCTCAGGGTAGGATTGTCTGCTCACAGGACACAGATTTTTTTTTTTTTTTTTTGTGTGTGTGTGTGTGTGTGTGTGTGTGTATGTGTGTGTATATAAACACATATATTTAAGTTACTTTATATTAACTAATATATATTATACATTACATAATATAAATAGAATAATAAAATATACTTATATATAATATTGTATTAAATATATATTTAAGTTACTTTTAAATTTACATCAAGTAAAATTCACTATTTTTTGTGCGTATAGTTCTATGAGTTTTGATACAGAGTCTTGTAACCACAACCACAATCAAGATATAGAACGGTCCTTCACCCCAAAAATATTCCTTTGTGCTTCCCGTTTGTGGTCAAAACCTCCTCCATCTCAAACTCCTGGGACAACTTATTTGTTTTTTGTCTTTATAGTTTTACCTTTTCCAGAATTTTAGTATAAATGAAATCATACAGTTTACAATCTTTTGAGTCTGATTTCTTTTTTTGTTGAGACAGGGTCTCACACTGGTTGTCCAGGCTGGAGTGCGGTGGCACTGCCTTGGCTCACTGCATCCTCGACCTCCTGGGCTCAGGTGATTCTCCCATCTCAGCTTCCTGAGTAGCTGGGACTACAGGCACACGCCACCACATCGGCTAAATTTTTATATTTTTAGTAGAGATGGGGTTTTGCTATGTTGCCAGGCTGGTCTCAAACTCCAGGACTCAAGAATCTACCTGCCTCAGCCTCCCAGAGTGCTGGGATTACAGGCGTGAGTCACCATGCCCGGCCTTGAGTCTGATTTTTTTTTATTTTTATTTTTTGAGATGGAGTCTCACTCTGTCGCCCAAGCTGGAGTGCAGTGGCACCATCTCAGCTCACTGCAACCTCTGCCTCCTGGGTTCAAGTGATTCTCCCGCTTCAGCCTCCCGAGTAGCTGGGACTACAGGCGCGTGCTACCACGCCCAGCTATATTTTTTGTATTTTTAGTAGAGACGGGGTTTCACCATGTTGGTCAGGATGGTCTTGATCTCCTGACCTCGTGATCCACCCGCCTCGGCCTCCCAAAGTGCTGGGTTTACAGGCGTGAGTCACCGTGCCCGGCCTTGAGTCTGATTTTTTTTCACTTAGAGGAATGCACTTACATTCATCCTTCTTGTTGTTGTTGTGTGTGTATATCAGTAGTTTGTTTCTTTTTATTGCTGAGAAGTATTTTGTTGTACCAGGGTAACTCTGGTACAATAAAACACCAGTGAAGAACTTTCAGGCTGTTGCCAGTTTTTGATGATTAGGAACAATGCTGCTCTTAACGTGCCCTGGACATAGTTTTTTTGTATAAATGCAAGTTTTCATTCTTCTAAATACCTAGGAGTGGGATTGCAGATCATAAGGTAAATGTACATATAACTCTATAAGAAATTACCAAACCGTTTTCCAGAGTGGCTTGACCATTTTGCATGTCCACCAGCCGGGTACGAGGGTCCTAGTTACTTCGCATTTTTGCCAGTGCTTGGTATTGATGGCTTTTTGTTTTTGTTTTTATTTCTTACCCGTTCTAATAGGTGTATAGTGGAATCTCACTGTGGTTTTAACATGTTGAATATCTTTTCATGTGTTATTTGCAATCTGATTATCTTCTTTAGTAAAATATCTGTTCAAATCTTTTTTCTTTTTCTTTTTCTTTTTTTTTTGAGACAGGATCTCACTCTGTCACCCAGATTGGAGTGAAGTGAACAATCATAGTTCACAGCAGCCTCTAACTTCTGGGCTCAAGTGATCCTCCTGCCTCAGCCTGCCAAGTAGCTGGGATTACTGGTGCACACCACCACACCCAGCTAATTTTTTAGTTTTTTTTTTTTTTTTTTCTGTAGAGTCAGTGCCTTGCTATGTTGCCCAGTTTCGTTCATCATTATTATTTTTTTTAACTGGACATTTGCTTCCTTATTGTTGGTTTTGAGAGTTCATTTTAAATTAAGGATTTAAGCCCTTTATTAGACTTGTGATTATCAGGTATTTTCATTAGGTTGTGTTTTTCATTCCCTTAGCCATCTTTTATGGAGAAAAAGATTTTAGTTTTGATAAAGAACAATTGATGAACTTTTTTCTGTTATGGGTCATACTCTTGCTGTCATAGTTAAGAATTTTTTCCTAATTCGAATTTATGAAAAATATTTTTTGTGTTTTCTTTTTTCAGAATATTTGTACTTTTATGTTTTACATTTAGGTCTATGATTCACTTCAAGTTAATTTTGTATAATTCAAATTTATGAAAAATTTCTTTTGTGTTTTCTTTTTTCAAAATATTTGTAATTTTGTGTTTTACATTTAGATCTATGATTCACTTCAAGTTAATTTTGTATAAGATATGAGGTGTGGGTCAAGGTATGTATTTTTTTGGCATATGAATGTCCGATTGTATTAACACAATCTGTTGGAAAGATTATCCTTTTTGTATCAAATTGCCTTTGCACTTGTACTAAAAATCAGTTGACCTGTATACCATAATTTAGTACCACTAATACCATATTTTCTTGACTGACACAGCTTTAGAGTAAGTCATGAAGTCAAGTAGTGTGAATCTTCTAAATTTGTTCTTCTTTTAAAAAAATGTTTTCTAGGTCATTTATCTTTCCACACAAATTTTAGAATCAGCTTGACAGTATTTATGTCGGGATTTTAATTGGGATAAGTGTTAAATCTGTAGATAAATTTGGAAAAAATTGATATCTAAACGATACTGAGCCTTCCAGAAGAAGTGAGCCTTATTTAGCTCTTCCTCAATTTCTCCTATTTGGCTATTCTTTGATTTCTCTTTGAACACCACCAAACGGATTTTGCATATTTTTGTTAGATTAATATCTAGGTATTTCATTTTTAGGGCCATTATAAATGGAACTTTGAAAAATGTCTGTTTCCAATTTTCATTGCTAGTATATAAATATATGTTGGATTGATTTTTGCATATTGACATGTCTTACAAATTTGCTAAACTCATTTCTTACTTCTAGAAGGTTTTTGGAAAATTATTTAGGTTTTCTATATCAATCATGACATCTATGAATAGGATAATTTTATTTCTTCATTTCCAGTCAGTGTGCCTTTTATTTCGTTTACTTACCTTGTTGAACTGGCTAGGGTTTCAGTACTATGCCAAATAGGAGTTGTGGGAGCAAACGTCTTTGTGTTTTTCCTTATATTGGTGGGAAAAGATGTTGTCTTCATTATTACATGTGTTAGCTACAGTTTTTTAAATAGATACTCTTTATCAGGTTAAGGAAATTCTCTTTTATTCTTAGTTTGCTGAGAGTGTTTATTATAGATGAGTTTCAGTTTTTTCAAATGCTTTTCCTGCCTCATTTAATATGATCATGTGATTTTTCTCCTATCGTTTGTTAGCATGGTGAATGATATTGATTGAATTTTGAATGTTGAGCCAGCCTTCCATTTCCAGGATTAACCCCACTTAACTGTAAGACAGTTCTCTTGTTTGCATACTGTTGGATTAAATTTGCTAATATTTTGTTGAGAATTTTTACATATATGTACATGAGAGGCATTCATCCATAGTTTTCTTTTTCTGTACTGCCTTTCTCCTGCTTGGTGTCAGTGTATTGATGGCCTCAAAAATGTCAAAAATTCTCAATTTAAGGCTCTCAGAATATACTGATGGTATTGTAGTGTTATATTTAAATTAACAGAGAGAAATTAGTGATCAGCTGTGGAACAATACTGTTCCATCAAGAGGGTAGTAGTCTAGAAATATGTAATAAAGAAAAACAAGTGAAACACATAATTGATCAAGTTTAATGAACTAGGCTCAAAAAATTGATTGTTTATCATGCTAATCCAAATGTGATGTGAATTAAGAAACCACATCCAGCCAGGAAGACTGCTCATTCTCACCCCACTGTAATCAGGTTTTACTTATACAAGGAGACCATCTGGTAATTTTTCCATGAACTGATAAGGGTGTGTTCCTTTGGCATTTCCATCTATCCTGAGCAGCATAATAGGTAAGTTCCATAGAGAGATGAATTTTCCACTGTTGGTGGAAACCCATATTTATCTTTCTGTCCAGTTGACAATACAGCTGTAAGTTGTTTTAATGATATTATGATGTCAAATATAAGAATATTAGCTAAAGGGAGAGAGCTCTAAACTCCGAAATTAGAGTAACATAGGCTAGTATTGTAGAAGTCCGCTCCTTTCATCCAGGCACAATGTGAGAGGTCAGGAAAGCATATCATAATGGTTATGAAAGTGAACTCTGCTCTTAGATTGTCTGGTTTGAACTTGTGAGCTGGCTGACATTAGGTAAGTCACTAAACATTATATTGGACATTTTAAACTTAACTAGTTTAAAGCTCCTTTCCAATTTCTCTCTTATCTCTAGTGTCTCAGATGTGAATTCTCTGTTTTTTGGGGCCTGAGTCTTTGGAATTTCTTTTCTATATTGGACTCCCTCATATTGTATCCTTAAATTCCTCACTTTGCTAGGAAAAATTTCCTCTCTAGTCCATTGTGTGCACTGGCTGTGGTTACCTCTCTATGGAGTGATTTTTGGTAACCCCAGATCATATCTGACTGAATTAGCAGGTTCTAAGCCATTTTTCTTGTCAACTTTTTAGCTCGAGATTTCTGAACCACATAAAATTGAGGCTTCCACAAAAACCATACAGGCTCTGGGGTCTTTGGCGGGTAACTCTTTATCCATTCATGACCTGAGATGGATAATTAATTTCTAGATGAGCCCATGGTTAGCAGGTGGACATTTTTTCTTCTCTGTTAAAAATCTCAGTGACAGAGACGTGTGCTCCCAGCATCATTTTGCCCATGGAGCTTCAATTCTTTGTTATCACCTTTGACTCCCTCTCAGTTGACAGCACTTGTAGATTCTTTGTTGTGTTAGAGCTGAAAAAGTTACAAAAAGGATCTTTAATGTATTGAAGGGTTAGCAGAAACTAGATGAGATCCAAGGGGAACAAGTAAATGCAAAGAAAAATAACTATGGACTGAAACGATAATACTGAGCAAACATAAAATTGAGGGTTACCTTGGAGGCAAATACCAATACCAGGGCAGAGATCATGAGCTTGGTCTCTGTCTCAATTGGAAACCTCTCCATTAAGTAAAAGCCTTGGAAGGAAGCTAAAGTGGTTTCAGATCAGTAATCCCTCTAGCCTCTTTCTGGAGAAAAGCATTTCCAGGTCAGGCCCCCACGATCAAGCGAAACAAAATGTGTATGTATAATCAAAACTTACTGAATACCCAATGCAACAAGCCACATGACTGAAAGTCAATAAAAATGACAAACAACAAATTAGGGATCTAGCAACTAAAAATATAATAGTTGAAACACAAAACTCAATTAACAGGTTGAACACTAAAGAGAGGATTAATGAATTGGAAGGTATGTCTAAAGAAACTATTCAGAGCATGAAGCATACGGAGACAAAAAAATGAAAAATACAAGAGTTAAGAGATATAGAACACATAAGCAATCTTGAGCAAAAAGAACAAAACTGGAGGCATCACACTCCCTGATTTCAAAATCTACTATAAAGCTACAGTAATAATAAAACAGCATGGTACTGGCATAAAAACAGACACATACACCAATGGAACAGAATAGAAAGCCTAGAAATAAATCTACCAATTTATGGCCAACTGATTTTTGACAGATGCCAAGAACACACAATAAGGAAAGGGCCAGTTACTTTAATAAATCATGTTGGGAAAATGGAATATTCACATGCAGAAGGATAAAATTAGACTCTCATCTCACATAATATATAAAAATTAACTCAAATGGATTAAAGATTTAAACATAAGATCTGAAGTTGTAAAACCCCTGGACAAAACATGGGAAAACTGCATGACATTGGTCTGGACAATGTTTTGTATATGAACCCCAAAGCACAGGCAAATGAAAGCAAAAACAGACAAATGGAATTACATCAAACTGAAAGCTTCTGAACAGCAAAGGAAACAGTTAACAGAATGAAGAGATACTGTAAGGAAAAGAAGAAAATATTTGCAAACCATTCACTAATAAGGGGTTAATATCCAAAATACATAAGGAACTCAAAGAACTCAAGAGCAAGAAAACAAATAACCCAATTAACAAATGGGCAAAGGACCTGAGTAGACATTTCTCAAAAGAAGACATACAGACAGGTGTATAAAAATATGCTTAACATCACCAATCATTAGGGAAATGCAAATTAAAACCACAATGAGATATCACCTCGCCCTATCAGAATGGCTATTATCAAAAAAGATGAAAAATAACAAGTGTTGGTGAAGATGTGAAGAAAAGGGAACTCTTACACACTGTTGGAGGGAATGTGTATAAGTACAGCCCTTTTGGAAACAGTATTGTGGTTCCTCAAAAATTTAAAAATAGAGCTATCATATGATCCAGAAATCCCACTGTTGGGTGTATATCCCAAAGAAAGAAAATCATTTTATCAAAGAGATAGCTGCATTCCCATGTTTACTGCAGCACTATTCATAATAGTCAAGGTATTAAATCAACATAAGTGTCCATCAGCAGATGAATTGGTAAAGAAAATGTGGTATATGAACAATAGAATACTGTTTAGCTGTTAAAAAAAGTAGGATATCTTATCATTTGTACAACATGGATGAACCTGAAGGACATCGTGTTGTATAAAAGAAGTCAGACAGAGATGGCAACTATTACATGACTTCACTTATATGTGGAATCTCAAAACATTGAGCTCATAGAAGCAGAAAATAGAATGGTGGTTACCAGAGACTGGGGTTTGGGAAGATTAGAGAGATGTTGGTCAAAGGATACAAAATTTCAGTTAGGTGGAATAAATTCAAGAGATTTATTGTACAACATGTATAGACTATAGCTAATAATGTATACTTGAAAATTACTAGGAGAATAGATTTTGTGTTCTCACCACAAAACAAGTATGTGAGGTAACGCATACATTAATTATCCTGAATAGCTTTTCCACAATGTATACATACATCAAAACATTATGTTATACACCATATATGTATAATTTTTACTTGTCAATTAAAGTAAATAAATAGTGTCCAGCAGACACAACATGAAATGCCAAAAATGGTGGGCAGATACATGTGAAATTCTCCTTGGGCAATTGATAAAGAATGAAAAAATAACACACATCAAGTATTCAATTGGAGATGCATTTTGAGAGAATGAAGGAAAAGTAGTCTGCAAATAATTAGTGGCTGATAA
This sequence comes from Homo sapiens, assembly GCF_000001405.40. Taxonomy (NCBI): domain Eukaryota; kingdom Metazoa; phylum Chordata; class Mammalia; order Primates; family Hominidae; genus Homo; species Homo sapiens. The sequence continues at coordinate 215,018,040 of NC_000001.11, forward strand.
TTTTATATAAATTGCATATGCACAATTGAGAACATATATAATAAAGCATGTATGTAATAATATGTATGATGTAGATATTGATATATTTCCCAGCTATGTCCAATATAAAGGTCTAGAAAAAAATCATCAGACCTCCAGTAGCAAAATAAATCTTCAGTATTAAAATTGTGGTTTTGATTGCGAATGAGAATCTTTAGCATCAAAGTTGTGGTTTTGTCATTTTCCCACTAAAAGAATCCAAACATCTTTGAGAAATGCATGGGTCCAAGTGTGGATCAAGAAATGTAGAATATCAGTCTGGAACATCTTACATTAGATAGTAAAGAAGCTCTCATGACTAATTATAGGGTCTTGTGATTGGTTCCTGCCTATCAAACCAATTTTAAAAGGCCACTATTAATGGGACAATTTGAGCAGGATAACAACTGCAATAAATGGAAATCCATCAAATATTTAAATGCATGAGTTCATGATGATAAGAAAATAATTAGAGACTCAAGGAACTCCTCTTTAAAAACGATAGTTAAATGGAAATGGAAGGGTAAGTAAGATAGAGCCAGTGAGAATGCCACAGATAGTATATGTGCACAGTATGAAGATGGAAGAATTCAGTCCTATGTGTTGGGAGACAAGTGAGTGGACAGGAGAGGGGGTCAAAATGAGGTTGGGGAATTACGCATGGCCAGTCATTTCAGGATCATTTAGTCATGCTAAGGATTTGGTCTTTCAATTCTAAACATAATGAGAACTTCTTGGAAAGTTTCCTGCAAGTAAGAGTCACGATCAAATTTGCATTCTTAAAAGATCACCCTGGCTGCTATGTGGCCAATGGATTGGAGGGGTCAAGAGCAGAATCACAGAAAGGGAGAGCTCAGGGCCACTGCAGGTGAGAGATGAAGCTGGCTAGACCTGACAAGCACTTGTGGGGTGCAATTCTCTCTCAACACACACACACACACAAAAAAAAAACCATCTAAGAAAGACCCTTTGCTCTCTGGAGTAACTTCATAACTTGCCATGTCCTACGTATCTGATAACATGAGCCCTGTTGTCCTTATTCCACTGTTATCAATAACTGGTTTTCTCCAACAGAAGGTAGATTCTATGTAATGTTTATACTTATAATAAAAAATTGGTAGGTCCTCTTCAAAGAACAGCTGTCTAGTAGAGTGATTTCACTTTGCTTTTAAAGTTTTCTGAGCAGATAAAATTGCTTACTATTATACTTCGTTTTTACCTTTTCTGATGCAAACGATAGAACTTCAAAAACAGCATGTTGCAATAGAGATTTTGTGTTTCTTACTGAGCTCACATATAAAGAAAAAAACCTGTTTGTATGTAAAAAGGAGTTATTCTCCCCTAGAGAAACACCATGAGCAGGGCTAATAATCAGCTGAGACACCCAATATGACAATGTCAGTTGTTCATGACAATGTCAGTTAATGGCTAGTGTCCATTAGTTGCCGCATCTGTTCCGACTGGTCAGTGTCTATGCGCTCATGGTTGTTAAATATTTAAAACTCATTCTGTTCATGAATATTGAATCATATTTACAATTTTCATTTGGAATACATTTTAATTCATTCACCTTCTATGTTATTGGAATTAGAGGGAGAGAATAGACAACATTCAGAATTGCCACATACAATCCTTTCTTTGGAGAGGCAAGGAAAGATTGTTAAAAAGATTTATTGTAGACACGTTATAGGTTGTCTCTTCTTGCATTCTCTGGTTTTTGGTATGCTTGGTTATTCTCCGTGAAGAAACATTCTAGCTGCCTTGCCTCTCTTATGCTTTTCCTCCTTTCTTTGGCACAATATTATTGTTCTGTTTTTAAAAAGGAGACTACAATTTTTCAAAAATTTCAGGTTGTATTTTAGATATAGAGGGTACATGAGCAGAGGGACCACTATATATATATATTTACCATATTGTACTTAAGAGAAAAAAGAATAAACAAGATAATTTATTTCACCCTGAGTCATTATAGATCTATTCATCAAAGTTCATAGCATTAATTATCCCTTTTTTCCCTTGTTGAGTGAGTGTACATTTTCTACCATTTCTGCCAAACCTTTGGTAATTCGTTAGGTTCCTTTCAGAGGTGTGGCACTTTGGATGTTTTCAATGGGAGCATTCTTTAAGGATGGCTTTGTGCTGTGAACTCTGTTAATAATGCTTTGGACCAAATCTATTGAATAAATGTATCAAGCTTAAAAATAGTATTAATAATCAAAGATAAAGTCTGGCTACAAAGATATTTAGACTTCTTGAATGGCTTCTAAATTGGTGATAACACTTATTTTCTTGTGGGTCTCATATACTGTCTCAGAAGCAAACTTTGAAAGAGGAATCCCCAAAATACGTTGAGCCTCAGTACATTTCTTTATTTAATTTATTTTTTGACACAGGGTCTGGCTGTGTTACTTAGGCTGGAGTGCAGTGGTGCAATCTTGGCTCATTGCAACCCCTGCCTCCTGAGTTCAAGCGATTATTGTGCCTCAGCCTCTTGAATAGCTGGGACTACTGATATGCGCCACCATGCCCAGCTAATTTTTTGTATTTTAGTAGGCACGAGATTTCACCATGTTGCCCAGGTTGGTTTTGAACTCCTGAGCTCAGGCAATCCACCCACCACAGCCTCTCAGTGTTAGGATTATAGGAGTGAGACACCGTGCTGGGCCAAACCACAGTACCTTTAGATCTCAATGGTTTTCCAGTGTAACAAGTGAAAAATGATACTCATTTGGATGTGTAAATTATAGAGTTTGCTTTATACTTTATGCTACATTCTCGCCATATACTGTCAGATGCATTATTGGGATTAAAGACTCTCCAAGTAAAATGTCATACATAGGATATCACCTTTCAATTTCATTTTATAAGTCTCCTGGTCTGCCTACCTCTAATCTTCTAGTATAATATAAAAAATTCAATCGTGGTGGGAAGACAATAATTTCAATTATTTTAAATAATTCAAATTTTTTAAATCACACAGAGTTTATATTTTCAATGATGGATGAGAGTTGGATATTAGATATTAAGAACATATTTTTTAACTTTACAGTAATTTTCATCTATGTTTAGACAGTGAAAAATTATGCTTCAGGTAGTCATATTAAGTACCTGCAATTCTCAGCTTACCAACGGAACGGTTTAAGAAATATGATTTTATTTTCCTATAAGTGAACTTAAGTTATATTTCAAGTTCCCTATTTCATCTGGTTGAAATTCAATCTTGGTCAATGTGATGGTTGATTTTAGGTGTCGGCTTGACTGGGTTAAGGGTTACCCAGATAGCTGGGAAAGCATTATGTCTGGACACATCTCTGAGGGTGTTTCCAGGAGAGGTTGGCATCTGAATCGGTGGGCTGAGTAAGGAAGATCTGCCCTTACCCAAGGTGGGCAGGCACCTTTCTATTTGTTGAGGTCCTTGCTAGAACAAAAAGACAGAGGAAAGATGGATTTGCCCTCTCTTCTGGAGCTGGGACAACCATCTTTTTTTTTTTTTTTTTTTTTTTTTTGAGACGGAATCTCGCTCTGTCGCCCAGGCTGGAGTGCAGTGGCGCGATCTCCGCTCGCTGCAAGCTCCGCCTCCCAGGTTCATGCCATTCTCCTGCCTCAGCCTCCCGATTAACTGGGACTACAGGCGCCCGCCACCACGCCTGGCTAATTCTTTTTTGTATTTTTAGTAGAGACGGGGTTTCACCGTGTTAGCAAGGATGGTCTCAATCTCCTGACCTCGTCATCCGCCCGCCTCGGCCTCCCACGCCTGCTGGGATTACAGGCGTGAGCCACTGCGCCCGGCCACAACCATCTTCATCTGCCCTTGAATATCAGAATTCCAGGGTCTTAGACCTTTGGGTTCTGATATTGTACCAGCAGTACTCAGTTTCTTAGGCCTCAGCCTCAGGCTGAGACTTACAGCACTGGCTGCACTGGTTTTCAGGCATTTTGGCTCAACTGTATTGTACCACCAGTTTCCTTGGTTCTCCAGCTTGCAGATGACACACTGTGGGACTTGGCATCCATAATCATGTGAGCCAATTGCCACAATAAATCCCCTCCTATCTATCTATCTATCTATCTAATCATCTATCTATCTAATCCATCTATCTATCCTATTGTTTCCTTTCCTAGGAGCACTCTAACAGTCAATTTGGAATTTCTTCCATTGTTTCAAGGTCTTTTCCAAGTCAATTCAGGATCTTCCCAAATCCCATGTTTTCTTCTGGGTTCTAGAACTTTAAGAGGCCCAAGATCTTGGTGTGGCTATTTTGACATCTGCCTTGGAAGTATTTGCTGTGACATCACTGGTTGTTGAGTCCTCCACAGGTTGTAACCATGTCTTCCTTGCCCTTTGTATCAGATCTCTTCAAATCTGCTTGGCAATTTATGAGCTCCTCTTGTGAAACAAGAGACGTGTGTGGCTCTTCTCTTGTGCCATTCTAGGTCCACAGGGGATTTTCAAATTTGTCTCAGCCTTTTTTTGGCTGAATACCTTATGGAACCATTACTATTCAAATGCTATCATGCCAAGGAGGGCACAGGATATTTTTTTAAAATGCACTCCCTTACTAAGTTCCAGGTCACGGGCTCCATTCAAATCCCTAAACTTGTCTGAAGATGTGCAACCTTCCTTCTGCCTAACTTGGCCTATGGTTTGGGGAAGGTACATGGCCCTTTCCCAAAACACCAGGAACATCTAATCTGCCTTCTCCCTGATTTTTCTCTTCTTTTCCAGCCCAGCTAATCTTTATCTTGTCTAAAATGGGAAAGAAAGAAACAAACCCTGGATTTCACAACTTTAATGTTTATGCAAGGACTTTGACTTTTAAAGTGAAAGTCAGTGATTTACTCCTTCCTTCTTTCCTTCCCAGAGGCCATGAATCTAAAAGAGACTTTATTAGTGGGGTTAGAATCACATGGGTAAAAAGAATTACTAGAAATGGAAAGAAACAACTCAGTGATACAATATCTAAGTATGAACAGTATGCCTGTTAACACATGGATTTCCACAGCCTACAGATTTTGAAACTGAAGTAGGTGGCCCTGAAATATGAGCCTTTCGTTTTAATGGAGCTATTGCTACTGTAAAACAACTGTATAAATCCTTTCCAAAAAATCCCTTCTTGCATTTTAGGAACTTTCTCTAAGGCTTGTTATTATTATTATTTTTTTTGTATCTTTTTTTCCTGTATGGTGAGAGAATGAAATTTATTCTTGGAAATACATAAGCTCTTTGGGCTCAGGCCAGCCCTCTACTACAAAGGCATCTTCCTGTGCACTCTTCTTGACAGAGAACCCTGCCATATAATCCAGCTGTGCATAACTGAATGTGCCAGTTCAGTAATCCTTTAATGAATCACCTTTTAAAATCTGCCCCTCAGCCATAAGTATGTCACTTCAACATCATTTTATACTCTGAATTGAATTACATTAAAGCAGTTACAGCATGGAAAGAGGCAAGAGTATTTTACATTAAATCACTGGACAACAATCATAATCAATAGTTGAGTGCCCTAGTCAGTGAGCCCGACCATGTTATAAACTGATTTGGCTTCGACGACTTTTCCAGCTAAAGTCCAGCAACCAGTGAATGTCATTGCGTAAGCACCAAATTCCTGAATTTGTTTTGACATATATTCTCATCAGTAATGGCAATGATGCAGAACAATTGCACAATTTTAAAAATAAAATTTTGGGTTTGCAAAACACTTGGCTTTCCAGGTGAAGAAATTTGCATGAGAGGTGGCTCAAAGCTATGTTGATTTAGATGCAGCTTTTATCTGAGATGTGTCCAACCTAAATCCTACATTATACTCTATTTTGTTTTGCTTTGTCTCCCCTCCACTTCACCTTGCTGCCTTTAATGTTCTTGTCATTAGGACACAAAAGAGGAGAAGGATGAAATCTGCATACCTAGCTCTGCGGATTTTCCTAACCATTGCCAGGAAAATCCAGCAGGGTGCAGAAGTAAAACTGCTGCCAAGGAGTAGGCAGGAGAAAGGAAACATGGTCCTTTATGGATGGGGCATTTATTTTGCTTCTGGAAGAGTAAGGTGGCATGAACTTCCTAAGGCAGGTATAGGGATCTGAGTGGAGCAAGTGCTTCTGCACTGACACCTGACACCCTGTGGACTCACTGGAACTACCAGATGTTCCATAGGCATCTGTGGAACAAGGGTGACAAGAGACACATGGAATAAAACAATCTTTGAATGGGGCCAGTATTAGGTAAAGGACTTGCAGGCTGGAGCCAAGCCTAGGACCCTCCCTGATGTCAAGGCTGCATCCATATCAGACTCTCATACGGTTAGTGCACAGTTTTAAGAGGTCCAGTATTGCAGGAGCCCAGTTCACTTACGCAGTGAATAATATGTTTCTAATCCTAGCATTCAAGGCTGTATAAGCCTATGCCGTCTTTCAGACTTCTAACATTGCTTTCATACAAAAACACTTCCTCTAGCCCAGGTTATTGAAGGAGTAGGCTTAAAGATGTCTTGCAATATTTTGCCATAATTTTTTTTTCATGTAATTGTTCTGACATCTCAAAATCTTACCTATATACTGAGTGCCACCTCCTTTATAAAGCTTTTCATGCCTGAAATTCCCATTGAACAAATGTTGCTTAAATATCAAAGAGCCCTAAATGAGAAAAACAAAACAAAACAAAACATCTCAGCAATTAACTTTTATACACTGTGTAGGAGACTATCTAGGTACTTATCAAACATGTTTTAGCGGTATATAAAACCAAAACCAATTGCCCCACTCTTGTCTTTATATCCATCTCCACCCACCAGAGCTAACAAATTTAATAGCCTGTGGACTAAACTACATCTTTCTTCTTGCTCAAACAAATATATGTCTATAAAACATATGTTCATTATGTATCTACAGGAGTTTTTTTTTTTTTTTTTTTTAACTGAGATAAAACAGTGTTACACACATTATGTTGCAATTTGTGAATTTAGCCTTATAATATGTCTTGGACATAAATTTGTTAAAAGCTAAGCTATCTGATGGTTAAGTGCCAAGGTTTTAGGGTCACAGTGCCTGGGTTCAAATCCAAACCCTGGAGCTAAATAATCATGTAACTCTTCATAAATTACTTACTTAACCTCTTAGTTTTCTCATTGGTTAAATGAGGATAATATTTTCAATATTATTGTGGGATTATGGTGATGGTTAAATAAGTTCAGACATAAAAAGTACTCTAGAAAAGCACACTCAATAAAGGTGCTATAAATTGCTCCTCCAGGTCAGAAAATATGCATACATATGGACTTTTATACTTTTATGTAAGTGATATTATTATAAGGCTTTCTTTTCAGTATAACATTTTCTTTCCTTTTTCTGTTTCCTTATTTGTTCCCTATTCCCTGTCTTCATTCTCCTATATTTACCTCTCCTACACCACTTACTTTAAGTAATATAAATATTAATACCTGTAAACCCCCTTAACTAGTGTGGACTAATATGTATTATTCTGCATTATTTCAAAAGATTCCCTAAGTTTATGTCACATTATATATTATGTGCATACATATACACATATATGTGAGTATGTTTTTGTCATTATTTGCACTACAGAAATAAACCATATTGTACACAATTTTTCTTGCATCTTACTTTTTTCTGAATCAGTAGTAACTTTTGGAAATCCATTAGGTCTGAAAGTATAGCTGAATAATATTCTGTGCTGTGGATTACCGTGGTTTATTCCTTTGTGTACATATTTTTGCCACTACAAAGAATGCTGCAATAAACATCTGGATTCACATGTCCTTATTTACTGGCAGCTGTATTTCTATGGAATATATACGAAGGAGTGGGATTGCTTGGTCAAAAGGTTTATGTATTTTTACATTTTAATAAATGTTGCCCAATTGCTTTCTTAAAAAGCTGTACCAATTTACATTTTTAGCAGCAATGTAGAACATGCTTTGTTCCACATATCCCTACCAACAGTGTTATCATTATTTAAAATTTGTGTTGGCCTCATAGGGTTAAAGTGATCATTTATTATTACTTCAGTTTCTGTTTCCCTGTTAGTGAATTTAAAATATATATACACATATTTTTTGGCCATTTGGATTTACTCAACTGTGAATAGCTTATTTATATCTGTTGCTCATTTTTCTTGTCAGGTGGTTGTTTGTTTCTTATCAATTTTTAAAGCTCTCTTCATATAATTGTAGCTTTTAAACTCTTATCTGTCATCTGCATTGCAAACATGTTTCCTACATCTACCATTTGTTTACTGTCTTTATTAATAGTATCTTCTGCTACACAAGTTTTTTATTAGTTTCTTTCCTGGTCTTCCCCAGAAATCCTAGTAAAACAGTAATATCATATTATTTTTAACACTTTAATCCATTGATTTTTTTGTAAATAACATGAGATGGGTTTATTAATTTTTTTAGAATGAATAGCGGCTTGGGGAGAAATTTTGTAAACAGGTCACCTTTTTTTCTCCCTGAAATTGAATAACCCCTGGACCAATATCCAATTCTAATGTATACACTCTGTCTTTTCTGGATTCTCTCTCTGTTCCACTGATTTACTTTTTCATATATCTGCCATCCCTATATTGTTTTGATTTCAGTATCTTTATGGTATATCTGGATACCTGGTTAGGTAAATATTCCCTTATTTTAATTTTAGTTTATTCATAGGATTTTCATTCCATATGAACTTTAAGTTTTTATGCAATTCAAGTTGAAATGAAACATAACTGAATCTTGGAATTCTATTGAGAATGACATCATGTGTATGTGTGTGTGTATGTGTAAACAAACATATACATACGTCCTTATCTTAGGAAGACTAATTTTTATATTAATTTATTCCATTTGAAAACAGGGCATGTAATTTTATTGTTTCAGATCATTTTTCATTCTTACAACAGGATTTATAGCTTTCATGGGCTCTATCCCTTGCTTATTCTATTTAGTTTACATTGTCATTTTCAAGGCATTTTTTTTCTCCTCTTTCTTTTTCCAAGTATGTTACTAGGAAGGAAAAATTTATTAAGTCTGCTTACCTTGTTTATACACAGTCATTCTATCAAATATTCTTATCAATGCCAGTAGTTTTTTTCTCTTTGTAAATCTCTTGGATTTTTAAGTACATAATCGTATCAGCAAAATGGAGATAATTTTATCTCTTCATTTACAAAATTTCTAACAACTCATTTCCTTATCTCACTGTTTTCATTGGAGTTTTCAAATTAATATTGAATAAACATAGTGATAACAAGCTTTCTGTTTGATTCCTGGGTTTTATTGGATTCTTTCTATCGTTTCGATGTTGAGAATACATTGAGTCTTGGTTTTGGTAAATATCGGAAATATTTCCATTAACTTTTCTGTCTTACCTAAAGATTTTTATTGGGATTAGCTGTTAAATATTATCAAATGTCCCTCCAACATCTATTAATGTGATCATATGAGATATTCTGGAATTTGCTGAAATACTAAATTATGTGGATGCTAATTTGAACCTCTTCTTGCACACCCAGAGTAAACCCTACTTGGCCAGTTTGGGGTTTTCTGTTGACATACAGCTGGGTTCTGTTTGTTAATATTCTATTTAAAATATTCACATGTACATTCCTCCGTGTGATTGATCTATTTCAATCATGTTGATACTTAATTTATGCTAGATTTATATAAAATTGGGAAACTTTCCATATTTTCTGTAGTATAGATAGGATGAATTTCATTTTTTAAAAGGAGGTTTGATAGACCTCATCTATGAGAATATCTGTTGGATCTAACTTGCCTTCCATTCACTTCTGTAGAAATTGGCCAACAAAAGTTTCTTTAGTTTACATTGATAACTTTGAATTTCACTAAATATGATCCTTTCCCACTAGCATTTAAAGTTAAATGCCATAGATTTGTTCACAATATATCTTAATATTATTTTAATTCTTTCTGGAGTTGTGTGTGGTTGTCTCATTTCTCATTCCTAAAAATATTAATTTTTTTCTTTTTTTTCCTTTTGGAACTAAGATTAACATATTTATCTAATTTAATGTTCTTTAAAAATAGCTTGGGCTGGGCACCGTGGCTCCCGCCTGTAATCCCAACACTTTGGGAGGCCAAGGTGGGTGGATCACCTGAGGTCAGGAGTTCAAAACCAGCCTGGCCAATGTGGTGAAACCCCGTCTCTACTAAAAATACAAAAATCAGCCGAGCGTGGTGGCGGGTCTGTAATCCCAGTTACTCAGGAGGCTGAGGCAGGAGAATCGCTTGAACCCAGGAGGCAGAGGTTGCAGTGAGCTGAGATTGTGCCATTGCACTCCAGCCTGGGCGACAAGGGCAAAACTCCATCTCAAAAAATAAAATAAAATAAAGTAAAATAAAATAAAAAATAAAAGAATAACTTTTGGGATTCTGTCTCAATTTTATTATTATATTTTACAAGATGTTTGTACTTTTAATCTCAGCATCATCTTTCTTAATTTCCTCTTTCTACTTTCTCTTGTTTTGTCATTATCATTTTAATTCTTATGAAGCCTACTAACCTAAATTACTTTTAGTTCTTCTTCTTTAATAACAGACATTTAAAAGCTATGCATATTTCTTTGAATAAAATTTTCATGTTTGACCTATTATATTCAGTGAAATGCACAAATCATAAAGGTACCGTTCAGTTTTGATAAATGCATTTACCATGTGACTTATATCTCATTAAGATAAAGAAAATTTTCACCACCTCAGAGAGTTCACTCATGACCTTTTCTAGGAAATCCCTTCCCACTCCTAGACAACATTGTTCTGATTTCTATACACCATAGACAGATCTTGCTGTGTTTGAATTTCATATAAATTGAATAATTTAATAATTCATTTAAATGTAAGCTTTCTTTCATTTAGAATAATGTTTTTGAAATTCACTTATTTTAAAAAACAGGCTTTTTTTTTTTTAGAAGAGTTTTAAGTTCATAGCAAAATTCACTGAAGGGTACAGAAATTTCCCACATACCCTTTACCCCTGCCTCCATACATGAAAAGCTTCCCGCAATATCAACATCCCCCACCAGAGTTTTTTTAAAATTGACAAACTCACATTGATACATCATTATCTCCTAGAGTTGATAATTTAATTTAGGGTTCACTTTTGGTGTTGTACATCCTATGACTTTGAACAAAATCCACCAGCATAGTAATCATACAGAGGAGTTTCATTTTCACTGCCCTAAAAATTCTCTGTATTTCACCTAATTCATCCCTCCCTCCCCGACCGCATGGTAACCTCTGATGTTTCTCCTATCCCCATAGTTTTGCCTTTTCGAGAAGTCATATACTTGGAATCACATAGCATATAATCTATTTGGATTTTTTTTTCACTTAGTGGTATTAATTTAAGTGTCACTCATGTCTTTTCATGGCTTGATGGCTCATTTCTTCTTAGTGCTGAATAATATTGTTACTTAAGAATTTATATAAATAACAGAATATATTTAGATATTTAAATATAAATATATCCAAATATATCAAATATATTAATATATATTTAATATATAAATATAAATATTTGATATATTTAATATATTAATATATATTTAATATATGAATATAAATATTGATATATTTAATATATTTGGATATACTTAAATTTCAAAAACAGAATATTATTTTTAAAATTAAATTACCATCACTTAATATGATTATTAATATGAAACAAATTAATATCATTAAATAAAAGAAGCCAATCTAAATAAACTCCAGACTGTATGATTCCACAGTGTACTTCCATTCATCTCATGAAGGACATCTTTGTTGCTTGCAAGTTTTGACAATAACGAATAAAGCCTCTATAAACCTCTGTGTAGGTTTTTGTGTGGACATGTTTTTGATTCCTTTGGATAATAAGAAGGAGCACAATTACTGGATCATATGGTGGGAGTATGTTTAGCTTTGTGAGAAATTGCCAAACTGTCTTCCAAAGTGGCTGTACTGTTTCTCACACCAGAAATGAACAAGAGTTCTTGTTATTCCACATCCTTGCCAGCATTTGGTGCTCTCAGTGTTCTGGATTTGGGCCATTCTAAGAGGTAGTATCTTATTGTTATCTTAATTTGCATTTTCCTGATGACATGTAATGTGAAGCATCTTTTCATACGCTTATTTGTCATTTGTGTATCTTCTCTGATGAGGTGTCTGTTACGGTCTTTGACCCGTTTTTTAATTGGGTTGTTTGTTTTCTCATTGCTGAGTTTTAAGAGTTCTTTTATTTTGGAATACAGTCCTTTATCAGGTATTTCCATTGCAAATATTTTCTCCCAGCTTGTGGCTTGTCTTTCCCTTTTCTTGATAGTCTCTTTTGCCAAGCAGAAAATTTTAATTTAATAAACTTTATTGTTTATACATACTTTCTATTATGGATTGTGCCTTTGGTGTTGTATCTAAAAAGTCATCACCAAAGCCACAGCCAGCCTGCTCAGTGTTTTAATGATAATAATAACAAATTTTCTATGTTACCTATCTTTTTTTTTTTGAGACAGAGTTTCACTCTGTGGCCCAGTCTGGAGTGTAGCGGTGTGATCATGGATCACTGCAGCTTCGACCTCCCAGGCTCAAGTGATCCTCCCACCTCAGCCTCCCGAGTAGCTGGGACTACAGGTGTGCACCACCATACCAAGTTAATTTTTGTATTTTTTTTTTTTTTTTTGGTAGAGACTGGGTTTTGTCACGTTGCCCAGGCTGATCTCAAACTCCTGGGCTCAAGTGATCTGTCCACTTCAGCCTCCCAAAGTGCTGGGGATTATAGGCATGAGTGACTACATCCAGCCTCTTGTGTTATCTTTTACAAGTTTTATAGTTCTGTGTTTTACATTCGGTTCTGTGATTTCTTTTGGGTTTTATGAAGGATGTAAGATCTGCATCTCGATTCATTTTTTTACATGTGGATACTCAGTTGTCCAGCATCATTTGTTGAAAAGACCTTTTTTTCTCCATTGTATTTCCTTTGCTTCATCGTCGAAGAACTGTTGACCATATCTATATGGGTCTGTTTCTGGGCTTTCTTTTCTGTTCCATTGATTGATTTGTCTATTCTTTCTCCACATTGTCTTAATTACTGTAGCTTTATAGTAAGTCTTGAAGTCAGGGATTATCAGTCCTCTGACTTTTTTACCTGCAATATTATGTTGGCTATTCTAGGTCTTTTGCATCACCATATAAACTTAAGCATCAGTTTGTCGATAGCCACTGGGATTTTGGTCAGGATGGCATTGAATCTGCAGATTAAGAAGCTGTGAAGGACTGACATCTTGACTATATAGAGTCTTCGTAGCCATGAACATGAAATATCTTTCCCTTTATTTAGCTCTTTGATTTCTTTCATGAGTTTTGCCATTTTCTTCCTAGAGATCTCATACCATTTTTTAGGCTTACACCTAAATATTTTGGGGTGCTAATATAAATAGTACAGGTTGAGTAACCCTAATCTGAAAAGGTGAAATCCAAAATGTTCTAAAATCCAAAAAGTTTTGAGCACCAACAAGATGCTTCTTATTTTTGGATTAGGGTGCTGAGTTGGCATAATGCAAATTCTTCAAAATCTGAAACAATATGAAATCTTAAATATTTCAGTCCAAAGATTGAAAATAAAGGATATTCAACCTGTATTGTGTTTTTAATTTCAAATTCCACTTGTTCATTACTGGTATAGAGGATACCAATTGATTTTTGTATATTGACTTATATTCTGCATTCTTACTCAGATTGTTCAGTAGTTCCAGGAGTTATTTTGTTAATTCTTTTGGATTTTCTTATTATATTTCTTATTTTACTTTTTAAAATGCTTGTCCTAGAGTTTCCAATATATGTTTACAGTTAATCCCAGTCCACTTTCAAATAACATTATACTACTTCACTGCTAGTGCCAGTACCTTATAATAATACAAAATAATTCTAAATTTTCCCTCCTGTTCTCGTATCATTGCGGTCAATCATTTCACTTGCACATAAGCATACACAATCGAGTACAGTATATTGATGCTATTATTATTTTGAGCAAACTGTTATCTGTTACATCAATTAAGGATTTTTTTTTTTTTTTTTTAGAAGGGCAGGGACAGTGGTTCATACCTATAATCCCAGCACATTGGGAGGCAGAGGCAGGAGGATCACTTGAGCCCAGGAGTTTGAGACCTGCCTGGGCAACATAGGGAGACCCTGTGTCTACAAAAAATGTTTTAAAATTAGGCGGGTATGGTGGAACATGTCTGTGGTCCCAGCTACTAGGAAGGCTGAGGTGGAGAATCGCTGGGCTCAGTAGTTCAGGGCTGCAGTGAGCTGTGATCATGCCACTGTACTCCAGCCTGGGTGACAGAGTGAGATCCCATCTCAAAACAAAAACAAAAACAAAAAACAGTAAACTTTTTTTTTATAATTTTACCTTCACTTATTCTTTCACTTAAACTCTGCCTTTCTGTATGTAGATTTGAGTTTCTGATCCATATCATTTCTCTTCTCTCTAAAATACTTCTTTTAACACTTGCAAGGAAGGTCAACTAACAACAGATTTCTTCAATTTTTGTTTGTCAGAAAAATATTTCTCCTTTACTTTTGAAGGATAATTTCCCAGCGTATGAAATTGAGGTTAGTGGATTTTTTTCTCTCAGTATTTTAAATATTTCACTCCACTTTCTTCTTGTTTGCATGGTTTTCAAGAAGTTCGATGTAATTATTATTTTTGCTTCTCTGTAGGTAAGGTGTTCTTTTTCCCTCTATCCTCTCTAAGAATTTTTTCTTTATCCTAATTTTTTTGTAGTTTGAAAATAATATGCCTAGGTGTAGGTTTCTTTGACATTTATCTTGAATGGTGTTCTCTGCGATTCCATTAATTTGAAGAAATTCTCTGTCATTATTGTTTCATATATGTCTCCATTTCCTTTCTTTCTTTATTCTTCCAGTATTCTCATTATATGTAGGTTACACTTTTTGTAGTTGTCCCACAATTCTTGAATTTTCTGTTCTGTTTTTCAGTCTTTTTTTTTCTCTTCACTTTCAGTTTTGGAGGTTTCTATTGACATACTCTCAAGCTCAGAAATTCTTTCCTCAGACATGTCCACTCTATTAATGAACCCGTCAAGGCATTCTTCATTTCTGTTACAGTGGTTTTGATCTCTAGCAGTTTCTTTTCTTTTTTTTTTTTTTGTAGTTATTTCTAAAAAATTTAATCTCTCTGCTTATATTGTCTCTGTTCTTACATGGTGTCTACTTCAATTAGAGTCCTCAGCATATTAGTCATAATTGTTCAAATTCCCAATTTGATCATCTCAGCAGCCCTGCCATACTTGAGTTTGGTTCTGATACTTACTCTGTCTCTTTTAACTGTGTTTATTTTTTATTTTTTTGCCTTTTGGTATGTGATTTTTTTTCTTGAAAGCCAGACATAATGTACTGGGTACAAATAACTGTTGTAAATAGGCTTTTAGTAATGTGGTGGTAAGGTATGAGGGGAGGAGAAGTGTTTTACATTGCCATGATTCCATTTCAGTCTTTTAGCGAGCCTGTGCTTCCAACTGTGACTGTGAACTTCACACCTGCTTCTCAGTGCCTCAGTAACTCCCCACCCCATTAGATGGGACAGGATGGCTAGAGGACTGGAGTTGCTTATTTCTCTTCTTCCATGTGGAAGGATAGAGGGGTCTGGGGTTGAATATTTAGTCTCCGATAAAACCCCAGCAGGTAGGCTGTGGTTAAATAATTTCTCCTGAGGGCAGATCTTCCCTAGTAAGAATAGAATGCTCTGATATGTTTCAAAATGATTCCTTATTTAACTTTTCCCTGTCTGAAGCATGAGGGAATTTCTCCCAGTATTCACTGTTGTGAGTCTCCTCACAAAACTGTGGAGACCTCCAATGACTGGATCCCTTTGCAAGTTTTATCTCTTGGTCTTGTCTACACTATGTCTTCAGTAATTCATCAATTACATTTCAGGTTTCCCTACATAGTTTCCTTGGTGGTTTCTGCTCCAGTGAGTTGCCCTTCTTTGTATTCTCTTGTTGTTCTCTCCAATTTAGGGGGAATTGGTTTGTTCCATGATCTCAATTCTTTGATGGATCTAAAAAGAGTTGTTGACTTTTTTAGTTTATTCAGCTTTTTACTAGTTAGAATGGAGTGGTGACTTCCAAGTTTCTTATGTGCCAAGAATAGAAACTGGAAGTTCATGTTTTAAAATCTCTCAGTAATTCAATGCTTTTCATTGATGAGTAGTATTCTATTGTATCTATATACCAAAATTTGTTTATACTCTCCCCAGCTGATGGGCACTTATGTTGTTTTCATTTTTTTTTTTTTGCTAGTGTGAATACAGTTACTATTTTGTACAAGTTTTTTTGCGACCTTATTTATTGATTTCTCTTGGTTCAATAGTAAGAATGGAGTAGTTGAATCCTAATGTAAGCATGTATCTAACTTTATAAGTAACCGTCTGTTTTTTGAAGGGGTTTTTATCATTTTACAGTATCACCAGAGGGCTTGAAAGTTCTGGTTGCTGCACATGCATGCCAATATTTTGTGCTGTCAGTCTCTGTAGTTCAAGTCATTCTAATGTCTAGTTGTTCCAGCACCATTTGTTGAAAAGACATTTCCTTCCTCCACTGAAATTCTTTGATGCCTTTGTTGAAACCAGTCATCTATCTATGTGTAAGTTTGTATTTGAACTCTCTGTTCTGTTTCATTGATCTATTTTTTATCTTTACATTAATATTGCTTTATCTTTGGACAGAACAAGGGAATGTATGAATGTTTACTAACCCATGTACATACATATCTCTATGTTTCTGTATCTACTTATCCGTAATATTTTAAAATATACATGCATTCATGTTGGTATTGATTATCCCAGTCCAGCATCACGGATTCTAATTGCCCTCACCTATTGCTTATTTGTAACATTTTTTTCTCTGACAGTGAAAAACCTGGCTTCCATTACCTACAATTTATTTACTTATTTGTTCACTTCTAGTATACAAATAGTTTCAAATTTGCTAACTCCTACCCCTGTGAGAAACAAATTTACCAACTCGAGTTAGTGTTTGTATACACATAATTTTGTCTTTGTACTTATAGTATCCAGTAAAAACAATTTCCCAAAGTTAAGTCAAAAGCATTTTTACCTTTCAGTGATGTAATGTCAAACATTTGTAAGAGTTGTTTGTTACAGTCCACATGCTATCCTGTCAACCCCTGACATCCTGGTTAATTTTTATAAGTTTGCAGAGTTCACTTTTTGTATTGTACAGTTCAGTGGGAATTTGACAAGTGCATAGAGTTATGAATCTACCATCCCAGTGCCATACAGAATAGTTCGATCACTCTACAAATTACTCTATGTAGCTCCTTCGTTGTCTTCTTTTTCATCTCCCAATTCCAGGAAACCACTGATCTGTTCTCCTTTCCTATCGTTTTGCCCTTTTCATAATGTCATATGATTGAATCTTACATATGTAGTCTTTTGGTCTGCCTTCTTTCACCTGGCAAAATATACTTAAGGTTTATCCACGTTGTTACACAAATCACCTGAGTAGTAACCCATTGTATAGATATACCATAGTTTGTTTATGCATTCACCTGTTGAATGAAATCTTCGTTCTTTCCAGTTTTTAATATTTGAATGAAGCTGCCATAAACATTTGTGGGCAAGTTTTTGTATGAACATACGTGTTCAATTCACTTGTGAAAATAGAAGTGAGATTGCTGGTTTCTATGGTAAGTATAGGTTTAAATTTATAAGAAAATGTTAAATTACTTTCGAACCCAGCTGTGTATTTTTATATTTCCAAAAGCAGTGAATGAGAGTTTCTATTGCTCTGCATCTTATCAGCATTTGGTATTGCGGATTTTGATTGGTTTTGAGGAGTTTTTTTTTTAAATATATTCTGAGTATTTGTCCTTTGTCAAATATATGCATAGGAAACATATTTTCCTAGTCTACTGTCTTTTGATATGCAGAAGGTTTTAATTTTGATGAATTCCAATTTATAATTTTTTTATGGTTAGTGCTCTCTGTTAACTGTGTAAAAAAATCTTTGCCTACTTCAATGTTATGAAGATGCTCTCATGTGTTTTTTTTTTTCCTAGAAAATTTATAATTTTAGCTTTTACTTTGAGGTCTGTAATTCCCCTCAAATTGATTTTTTTGAGTGTGTATGGTGAGATAAACATCATGATTCATTTGTTTTCCATATGGATATCCAGTTGTTCCAGCACTATTTGTTGAAAGGACATTCCCTTCCTCCACTGAAATTCTCTGATGCCTTTGGTGAAACCAGTCATCTATCTATGTGTAAGTCTCCATTTGAACTTCTATTCTGTTCCATTGATCTATTTTTCTATCTTTACATCAGCATGGCCCCATCTTAACATTCGCTTCATAAAAAGTTTTAACATTAGTTTAAAGTTCTCCAATTTTGTTCTTTTTTTTTTAACTTTGCTGTAGCTATTCTATATATTTTGAATTTTAAAATATATTTTAGAATCAGCTTGTCAGTTTCTTTAGTGTGCCTGTTTAGATTTTGAATTGACACGTGTTAAATCTGTAGATCAGTTTGGGTAGAATATTTATGTCAACAGGATTGATTCATCTAATCTTTGAATATACTCTCCATTTACTTAAATCTTTGCTGCTTATGAACAATGTTTTGTAGTATTCAATGTACAGATTTTACAAACATTTTATTAAATTTTCCCTTGGTATTTCATATATTTTGATGTTTTTGTGTGTGTTATTGTTTAGTTAATTTGATTTTCCAATTGTTTGTACTAGTATATAGAAATTACACTGATTTTATGTTTTGAGCTTGTATCCTGCAACCTTGATAAATTCACTTATTTGTTCTAATATTTGCTTTGTAGATGCTTTAGAATTTACTAAGTGATGCCATCTGTAGATTTATTTTACTTCTTCCTTTTCATTCTTAATGCCTTTTATTCCTTTTTTTTTTTTTTTGCCTTATTGTACTTGCTAAAATCCCAGTCCAATATTGAAGTGGTAAGAATGAATATTCTCATCTTGCTCCTGATCTTAGAAGGGCAAAGCATTTATTATTCAATATTTCATTATTAAATGTGCTACGAGCCATAAGGTTTTAGTGTTTCTTGTTTGTTTTCTTTTCGTAGTCAATTATTTATCTGGTTTAGAAAATTGCTGAGAGCTTTTTCTTTGTGATTAAGAATGATTGGTGAAATGATTTCTCTATATCTATTCCAATGATTGTATGATTTTACTTTATCCTTTATTATTTCAATGAGGTGAGTTATACTGATAGATTTTCAAATGTTAAGCCAATCTTATGCTCCTGAAATAAAGTCTGATTGGTTGTGATGAATTGACTTTATTATATATTTCTGGGTTTGAGATATTAATATTTTGTTCAGGATTTATAGGTCTAAGTTCATGAGGGATATTGATTTCACATCTTCTTTTTTATAATGACATTGCAAGATTTCGATAAGGGTTATCTTGACCTCATACGTTAAATGTTAAATATGTTAAAATTCCTTTCTCCACTATTTTCTGAAAGAGTTGTGTATATTATTTCTTACTAAGTGTTTGGCAGAAATCACCAGTGAAGTTACCTGAGCTTAGACTTTTCCTTGTGGGAGGTTTTAAATTGTGAATTTAATTATTTAACAATTAATAATGAATATTAAGATAGTAATATAATTAAGATTATCTAGTTTTTCCTATAATTCTTAATAATTTGTGTTATTCAGAGTATTTGCCAATTTTATCAAATTGACTGGCATTGTTTTTTCTGAATATGTCCTTATTATCTTTTTAAGACTTGTAGAATCTGTAGTAATTTCTTTTATTCATAATTATGGTTATTTATATTTTCTCTCTTTCTTGAGATATCCTTTAGGATATACCTAAGGTATATCTTGAGATATACCTTAGGTGGTAGAAGGCAGCTGGTGTGTTCAGTGATGTAGGTTGTCAGTCTTCTTCCAAGACACAAGGAAGAAGATTCTAGCTCTTCAGTCTCCTTATGTTCTCCTAATCTTGGGGCAAGAGCAGAAAATTCAGTCTACCTTTTTATCTTCAACTCTTTATCTTTATTTTTATCTTCAACTTTTCAGAGATTAGAGACCCTGAATCTCATTAGGAACATTGTAGACTCACCAGTCCCCTCCAGGGCTTTAAGAATCTCAGCAAGTAAGCCTTCCCTATGGTAGTCCTCATTCATTTCCTTGCCTTAGGGCTCATCAATATTGTCCTCTGAGCTTTAGTCAGGTCCCACATGAAGGAAGTTCATGACTCTTTTGTTCATGTCATCTAGGAAGGTCTTACTTGCTGTTTCCAGCAGGTGCTGGGCTTTCAGGAGATAGAGAACTGTGGTAAGAGTTGAGAGTGAATGGAGATAGTATGTTCAGGGAGTAGCCCCTTCCATTTTCTGGGTCCAAACTTTATTCTTTAAATTTAAATTTGTGAACATCATCTAGAAAGTTCTGTCTAAGGATTCACCTAACATTTCCAGCATTGAAGACAAGCTCTGGAGTCACTCCTTGTTTTTAATCTCTATATATCTAATTTTGTTCCCAATGAGTTTGCTAAGGGACATAAAAACAGAACCAATGGATTATACTTCTAGAACAGGGAAGCCTTTTCCTTTGTTCCTTGGTATATTTTAAAGAAATGTTCTTCATTAATAATAAATGTGTATGATTATCTGAAATTTTCTCTCAATTCGATCCTTCTTTAAACATCACTGAAACCACTGAAAAACATTTTATTCCCAGCACTTCTGCTTTTTGAATGCCACTTTATTTCTTCTATTTCTCCTCTCTCTCTCTTCTAAGGTCATTTACATAAAAATGGAATCTTAAGATGGTTTATCAATATGTTATGATCATTTTTACCTGCAGCAGAGAATACTCACATTTGTTGTTGCCATGGAAGCAATTATGCTATGAAAAAAAAAAGAATGAAGATTTCAGTTCGGGTAGAATTTAGGTTGGACTGACAATGTCGGTGAAATGAAAAGGTGCCTACTATTTGTACCTGAAAGAAAACAAGATACAAATCAGATAGTAATTATTCATTTTGTTTTAAGACTATCTATAAGAATGCAAAATCAAATTTGGAGTCAATTTGTAAGTCTTGCCCATACACTAAAGCTAACAAGAGAGTGCCATTTGGTGTCCTGATTGGTCTTTAACCTTTATCAACTACATTGACCTAAAAAAAATTACTCCAACTTGAATATACTCCTCTTTTAACAAGCTAATCTTGAAAAACAAAATTAATCTTGAAAGATGAAGGGTAGCTCGATCAGCCACTTATCAGAGAAGCCACTGAGTTATATAATAATTTCCTTAGCACCTCCACTTCGGAGAATCTTTTTTCTAGTTTTGCAATAAACCCCATCTATAGTTATGTTTCCATTATATTCCAAACTAGAAGTGAATCATTGCCAAATAACATAGTATTGGATATTGAAGAGAAGTAACTTGAAGGTAAGCTATTTTGTAATTTGATAGAGGAACTCAATTGAAATATAAAGGTAATCACAAAACTTAGAGAGGAGGCAGAGAAGAGAACACTTTATGACTTCAGAATACCATTAACATTATCCTCAGAAACCAAACACAATTTTTTTAATGGACGATTTAAATATTTTTTCTCTTTAAATTCCCTTTCTACAAGTGCTTTTCTCAATTCAGACTGTGGATAGTTCAGAACTTGGATCTTTGCCATCGCATGCAATTTGCTTTCTAATAATTTTTTATTTACATCCTGGAGAACTCATCTTCTCTGAACATCCTGAGATCTAGGTACTTGGGACAGAGGAGGGATGAATGAAGGCTTTTCCTATCGTTGTTTGTTGCCTTCCGGGAGAGTGGAATTTCTACAGTGATTTACAATTAACTGGAGACTGAGCAATCTGGAAGTGCCACTTTGCAGAACATTATGGAATGCCATTCTTTGGACATTTTTACAAGTGGGGAGGGATAAGCATGGTATAAGAGAAGGAGCTCTGGATTGAGGTTTTAATGTATTTCAGTTCCCGTGCTAAGTACTTTACATTACATTACAGTGACACCATGGTCACAGGCTTTTGAGTCAGGAAATCTGGGTTGGATGTGAACTCCCCACTTAGCATTATGGGATGTTAGGTGAGTTATTTAACCCATCTCTGCTTTATACCCTTATCTAATAAGAAAATAATAATTTATCAGCCTTAGAAACTTGTTACCATTAATTCTTAAATGTGTCCATAAGACAAATAATACTATTGTTTCCACTTTACAGATGACAAAACAGATGATTAGAGAGGTTGCATAACTTGCCCGAGGTCACACTCCTAGTTCAATGGCAAGATGGAATCTGAGCCTGGGCCAGTTTGACTTTAAAGACATTATTCATTAGGATTACACCAGATGTGGCTCAGCTTCTAAGTAATTGTGTGATATTAGGAAAGATAATTATTCCTTCAGAGCCTCAATTTACATAACTGTGTGACTAATGGGGATCCTGGGGCTTAATAGAAACAGAGATACTTCCAGTTAACGGAAGTATCTGCTTATGAAGCAGGCAAGTGGCTATCACTAGAAGTGAAGACTACCTCTGTGAACTGGCATGATGTAGTAGGAAGTGCTTTGTGGGTTTAGATACAGTGTGGCCACTTGCTAGCTATGAGGTCTTGAGCAAACCAGTTCTCACATCTGTAACTGAGACTCAGCCGGATATCAACTTTCAATGCCCAGCAGCATTAAAATATTCAACAGACATGTCAAATTCTGAAGACTGAGATTCAAATCCAACATTTGACAGGACACCACTGTTTGGGCAACATCTGTGTTTGGCAAATGTGAAGGAACCATGCTGTGTGTGGAGGGCTCTTTAGTCGCTCCCCAACTTGAACTAGCCAAGCAAAGAAGGTCTGAATGAGAACTTCAAGCAACAGCATGAGACCTCAGACTCAAGGCTTCACTTCCTTTTAAGCTTTTGCATTCTTATGTTTCACTCTTCTCCTCATCTACCATCTTATTTCTGGCTAAATTAAGGAAAACCATTAGATGTCCAGCATCAGCACTCAATGTGTCAGAAATCAAACACTCACTTAGAAGATTATGCCTCATTTCATTTTTCCATTTTGTTTTCTTTTTGGAGATTAAGTAAGCGGCTCTGCCACTTCTTAGCGATTTATTTAGAGTAAGTAACTTTTCTTCACTAAGCCTCAGTTTTCCTGTCTATAAACTGAGGATAATAAAAGCCACTTCCAGAAGTTGTAATAAAAATTAAATATGATAGTACACGTAAAGTTCATAACAGAGTGCCTGGTACATAGTATGTGCTAACCCATAGTTAGCTGGTGAGAGGAGCTCAAAAGTATAAAAAGAGGTAAAAATCAAGTGTTGGTAAGTTTTGTTTCTTGTGAGCAATTCTGATCCACAGTGATAGGAAAGGCCAACTTAACTTTTTCCTAAAATGAGGTTGGGAAACTTTCTGGGATTCATATTATCTCTATCTACCTTACTGTGGACACTCAAGAAAATCATATGTAGTCAGATCTTGATATTAGCTAGCTGAAAATGTTGAATTTTAAACTCAGATATTTGTCCTTAAACTATGTGTTGAATTATTTAATTTATATGTGCCTGGATTGTGCACAAAATTAAGACTTCATTTCTACCATTGATGATTTTCAGGTGAGCCAATAAGATTGCAAGCTATATTTTCAGGTCTGTAACTTAAGGAAAGGGCACAGCCTGTTAAACATCATTTTGTCATAGACCATCAGGTTGGATACTGCATTAGTCCATTTTAATACTGCTATGAAGAAATACCAGAGACTGGGTAATTTATAAAGAAAAAGAAGTTTAACGGGCTCACAGTTCCACATGGCCAGGAAGCCCTCACAATCATGGCAAAAGGGGAAGGAGGAGCAAAGTCACGTCTTACATGGTGGCAGCCAAGAGAGCATTTGCAGGGGAACTCTCCCTTATAAAACTATCAGATCTCATGAGACTTATTAACTGTCACAAAAATAACACAGGAAAAACCTGCCCCCATGATTCAATTACCTCCCACGGGTTCCCTCCCATGACTCGTGGGAATTATGGGAGCTGCAATTCAAGGTGAGCCAAGCCCTATCAGATGCTATAAGCTGTATGCTAAGCAAATGCAGAAAGACACAGATAGGACATAAGATCAAGGGCACATGTACTGAGCAAATAATATTTATGCAGAAAGACACAGATAGGACATAAGATCAGGGGCACAAGTACTGAACAAATCATTCCGTTGCATTTTGTAGATGTGGGTTGCCCAGACGGGGTGTTGTCATTAGAGGCCCTGGATAAGAAAACAAGGGATAGGAAAAGAAACTTGGTAAGGTTCATGGAGGAAGTAGAGTGTCATAGGATGGGTCAGTGATAAAGTCTGCCTGATGATTTGTGGAAACAAAGAACATATTCTGGTCCAAATAAAATATTGAGAAAGGGCATCAGCAGAAGTAAAATGAGTAGACAAAGGAAGCACTGAATTAATTTGACTAAGAATAAGAGTAGAAGAGTAGAAAGAACAAACACTCTGTTTTTACAATCACATTTTAAAATTTCAGTCACTGGCACTATTGCTTGATGCTTATTCAAGACACTAAACTTAGTGTCACCTTTTACTTCTCCCTCTTTTATCACATCCTGCCTCTCATTTTATAAACCTCTTGGGTTGATGTACCTACTTTATTCTCTCATAAAATCATGACTTATCTTGCCATTTCCTAAGTGGGCTTACCTCCAGAAAATTTTTTGCAAATACCTGTGTTTTAGCCTAATTAACTTTTTCTAAATTCACAATGGCTCCTACTTACAAGGATACAAGACAAAATGCCAATGTATCCTTTCATTCTAGGCTCTCTTATTGAATTTAATGTTATCTCTTATGACATTGTATAAAAAACATTTACTATGTTTATTGCTATGCAGCCTCTGTGTATTCCCTACTCTCCAGGTGCCCATGATCATGTGATAAACCAGTATGTGCCCTCACAGGTCTAGCAGTCAATATTCAAATCACTTCTTACAATGCAAGTGACTTCTTAGATAGCTATTAGAGGGAAAAAAGCAAAAATTAAGAAGTGTTAGAAAAGATGTGGAGAAGCTGGAATGCTTGTGCATTGCTGGTGAAACTGTAAAATATAGCTGCTGTGAAAAACAGTACGGTAGTTCCTCAAAAAACTATACATAGGATTACCATTGATCCAGCAATTTCATTTCTGGGCATACAGCCAAAAGATTTGAAAGCAGGGACTCAAACAGATATTTGTACACCATGTTCATAACAGCATTATTCACAATAGCCAAAAGGTGAAAACAACCCAAATATCCATCAGCAGATGGGTGATAAACAAAATGTGGTATATGCATACAATGGAATATTACTCAGCCTTCAAAAGGAAGGAAATTCTGACACATACTATGACATTGATGAATCATAAGAACATTACGCTAAGTGAAACAAGCCATTCACCAAAGGACAAATACAACTGCACTTATATGAGATACCTAGAGTAGTCAGAATCATAGAGACAGAAAGTAGAATGGTGGTTGCCATGGGCTTGGGGGAGGGAGGAACAGAGTTAGTGGTTAACAGGTACAGAGTTTCAGTTGAAGAAGATGAAAAAATTCTGTAGATGTATGATGGTAGATGCTTGCACAACCATCTGAATGTATTTAATGCCATATACTGTATACTTATAATTGGATGAAATGCTAAAATGTTATTGTTATATATATTTTACCACAATAAGAAGTCTAAAGAAATCTTGGGGTAGTAAACAAAAAGTTAGATTCTTCCCCCAAATTGACTTAGCAGCATTAACGACAAATGCAAGAAATCTGTAGATGATGCCAAAAATATTAACACAATAAAAAAGATGAGAGAAAAGATAGATGTATAATAAGAATCTCCAAAAGATATAGAAAATAAGGGGATCAAACAAAGATAACAAATAAGAATAATGGAAGAAAATAAGAAATAGTAGAGAAATTTTGCTGAGTCAAAGAAGGACACAAGGTTACAAAAATGTACAGGTTCTTTAAGTACAATAAATTAATGAATATGGAAAAGAACCATATACTTTAATGTGTTTTTTTTCCAAAGTATGTTTAGGAAAATACTAGTCGTACATGATAGTCTGAGCAGGGAGAAAAAGGGCAACCACATGTTAATAATTTTCAGAAGCAGTATAAATATTATACCCTTCTTGGTGCTTTGTACAAAACATCAGATCTAGGAATTCCGGTGGTGAAGAAATCTGTTAATTTTTATTTAGCCCAGACTTTCCCTGGTTTAGTTGAACAAAACACCTAGTAATGTCTCAATACTCCCTTTGGAAAGAATGATGTAATTGATGAAAGTACGTGGGATTTTTGAGTCAGCACCTGGATTTGCATGTTAGTTCTCTGTGTCTCTTGATTTTCTCCTATCAAATGGGAATAATAATAATAACAATAATACCTATATTATAGGTAGATATTTCCTATTAGGGTGCATATTAGAAGTTGTGGTTGCTTGGCAAAGTAACCCATTAATTGATTTAATTAATAGATTAACCAATTATCACCGGTTATAATACCATGCAGTAAAAAGTGAAATCCTGAATAAGTGGAACTACAAATTGATACCATTTTATGGGAACATATAAAAGTTGGACCATAATTAGGGATCCTGATGGGCTGTGGTGGTTTTCTATAACTAGGTACTTGGGGATAAGTGTATGTGTGTGTGTGTGTGTGTGTGTGTGTGTGTGCGCGCGCACACGTGTGTTGATGACGAGTTGGCAAGAATTTCTTAAAAGATTAACAGAGTTAGGCCGGGCACAGTGGCACACGCCTGTAATCCCAGCACTTTGGGAGGCCTAGGCGGGTGGATCACGAGGTCAGGAGATCGAGACCATCCTGGCTAACACGGTGAAACCGCGTCTCTACTAAAAAAAACAAAAACAAAAACAAAAAATTAGCTGGGTGCAGTGGCGGGCGCCTGTAGTCCCAGCTTACTCCTGAGGCTGAGGCAGGAGAATGGCGTGAACCCAGGAGGCTGAGCTTGCAGTGAGCCGAGATCGTGCCACTGAACTCCAGCCTGGGCGACAGAGCGAGACTCCGTCTCAAAAAACAAACAAACAAACAAAAACCAAAAAAAAAAACCACATAAAAAACAAAAAAGATGAACAGAGTTAAAGGCAACTTTGGGACTATCCAAATTGTGAGGCAACAACTATTCTTATCAATAGAATAACCGTTGGTAGTCCAATATGAAACCCAATACTGGTGTTGGGGTGTAATTTGTCTGGGTCTTTGTACTATTAATTATGTCCCTGTATGAGCTGCTGGAGGAATCTAATTTCATTTCTGAATGTGACAATTTTCCTTTGCAAACTAAAATTCAAAGAGAACTGTAATCCTGCTTGTTGCTGTTCATCGAAAGATGACCTTGTAATATTTGAGATAATGATTTTTAAGGATTATGCATATCTTGGGTTATTCCTAAATGCATATGAAATAACTCAAAATATCCATATAACCCTTGTTTGGTTTGATAGACAGCATATGAAAAACCTGTCCTTGAATTATCTAAAAGCCCTCTTTAATTTGTGTAAAATGTGGTCTTGAATAATTTTTTTAAATAAAATAATGCCCCTTAATAGTTATTCAAGATGCCCTATGTCTTCACAATAGGTTTTCCTGGGCTCTCACCTGTAAATAAATTTTCCATTCTGTTGTCCTTGGATTTGCCGTGTTAACAAATGTGTGACTTCTGTAAAAGTGCTGATGTGTGTTTTATGAATGTGTCCCTTGATGCTAATATCAGTACAGTCAATTTGCAGTAATTACTCTGTTGAAGAATTCACCACTAGCAAAACACAGACACATAGTATATTGTAAAAATACCTCCAGAATGTAACACATGGAATTCTACAGCTTTCTGTTGGTTGAATCACACACGTTAATTGTTCATGTAACCGTGGAAAAATCTGGTATAACAAGAATTGTTCACAATACGGGAGTGATTTACACATATTTAGATTTTAAGCTGTACTCAGACTTGTAAATTCTAGGTCATTGCCAGGAAAATAGGCCTAATGGAATTGTCCTCTGGAGTGAATAGAAATATCTGTTACCAGATGGTTTTGATTTGGAAAATATGATTTGAGAAATACAGCAGCTCTACATTTAATAGAGATGGCCCTTGGCATAAAAAGGTATATATTTGGGAAAAAATCCTCGAAGAATATATACATATACACAAATATATGTATATATTCATGAATTTTGGTTTTCAATGCTATATCAGTTTAACATTTTCCAGGTGTTGTGAATATGGTTGGGGACTATATTTGACTAAGGTCAAGTTTGATCTTAGTATTTAAGCATATAGAACTTGGGGAGACTTCATTTTCTGATATAAAATACTCATTTTGTTGCTTGTACTTTCAACTTTGAAAGCTCACAGGCCAAAAACTACATATAGCACAGTTAGGAGAAGGCTGTTGTTAGAATAAACAGGTACAGGTTTTTTTGGATTATCACCATATTCATAGGTTCAGATCAGTTTTCTCAGCTTTTAAAATCTGTATTACTTTGTATAAAGATATTATGTCTTCCTCTTATGTAAAATTTAGAAAAACAGAAATAACATGACTTAAAGACTGAGGTAATGGTAAAAAAATTACATCAAAAGATATATTTCTTGACTTTACCATGGGATATGAGTTTGAGCTTTGGATTTGCTTGCTTGTCACAAGCTTTTGATCCAAGGAAGTATTGAAGTTTGAGCAGATTATAGATCACTTTCAGTGTTAAGCTTGTTGTAAAAAGAGAAACTGATATTTATGAAAATGGAATGATGACTTTATATATCTCTTGTTTCCGGGGTTAAAAATATCTCTATAGTGATGTTCTAGAAACTATCTAAGATGATCAAGTCAAAGTTAATTTCACAACTTCTTAGAGTCTGGAAAACATTGAAAATCATTAAGAATGTGGCTCCTTTTTAAATTCAAAATTGGAAATTTCAGCATCATAATAGGAAATTATTGCCTGATTTTAACTTGCAGAAAATTAAATACGATTTAATGTTCTCCTTGAAAAGATTTAACACAGAAAATGGACAGCTATGTTAGCATAAATTCTCATAATAATAGTGGGTTTTGGACAATACTAATAAAAATAATGTCTTAATTGAATACTTGCCATGTGGCCATTGTGCTAAGCATTTTGCATTAGTTTTAAAAGACACAGAACTTTAGCATTTTTGAATTTTCTAATTTAATTATCAAAACAACTGAGTAAAGAGTTAACATTATTATCTTCATTTTAGAGTTGAGGCATAGTAAGGTTTAGGAACTGAAGTTTCGAGAGATTAAGTAACTTGCCCAAGGTCACACACCTAGCAAATAACAGAACCTAAATTTGAACCTAGATTTCTTTGATTTTTAAGTCTTTAATCTTAATCATAACTTCATGATTAAGTTATGATTAAGATTCTATGATGATAGAATATACATCAATCCTATTAAGCAATGTAAGCAATGGTATTGATGTTTGCTCCCTCTGTTAGTAGAAAAACTTCAAATATCCTAGAAAATTTGCCAAGCTTCTGAAAATTACTTTTTACATGTTAGAGTAATTGAACTTTTCCTCTTGTTTTAATAATGCATACACCTCAGCTCTTATCTTGCACATCTAATCAATCATATTTTCCCTTAACAATTTTTACATGGAATGAAATATTTCAATACAGATATATTCTATGTCTATAGATAGAACTCTGTGAATAGCGGTTAGATCTGTATCAAGGGAGGCAAATAAGCTGGTGTTTCACACACTGTGCAGAGTTTGAAAGTCAATGTGTGTAGATGAAAATGCAGAGAATTCCCCCACAATATTATTTTCTTCATGGAATTTTACCAACAATATTGATCAGAGACCCAGAATTTATGGAGTAACGTCAGTGAACATTCTGATAATATTATTTCCAATTAAGTTTATTGACTTGACAGGCCTTCAAAGATATTCCTGGGTTTTAATATTGGCCTCCTTGGCTTAAGAAAACAGTCTTTATTTTTCCCATACTTGAATGAACACATAGCTGCGTACAATCCCTCATCAACAGATACATCACTACTAATTACAGAAAAAGTTATACTTTTTTTCTTTTATCAATTGTGAATTTGGTATTGACTCTAAGTCATCAGTTCAGCACTTAACCATAGAATTGAAGAAGAAATATTGTGAAAATCTTTTTGTTTTCTCTCTAAGCAAAGTGTGAGTAGCATTCAGACTAAAAGCTTTCATGAGAACTCCAGTGGTGTGAGATTAAAAAGAAATGCTTAGTGATTAAAGGGAAAATTTCATGCAAAATCTTCAGAGCCTTTGTGGTTTTCTGAATATATGTCTAACACCAGCTGATCTTATGTCTTGCTGAGAATCATACTTTAGCAACAAACACATACAACAACAACAAATAAAACAAAACCTCTCTCACATTTCTGTTTTTTAAAAAGGCTTGTATGAATTTTGACTTAAATTTTATTCAAGTCAAATGGGCCACAAGTGTTTTTCCCCAATAATATCCAGAGTAAATTGTATGCCCTTTTTTGCTAGGAGTATGCCTTACCATTGAGTGCTCAACCAAGAGGACAGTAGGGATTAAAATCCAGCCCTACTAATGCATAAAGCTCTGTTCCCTGCTCTGGCTGCGTCAGCCTGGGAGAATTCATCCCAGCCTGGACATGCATCTGAGTTTGCATGTATCAATAGCTTATACTTTGTTTTAATTGCTGAGTGGTATCCCGTGGCATGATGTACCAAACTGTTTAACCATTCATCCATCAACGGCATCTGGGGCACTTCCAGTATTTGGCTATCACAAATAAATCCACAATGGACATTGTATTAGGTGTTTGTGAGCATGTAAGTTTTCATTTCCTTGATGTGGAAGAATGCAATTGCTGGGTCTTAGGATCATGTTTTTATAAGAAACTGTCAAATTATTTTCCAGAGTAGGTATAATATTTTACATTCCCATCAGCGTTATATGAGTGATCCAGTTTCTTCACATTTTTGTCAGCATTTGATATTGTCACTAAGTTTTATTTTAGCCTATCTGATAGATATATAGTGGTAACTATCAGATATTGTATTGTGCTTTAATTTGCGTTTTCCTAATGGCTGAATGAAGTTAAACATATTTTCATGTGCTTACTTGCCATCTTACATCCACTTCAGTGAAATGTGTTTTTCCTGTCTTTTGCTCATTTTCTATCAAGATTTTGTTTACACTGTTTTGAGAGATCTTTATATATTATAGATACTAGTCCACTGTCAGATATATGGTTTACAAATATTTCCTTCCAGTCTGTGGCTTGTCTTTTTATTCTCTTAACAGGTTCTTTCACTGAACAAAAGTTGATAATTTTGATGAGGTCCGATTTATTAATTCTTTTCTTTTATAGATTGTGCTTTTTGTGTCAAGTCAAATAACCCTTTTCATGGCTCTAGGTCTTAGAGCTTTTCTCTTATTTTTCTCTAAAAGTTTTACACCTCTACATGTTACAGTGAGGCACATAATTCATTTTGAGTGAATTTTTGAATAAAATATGAGGTTTAGATTTAGGTTATTTATTTATTTATTTTTTTAGCCAATGAAAGTCCACTTGCTTCCTTACCATTTGATGAAAGTCTTTCCT
Source organism: Homo sapiens (assembly GCF_000001405.40). Lineage (NCBI taxonomy): Eukaryota > Metazoa > Chordata > Mammalia > Primates > Hominidae > Homo > Homo sapiens. Next base: position 215,049,766 of record NC_000001.11, read on the forward strand.
TCTCCATGAAGTTGCTTTTACATCTTTGTGAAAAATTAGTTGGGGCTATTTGTGTGGATTTAGTTGTGGGTTCTCTATTATGTTCTCAGAATCTATGTGTTTATCCTTCCATCAATATCACCTTACCTTAATTACTATAGCATTATAACAGGTCTTCATATCAGGTAGAGTGATTCCTACCACTTTATTCTTATTTGTCAAGATTGTTTCAGTTATCCTAGAGCCTGTGCCTTCCTCCATAAATTTTATAATAAGCTTATCTATGTCTATAAAAAACCTTGGTGAGATTTTGATAAGAGTTGTATTAAACCTATAGATCAACATGGGGAGAATTGAGATTTTTGCTATGTTGAGTCTTCTAACCCATGAAATTCTACTTTTTGTCTCCTTTGATTTTTTTAATTAACATTTTGTAATTTTCAGCATACAGATTCTATACATATTTTGTTAAGGCATATCTAAGTATCTCATTTTATTTGGAGTAATCATAAATGGTACTGTATTTTAATGTCAGTTTCTACATGTTAGTATATAGAAAAATGACTGATTTGGGGGTTTGAATGATTTTTCAAAAAGTTTTCCGAACTCGAAGATTTCTTGCAGTGTCATGTCATAACTATTCATTAGTTAAGTCATTCAACAGATATCTGCTGGGAGACTTCTCTGTTCCAAGAAGTACTATAGGTGATGGGGACAGTACAATAAAAACAAATAGATAAAGTTCCTGTACTTCGTTCATTCATATTTTAGTAGAGGAACAGGATGAAAGGGAGCATACAGAGAGAGAAATAAAAAGAGAGACAGAACCAATAAAAAAAGTTTGATGTACCAGATAGTGATTCAAGCCACTGAAAAAAATAGTGCAGATTGAAGCTATGTTCAATTTACCTTTCAAACTGGGACATTTTTGAGGATGAGAACTGTCAATAACCAAATGACATATAAAATCAAGAGGTGTAATCTTGGACTCTCCCCAGCAAACTGAGATATATGATCATCTTACTTAAGGTCATGTTAAGTGCTCATTGGAGTTGGGGGTTGCTACTGCCGATGTCCTCCAAGCAAGTCCACTGTAAACAAACTTGTAGTTGAACAAAGTTGAGTTTATTAGCTCCCGGCATCATTACACTATGGGGAACTGTGGGATGTCACAGTAATAGGTTGTTAACAGGGGCTTATTATTGGATTTGAGCTTGTATGAGGTGATTTGGGGGATGTTTCAAGGAAGTGTGGTTTTGATCTTGATTCAGTACTGTCAGAGAGTCAAAGCAATTCTATGGTTGCCTTAATAACCTTTTGAAAGCTTATTTATTTTTATTTTGTAGACAGGGCCTTGTTGCCCATGCTGGAGGATAGTGGCCATTCACAGGTGCAATCATTTTATACCGCCACCTCGAAATCCTAGATTCAAGCAATCCTCCTCCTTCAGCCTCCTGAGTAGCTGGGATTACAGATGTGCACCACCATGCATGGATCTTAATATTAATAATTTTATGTGGAAGATGGAAGGAACAAAGTGTACTGAAGCTAAAATTGATAAAGATAAAGCAGTCACTCATATTAGCAGGAACAAGGAAAATATTTGAGGGTTTCATTAATTTTTCTCTGCTCAGACACAATTACAGAGCTGTCTTGTTTTTGTCTTGATCCATCATATTACAGAGTAAATTTGTCAGATGTGGGTGTACTATAAAATTGTTTATATTCAAAAGGGGAATGCCATACCTAGCCATTAGAGCCAGGGCAGCTCCAAGCTGACAGTAGCCAGGAGCTGCTTTTTCTTTCTTATTACTGTCTATAAAGTAATTGATGACAGCCCTTATGACAAGAGGATGCTTGACCAGAAACCTGGAGGACATGAAAGAGTGAGTTCTGGGATATCTGGGGCACAACATTCAGGCTTGGGAAGCAGCAGATGCAAGGTTCTGAAATGGGAATGTAGCATGTTTGGGAATAAAAGAAGATCCGTATATGGCTAGAGTGAAGTGTGTGGCATGGGAGGGTTAGAAAATCATGTCAAGAAAGTAGTAGTTTCCCAGCTCAGGGGGGATCTTGCAGGTGATTAGAACAGTTTATACTTTAATTTGAGGTGAGATAAGAAAATTTTGGATTGTTTTGAATAGATTTGGTAATATAAAAACAAGATATTATTTTAAGTAAAGAATATGCTCACCTGCAAACAGATAACATTTATTATTATTTCTAACATTCAGTAATTTATTCATCCAGCAAACATTTATTAAGTACCTACTATGTGCCAGGTGGCTGCTCTAGCCCATGGGTGATATTGCAGTGAATAATATGGATATGATATTTCCTGTCATGGAGCTTACATTATAGCAGGTGAGACAGGTGAAAAATGAACAAGTAATATAATTTCAAATAGAGATGATGAATGTAAACACACCGAAAATTAACACAGGGTGAAACCGGTGAAACTAGAGAATCATGGATGGGGGCAGGTTGGTTCTAGGTGGTGGTAGAGTGAGCATTTCTCAATGTAGCAAGAAGCCATTAGAAGTTTTTAAGAAGAGAAATGACATAACTTGATTGCAGTTTTAAAAATATCACACTGCCTATAGAGCAGAGGATGGACTGATGGAATGCAATGGAAAAGGACTGTAGTGGTCCAAGTGAGAGAAGCTGTGGCTTAGATCTAGGTCACATGATGGATTTTGTGGGAGAGATTCAGATTCAGGATAAACATTGGAATTTCAGCTTTCAAGACTTGCTATTAGATTCAGTGGTTCTCAACAGGGGGTGATTTTCAACCCCAGTGGATATCTGAAAATGTATGCTCACATTTTTTGGTGATAACTGTGGAGGTGCTACTAGCATACAGAGGCCAGAGATGCTGCTAAATATCCTGAAATGAACAGGACAGCCCTCTACAACAGGAATTGTTAGCCCCCTAAAATGTCAGCAGTGCCAAGGTTGAGAAACCTTGGATTAGAAGTCATGGGAAAGGATTGTAGATTCCTAGGTTTGGGACATCAGCAATGAGAGAATAGTATTTATTAGTCATTTATTTTTGTGATGAGGAAGAATGGAGGAGGAACAGTTTTGCATCATGACTATTGGGTAGAATTAAGTAGCATATGATAGATGAGCATAATTGTGGATATTTCTCTTGAGTTTTTGCCAGAGTACCAGATTCCTCTTTTTTTCTTTTCTATAAACAGTAGTTATGTCAAAGTTGGATGGTTGGATGCAGGAGATGAGCAATAAGTTACTCATTTTCTCCAAAGTCAGAGGATGCAAACTTCTCATGTTCTCACCTGCAGGTTTTTTTGGTTTCTTTTCTTTTCTTTTTTTAAAAAATAAATTTAATTTAATTTTAAGTTCCAGGATATATGTGCAGGACGTGCAGGTTAGTTCAGCCATTTAACGATGAGTCCGTGGCTTCCATTTGTAAAATGCAGGCAAGGTGAACAAGTCCATGGAAAGACATGAAAACCAAACTCTCAGAAGGGAATGCTACATGTCTTTCTTATCCCAGGAAATTCTGCTGGGATAAGAGTGACAGTGACTGATGCATCTTCCCTAGGTATTCTGGGTGGTGGGCAGGGAGATAGCAGAAATCAATCAGTCAACTGACAAATGTTTGAGGCTCTGGCGTGGGCTAGGACCCGGGTTTAGCCATTGGGAACTTTGTTGACTAAGCAGTAAATGAACAAATGAACAGACAAGTAGGTGATAAGAGATAAAGTGGACAAGGCAAATTAAAACAAATGGTGGAAGATGTTAAATGTACAAGATATTGAATGTTTTTCTGAACAGAGAATTCCTCTGGAAAAGTGATATTTCTATGCTTGAACTCAAATCACAATTGCAACCAGGAAATTCTAGCAAATGAAAAATTGATAAATAAATGAATGCTTCCTCTCTTTTGCATTGTGTTTCTAGCTTACAAAGGTAGAGCAAAAGCCTTAGATAGATATTCTTGAACTCAGTACAATCCCTGGCCGAGGCAGGCAGATCACTTAAGGCCAGGAGTTCGAGACCAGCCTGGCCAACATGGCAAAACCCTGTCTCTACTAAAAATACAAAAGTTAGCCGGGCATAGTGATGCATGCCTGTAATCCCAGCTACTCGGGAGGCTGAGGCAGGAGAACCTCTGGAGGCCGGGAGGCGGAGGTTGCAGTGAGCCAAGACAGCACCCCTGCACTCCGGCCTGGGCGACAGAGCAAGACTCCATCTCAAAAAAACAAAGTACAACCCCTGACTGTTGTGCTTTGAGTGTATTGAGGAGTTTAAAGCTGTGAGTTTTCTCAGTTAATCAAAATCAGTTTTCACCTTAAATAAATGATAGCACAGACAGCATAAGATACAAGTCTGTAATTTTTGAGCTGCAGCTATATTATTCGAGCTGTGCTATTTCTCTAGGTATTAATTCATGATTAAAGAAACCTATGATTGCCGATATTTCCCTTAATGCAGAATTGTCAATGTCATGTTCTTTGGTGGAGAGGAATTTGGTAGGTAGAAGACTGTCAAAGGGAGTTTTGAGTCTTTCTCCACCAAGTCTGAAAGAGTTACTTACACACAGCTCCTTTTAAATGTTAGCTCTGATTGCAGAAACCCCCAGGCCAATTTGGAAAACTGGTGAGAGTTTTTCAAAGGCTGCTTTGTCTTCAGGACCATCCCTGCACCAGGAACACGTAATTCATCACATGAGTATAAAAGGTGCCACATTCTGTTCAGTGTATAGGGAACTTAGCTTCCTCACACATATACCAGATGCATGTTTGAGATTTTCGATTCTCCGGTAGGCTGCACTGCACACCCACCGCTGTTCTACCGAGCTTTGCTGGGGACAGGAAAGCACCAACCGTGAGTTACTGTGCAGAGGGAAAAGTTTGCAAGTTCTGTGTCAAGGTAGCCAGGGTGTATTTTTCTATAAATAACAAGTGATAATGCAAACCATGTAAATCTGTGGAGACAATGAAAATATGACCTGAATGGAGACGTGTTTTGAGTTATAAGGGGGGAATTTTTAGCCTTTTTCCACACAAACCAATCAAGGCTTGCTCAAAAAGACTCTTCTCAGTGCATGTGTACTTTAAATTGTTTTTCATTTTTTCTAATGTATTCTTCCCACAAGGTTTGTTTCTACTTGTCTTTACCAAATACTATGAATGTTCATGTAACCATATCATTAAATCACTAATTTGAACCTTGAGCACACAACTCAAGTGTTAAATCACTAATTTGAATAATGAACATAGAATTAAAATTCTGTGGTAATTGGATCAGATGGATTGCTTATTTAGGCACATTATATGAATATCATAACTTATTATTAAATCTAAAATACATGGAAACTGTGAAAGTTTTGACCTTGAATAACTAGTTTGTGTTATTTTAAAAGTATCTATGGTACTTTGTCTCTTAAAATATACCACCAGTATACCTGGGTACACCTCAAAGAAAGACTTAAGATTTATCACTCTTTGAGTCTGTTCATGGCACCTTTACACGAGTGTCTTTTATGTCCCAATCACTGTTTGCAATTAGAAATTCTCAGTACATGCTCAGAATGTGTTCCCATTTCACAGAGGATATGACACATATCAGTTATTCATGAATACAAAGTAAGCTATGAAAAAGAACTAAAAAAGGAATGTTGCACTGCTCATTGGTTTTAAACAAGATGCAATACAGCATCCCCACAGAACTGCTTCTGTAGCTTCAAGTACATTTACATTCTCAGGAGCTCATGTAGGTAACAAAGGAAAGGAACCTGCTTTTCTAGTTACTGGTTGAAGAGCTTTCATTTTATTATGAGGAAGTAAAATAGGCCCCAGGATGCCCTTTACAGCTTCCTATATTCTTTAAGGTCTCACTTTTCTCCACTTGAATAAAGAGAAAGTTTTCTAGTCTTTCTTCTTTCCATGCTTTCCTCCCACCCTCCATTCATGGCAGTTCAAACGCTTTGCTTCCTGGTTGGATTTCTGTATCTGGTAGGAATGTTTGTTAGGTCTAGCAGAGGAATGCTTGGCACCTGCCATTGACCTTTTGATGTACTTGAGAAATGGCTACAACCAATGAACGTGGAAATTTAAATTCAGTGATTATACATGGCATTGTCCTTGATGGATTCTTCCCTTGTGGCACAGAAAACTCCTGGAGATTTCTCTTTTATGTACAATGGCTTGTGGGCTGCAAATCCTAAAGTCAAAGTTAGGCTTTAAAAATTTAAAGCCTAAGGTCACCTCAAAGATAAATTCATCTGCGTTTCATTTTTAAAAATATGTCAGCTGGGAGTGGTGGCTCATGCCTGTAATCCCAGCACTTTGGGAGGCCAAGGTGAGCAGATCAGCCACTGAAGTCAGGAATTCGAGACCAGCCTGACCAAGATGGAGAAACCCCGTCTCTACTAAAAATACAAAATTAGCCGGGCATGGTGGTGCATGCTTGTAATCCTAGCTACTCAGGAAGCTGAGGCAGGAGAGTCGCTTGAACCCAGGAGAGGGAGGTTACAGTGAGCCGAGATCGCGCCATTGCACTCCAGCCTGGGCAACAAGAGTGAAACTCCATCTCAAAAAAAAAAAAAAAGGAAAGAAATTCATATTACCTGAAGGGGTGGCTTATAATGACACTAAAAATAAAAGAAAACTAGAGGCATAAGATTATCAAGAGTACCTTGTTGTATACATAAACTGGGAGATGGAGGTTGCAGGGAGCCAAGATTGTACCACTATACTCCAGGCAACAGAGTGAGACTCAGTCTCAAAAAAAAAAAAAAAAAAAAAAAGAAGAAGAAGGAGAGAAATGAGTTAATACAATAATGCCATAGTCATGTAAATGTTTTAATGTATAAAAGATTTGTAAAGGATTGTGTCCACTCTTTTTTTTTTTTTTTTTTTTGGTAGTGATGGGGTCTCCTTATGTTGCCCAGACTGGTTTTGCACTCCTGGACTCAAATGATCCTCCTGCCTCAGCCTCCTGAAGTGTTGGGATTACAGGCATGAGCCATCACATCCAGTCATCCACTCTATTTTCGAGGCAGGATGTACATGGGGTAAAAAGTTCAGTCAGGCTGCAGAGACCACAGAACCACATTCAAATCCTGCTTACTATCCCAGAAGCTGAACTGCTTTATAGATAGAATAGGAATATATGAGTAATTATCTAAAATGTTTACTATCATAGAAACTAAACTGCTTTATAGGTAGAATAGGAATAATATGAGTATTTATCTAAAATGTTTATTTAAGAACTACATGTAAATGACTTAACCTCTATCTAGCTAAGAGTGAGTTTGTGTAAGTTTATTACTTTGCCTTTTCATTCTTTTTTAAATGTATACACTGCTACTCCTTTCCTAAACCTGCCCCTAGCCATTTCCTAGCTATATTCATTGTGTTGCCTATTACCCCAAAGTTGGATTAAGCCCATGCTTGGGACAATAGCAAACCAGAGGTACAAGTATTTTTTTTTTTTTTTTGGAGTGAAGTTGAGATATGCATATTTAAGCATAAAAGAGTTATAGGATAATCATATTTTTTTAAAAAAGATGCAAAATGATCTTTTAAGTGCTTATAACCCTGGTTAGGCATACAACAAATGTCCCATAAATGCAGAGGAACTGAACTGGAGGTCAGGGTAGAAGGAGCAGGGCAGAAGGAGTAGAGTCTCTGCAAACAGCATGGCTTTGGGTGTGACAGCTGAGGCAGGACCCACATGGGTGACAGTGAAATATATGGTTTCTGCCTCAATCTGTATCTGTACATTAGGAACAGTGATTTTGTGGAGTGGAAGCTACAGTGACCTGCTTTTATGTTGACTCCACCACTGAAGTTCTTTCTGCTTGAATAGTCTATAGCTTCTATTTTCTGTTTATAATAATAGAAAATTCCATATTAACAATGGCAAGATGGAAGAAACAAAGGTAAGAGAAGAAAGCTTGGGGGCTGCATCAGGGAGAGAAAGGGCAGTGCAGGAAGGAGAAGGGTGCTGTACAGCAGTGGAGGATAGGATGAGAACACTGCCTTCAGAGTCAGACAGACCTGTTTGCACATTTTGGCTTTGCTCCCTGGCCTGGCAACTTTGGGCAAGCTGCTTCATCTCACCAAGCCCAAAGGGGGTTAATCATATCTTCCTTACAGGGAAGCTGCAAGAAATAATTCAGACAATAAATGTGTACCAGTTTAGTGCTCAGTGAATAGTAGTGACAATGAGGGTGATGGTGAGGGGGATGCTGACAATATGATGGTGAGGATGATGAAGGGCAAAAGTGAGAATAATAAAGAGATGGAGAAGCAGCCCCAGGAATAGGGAGTGGGAAAGTAGACTATGAGGAATGAAAAGGGAAAAGGAGAACATGAGAAATTTGTTTTTGAATGCTAGTGGACCTAATTGAAGCTTTGCCTCAAGCTCTCTTCTAGGATACCATCTCTCTGTCCTTCTCACAGCCATGCCCCTTCACTAGATAAATACTTGCAATTCACTGGTTGGCAGAGGTCCTCACTCCTCATGTTTGTGACTTTTTCCCTCTTCCTTTTTTCCTTTTAGGGGATACAGGATTGCACCTTGCACTTCTGTCTTTTAGCAGCAGGAGCTGAGAGTTAATTGAAGACAGAATGCAGGACCATTAGTTATGCAGATTGGAGTTGGATATATGCTTTTTCTCCTCTATATATCTTTTCAGAGAATTCGTGATTCCTCTTTCTCTCACCCATCAATAATTCTAAATCCTGTTACTTTTACTTCCAAAGTATGCGCTAAACTTATCCACTACCTGTTTCTACTACCTCACTACCACAAGGATTTCTATAACGACCTTTGTTTCCATTTTTGCCTCCTTCAATCTTTCTTCAAAGATAAAGTAATCCCCCACTTCCAATTAAACCTTTGCAGTGGCTTCCCATTGTACTATGTTTAAAATCCAAACCCTTTCTCCTTGTTTACAAAGCCCTACATAATCGCCCCCCTGACCTTTCCAATTTCATTCCACTTTTCTCCTTGCAATCTACCCTGGAGCCACAGTGAAGATGTTTTTCTCTATGTTTCTTGAACTTGCCAAGTGTTGTTCTTTTCCCCTTTAGGGCCTTTTGAATGCCTGTTTCTTTTCTTTCTTATCTTCATAGCCAGACTCCTTCTTGTCATCCTGATTTTAGCTTAGAAGTCACTCTCTGAGGGGCTTTAGATGACCTCTCCATGTGAAAGTCACTCAGTCTTTTGAGTCACAGTCCACTATTTTGTTTCTTTACATGAGCTCTTCTCACTTGTTTTTCTGTTGTGTGTGAGTGTATGTATGTATGTGTGTGTGTATGCACATATACATGTGTATATATATATACACACATACATATATATATTCGTGTATATATATACACACACATACATATATATATTCGTGTATATATATACACACACATATATATATATACACACACACATACATATTTATTTCCCCCTGTCCCTAGAATTTTAGCTCCAGGAGAGCAGAGGCCTTGCCCATCTAGTTCACAGAATCTTTCCCTAGTGCCAAGAGATGTGTGCAGCATATAATCTGAACCTAATTATTACTTTAGTGAACGCTGCTGAATTAATGATTTAACCTCTGAACACAGAATCCTTGCCAGTATTTGAAATTTATAGGTAATCAACCCTATATTTAAGCCAATAAGTCTGAAAGCCTTCCGAGTGCTCCCTTAATTTGGTAAGTTAGTAATGAGTAAAATTTGCTAAGTCAATAGTCAGAAAAATAGCATTATATACTATATAGAGAAAAATATTAATAAGATATTTTCTACTTTCAATGTACACACAGTTCTCCCAAGTCAGCTCAAGGTATCCATCGCCTTGGGGTGAAAT